>NC_000009.12:113220552-113845552 GCF_000001405.40 Homo sapiens | reverse complement strand
AGAGTAAGTGCTGGTTAAATGAGAGGAGAAAGACAGGGATATCTAGATGTTACTTCCAATGGAAACATGAGCTATTTTAGAGAGTTGTCTGCACTTCTGTATTAATTTCTAATTTCACAGAGCTGATGTTAATTTGTGCAACCCAGTTAAAGTTACACCAATTGGCTTAGAAATTTATATCTGAGACAAAGGAATTATTCAAGACCACCATTTTTGTGACATCCATGAAAACTGAGTTCCAGGATGCTAAATTCTTTTGCAGGAATATTCATTTGTTCGACAGCGTCTATTTAGCACTTACTGTGTATCCGAAACTGGAAGTATAGCAGTGAAAAAGAAAATTTTCCATCATGGAGCTTACATTCTGAGAGGGAGATAAATGATAAACAGATAAATAAGCATAAAAACAAACATTGTGCCACATGTCAAAGTGCCATAAGGAAACAAAAAGCAGGGTGAAGACCCAAAGAGACACGAGGTCCTGTTTTGGCCAAAGGGACCAGGTAGATCCTCTCTGAGGGGATGACACTTCATTAGAGACCAGAGAGAAGTGAGGGAACCAACCATGTGATAATAACTATTTTGCCTTTTTAAAAAGTTATATTCTGTGATTACATAAATTTGCAAGATGTGAGATGACAAATCCCTTTCTGACTACTTTTCAGAGGTTATATTATGCTAATTTGCAAGGAGCATTTCCAAGAGGGAAATGTGGCTCGCACAACTTCCCAAACTTTTCTGCCCATGGTACCCTCTATCCCAGAGTGTTTTGCAGAAACACCATTCCACAGGGCAGGAAAACACTGAGCTGGCAACCTCAGAGAATGAGAAACATGCTGATCCTGGCCAGCTGGTGAGGCAGTTTTGTTAGGAGCAGGCACTGGCATTTTAATACCCCAGTGTGCTGTGCTCTGGATCCACAAGCCATACAAGGGTGATGGCAGACTTCCAACCAGAGGCATCTTTTCCCTGAAGAGAAGGGAAGCTTGGCTCTGCCAGCTCTTCTCAGTAAGCCTCTTCAGGGTAGACCAGTGTGTGGTGGCTGAGATGGAATTAGCAAATGTAAAACATGCATCAGAAAACACCAGCCCACCTTCACCACCCACCAATGATGCAAAGACAATTGTGCCAGGGAAACTCATGTCAAGGCAAGAAAATGGAGAAATCTCTTTCCTCCTAGAGGCTAAATTTCTTTTTTAAAGGCCCAATTCTTCCTCAGAGGGAACATGTGCCTTGATGGAAGGCATTTGCCTGGAAAGAAGACTTGGGTCTTGATGGTCATGATGACAGGCTTACTTGGTGACCTTGAGCAAGTCACATCTCCTCTGGGCCTCAGTAGCCTCATCTGTCATATGGGAGTTCTCCAGTCTCACCATGACCCAAGTCTAAGGGCATGGCAAACAGTGATGAGGTCCAGGTGATGTAGTTTGGATGTCCCCTCCAAATATCTTGTTGAATTGTAATCCCCAGTATTGGAGATGGGGCCTGGTGGGAGGTGTTTGGGTAATGCAGGTGGATCCCTCATGGCTTGGTACTGTCCTCACAATAGTGAGTGTGTTCTTATGAGATTTGGTTATTTAAAAGTGTGCGGCACCTCTCTCCCACTCTCTCTCTCTCTCTTGCTCCCCTTCACCTTTCACCATGATTGTAAGCTTCTTGAGGCCTCACCAGAAGCCAAGCAGATGCCCCCACCATGCTTCCTTGAAGCTTGCAGAACCATAAGTCAATTAAACTTCATTTCTTTATAAATGACCCAGCCTCAGAAGTTTTTTTATGGCAACACAAGGACAGCCTAACACACAAGGCAAGGTCCTTCAGTCTCACCAGAGTTAACTCATCTAATACATATCATCATCACCAGAATAAGAACAGCAACAACTAAAGCTCCACTTATTGACCTGAGGCTATGCACTTTACATACATTATTTCATATAATAATCAAAAGTGTTTCATAAGGTGTGCACTTATTAGTCTCAAGTTTACAATCAAAGAAACAGGATCAGAGAGGTGAAGTCAGTTGCTGAAGATGACACAGCTTCTAAGTGACCGAGCCATCATTTGATCCCCAAATTCTGTGCTCTTGGAATACTCTGTCCAAATCCTGGGCTTGCCCTTCCTTGTGAGGGGACCATGCGGAAGGAGAGGGAGGAAGGAATCCAGCTCTTTCTCAGCTTAGGCCAATACCCTGCCACTCTGTACTTCTCACTAATCACTGACAGATGTTTGTCAGTTGCTGGTGGGTGCTGTTTAGGCAGAAAAGCAGGTATTTATTAGGCACAGATGTTCCTCAATGACCGCTTGTTTGAATGTGTGAATGGTATTGGGGAACAGCAGGCAAAATGAAATTTCATCTCAAATTTCCGAGGATTAGCAACAGGTTTACTGCATCTGGCCAAATGCTAGAGCCGCAGATACAAACCAGGTGGGTTCTTGAGCTAGTGGAAGCAAAGTCTGATGACAGACACAGGCCTGTCAGTAGATAATAATGTGGGGTGCTATGTCACTTGGCTGAACAAGGAGCTTGGTGAGGCAGAAGATGGGAGCTGTGAGCTGAGCACGGTCATATTTACCCTTCTTGGTAACACCATTGGACATAAAGGAGAATGGTGGTTGTTCATCCCAGAAATCAATAAAGCCAGAATTAGAAAGGTGACTGGGACATGTGGAGCCCACACTCAGCAGGGACCGGTGTCTGATTCCCTGGCAGAGAGGACCAGAGCCACAGGCCCATGAGATGGGGCAACTCAACCCACAGAACACTCCCTGACTGTCTGGGAGTCTAGGGCACCTCAGATAGCTTTCCTTCCAGCCCGAGGTGGATGCTCGTGGGGCACCTGAGATAGCTTTCCTTCCAGCCCATGGTGGATGCTCGTGGACTCCACCTCTCCAGACACCCAGGCGGGTTGGCAGTCTTCTCTCACTGTACATTTTTACCATTTATATGAGCCAACAACATCAGTCTCCAGGAGACTGAGCCAGTCCTTCTGAGCCCAATTCTCCTCTTCCCCTTTGTATGAAGCCAACAGAGCACACTCCTTTGAAATATTAAGGACCATACTTAATGGGTGGCAACCTAAGCAATATTTAAAATATATATATTATTGTAGAAGTCATTCGTGTCTAAGTGTTGAAAAAATACAGATCAGCAAAAAGAGCGAAAAGTAAAATCATCTTTAAGCTTACCATTAAAGCTGATGAGTGTTAGTATTTTAGTATAAAGCTTGACAAATACTTTCTACGCTTACATATAATACAGATGTATGAGTAATAAGCTTTTAAAAACAATGACATCAAAGTTTATGTGCTGCTTGAAATGATGCTTTTATGAATCAAATTGTATCATGAACTCTTCTCCAAGTAAAATATAACATTTTGTGACAGTATATTTCATATGATTATACCATAACTTTATTATATAGTATATATGCTATGTGATATATAAGAACATAGTATACCTCTTCTTATATGAATATACCAAACCCATGTTTTGTCCATTTATGTCATTTTTGATTTTTTATCGATAGGTAATATTGTAAAAAGTATCTTGAGCATTCATTGTTATAAACATTCCTGAATATTTTCTTAAATATGGAATTACTGCATTAAAGATTATGAATATTTTAAGAACTTGACTAAGTACTTCCAAGTTGTTACTCCACTCCCACCTCAAGCGACTGCTCTAATTGAAACCTTTCTTTCTCCATACTCTAGCCAATAGACGGCATGGTTTTTTCTACTTGTGACCAACATGATGAGTGAAAACTGATATCTTGCTTTTATGTTCATTCTCTAATTATAGCTGAGTTAAGCATCTTTTCTTATGCTTACTGGCTGCCTGTGTTTATTCATAAGTATGCTCCTGTCCACTTTTCTATTGGAATGTTCAAATTTTTCTCATAGATTAGTTTATTTTTTACTTTACTCATTATTTTTATACAACTATTTTATAATGGTTAAAAGAGCCCTTTCTATTTCGAGATTATGTAAATATTCCTCTATATTTTTGTCTAATTGCTCTAAATGTCTCACTGATGTTTATGTCTTTCATGTTACTGGGATTTACTTTGGTGTATGATGTGAGTTAGGCATCCAACTTTCTTTTTTTAAAAATGGCTAGCCAGTTGTACCATCATTTATTGAATAGTTGTTCTTTTTCCTTTGATTTTGAGATGCTGTCCTTATAATATACTGAATTGCTGTACGCCTTGAGTCTTTTGAGGACTTTCTATTCTGTTTTGTTAGTGTCTTCATTTATTCTTGTCTTAGAACTATATTATTTTCATATTGCAAACTTTTAGCACATATTAACATTTAGTAAAGCAGATCCAATACACCCCACCTTATTTTTTTCCAGCTTTTTTCTATTCTTGCATTTTTTAAATAAAATTTAATACCTATATAAATACCTTTAAAATAATTGTATCAAGTATAAAAATAGCAAGATTTTGATAGAGATAGTGTTAACATACAGATTAATTTGAGGAGAGTTCCAATATTGAATCCTTCCATTTAGGATAATAATGTATCTTCTTTTATGTTCCCCAGTTAAGTTCTGTTCTTCACAATGTTATGCATATTTTTATTAAGTTGAAATTATCCTTGCTATATAGAAAAGCTAGTTATAGATGTAGATCTACATATAGCTATTCATATACACATACATTGTTGATATTTTTGCACTACAAATTCTTACTAAATGCTTTGAATATTTTTTCCTTTGATCTTCTTGGCTTTCATAGGTCAATACATCAGCTACGAAGAATGACAATTGTAACTCTCCCTTTTAAATATATACCTCTCAGCAGGGCTGGCATTCTGAGCTATTTACCAGTATGTCTTACCAGTCTTTAAATTTTAAAATACTTTAGCATTAGTTGATAGTATACCAGTAACAGCTAGGTACAGCAAAATCTGTTAATAATATGATAGGGTTTGGATTTGTGTCCATACCCAAATCTCATGTCGAATTGTAATCCTCAATGTTGGAGGAGGGACTTGGTCGGAGGTGATTTGATCATGGGGGCAGATTTCCACCCTTGCTATTCTTGTAATAGAGAGTGAGTTCTCACGAGATCTGGTTGTTTAAAAGTGTGTAGCACCACCCCCTTCACTCTCTCTTCTTCCTGCTCTGGCTGTGTAAGACGTGCCTCCTTCTTCCTTGGCCTTCTGCCATGATTGTAAGTTTCCTGAGGCCTTCCCCAACCATGCTTCCTGTACAGCCTGTGGAACTGTGAGCCAATTAAACCTCTTTTCTCTATAAACTACCCAGTCTCAGGTAGTTCTTTATTGTAATGTGAGAACGAACTAATACGTAATAAATATTCTAATATAAATTTGTCATTCAAGCTAATGGCTGTAGCACATGACAACAACTGCTGATAAATGGGCCTTCCATCGTAGTGACATCAGAACAATTTTCTGCAGCATTCTTCACCAGTTTGGTCCATTTCATAGAAGGCAGTGTGGCTTCATAGGATATGCTTTAGGAAATGCAAGATATTTAGGGAAACGGTTCTCAACATGTAGGTTGATGACCCCTGGGGATATCTTAGACCCTTTCAGGAGTCTGTGACAACGAAACTGTTTTTACAATAATACTAAGACTTATTTGCCTTTTTCACTGTCATTCTTTCATGAGTGTAAGTGGAGTTTTCCAGAGGCTGCAGAGATGTGTGATATCACAACAGATTTAACCCAGATCTGAGAATCCAGCTGACTTCTATTAAGCAACACATTAAAGAGATTTGCAAAAACTACAAAACTTTTCTCACTGTTTTTTTGATTTGGCAGATATAATTATTTTCATTAAAATGTTATTTATGTTAACATCCAATAAGTTTATTGTTGTTATTTTTAACTGAATAAATACAAAAATTTTAAAGTTATGTCTTTATTTCTAATATGGTAAGTATTGATACAACCCACATAAACAAAAGCTCTGTGGGTGTCCTAAGTAATTTTTAACACTGTAAAAGTATTCTGAGACCAAAAAGTTCAAGAAAGACTGCTTTAGGAGAATCCACAATTTATTATTATGCCCAAATCAGGTAATTGCTCCTGCTTCTTAATTGTTTAGTTTTTACTTTGGTTTTATTGTTAGTGTGCTATCATTCTTTGTTTAAATAGTAATTGTGCAGTGTTTTGATGTTTATAAATTCAAGACTTTATAATAAAATATTAAAAATGAAACCCAGATTGAAGATACAGCAGAGTTTGGATAAGTTTCTTAATGTTCTTTTTAAATATTATAAACATGAATCTTCTGACTGTGGAAGAACAAAGAAAAAATGATATTAATAATGAACAATGCTGGGAATAGCTTCTGATAGTGTGCAGAAACCAGAACCTGGCACATCTTTTGATACTGGGTAAGAGATGGTGCAAAATAAAACAAATAATATATATAAGTGGAATGAAAAACAACTGGATTATTTTAGTAAAAATAATACAAGTGGCTTTGTATCACTAGTGTGTGTTATTCAGATGATCAAAGACTGCTCAAAATTTTTATAATTAAAAGTGTTATACTTCCACATTTTGCTGGAATGACAATTATGTTCTGTTAAAACTCATGGCTTAAATAAAGAAAAACTTATCTCATCAATGATAAAATTATAAAAACATAAATCAGTTTCATATAAAAACAAAAACTTCTAAAATAATTTATGAGAATATCAATAAAGCAAATGAAAAACATCTAGGAAATATGATCTGTATGTTTAAAAATAATTGGGCATTCTCAGACATAAAATATTTAATAGAACTTCAAAAAAAGAACAATATCAATATGGGCTTATCATGGCAATCTAAATTATGAACTTGCTTGTTGCAAAAACATTTATCTACTAATATGAGAAAACAACTTTTTGGAAAATGTATAAATCAAGGAAGTAAAATTTCAATTATTGAGGAAGCTTCAAATGTTTCATTTAAAATAGTTTTAATAATTTACTTAAAATGTGAAATTGAAGACTTTGAAGATAATTTAATGGCTTTTGTTGATCTCACGAAGCAGGAAAAAAATAACATCTGAAGTAATTCATCAAAATTTATTGTTGACACATGAGAAAAATGGTTTCAATAAGAAATATTTCCACACAAACTTTATTAGATTTTTGTATAAGCAATGCCTGTGAAAAGCTAGGGAGAAAGTCTACAGTTTTAGCCAAAATTTTAGGAAAATGTCTAAATGTTTTAATGTGGTACTGTCCAATTCACTGAATTCAATTATCCCTGAATGATGCAGTAAATACATACAGCAAGTAAGTAATTATAAGTGTTTTAATGAAGTTTTTATTTATAATCATGCATCAGGAAATGTTTAATAACATATCTGAAGATTTGGGAATTGAAAGAAAGAAACTTAGAATACTTGGGCCATGATGGGCAGCCTATAATGCTATAATTACAAAAGTACTTTGAAAATTATATCAAGTTTATCAGTTTAACAAAATTAGAGTAATAGGAGCAAATATGTAGAAAAAGTACCTATTTAAAAAAGATTTCAGTTGATGTCAATTTAGAAAATAAAATATCAATATCTTCAATTTAATAAAAAGTTTTAATTGTAGCAGGTTAACGCATTAAAAATTAAAAATGTTTGAACATAGAAAGCTAAAGGAAAAGGGAGACTTTATAGAAAGAAAAAACATAATATACCCTTTTAAATAAGTTAAAGAATCAATTCAAAGAGAAAATATTTGACAAGTTATCAGAAATGTATTTGTTGTTTAAAGGCAAAAGTAAAAGAATATGTTTTCGTTTTCTTTATTATTCCTTGCTAAATTGTTTTTAAATTTGTAATTACAATTGCTTTGGCACTCCAAATGGATCAGAAGTAAATTAAAATTGATAAATAATTTTTGTAATTAAAAACAATATTATAGCAAACAATTTTGTGGTTTATTTGGTAATAGAGATTCAAAAACATAAAATCTGAGTATTTTAAAGGCTAGAAAAATTTTAGATTAATTGCTGTAAGTTCAGCAGAAGCCTGAGAGATGAGTCAGCACTATGAACAACATTGTTGACCTTAAAAGATGTGTGATATAATGAACATACGCGTGCATGTATCTTTACAATAGAATAATTTCTATTCCTTTGGGTATATACCCAGGAATGGGATTACTGGGTCAAATGGTATTTCTGCCTCAAGGTCTTTGAGGAATCGCCACACTGTCTTCCACAATGGTTGAACTAATTTACACTCCCACCAACAGTGTAAAAGCATTCCTTTTTCTCCACAATGTCACCAGAATCTGTTATTTTTTGACTTTTAAATAATAGCCATTCTGACTAGTGTGAGATGGTTGCCCATCAATGATAGACTAGATAAAGAAAATGTGGTACATATACACCATGGAATACTATGCAGCCATAAAAAGAAATGAGATCATGTCCTTTGCAGGGACATGGATGGAGGTGGAAGTCATTATCCTCAGCAAACTAACACAGGAACAGAAAAACAAACACCTCATGTTCTCACTCATAAGCGGGAGATGAACAATGAGAACACATGGACGCATTGGGAGGGAACAACACACATTGGGGCCTGTTGGAGTGTGGGGGATGGGAAGAGGGTGAGCATCAGGAAGAATAGCTAATGGATGCTGGGCTTAATACCTAGGTGACAGAATTATCTGTGTAGCAAACCACCATGGCACACATTTACCTATGTAACAAACCTGCACATCCTGCACATGTACCCCTCAACTTAAAATAAAAGTTGGAAAAAAAAGACGCAGGTTTACCAAGTCATCCACTGACCACCAATTAATGATAAATTTTTGGAAGAATTTGATGTGGTTTGTGTGTTAGGTTATAGCTCAGAGAGGAGCATCATTTAATTAGTGATAGCAGTATTGAAAAAAAATTGCACTAGCAATTTTTAAAAATCAACAAATGATTTGGAAATTATGAGAATAATTCGATGAACAATTTTAATTACAACCTCTATTAATGGGCAAGTGATTTTATCACATATTGATATAGATTTTTTTCCTTAAAGAGTAAAAGGGACTGAATTTTAATATTTTTAATGTATGTATTCATTTATATTACTAAACTTCTTGTTAAATATTTTAAATATCACTCATGCTTTTATTAAAGTTTATCACCTAATTGCATTGGCAGCCACTTACATGATGAAGTTAAATAACGCTGATGGTTGGGGGCCTTGTTGTCTTCTCCCTGATTTTAATTATGTTTTTATTTCTTTGCCATTAAGCATAATACTGACATTTGATTTTACGTAATTAAAAATATTAAGGCTGGGTGCATTGGCTCACACCTTTAGTCCCAGCGCTTTGGGAGGCCGAGGCAGGAGGATCACTGGAGGCCAGGAGTTCAATACCAGTTGGGCAACATAGCTATACTCTGTCTCTACAAAACATTAAAAAAAAAAATAGCCAAGAATAGTGGCATGCACCTGTGGTCCCAGCTACTCTGGAGGGTGAGGTGGGAGGATTGCTTGAGCCTAGAAGGCTGCAGTGAGCTATAATCATGCCACTGCACTCCAGCCTGGTCAACAGAATGTTACTCTGTCTCTAAAAAATAAAATAAATAAATAATCAAATTGCATAAGTGTTACCTCTGGTTTAAAGAGTTTTATATGGTTTTCCATTTTGACATATTAATATGATTTATAATATGATTTATAACAGTGAATTTTAATATTGAATTGACCTTCTATTCTTATAATAAGCCCTACTTGATGGTGATGTATTTTTTTAATGTACAGCTGGATTCAATCACCCTTTAATTTTTTAAAATAAATTTTATATCCATAATCCAAAGAATAATTGATTATTAGTTTTCTATGTATGTCTATAAATGTTATCAGACTTGGATTTGAAAGATTCGCCAATGAAATAACATGGACTTGATGTCTTTGATACCATTCTTTGACAATCATCTCAAATTCAGCTCAGGTTTTTAGTTTATGCAGATTTTCAATTTCTTTTTTTTCTCATCTATTATTTATTTATTTATTTTTGTAGTCTATTGCATGTGTTTTTCCTCCCAGCTTCTGTTTCTTTTTTTAGTTAATTTTAGGGAGATAGATTCTTATAAAATAATCTAGTTCATTAAAATGTCCAATATTTCTGCATAGTATTTTTGTAATTTTTGTGTAGTATGCACTTACAAATAACATTTTTTTCTCTAAATCTCAGGTTAAATCTGCTTTATCATTCTGAACAATGTAACTTTTATTGGGATATAATTCATATGCCATAAAATGTACCATTTTAAAGCGGTAAGATGGCAAATTTCATTGGCTGTTGATATATTCACAAGTTTTACAATCATCACCATTATCTAATTCTAGAATGTTTTCATCACTCCTAAAAGAAATCTGGCTCATTAAAGCTACTATTCCCCATTCCCTCTCCCTGCAGCCCCTGGCAAGCACTAATATTTCTGTATCTATGGATTTGTCTATTCTGGACATTTCATATAAATGAAATCATACAATATGTGGCCTTTTGTGTATGGCTTCTTTCACTCAGCATAACATTTTCAATATTCATCCATGTTGTAGCATGTATCAGTATTTAATTCCTTTTTGTGATTGAATAATATTCCATTGCACAGATATGTTACATTTTTTTTCTATCTATTTACCCTTACTGGACATTTTGTTGTTCCCACTTTTTGGCTATTTTGAATAATACTAAACATTCGTGTACAATTTTTTTTGTGTAAACACACTGAATTTTCTTGAAAATACAGCTAAAGGTAATACTGCTGGATCATATTGTAACACTATGTTCACTGTTTTGAGGGACTGCCAAACTGTTTTTCAAAGTGGCTGAACCATTGTATATTCCTTCCAGCAAAGTACGAAGGTTCTAATTCCTCCACATTCTTGCTAACACTTCTTATTGTCTATCTTTCTAATTATGGCTATCCTATAGTGGGTGTGAAGTGTATCTCATAGTTTTTATTTGCATTTCCCTAAAGACTAATAATGTTGGGCATCTTCTCAAGTGCTTATTCACAATTTTTATATCTTATTTGGAGAATTCCTATTTATATTCATTGCCTATGGAGTTATTTTAAATTGGGTAGTCTTTTTATTGTTGAGTTGTAAGAGTTCTGGATACAAGTCACATATCAGATATATGATTATCACATAAATGTTATTTGCAAATATTTTCTCCCACTCTGTGAGCTGTCTTTTCAATTTCTTGATAGTGTCCTTTGAAGCACAAAGATGTTAAATTTTGGTGAAGTCCAAATTATCTAGTTTTCCTTTGCTTGCTTGAATGTTAGGTGTTATATCTAAGAAGCTATTGCTTAATTGAAAATCACAAAGATTTACACTAATATTTTCTTCCAAGAGTTTTGTAGGTTTAGCCTTTATATTTTGTCTTTGATCCATTTTGAGTTAATTTTTGTACACAGTGTGAGGTAGGGATTCAACTTCATTTTTTGCATGTGGAGAGCTAATTATTCCTGTGCCATTTGTTGAAAAGAGTATTCTTTGCCCATTGAATTTTCTTGGCTCTCTTGTTAGAAACCAATTGACCATAGATGAATGGGTTTACTTCTGGACTCTCAATTCTATATCATATATATATATATACATACATATATCCTTATGCCACTACCACACTGTCATGATCATTGTAGCTTTGAAGTCTAAGTTCTGAAGTTGGGAATCATGAGTCCCTAATCTTCATTTCTCTTTTCAAAGTTGTTTTAGATATTCTTAGTCTTTTGAATTTTCATGTGAATTGTAGTATCAGCTTGTCAATTTCTGCAAAAATGAACGGCAGTTGAAGTTTTAATGTAATATCAGAGCCTTTCAAAGCCACTATGAACATCTCATTCCTCAGCTTCTCTTATTTTTTTTTGTTTTGTTTTGTCTATTGCTTGTTCCAACAGAAATCTACACCTCGGGAAACCAAGAAATTAAACAATTGCCTGTCATTGTTTTTGACAAACAGCTCTGGGCTTTTTGCAATGGACCAGCCACTCCATCAGGTCAAATAAATATACCCTTGAACATGAGGTCTTCTAGGGACTCACCAGACAGGTTAAATAATGAAAGTTCAGTGAGAATGAGGCTTTGAAGCAGCTACAGCTGTATTCTCCCTCTGGTAATTATCAGTATGCTAGTTTTCACCACATATGTAGGCTGTTTGTTTTCAAGGCTACTGTAGCATTGAAGAATGGGATATTGGACTGAAGCAATTAAAGCACCACGAAGCTCGATATTCTTAACAACATTCAGCCAGTTTGCTGGGTAAATGCTCCCCACATTGCTACAAGGCTTTAATTTATTTCCATGGTTCTGAAAAAGTTTTCATGAAGAAGATAATTTTTGGAAGTCTTTGCTTGGCCATTTTCCCTAACATCACTCAAAAATGTTAATCTACCTTTCCTTTCTTCTTTTTTTAATTGATTACTTTTACCAGAACTTTGTTTTCTCATGAATTTTTTTTAAATCATATCTAGTAATCCCAGAATTTGGGAGGCTGTGGTAGGCAGATTGTTTGAGCTCAGGAATTCGAGACCAGCCTAGGCAACATGGTGAAACCCCATCTCTACAAAACATAGAAAACTTAGCCAGGCATAGTGGCTTGCACCTGTAGTCTCAGCTACTAGGAGGCTGAGGTGGGAGGATCGCTTGAGTCCAGGAGGCAGAAATTGCAGTGTGCCAAGATTGTGCCACTGCACTCCAGCCTGGGCAACAAAGCGAGACCCTGTCTTTAAAAAAAAAAAGAAAGAAAGAAAGAAAAGAAAAAGAAAGAATTATATTTAGAATTCATTAATTATCTTGCTTTCATTTTTTCCAACGTACTGATTTTAATCTTATTCTTTCCTCCTTTAGCTAAGTTCATTTTATTTTTTTTACTTTTTGAAATAAATGCTTAGTTCCTTTATTTTGATTCTTCTTTGTTTCATAATAAACAACATTAAAATTATGAATTATCCTCTGAGCACTACTTTGGAGTCTCATAAGTCTTGTTACACAGTGTTATCATAATTATTTTCTAGCCTGTATTTGCAGTATGATTTTGCTTTTGACTTAAGCTTATTTATGAGGGCATTTTTAATTTTCCAAGTGATTTTTATTTATTATTTTGCAACACAGTCCTTATTTTACTGCATTGTACTACATTAATGTGTCAATGAAATCTTCCTTTTTAGGATTCATCTTTTCCATGTAACTCATGAAATCATTAATTTTTAAAATGTTCTATGAAAATTTGAGAATAATATATTCATAGACTATCTTGTTTCTCTCTCTCATATGTTGTAACTAAATATATTATTCAGTTCTTCTATTTTCTTATTTGATCTATCAGAGACTGAACATTCTTTAAGCCAACTTTATTGATTTAAACAAAAATTAATTTATATATACATTACATACATTAAAATGTACCAATTTTAAGTGTACATTTCAATTAGTGTGACCCAATCAAAATAGGGAAGATTTCCATCATACCAAAAAGTTCACTGCGCCCTTTACAAGCCAACTCCTCCCAACATCAGACTGAGCAGCAACTTTCCTGTTTCCTGTCACTATAAATTATATTTGCCTTTTTAGAATTTCATATAAAATAAATCATACAGATTGTACTCTTTAGTGCCTGGCTTCTTTGTTTGACACAATATTTTGGGATTGATCCATGTAGCTACTAATATCACTAGTTCATTCCTCTTTGTTGCTAAATTGTGCTTCATTATTGTGGTATACAATTTGTGTATCCACTCATCAGTTGATGAATGTTTGAATTTTTCCAGTTCAGGCTACTATGATTAAAGCTGATATAAATATTTGTGTACAGTCTTTGTGTGATGTACGGTTTCATTTCTATGGGTTGTGTCATAAGTGTATGTCTTAGTCCATTTTTGCTGCTACAGCAGGATATGTGAGACTGGGTTGTTCATAAGCAATAGAACTTTATTTGGTTCACAGTTCTGGAGACTGGGGAGTCCAAGAGCATGGTGCCAGCATCTGATGAGGGCTTTCATGCTGTATGATCCCATGGCAGAAGGCAGAAGGAAGGGCAAGTGAGGGTGAGAGTGTGAGACAGAGAAGGTAAAATTTCCCTTTATAACAACCCACTCTGGCAATGATGAATGCACTCCTGTGATAATTACATTAAGCTATTCATGAAGTCAGAGCACTCATGGCCTAATCAACTCTTACCCTCAAAATGGCAATTAAATTTCAACATGAGTTTTGGGGCCCAGTGTGGTGGCTCATGCCTGTAATCCCATCACTGTGGGAGGCTGAGGCAGGTGGATCACTTCAGGTCAGGAGTTTGAGACCAGCCTGGCCAACATGGTGAAACCCCATCTGTACTAAAAATACAAAAGTTAGCCAGGCATGGTGACATGGACTTGTAATCCCAGCTACTCAGGAGGCTGAGGAACAAGAATCACTTGAACCTGGGAAGGTAGAGGTTGCAGTGAGCCGAGATTGCACCAATGCACTCCAGCCTGAGTGACAGAGTGAGACTCTGTCTCAAAAAAAAAAAAAAAAAAATCAACATGACTTTTGGAGGGGACATTCAAACCATAGCAGCCTATGTTTAACTTTATAAGAAACTGTCAAAATTTTTTTCACAGTGGCTGTACATTTTACATTGTCACCAACAACACAGGCGTTTCAGTGGTTCCCTTCATTACTGATGTGAGTGGTTTAAATTTTGGCCATCAAGGTGAATGTATAATGGCATCTCATTATGCTTTTAATATACATTTCCCAGGCTGATGGTGCTTTCTTATTTTTATTTTATAAATCTTTTTTGTGCAATTATGTTTCAATTTGTGTCATTTAAAAAATTAGGTTGTTTTCCTTTTTATAACTGAGTTTTGAGAGTTTGTTGTTTACTCTTGATACAACTTCCTTATCTGATATACATCTTGTTACCCACATTGGTTTTGAAATCAGACTGATTCCTTCCCCTTTATTCTTCTTTTTCAAAATTGTTTTAATTATTCTAGTTTCTTGGCCTTTTCATATAATTTTTTAAAAATCTTATCTATATCTACAGAAAAATCTTTTAGGGATTTTGATAGAAATTTCATTAAACCTTTATATTAATTTGGGGGGAATTTATATCTTTACTCTTTTGAGTCTCCTAAAATATATGCATGTTATGTCTCTACACTTGTTTGGATCTTTTTTGATTTATTTCATCAGCATTTTTAGTTTTCAGCATACGTATATGTATATGTGTATGTACTGTTAGCTTTATACCTAAGTATATTATTTGTTTTGAACAGTTGTAAGTGGTATTGCATCTTAAATTTTGGTGTCCATGTGTTATTGTATTGAAGTACAATTGATTTTCAAAGTGTATCATATCCTGTGATGTTGCTGAACTCACTAGTTTCAGGATTTTTTTTTAGATTACTTAGTATTTTATACATAAACAATTATGGCATTTATACATAAACAATTATGACATTTATACATAAACAATTATGACATTTGCAACTAGGGACAGTTTTATTTCTTGCTTTATGCTCTGTATCCCTTCTATTTTGTTTTCTTGTCTTATTGCACTGGCTAGACCTTCTTACACTAAGTTGAATAAGAGCAATGAAGCAGATGTCGTTGTTTTTTCCCAGTCTTAGGGAAAAATCATTCAGTCTTTCACCATTAAGTATAATGTTAGCAGCAGATTTTTGTAAATGTGCTTTATCAAGCTGAGGAAGTTTCCCTTTATTTCTATTTTTCTGAAAGTTTTGTCATAAATTAGTGTGGAGTTTTGTCAAGTGATTTTTCTGCCTCACTCAAAAAATTATGTCATTTTTTTCTTTTACCTTTTAATATGGTGGATTATATTGATTGATTGTTAATTATTGAATCAGCTTTGCATCCCTGAAATAAATACCACTTGGTCATAGTGTATAATCCTTTTAATTCATTGCTAAATTCTATGTCCTAATGTATTTTAAGAAATTTTATATCTATATCGATGAGGGATATTGGTCTGTAGTTTTCTTGTTTGTACTGGCTTTTTCTAGCTTTGGTAGAAGAGTAGTACTACTTTCATAAAACACATTTGAAGACTTCCTAGAATCTCCGGAAGAGGTTGTGTTGCATTGGAGTTAATTCTTCTTTGAATGTTTGGTAGAATTTTTGAGTGAAATTATTTGGTCTTGGGGATTTCTTTTGGGGGAGTTTTCAAATTAAAAATTTAATTTCTAATAAATTATAAGATATTAATGTTATCTATTTAATATTGGGTGAGTTGTGGTAGTTGGCATTTTTCAAGAAATTGAGTCAATTTCATCTAAGTTTTCAAACTTACACATATGTAATTGTTTGTAGTACTTCCCTATTGTCCTTTTGATGTTGCAGGATCCGTAGTGATTCCCCATTTTATTACTGATATGAATAAATGTGCCTTCTATTTTTACTTTATTAGTATTACTAGAGGCTTGTCAACTTTATTGATATTTTGAAAGAATGAGTTGTTTCATTTATTTTCTCTATTGTTTTTTGTTTTAAAATTTCATTGATTTGTTTTTATATGTATTATTACCATTCTCCTCTTGTTTTGGGTTTATTTTTACTTTTTTTGGCGGGGAGGGGTGGGGGACAGAGTCTCACTCTGTCACCCAGGCTGGAGTGCAGTGGTACGATCCCGGCTCACTGCAACGTCTGCCTCCCAGGTTCAAGTTATTCTCCTGCCTCAGCCTCCTGACTAGCTGGGACTACGTGCATCACCACACCCAGTTAATTTTTGTGTTTTTAGTAGAGATGGGGTTTCACCATATTGGCCTGGCTGGTCTCAAACTCCTGACCTTGTGATCTGCCTGCCTCGGCCTCCCGAAGTGCTGGGATTACAGGTGTAAGCCACCCCACTCAGCCTTGCTTTTCTTTATCTAGGCTCTTAAGGTGGGAGCTTAGATTATTGATTTGAGACTTGCCTTCTTTTCTTTTCCTTTTTATTTTTAGAGACAGTTTTTGCTGTCACCCAGGCTGGTCTTGAGCTCCTGGGTGAAAGTGACTCTCTCATTCCAACCTCTTGAGTAGCTAGGACTATAGGCATGCACCATTACACACAACTCTTCTGTTTTCTAATGTATGCATTTAGGCTTACAAAGTTCCCTGTCCACATTTCTCTAGTTGTGTTCCAGAGATTTTGATATGTCATATTTTTACTTTCATTCTCATCAACATATTTTTAACTCCGCTTGAGACTTCCTGTCTGACTCATGGATTATTTAGAAGTTAAGTATTGTTTATTTTCCAAGTGTTTGGAGATTTTTCTGCTCTCTTTCTATAATTGATTTCTAGTTTAATTTCATGTGGTTGGAGAACACTCTTTACCATTCCAATCCTTTAAAATCTGTTAATGTTTCTTTTATGACCCAAAATGTGGTCCCTCTTGGTATATGTTCTCTGGGCACTTGAAAAGCATCTGTATTCATCGCTTGTTGAATGGAGTGTTCTATAAATGTTGATTAGATCCTGTTGATTGGTGCTGGTGTTGAGTTCTTCTATGCGCTTGCTGATTTTCTATCTAGTTGTTCTATCAGCTGTTGAAAGAGATGTATTGAAGTCTCCAACTATAATTGTGGATTTTTCCTTTAAATTCTTTAAATTTCCTTTAAATTCAGTTTTTGCTTCATATTTTGCAACTCTGTCTTTTTGCACATATACCTTAAGGATTGCTAAGTCTTCTTTAGGGTTTTAAAATTTTAAATTTAAAAAGTTTTAAAAGTTTATATAATTTTTATTTCTTTAAGGTCCACTTTGTCTGATAATATAGCCATTCCTGGTCTCCTTTGATTAATGTGTGCATGATGTATCTTTTTACATCCTTTTACTTTCAACCTATCTGTATCATTGTATTTGAAATAGGTTTATTGTAGTTGGGTTACGTCTTTTAACCTACTTTGCCAATATCTGTCTGTTAATTGGTGTATTTAGACCATTTACATTTAATTACATTAAATTTAATGTCATTATTGATATTTTAGGGATTGTCTCCCATTTTATTTTTTGTTTTCTGTTGTTCTCTGTTTTTATTTCTCTGTTTTCTACTTTCTACCTTCTGTGGGTTACTTGAACATTCTTTAGAATTCCATTTTTACTTATCTATGGTGTTATCTATACTGTATATCTCCACATAGCTTTTAGTGGATGTTCTAAGTATTAGTAGGTATCTCTACCTATACATATATAAACACACACATATATGTTATATATATATAATCTATAGATACCTAGGTAACACTAAAAAAATAAATTTTTATATGTGTATACATATATATACATATATGTATATGTACAGTTTAATACATAGACACACCACATGAAATTATATATATAAATTTTTATTATATATTTAATGTATTATATTATATGTTATATATTATATATGTTATATATTTTTATATAATATAGAAATATATACATATATTATGTTATATATCTTTATATGTTATTTATAGATATTATTTCTATATATACAAATTTATATATTTCTATATATATTATTTTTATGTATAATACATATATAAAAATTTATATATATAGTTTATATATTTATATTTTACATATGTGTGTATATGTATGTGTGTCTGTATAAATATATATATAAACCTTATCACACTATACTGGTGTTCTTATTTTACCAATTCAACACCTACTTCCCTCTATGTCCCTTTACCTTCCCCTGTTTATAATGTCATTGTCTTACATGTTGCCTCTACATACATTTCAAAGGATATCAGACAGTATTCCAATTTTACTTCAACCTTCAAACAAAATTAGAATATTCAACAGAAGGAAAGTCTATTGTACTTATCCATATTTTTGCTTACTGTGTTCTTTATTCCTTCCTGATATTCCAAGATTGTTTCCATTCTCTTTGTAGATCTTCCTTCAGAGATTCTTTTGAGGGTAGGTTTGCTGGCAACAAATTCTTTTAGTTTTTTCTTCATTTCAGAACGTCTTGATTTATGCTTCATTTCTGAAGGATGTAGGATTCTGAGTTGACATTTCTTTTCTTTGAGCACTTGAAAAATATTGTATCACTTCCTCTGGTTTCCATAGTTTCTAATGAGAAATCCTCTGCCATTCTAATTGTTTTTGCCGCTAGGTAAGGTATCATTTCTCTGTCACAGCTTTCAAGATTTGTTGTTTTGTTTTCTTTTAATTTTCAGAAATTTGACTATGATGTCTCTTGGTATAAATTTTTGGGGATTGTCCTGCTTGTGGTTCAGTAAATCTTCTTGAATCTGTAAACTTATATATTTCGTCGAACTTGAGAGTTGTTTTTAGCCATTTTAAAAAATACTTTTTTCTGTTCTGTCCCCTTTCCCTTCTCTTTCTGGGACTCTGATGACAAAACATTAGACCTTTCGTTAAAGTCCCACACACAGGTCCTTGAGATGTTGTTCATTTGCTTCTTTCAGTCTATTTTCTCTCTTTGTTCAGGTCAGATAAGTTCTATTGTTGCACCTTCTGGTTCACTGATTCTTTCCTCTGTCTTCTTTATCCTGCTCTTGAGCCCACCCATTGAGTCCTTTATTCTGGTTATTGTATTTCTTATTTTTAACATTCCCATTTGATTCTTCTTTATCTCTTATATTTCTTTGCTGAAACTTTCTGTTTTTTTAATTTATTTTATACATGTTTGTAATTGCTCACTGAAGCATTATTATGATGGCTGCCTTGAAATATTTGTCGGATAATTCTAGCAACTCTGCCATCTCAGTGTAGGCATCTATTGATCATGATTTTTCATTCAGCTTGAGATCTTCCTGGATTTGGTATAATGAGTGATTTTTCAAACTAAAACCTGGACATTTTGGGTATTATATTATGAGACTCTGGATGTTACTTAAACTTTCCATTTTACCTGGCTTACTCTGACTCTGCCTGGATATTGCCAGGTGGTGGCAGTAAGTCAAATTCCCCACTCAGCCTCTGTTGACACTCAGGGTGAAAATCTCCTCATTATTGTTGATCTGTTTGGGCATTCTGACTTTCCATCAGGCCTCCACTGATAACTTCCTATCTTGGAGGGTTAGGGGTGCCTTGTTACTCCTCCCCATGTGGCCTCCCTTCACACTATATGAAGTGGTACTTGGTATTGCTGAGTAGTGGTGAAAGTCCTCATTTTTCAATCAGGTTTCTCTGACACCACCCTAGTATAAGAGGGCATCTCATTTACTACGAGGGACGGGTGGAAGTCCTGGTTCCCATATAGTCTCCTTTGATGCTGTGGAGGGTGCCTCTTTACAGCTTAGTAGAGAAAGTTACAACTCAGCTTTCTCTGACACGACCCTGGTGGAAGGATTTGGAGTCTTACTACAGGCTGATGAAGATGGAAGTCTATGCTCTCCACTTGTCCTGCTCTAGACTGTGTTGAAGTGAAGCCATAGATTCTTCCTGTGGTGTTTGGACGCAGTAAAGCAGTCAGTTTCTAATAGGTTTCTGGCCTCCTAGGCTTCCCTCTTTCTGGTCCTTTGGCTAAATAAAGCAGGCTTTTGTTGGTGCCTTTTTTGCTTGCTTCTTGTCTTAACTTGAGTTGCTATAACAAATTACTGTAGACTGAGTGGTTGATATAGTTTCGCTATGTCCCCACCCAAATCTCATCTTGAATTGTAGCTCCCATAATTCCCACATGTTGTGGGAGGGACACAGTGGGAGGTAATTGAATAATGAGGATGAGACTTTCCCATGCTGTTCTTGTGATAATGAATATGTCTCACAAGATCTGATGGTTTTATAAAGGGGAGTTCTCCTGCACAAATTCTCTATTTTCCCTGCCACCACGTAAGATGTGACTTGCTCCTCCTTGCCTTCTGCCATGATTGCAAGGCCTCCTCAGCCATGTAGAATTGTGAGTCAATTAAACCTCTTTCCTTTATAATTATCTAGACTCGGGTATGCCTTTATTAGCAGCATGAGAACAGACTAATACAGTGGTTTAGACAACAAATTTTATTTCTTAAAGTTCTGTAGACTGGAAGTCAGAGATCAAGGTGCCTGCATGGTCAGGTTCTTGGTGAAGGCCCTCTTGCTGGTATACAGATGGCCATCTTCTCATTATATCCTCAAGTATCAGAGAGTGGAGAGAGAAAAGAAAGCTCCTTCATGGTTCTTATAAGGGCACTAATCCCATTCATGAAGGCTCCACCCTTATGACCCAATCACCCCCTAAAGTTTCACTTCCTAATACCATAACAGTTGGAGTTAGGATTTCAATATATGAGTTTTGGGAGGACATGAACATTCAGTCCACAACATTCTGCCCCTAGCTCCTCAAAATTCATGTCCTTCTTGTATGCAAAATGCATTCATTTCAATCTAACAACTCCAAAAGTCTCAACATTTTTTCAGCAGTAAGTCTAAATTCTCATCTAAATATCATCTAAGCTAGATATGGGTGAGATTCAAGGTATGATTCATCCTGAAACAAAATTCCCCAGCTGTGAAACTGTGAAAACAAATGATATGCTTCCAAAATATGATGGTGGAACAGGCATACGATAAACATTTCCAATCTAAAAGGGAAAATTAGTACAGAAAAAATGGGTGACAAGTCCCAAGCAAGCCCAAAACCTATCAAGGCAAACTCCATGAGATCTTAAACTTCAAGAGTAGTCTTCTTTGGCTTGATAATTTGTCTTCCTCACCCACTGTCGTGGCAATGTCACCCCCACAGCTCAGCAGGGCATTGCCCATGTATGTCTCTCTGTGGTGGCCCCACGTATGTCACGGTTCTGCTGTGTGGGGATCATGCCCCCTGAGCTGCTGGGCAGTCCTACCCGCATGGCTTCTGTTGGAGGCCATCTGCCCTGTTGATGATCTCTCAATTGCATTTGGAGTCCTTCTTCTTTTTGAAGGATATTCACATATATTCACAGCCTTCCTTCATTCCATTCCATTTTCTCCATTTCCTTTAGTTCCTGCTGGCAGTGTTTTTACTGGTACAGTCCCATTTCTATTTTTGGCATCTGTTGAGATGGCTGATAAGGTCTGTGGTCTGCATCCACACTAATCTCCTTATTAAATGATTGGCTGGCCCATTTATTGATGTTCTCTTCCAAACATGGTTTCTCATTTTTTGCAATATGGATAGACTGAGAATTTCCCAAATCTTAAGTTCTGGATCTTTTCTGCTTAACAATTCTATCTTCAACTTATTTCTCTCTTCTTGCATTTTACTGTTAGCAGTCAGGAGGCACCATACCACTCCAACACTTTGCTTAGAAATTTTCTTAGCTAAATATCTGGTGTCATCACTTACAATTTCTACCTTCCACAAAACACTAGATTTTAACAAGGATTACATTTTCTCCATTGTTCAATAACGTATTTCTTATTTCCACCTGAGACCTCATAGAATTTCCCTCAACAATCATATTTATACCAATTCTATATGTGATTATTCATGTATTCTCTATAAACCACAGAAGATTTATCTACAGCTCTTCTCTTTTCTTTTTGAGCCCTCAGCAGAATTGCCTTCAAAAGTCCCTTCATGGCAATGTCGGTTTTTTAAGGATGCACCTCAAAATGCTTCCAGCCTCTACCTGTTTCCCAGTTCCAAATCCTTTCACATTTTTCACATTTTTAGATATTTAGTACAGCAGCATCCCAGTTTTCAGTACCAATATTGGTGTTAGAGTTCTTCAGAGAAATAGATACAATAAAATATATAAAGAAATGTATTATAAGATATTGGTGTACATTATTATGCAGGCTGAGAATTCTTATAATCTGCTCTCTGTAAGTTGTAGACCCAGGAAAACCAATGGTGTAGTTGAAAGCCTGAAAACCAGAGAGTGAATGGTACAGATTCCAGCCTGGCCTGAGCTCTGAAAACCATGGTGCCAAGGTCAGGAGAAAATTGATATTCCAGCTCATTCCGTCAGCCAGAGAGTAAATTTAACCTTCTTCCATCTTTTTCTTCTATTTAGGCCCTCAACAGATTGGATTATGCCCACCCATACTGGATAGGGCCCTCTGCTTTACTCAGTTCACCAAGTCAAGTGCTAATCTTTTGCAAATACCCTCACAGACACACCCAGAAATAATGTTTAGTCAGCAACCTGGGTATCCCATAACCTACTCAAGTTGACACACAAAATCAACCATCACACTTTTATTGGTGTTTTCATGTTGCTACGTGATCTAGTACCCAGTGTGGGGTATATGAGGCAAAAAGAAAACCAAGAGAAATTGCTGCCATGTGGTTCTTTGAGTCTGAAGTCCCTTGTCAGTCTGGGACCTTTCAGAGTTCTTTTTATTTTAAAAACATACATTACATCCAGGGTGTCTAGTTGTACTTAATGGGAGCAATAGGGAAATCTACATCTACTCCATCTTCCCAGAGGTGGAATTCCATACTATTGACCTTTGTATATTGACTTTGTCTTCTGCAAATCTGTTACCCATTTATTAGATTTGAAGTGTTTTATTAGATTATTTGTTATGTACCTAATTAAGTCATTTGTGAACAAAGTCAGTTTTACTTCTTCCTTTACAATCTGTATATGTTTATGTATTTTCTTGCCTGATTGATCTGGCTAGAATCTCCAGTACAATGTTGATTAGCAGTGGTGAGAGATATTATTGGTCTTTGATATTAACAGAAAATATTAAAGAAAATATTCCTGTTTCATCATTAAGCATAATATTAACTGTACATTTTATATAGATCCCTTTCGTCAGCTTCTATTTAGGGTTTCTGAGAGCTTTATCATAGACGAATGTTGAATTTTGTCACAGGCTTTTCTGCATATATTGAGATTATCATATGATGTAATCATTTTCTTATCAGCTTAGCTAGAGATTTATAGAGCTTATTGATCTTCTAAAAGAACTTTTTATTTCATTGATTTTCTGTATCATTTTGCTTTTTCTAATTAAGTTCCATTGTGATCTTTATTATTTTCTTTCTACTGTGTACTTTGTTTCATTCTCTCTTCTTTCTAGTTTCTCAAGATGACAGGTTAGATAATGATTTGAGAACTTTCTTCTTTCCTAATAGGCGTTTAATGGTATAAATTTCTAAGTACAGCTTCAGCTGCATCCCACAAATTTTAATATGTCGTGTTTTTATTTTGACTCATTTCAAAATACTTTGTAATTTCCTCTTTTGTTTCTTTTGGGGTTATTTAGAAGTATATTATTTAGATTTCAAATATTTGGCAGTTTTCAAGATATATTTCTGTTATTGGTTCCTAATTTATTTACACTGTGGTCAAAGAGTATACTTTGTATGACTTGAATTCTTTTAAATTGAGATGTCTTTCATGGCCCATAATACGGTCTATTTTGGTAAATATTCTATGTACACTTAAAAAGAACGTATAGTCTGCTATTATTGGGTAGTATGTTTTCTAAGCGTCAAATAGGTCGTGTTGATTGAGAATGCTCTTTGACTCTTCTACATTCTGATTTTTTTGTCTACTTGTTCTGTCCATTGAGAAAGGAGTGTTGAAATCCTCAACTTTGGTTGTTGGTTTGTGTAACTATTGCAGTTGTATTAATTTTTGCTTCATAGGCTTTGAAGCTTTTTTAAAGGAACATAAGCCTTCAGGATTGTTGCATCCTGATGAATTGGCTCCTTTAGTGTTATGAAATGATCCTGTTTATCTCTGGTTATATTCTTTGCTCTCTGCAAAGAATTGAGAAATTTCCAAATCTTTATGGTCTGGGTATTTCTGCTTAACAATTCCATCGTCAATCTATTTCTCTCTTCTTGCATTTTACCATTAGCAGTCAGGAGGAACCACACCACCTCAACACTTTGCTTAGAAATTTTCTCAGTTACATATCCAATGTCATCACTCACAAGTTCCACTTTTCACAGAACATTAGGTTTTAACAAGGATTACCTTTTCTCCATTGTCCAATAACCTATCCCTCATTTCCATCTGAGACTTCATCAGTATCATCTAAAGTCTATTTTGTCTGACTTTAAACATACATTCTAGCTTTATTTTGATTAACATTAGCATGATTTATTGTTTTTGATACTTTAAAAGTATTTGTGTCTTTATATTTAGTGTGGGTGACTTTAAAAAGCATATAGTTGACTATTTTTAAAAAATACAATTTGATAATCTCTTACTTTTAATTGGGGAGTTTAGACAATTTACATTTAATGTTATTGATATGGTTAGGTTTGAATCTATTAGTTTTTTATATGTCTTCTTTTGGTTCTATCTGTTCTTTTTTTACCTTTTCTGTCTACTTCTACCTTCATTTGGATTAACTACGTTTTTAAACGATTCGATTTGATCTCTTTTATGGGATTATTAGTTATATATCTCCTACTTAAGTGATTACTTTAGGGCTTAGAGTATACATCTGTAATTTATCATAGTCTGCCATCAAGTGATAATTTAACACTTCACTACTCTATATACTGTATACTTCCATTTTTCCATCCCCAAACTTTGGGCTAATTTTTATCCTACATTTTATTTCTACATATGTTATAACCCCATTTCATTATTTTTCTTCAAATAGTCAATTATCTTTTGAAGACATTTAAATAGTAAGACATTTATTTATTTAGTTTATTTACCCAGATGGGTGCCTTTTCTGGGGATCTTTATTCCTTTTGTGGATTCACATTTTCATCTAACATCATTTTCTCTTTGTTTTTAAGACTTCCTTTAACATTTTTTGTGCCATGATCTGCAGGTGAACTTGTTCAGCTCTGTGTGTCGGAAGAAGTATTTTGCCTTTGTTTCTGAAAGATATTGGCATTGGATATAAAATTTATGGAGTCCTTTTCTTTCAGTACTTTAAAGATTTTGCTACAATTCTTCCAGCATGGATTGTTTCTAACAAGAATTCCTATGCCATCCTCACCTTTGTTTCTCTGTAAATAATATGTCTGTCTTTTCTAGATGCTTTAGAGAATTTCTCTGTATCACTATTTTTAACCAATTCTATGGTGATCTTGGTGTAGTTCTTTTTCTTATCTTTTGTTATTGTTTCTTGTGTTTGGAGTTTGTTAACTCTTTTAGAACTGTGGGTTTATAGATTTCACTTAGTTTGGAAAACTTTATGCTATTATTTTTTCAAATATGTTTTCTATTCTCTAATACTTTCAAAGACTCCAGTTACACTTGGATTGATTTGCTTGAAGTCTTCTCACAGCTCACTGATGCTCTGTTCATTATTTTCAATCTCTTTTCTCTTTGTATTTCATTTTGGATAGTTTCTATTCTGTCTTCAACTTCACATACAATGTTGAATCTGCTGTTAATTCCAACCATTGTATATTTTATTTCACATATTGTAATTTTCATGTTTAGAAAGTTGATTTGGATCTTTTTTTATATCTATCATGTCTTCACTTCCTCAACCTTCTTCTATTTTCTTGAACATACAAAACACAGTTACAGTAGGGTTTTAATGTTCTTGTCTACTCAAGGGTATCACTTCTGGGTCAGCTTCAATTGATTGAGTTTTCTCATTATAGGCTGTATTTTTCTGCTTCTTTATAAGGCTGATTAATTTTTTTATTTGATGTCAGACTTGCCTGAAGACAGTAATTTTTTTATTAGATGTCAGACTTGCCTGAAGACAGTTGCTTCATATACACTATCCAGTTTTCTAGATGTTTATGATAAGAGATCCCTCTTATTTCAGTTACTCCACTATGGTCAGTAGTGAAAGAGTGGATAAAGCAGTGTTTGTTAAGGCTCTAATGTTTTGTTGCTTTGTGTATTGTAATGTCATGTTATTTAGTGCCCAAAGTTAATGACTAATCATAAATGAGGATTTTATTTTTATCGAAATAATTTAGCCTCATTTTTCCATTAAAACTTTTGGCTTGAATCTAATTTTTATATTAATAATGTCCTTATATTCCTTTTTGCCAAACTAACAGTTACCTTATATGTTTTTGTCCATTTATTTTAAATATTATCATTTTTTGTTCAAGTAGAGTTTGCTTTTAGACTCAGTATGGTAGTCTTTGTCTTTTTATAGAGGTGTTTGATCTGTTTATATTTATTATGATCACTAACATCTTTCTTCTTAATTCTGTCATTTATTTTACGTTTCTTATTTAATTTCCCAATTATTGTTTATATTGTTCATGTATTCCACTTTCTTCCTTCTACTTTTTTAGAAGTTACTTTGGTTGACCCTATTTTTAAAATCAAAATCCTATTAATCTTTGACTCCCATCCATGTTTGACATTTGAAATTTTCATCAGGATGTGTCTAGATGTGACTTTTTAAAATTAATTTTACCTGCTCTTCGTGGGTGTTTTTTCCCTCAGACTGTTATTTCCACTTTCAGATTTACTGTGATGTTTTTGCTCATCTTATTTCATCTCACTATGCTTCTTTCTGAATTCTGGAAGTTTTTTTTTGAACAGACTATTTAAATTATTTATTCAGTGTTCTTCAATGTTTAATATGCTCCCCACTGCCCCTACTGCATTTTAAAATTCTGTAATTATGCTTTCCATCTTAAAGTAAAATTGCCTTATCACACATAATTATCTTTTCAGAAATGCAATATGTTCTGTAATCGCATAGAAAATATAAATTTGATATTAAATTTTTTTCCTTCTGTTTCTGGCATAGGTCTGTTTCGGGGGGAAACTTTTTTTTGGATCCTATATCTGATTTTGCTCCTTCTTTTGTACTGGTAAAATTTTCTCTGGTGACTGTCCTTCTACTTATTCTTTGGAGGCAGAGCTGGATTTGCAGATGAAGTCTATTAGAGAAGGTGCAAGTTCAGATATATTCAAATCAAACATAGAGAAAAAGAGAAGTCTTATGTTTCTGAAGGTTTGGTCGGCCATTCAGAGCATTCAATTTACCGTGTGGTATAGGTCGCAGCCATTTGTCAGGGAAGCTCAGTTCTTTGTGGAATGTGTCTTTTCACCCTCTCTATGTGTAGGTGTGGGCAGACACAGTTCTCCAGGTAATTCTTAGATTTGAGATTAGCTCACCTCTCACTGTTGTGGTTTTTTTTTTTTTAGACAGGGTCTCATTCTGTTGCCCAGCCTGGAGTGCAGTGGTGTAATCTTGGCTCACTGCAACTTCTGCCTCCTGGTGTCAAGCCATCCTCCCACCTCAGCCTCCCAAGTAGCTGGGACTACAGGCACAAGTCACCATGCCCTGCTCATTTTTCTATTTTTTGTAGAGGAGGAGTTTCACCATGTTGCCCAGGCTGGTTCATTGCTTTTTGGCTCACCTCCAATGCCAGTACCTGATCTTAAGTGTCTGGATGAATTCCAAGTTCCAGATGCCAATGGGAATTTAAAAATGTCTTCTCCACCAAAGGGCCCTACAGAGCAGGGACATTCAGGGTTCATTGAAGCATATTTTGCTCTTGTTACTTGGGTTAGCTGGGGACACTACTCTTCTCTAACCAGTCTGACTACCCATCCCAACTTAGTGCACCATCTCTTAGTGCATCTCAGGGAAAAATGGGCAAGTGCTGCAGCCAAGTGCTCTGAGTGTACACCTGTAGCAGTTCCTAAAATCGGTGGGCACGGTGGCTCATGCCTGTAATCCCATCACTTTGGGAGGCCGAGGGTGGCGCATCACCTGAGGTCAGGAGCTTGAGACCAGCCTGGCCAACATGGTGAAACCCTGTCTCTACTAAAAATACAAAAATTAGTCTGGGCATGGTGACATGTGCCTATAGTCCCAGTTACTCAGGAGGCTGAGGCAGGAGAATCTCTCGAACCCGGGAGAGGGAGGTTGCAGTGAGCCAAGATCACGCCACTGCACTCCACCCTGTGTAACAGACCGGGACTCCACCTCAGAAAATAAATAAAATAAAATAAAATAAAATAAAACAAAATAAAATAAAATAAAATAAAATTTTGATTTGTCCTCTCTTGATCACCCTGTGAACCTCCATAGCCATGATCTTCTCAAAGTTTTAGCATTTTCAGGCTTGCTTCTTTCTCCTTCTTAACTGGGTCTTCCTTTACCTTATTCATTTTTCCTCCCATCCATCCATCTGATGTTGATTGAGCCGTGAATATATGTCAAATACTATTCTGGATGCTAGTGATTCAGTGGCAGAAGAAGACATATGGAGCTTGCATTCTAGAGGAGGGTTGCAATGCATGGTGTAAGGATTTTATCTCCCTTAGTCTGAGCTCATCTGTATCACATCACTTTAAAATATCTTTGTATTCCAGCACTGGAATCCTTTGTGAGTTTGAAGGGATTGGTAGGCACAAATCATGACCACAAAGTGTAAGAACCACCCATTCCTCCAAAAAGAGAAAAAACAAACAGAAAGAAATAAAGAAAGGAAGGAAAGAAAAAAGAGAGGAGGGGAGGGAAGGAAACTCAGAGTTCATCACAGGAGTTTCCGGGGCCTTGTCTCAAATAGCTCATGCTTACAATTAGATTAAGTCAGGAGTCCTGGCTTTGAGTTGCAGCCCCATAAGCTATGATCCCTCTGTTTCTCAGACTCTATTACAGTACAATGTCCTCTTCATGCGTAGCATAAAATATAACTTCTTACATAAACATTAAGGAAAACTTTAAGAAAAATTCACCATTCACCACCATTGTTATAGTATTAACTACACAATTTTGTTTTACTTTTTTTACTAAGCATATTATCATTTTCTTATTTTCATGATTTTCATTTTAGTGCCAGCATAGCATTCCATTACGTTGACTCCCAAAATTGTTTAGCTGTCCCCCTGCCCTTTCTTTCAATATTTAGAGGGTTCTGCTTTTACATGAACACAATTCATAAACAGCGTGATGAAGGTCTGCAAGGAGCTTTGCTCCTCAAATTCATTTCATAAGAATGAATTCCCAGAAAAAGGACAATTAGGTCGAAAAGTATTGATGTTTTGGGGCTCCTGTCAGGTATTTTAAGTTACTTTTCAAAAGGACCAGCAATATGGCAATTTTCCTGAAACCTCATCAGCATTAGTTTGCTTTTAAAAATCAGTTTCATACCAATTTGATAATTTGTTAGACAAAAATTGGAACATATTTTATGCCTATTGATTGTCTTTGTGTTGACTGTTTCTGTTCCTTTTCAGTGAATTGTTTGGTCACGTCTTTTGCTCATTTATTTGTTTGGCCTTGGGATGTTCTTAAGTTATTTAATGTAAGCTATTCTTTCAAGATGAAGTATTCTTAACCTTGGGTCCCAGGAGAGGCATAGGGTACTCAACAGTCCTACAAAAGCATATGCGTCATTTATGTGTCTGTGTCTATGTATATGTCTGTCTGTGCCAATGTGAATGTATGTTGTGTGTATGCACATATATGTGTGTGTATGTTCCTGTATATATGTCTGTAGGTAAATGTGAAAGAGTTCTTAACTTTCTTTAGATTCCCAAAAAGGTCAAGTTAAAAAAATAGTTAAGAGCCGCCTATTCAATACAAATCTTCCCCCTACTGTATTATTTTTGCTTTCTATATTTGTGTATGCATGCATTTAACATTTTAACATAGCTTAATTTGTCCATTTTTCTTTTTGTAATTTCTTCCATTTCCTCTATCCTGAGCCTATTATTATTTCTCAGATGAGTTAACACTATAGCATTTCACTTCCACTGGGTTGTCTATGTTTTTCAATCAGTCCTTTCTAAATCTGAAGCTTATTTTTAGATGTAGACCTAAATTAATCTCCCTGCTTATCTACTGTTCAACTTCCCCAACTCCTTTATTACAAGGTATTTCCTTTCCCTATCATTTTGTGACACTCTTTTTATATATGAAGCTCTCTTATGTCACCAAGTCTGTTTCCGGACTTTTGGTTTCATCTAGTTCTCATTTGGCTCTAGTATCATACCATTGCAGTACTGTTCTTTAATGACTTATTTAAGTATTTCTATTATCATTGCTTTTTTAAAGACTATCCTTCACTATTTTAAAAATTTGTTTTTGTGCCTTAGAAACCCCTATCAGTTTTTGTTGTGGTGTTTTGTTGTTGTTGTTGTCATTTGAGACAGGGTCTTGCTCTGTCAGGCTGGACTACAGTGGCATGATCACGGCTCATTGCAGCCTCAACCTCCCAGGTTCAGGTGATCGATCCTCCCACCTCAGCCTCCCAAGTATATGGGACTACAGGTGCACACCAACAAACTGGGTTAATTTTTGTATTTTTTGTAGAGACGAGGTCTCACTATATTGCCCAGTCTGGTCTCAAACTCCTGGGCTCAAGCAATCTGCCCGCCTCAGCCTCCCAAAGTGCTGGGATTACACGCATGAACCACCACCCCCAGCTTCTTTGCTATTTTGACTGTTTTTTCCAAATTATTTTTAAATGCGCTTTTTCAAAATCTTTAAGAAATCCTTTTGTATTGAATTATAAAATTATAATATTTAGACACATTGAGAAACATGTTTTTCCATTATTCAAGTTTTCTATTATGCTTTCCAGGAGAGTTTTGAATTTTTCTGTATGTCATGTTTTTGTCTTAGTATTTCATTATATTTGATTGTGAATTGGATCTCATTTTTAATTTATTTCCTGTCTTTAATTGCATTTATTTAGGAAAGTTATTGATTTTTAAAATATTTATCATGTACCCATGATATAAAGCCAGTTATGAAACTATTGAACCTTTATATTATTGCTAATATTAGTTTACACAAGAACATCAGATTTTTAAAGTCTATGATCATATCATCTGCTTTGATCTTCTGGAGCTTTGTATCATCTGAAGCTTTCTTGCTACCTTTATAATAATTATTCCTATGGTTTATTTTTCGTGTCTTATTACATCAGCCAGAATCATCAATATAATATTAAATAATAATGGTGATACAGAACTTTCTTGTTTTGTTCTCTTTTCTAATGGGAAAATCTCTAATGTTTTTCCATTAAAAAGGATGCTGGCTTGGTTTTAAATAGATCCTTATTATGTTAAGGAAGTGTCATTCTCTTCCTATTTTTAAAAATATTTTGACATCTATTGAAATGCATTTTTTGGCATCCACTAAGATGATCATATGGTTCATATTATTTAATCTATTGATCTTATGTGTTATATTAATAGATACCCTTGTGCTGAACTTGCCTTGCCTTGCCATAGAAACCCTTTGTGGTCATGGTGTTTTAGTCTCTGAGTGTGCGCTGAACACTATTTTCTGGGACTGTGTTCTTAAATGATATTGGATCCTGTTCCCTTTAAAAAAAATTCTGTATCAGGACTTAAAATCAGGACCGTATTTGCCTTGCAAAATGAATAAGCAGATTTTTTTCCCACCATTCTTTTCCTATGTTAAAGAATAATTTATGTAACATTTATGTAACATGAAAATGTAGTGTTCTGTAAAATTTGGAAAGATTTCTCCAGAGACTCTAGGGTGGGTAAAAAAATGTGCTTTTTAGGGGTGGAGAGGGTTGTTCTTTAATAAATTTCTCACTCTTTCAGATTCTTCCTTGCCTGCTGATCTAATCTACATTTCTTGTATTGGTTGTATTATTTTATATTTTTGTAGGCTATCATCTGTTTGATAATTTCCAAAAAATTTGCCATAGAATCATGTTTGATGTTCCTCTCAATATTTCTTAATCTTTTTGATTTGTTGTGATAATCATGCTCTCATTCCTGATTTCATTTGGGTCTCTTCTTGTTTGTATTTGCCAGAGGTTAGTCTCTTTTATTAGCTCTTTCAAAGAAGCAGCGCTTGGTTTTATTTATTGATTCCACTGTTTTTGTGTTTCTTAATTTGTTTATTCCTGTTATTATCTTTCTTTCCTGGCTACTATCTTCCTTGGGGTTTGTGTGTGTGGTGAGGGGAGGGTAGGGAAAACTATCCTTCAAGATCTAAAGCAGTAAGTTTAGTTCATTGGGATTTTTTTGTTTTTCATTTTTAATTTTAAAAGCACCAAGAGCAGAATTTACCTCTGTAAACTAGCTCAGTTCCTTCTTACAGTCTTAAAATGCCATGTTTTGGATCCATTGTCCCTTGGTCCAATGTATTAATGTGGTGTGGACTTGAAGAAGGGTGTAGTGTCAGAGGGATCACTGGGGAATATCTGACCCAATGTGCTCACTTGTAGGAATTCTTTTATGCCACAAGACCCTCCCTGTCCCTAGCCCTTCCTTGTCTTCTGTCCCTTCCATCACCTCAGGTTCCACAGGTGATTGAGTCTTTGTGTTCATGCATTTATAAAGGAGAAATATCTACCCAAAAGACACAGTGGCTGTATTATGGGCCAATTCATTATTAGTGAACAGTTTCAAAAACCTGCAGGGACTCTTGAGTTGTACAGTTAGAATTTAGGGGGTCTGCAAACTTGGATGTGGGCAAAAATGACATCTTTATTTTTCTTAATTTTCACTAATCTCCTAACTGAAATTTAGCATTTTCTTTCACTTTGAATGTAGGCAACAAAACAGTCACATTAGCAATGCTGTGGCGTGCACCAATAAAAATCGCTAGTGCTTTCCTATCACAATTCTGTTGTTACAGATATTTCAAAACATCATTTAAGTTCATCGCTATTTCAAAATTATGTTAGCCATTAGATCTACTGCTAGAGCTTGTTTATTTACTTATATTTTTATTTATTTTTTTTGAGACAGGGTCTTGGTGTGTCAGCCAGGCTGGAGTGCAGTTGCGCGAACACAGCTTACTGCAGCCTCGACCTCCTGGGCTCAAATGATCCTCCTGCCTCAGGCTCTCAAAGTGCTGGGATTAGAGGAATAAGCCACTGAGCCTGATGAGCTTGTTTAATTCACTATTAGGAAACATATCAATTACAATTTTACATAGTTTTAATAATATTGAAAACTACATTTCAATGTAAAATATTTCAATCAAAAATACATATGCACTTAAATATATATGTATTATTTCCATTTAAAAACATTATTCTGAGAAGGGGTATACGGGCATCCGCAGACTGTCACAGAGGTCAATAGCACAAAAAAGGTTAGGAACTCTGCTCTCATGCATGGTTGTAACCAGGCCTTCCTGGACCTCTGTGAGGTTTCATGAAGATTCAAAGACTTTGTTAACTTTTCAAAGAGATCTACGATGCAAAAGGAAGGTGGGGGCGGCCAGGCACAGTGGCTCACACCTGTAATCCCAGCACTTTGGGAGGCCGAGGCGGGCGGATCACCTGAGGTCAGAAGTTTGAGACCAGCCTGGCCAACATGGTGAAACGTTGTCTCTACTAAAAATACAAAAAGTTAGCCATGCATGGTGGCGCGCACCTGTAATTCCAGCTACTCATGAGGCTGAGGCAGGAGAATCACTCGAGCCCAAGAGGCAGAGGTTGCAGTGAGCCGCAATTGTGCCACTGTGCTCCAGCCTGTGTGGTAGGGTTCCTCCTAAATCTGATTTTGAAAATACCGTTGTTATTTTCATTCTTTCTTTCAAAATGGAGTGCCTGCCATGTGCCTTGCACAGACAAAGTCCCTTCCCTTATGGAGCTAACAGGGCAGCAGGCAGTGACCTGGGCCACTCCACTTCCCACCCCTTCCCCCAACCTCTTCAATTAAGTCAGGTTTCTAATAATCAAAAGTAGTCACTTTTATTTCAGATTGGTCTCGTCCCCCCATTTTATAGACAAAATGAGGCATCTCCACGTTTCTGTATCTCCTTTGTCTAAGGCAGAGTGCTTCACTTGCAGTAAGAAAATTATGTATCAGGAAATGGACCTTCTAAAAGGTTGGCTTTCCGTCCCCATGGTTTCATACGAAACCCTGGTATTTGTATAGACCTTTACAAAACTCTGTCACTTACATCATCTCACTTGATCAGCTCCTTGAGGAATCAGTCCCCATCCAACAGAGGAGGAAACTGAGGCTCTGAGATGTTAGGATGACTGTCTCAAGGCCACACTGCCAGTTTATGGAAGAGCTGGGAGTTCAGCTTAGCTCCCCTGACTCCAGTTAATTGCTTTGCCTACTTTGCTACAATGCTTTCTGTAAATGCTAATTTCCTCTAATCACACTGTAACACTATGACTGTGGGAATTTTTCTTCATTTTCCATATTATTTTACTCTTATTTTAAATGGGACACCCAAATATGCTTGAGGCTTTTTTAGGTAATGGAGATGGCATCCACCAATCTTCTGCTTTAACCCAATGTGTCTCTTCTGAGCTCCAGGGAAAATCAGAAAATCTGGAAAATTCTCCCTTTGAGCTATCTTTGTCCACAGTCTCAACCTTTCTAGTACCACTGAAACTTTTCTTTAATTAAAAACAAAACAAAACAAACAAAGCTTGTTGCTCTTCATGGATTTATTCAAAAATTTTAATTGAACACCTACTATGTGCCAGGCACTTTAGCTGTAATAATGTGTTCATTGTAGAAAAATTAGAAACTACACATAAACAACCAGATGTCCACCAACAGTAGAACAGGTAGATACATTGTGGTATAGACATAGAATGTATTACTACACAACATCAAAAAATGCACAAACTGGCCAGGCGAGGTGGCTCACACCTGTAATCCCACCACCTTGGGAGGCTGAGGTGGGCAGATCACCTGAGGTCAGTAGTTCGACACCAGCCTGGTCAATATGGTGAAACCCCGTCTCTACTAAAAATACAAAAATTAGGTGTGGTGGCGTATGCCTGTAGTCCCAGCTACTAAAGGAGGCTGAGGCAGGAGAATCACTTGAACCCAGAAGGTGGAGGTTGCAGTGAGCCGAGATCATGCCATGTACTCCAGCCTGGGCAACAGAGCAAGACTCTATCTCAAAAAAAAAAAAAAATGCACCAACTATAGTCACATGCAACAAAAATGCATTTTAAAACCGTAATGTTAACTTTAAAGATACATACACACCCCCACAAAATACATCCAGTACGATTTCATTTACATACATTTCAAAAATAGGCAAACTCAAACTATTCTTTAGGGATGCCTACTTAGGTAGTAAAACCATGAAAAATAAAAAGAGATGATAGGAAAAAGCTGCCTTCCAGGGAGTGGAAAAGGTTTCGGTGAGAGGCTTCTAAGGATCGCTTCTTGGCCTTTTGGCTAAGATCAAGTGAGAGGCTTCTAAGGAACGGCAATGAGGGTAGTTACATAAATATCCACTTCATCATTAAATGCTACATTTATAGCTCATTCACCCATCTGTGTGTTTTCATCTTTTAAAAAAAAAGTTTAGAAAATCCAGATAAAAATCAGGAGGAAAATAAATTCTGCCCCTGAATGTGAACATTTTGGGCACATTCACCCAGCCACTTCTTTTCTGTGCGTGCCTCGTTTTTATTAACCAAAGTAAAATCTCACTTTAATTTTTATTTTTTCATTTTATTTCCTCATCAAAGATGTTACCCTCCGTCCTGCCCAGAGGCACTTGCACCAGCCTTACACGTGTGCGGGGCTCGGATAGAGGAACTGTCCTTTATCATCATTCAGCCAGTAAAGGGAAATGACATGGACTTCCAGGCAGCTTATTTTGCTGTCAATCTTCCACCTTTGAAATTCTGATAAGAGCATGAGCCTCCTTCTACAATTTACAAAACAACATCTTTGGGCCATTGCCCCATTTTACAGATGGAGGAACTGAGGATCAGAGAGGTAAAGTCACTTTTTACCCAAGGCCATAGAGCAAGCAGCTCACTGGCAGCCTTGGCTTCTACTTCTCCCATCTTGCTGACCCTCCATTTCCCACCCCTGTCCACCCATCCTAATCTAAAAGACCTGTTCTGAGTCCTTGGCCTAAGTAACATGACCCCATCTCCACCTAGTCTTGCTCCTTTCGGGGAGTGTGGTGGCTTTCTTAGGGCCTGAGTCACACAGCCATCACTCAAGGGAGGGAGCAGGATGGCTCCCGGCTCCCAGCAGAACTTATTGCATCATCACTCATGCCTTGCCAAGTCTTATTGCTCCAACATCCCCTAAATGATAAAGTTGGATTCATTAAGTGTAAATTCAATCAAACTTGAAAGAGAGAGAGAAAATAAAAGTGACTTGGAATAAGAGAAATGGAAGCACCCGTAAGCGGTTGTTTCTTTTCCTAGGAGAAGTGGCCTCTGGGCCCTGTGTGTTCAAGGCAGCAGGAGTCAGTGGAGTCAGCAACTTCCCAGGGTGAGGCTGACCCTGAGAGGCAAGTCCTGCCTCTAGCACATGCTGGCTGTGGGACCTAAGACTCAGTTTTCTCATCTGTAGATGGGGGAATATCTACCCTGCGTGACTGCACTGAGGATAAGATGGTATCTTGTGCATCATCAGCTTATAAGAACTTTCCCACTGCTGAAGCAGCGAACTGTAGGAATATACCCAGATAGGGATTCCTGGGCAGCTTGGGGTCGGCTTGTAGATGTGAAGATGGGGGAGAGGAGACGTTGGATCTCAGGATGCAGAATTTGAGTCTCTCACACGTTGTTCCCAGAACTATGAGACTGTGGTGCACAAGGTGAAATGCCTTTTATATCAGGGTGTGTGTGTGTGCATAAAAGCAGAATTAAAAAAAATGTTTACCTGTACTGTGGCAGATACAGAGAGATATGCTAGTATTTTTTAAATTCCTTTTCTCCCCAATTCAACATCCACTAAATTGATTTCATGACCTACTAATGAGGGCCTTGGCCAACGTCACAGAGCAAGCTAGAGGTGAAACGGGTTAGAACTAGATCTCCTGGTCGCTAATCCATCTGCTGCCCATTACCTCCCGCTGGCAGGTGTCCAGCTTTGGTTGAGTTTTGTGTGAGTGCTCATCCCCGTGAGTGAGGGCCAGGAAGCAATGGGGGACTCTAGGTGTGGAGGTCCAATGGCCTGTAAACCCCCCAGGCTGGAGCAGACCTTCCCCCTTCACAGGAAGGTCTAACGTGAGTCTCTGCGCCGCCTAGGAACCTAATAAATAGGGGTTGAATGAAGGGAGACATGCAGAGACCACCCCAACCAGAGTCTGATCCTGCCTCTGCCACTGTGTCGTCGTGGAACCTTGGAAGTGGCACTTCTGCAATCTGAGCTTCACGATGACCTTTACCGGGGTGTGCTGGGGGTTGGGGGCTAAGGTTCTATCCGCCTAATGAGGAAGGGTTAATAGGAAGTTCCTTCTGGGATCCCACAGGCTGCTTTGAAGCACTGCCACCTACTGGTCACTCTCTCTCATTACACCTCGTCACTTGGAAGAGGGCTCTGTTTTCGGAGTATCTCCTAAATGCATGATCCTTTCCATGGTTCAAAATCCACCCATGACAGGCAAGTTCTCTTAATCCTCAGAACAACCGTGAGAGAAAAGCAAGTATTCTTAAATCCATCTTACATATGAGAAAATTGAGGGCCAGAGAGGTTAAGCCACTCACTCAAGGACACACAGGATTTTCACATGGATGCCCAGATTCCCAATCCAGTGCTCCTTCTGCCCATTACAAGTAGCAATCCCCAGCAGGCTGGATTTAGCCACAGGCTTTACCTCCAGCAGGCTAAAGGCTGAAAGAGTGGATTGGAGATGCACATCTTAGACTGGTCAGAGGGAAGTGGGGTGGGGTAGCTTGTTTGGATGTCGCCAAGAAATACTGTCAGGTGCAGCACGTTTCTTACTGGTTAATCAGTGCTGCTTCGGGCACTCCAGAAGACCTAGGTAGAGGACTGATTTCGAGAAATGATGTGGCTAGGAGCAGTGGCTCAAGCGTGTAATCCCAGCACTTTGGGAGGCTGAGGCCAGCGGATCACCTGAAGTCAGGAGTTCGAGACCAGCCTGACCAACATGGTGAAATCCCAGCTCTACTAAAAATACAAAATTAGCTGGGTGTGGTGGCACATACCTGTAATCACAACTACTCAGGAGGTGGAGGCTGCAGTGAGCCAAGATCATGCCACTGCGCTCCAGCCTGGGCAAAAAGAGTGAAACTCCATCTAAAAAAAAATAAGTAAATATTATATGACCATTATGAAGTGCTTGGGGGATGTGACAATAACCAGGCTAACTTGGTCCATGTAGACAGCCAAACTGTCTTGCTTAGATCTGGCAAGACCCTTGCTTAGACCTGTTTTCTTTCACAAAGCAATAAACAAATAGAGATGGAATGGGTGGTGGCTGAGAGGCTGGTTGTAGTGTCCTACTCCAAGGGGTTCAAATTCCATCTCTGCCATCTTACTCGCCCTGTGACCTTGGGCAAATTACTTAAGCCAAGCTTGTCCAACCCCCGGCCCACAGGCTGCACATGGCCCAGGACGGCTCTGAATGCAGCCCAACACAAATTCATAAACTTTCTTAAAACATTATGAGATATTTTTGTGATTTTTTTTTCAGCTCATCAGTTATCGTTAGGGTTAGTGTATTTTATCTGTGGCCCAAGACAATTCTTCTTCTTCCAGTGTGGCCCAGGAAAGCCAAACGGTTGGACACCCCAATAAGCTGCCTATAAAATGGGGATTCTCTGTTTCTTCATCTGTAAAACAAAAACATCCATAATTGTTTCTTGTTGGCTGTTGTATAAATTAAATGGGCTAATATACATAAAGCATTAGAGAGTGCCTGGAACGTGGTAAGCACTTAATAAATATTAAACATTTTTTTAAATAGGAATTGAGAGGAGAAGTCTGAGTTGCACCGACCTGGATTAAAATCCTAATTTTGTCACTGATTCATTTCCCAACCTTGGGCAATCCTCCCCTTTTCTGGGCCTTCCCCACTCAGATGGCTGGAGCATTCTGCTGGGCCATTCTCTGCTCCTTCCTGTTCCTGCTGCATGATGACCATGTCACCATCCGCACCCACATTCAAGGTCAGCGGGGTGGGTAGGTTTGGCTGGTGTGAGGCAGGGTGGGCAAGCTGGGACACATCTGTTCCCTTGGTTAGAATTGCGCTCTTATATTTTTCCCCTTAGAAACTATTTTATGCAGCAAGGTCAAGCGATCAGGACTGCAAATCAATTTAAACAAAGGCGCTGAGACAGATACCCTTGAACTTCAATGACTTAAAATAGCCTCGTTGTCATCCTTAGCCAAACGCTCAGTACCTGAGTTCACTTCACCTGTCATCACCGACTAATAAACCATCCCTTTTGTGGAAACTGATCAGAATGAAGCCTTTGAATCAAAGTGGATGTGAGGCCTGCTTGGATTAATAGAGCTGCATTAGCCCCCTCCCATGTTTCCAGGATGGCTACAGAGGTTGATGCATTCTTAGGGAAATGAATATCTTATTAATATTAGGAAGACCAGACTAGCCATCTTAAGAATGACCCTGGCTGCTCTGTGGGTAGCCAAGTGCAGCACAGCCTTCTTTATGGAATGCCTCAAAGTTCTGCCTTAGAAACCAGGGTGGAATTGCTGAAAAAGGGTTGGTGATGGTGGAGGAGAGGCAGGGGAGTTAGGGAGTTTTTATTTGGAAAGGAAAGAAAACTAAGACTTACTCAGTACTTACTGTGTGCCTCAAACTGTGCCAGGGGCTTTAGACGAAGTAATTCACATCAGCCCCACAATGACTCTGTGTGGTAGGTGTTTGACACTACTTTAAAAAATAAGAGCCTTGCCAGGCGCAGTGGCTCACGCCTGTAATCCCAGCACTTTGGGAGGCTGAGGCAGGCAGATCACCTGAGGTTGGGAGTTCGAGACCAGCCTGACCAACATGGAGAAACCCCGCTTCTACTAAAAATAATCAACCGGGCGTGGTGGCGCATGCCTGTAATCCCAGCTACTCGGGAGGCTGAGGCAGAAGAATCACTTGAACCCAGGAGGCGGAGGTTGCAGTGAGCCGAGATTGCGCCATTGCACTCCAGCCTGGGCAACAAGAGCAAAACTCCTTCTCAAAAAAATAAATAAATAAATAAAAAATAAGAGCCTTATTGAGATATAATGCACATACCATCAATTCACCTTTTTAAAGTGTATAAGTCAGTGGTTTTAGTATATTTGTTTCCGGAGGGCTCAGGAGGGTCCCTGAATGCCAGTGAGACCCCAGCCTCCGCTAGTGTCGAGAAAAATTTCAGGGATAAGTCAGAATGAATCGAAAGGCAAGAAGCTTTTATTGCAAAGGGAAAGTACACACTTAAGAGAGAAGTGCAGGTGGACGTGTGAGAACAAGTCATGAGCAATGGCGTTGGGTTTTTTAATTTTATGGGTGTTTCTTTAATTAGAGGATGGAATAATTATTAGGTATTCTAGAAAACAAGGGAATGTCAGGAACCCCGTTTTCCTCTCCGTTTCTCCCTTATTTGGGTTTGCCCAGAAGAGTTATGCCCATTTTCTCTCCTTTATTTTGTGTTTTCTGTTATCCTGTGGTTTCTTTGCCTAGTTCCTGTTTTAGCTGTTGTCTGGGTTTTTACACCCTCCTGTGACTATCTAGTGCCATTCCTGTCTCATATTCACTAAGTTTTGTTTTTGTTTTTTTTTTTTTTAGAGACGGGTCTTGCTCTGTCACCCAGGCTGGAGTGCAGTGGCACAATCATAGCTCACTGTAACCTCAAACTCCTGGGGTCAAGTGATCCTCCTGCCTCAGCCTCCTGAGTAGCTAGGACTATAGGTATGTGCCACCACACCCGGCTTTTTTTTTTTTTTTTTTTGTATTTTTTTGTAGAGATGGAGTCTTGCTATGTTGCCCATGCTGGTCTTGAACTCCTGGCCTCAAGCCATCCTCCTGCCTTGCCCTCCCAAAGAATTGGGACTGCAGACACGAGCCACAGTGCCTGGCCTGTATAGTCACCAAGTTGTGCAATCATACCATTATCTAATTTCAGGATATTTTCATCACCCATGAAGAAACTTTACATACCTGAACAGTCACTCCCAATTCCCCATTCTCCCAACCCCTGGCTACCGCTAATCCACTTTCTGTCTATATAGAGATTTCAAATCTAGACATTGCATATAAATGGAATCGTATAATATGTGGCCTTTCGTGACTGGTTTCTTTCATATAACATGATGTTTTCAAGGTGTATCCGTGTCGTAGCATGTGATCAGTACTTTATTGCATTTTATGGCTGAATAGTATTCAATCATGTGGATAAAATACGTCTTGCTTTATCCAATGATCAGTCGATGGACATTTGAGGTTTTCCTTTTTTTTTTTTTTTTTTTGTCTATTATGAACAGCGCTGTTATGAACATTTATGGAGATGTTTTTGTGTACACATATGGTTTAAATTCTTTTGAAATGGGGAGTGGAATTGCTGGGTTATGTAGTAACTCTATGCATAGCCTTTTGAAGAACTGTGATACCGTTTTCCAAAGTGACTGCGACATTGTACCTACCGGCAACCAATGAAGCTTCCAATTTCTTCACGTCTTTGCCAATGCCTGTTAATGACCATCTTCTGGACTATGGCCATCCTAGTGGACATGAAGTGCTATCTCCTTGTGGTTTTGATTTGCATTTCCTGAGTGATTAATGATGAATGTCTTTTCACGTACTTATCAGTCATTTGTATATCTTCCATGGAGAAATGCACATTTAAATCTTTTGATATTTGATTATAAATCCAATTTTTAATTATTTGTTTTTTGATTGAATTGTAATATTTCTTTATATATTCTGTATAAAAGTCTCTTATCAGATATATGATTTGTAAATATTTTCTCCCATTCTCTTTATTACTTTCTTGATAGTGCCCTTTTAAGTAAAAATTAGAAGTTTCAAAAAACTAAATGTTTTTAATGTTTGATGAAGTTCAATTTACCCACTTTTTGGTCACTTATGTTTTGGTGCCATATCTAAGAAACCCATTGCCTAGTCCAACCTCCGCCTTCTGGGTTCAAGTGATTCTCCTGCCTCAGCCTCCCGAGTAACTGGGACTACAGGTGTGCACCACCACACCCAGCTAATTTTTTTTTGTATTTTTAGTAGAGACAGGGTTTCACCGTGTTGGCCAGGATGGTCTCCATCTCCTGACCTCGTGATCCCCCTGCCTTGGCCTCCCAAATTGCTGGGACTACAAGCATGAGCCACTGCACCCAGCCCCTTTTAAGAGTTTTATAGTTTTCGCTAGAAGATCTACGATCCTTTTTCAGTTAATTTTTAACTAATTTGTGAGGTAAGGGTCCAACTTCCTTCTTTCACATGTGGATGGCCAATTGTTGCAGTGCCATATATTCAAAAAACTATTCTCTCCCTATTTAATTGTCTCAGCATCCTTGTTGAAAATCAGTTGACCATAGATATATGGGTTTAGTTCTGTACTCTCAAGTCAGTGCCATTGACCCTATGTCTATCCTAGGCCAGTATCACACTGTCTTGATCACTGTAGTTTTGAGAAAGTTTTGAAATCAGAAAGTGTGAGTTCTCCAATTTTGTTTTTCAAGATTGTTTTGGCTATTCTTGGTCCCTTGTACTTCCATGTGAATTTTAGGATCAGCTTATCCATTTCTGAAGAAAATAATTTGGAATTTTGCATGGATGGCACTGAATATGTAGAGCAGGACAAAAAGCAATCATAGAGCAATCTGATGAGTCCTGCCTTCTTAACAATGTGAAATCTTCCATGAACACAGGTTGTCTTTATATTTATTTAGGTCTTTAATTTGTTTCAACAATGTTTTGTAGCTTTTGTGTGCAAGTGTTGCACTTCTTTTGTTAAATTTATTTCTAAGTATTTTATTCCTTTTGAAGCTATTATACATTGAATTGTTTTTCTTAATTTGTTCTCAGATTGTTTATTGCTAGTGTATGGAAATACAATAGACTTTGATATATTACTCTTTTATTCTGCAATATGGTTTTCGATCCTGTTGTAAAGATAGGAAGACAGAGGATCACACAGCGTGCGTGATTAGCTTGGGATGACCTGGCTTTTTGTCCTGCCAATCTCCCTTTCTTTGCAGAACCACTCTTCTCAGCTGCAAGGGAATCCTGCTCAGTCTATGTAGTGAGCTTATTCCGCCTTCTCTCCCTCACCCCAGGGATGAGGTACCACCATCTTTTCCCACCACTGGTGAAATCCTGCTATAGAAAGAAGTCGGCTGGGCGCAGCGGCTCATGCCTGTAATCCCAGCACTTTGGGAGGCCAAGGTGGGCAGGTCACCTGAGGTCAGGAGTTTGATACCAGCCTGGCCAACGTGGTGAAACCCCATCTCTACTAAAAATACGAAAAATTAGCTGGGTGTGTTGGTGGGCGCCTGTAATCCCAGCTACATGGGAGGCTGAGGCAGAAGAATCACTTGAACATGGGAGGTGGAGGTTGCAGTGAGCCAAGATGGCACCACTGCACTCCAGCCTGGGCAACAGAGTGAGAATCCATCTCAAAAAAAAAAAAAAAAAAAGAATGAAGTAAACATAGAAAAAAATCACAATAAGAGCTGAAGCAAGAAAGAGGGGTCTGTCACCATCATTGAGCACCTGGATCCAGCCCTACCTAAAGCTAGTAACTCTAGAGTTTCCGGATACATTAGCTAATATTTCTCTTTAGCTTAAGGTTATTAGAACTGGGTTTCTGTCCCATGAAACCCAAAGAATCCTGATGTATACAGCTAGTAAAGGGCAGAGTGTGAGTTTTAAATCAGGCCTATGTGATTCCAAAGTTGTCCTCACTCCACGGTCCCTGCATGACCCCTTTCTTGTACTCGCACTGGCTGGGTGGATGTTTGAGAGGCTTCAGGGGATAAGTGAAGCTTGCAGCAGGTAAGCAATAGGGAGACTGGGTCTAAGACCCCAAAGATCTGCAGATGTAAGGAAAGATCAGGAAACCGGGTACAAGGCCAACTGAGGTCAAAGGCGGACCCCCAACTCTTACTGCCTGTGGGTCTTGGCCAGTCTCAGTCTCTCTGAGACCTTGTTTCCTGGGTTGGGACACCTTTTTCTGGCTGTGTTTTGGGCCCATTCCAGGCACACAGGCCCTAAAATAATCATGACAGCTCCTGAAATGTACTTGCCCAGTCATCTGTGTAATTCCCAGGAGATCTCTGAGAGCCCAGCAGGGCAGGGATGATCCTGGTCATTGTATAGCTGGGGAAACTGAGGCAAGGCAGTGTTCAGTGACTTATTTAAAGATCCCTAGCTCCTGAAAGACTGCGTGGAACCCAGGTCTCGTGTCTTTGTGTCTAATATTCTCATAGTAAACCAGGGGAGGCAGCAGCGCCTCTTTGGGATTTGCCTGGGGCCTGAGACTTCCCATAATCCAATTAATAAATTGTCCAAGATGGAGGGCCAGCTACCAATTAGTTCTCTTTCCTCCCTGGTGCCTCTTTGAGCTTTGTGGATAGCAACTCCCTGGAAAGGGAAGAGAGGCCCCCACTCTACACTCCCTCCTTGGGAATCAGGGGTCTAGAAATTAGCTGATTCTTGATAAGCCCTAATTATAAATTAGGTCTTATTATCTGTGGCTCCTGAAACTACGCTGGATGAATTAAAACTCTAGGAAAAGGAATATTTCAATTAACCATATGAACTCAGGTAATTGCCTGCCAAGGAAAAGCCCCTTACAGAACAAGTCCTGGGGCAGTTACGAGGACATCAGAAGGGGAAGGCAGGGGCCAAAGCGTGGGTGGTCTGCGTGAGACGGAAGTGAGGAGTGGGCCCCTCCACAGCTGCTGTTTTCTGAGGATAGGGTCTTAGAAGTGGCAGGACTTGGAAATGCATAGTTGCCAGTGGCTCTGTCTGGGGATTGGAGGACCAGAATTGGGGTCCTCTCTCTATTACCTACTGCTCCAGAGACTCTGTGTTTCCTAAACCTTGCAATGGACAGGTCAGATGAGATGATGAAAAAAGGGCCTTATCAGCTGGAAAGTGTGGCAAGCACACCAGATAATTATGGTTCAGTGCAATTAGATGCTTTTTTTTTTGTCTGAGACAGAGTCTTGCTCTGTAGCCCAGGCTAGAGAGCAGTGGCACGATCTCGGCTTGCTGCAGGCTCTGCCTCCCAGGCTCAAGAGATTCTTCTGCCTCAGCCTCCTGAGTAGCTGAGACTACAGGTGTGCACCACCACACCCACCTAGGTTTTGTATTTTTAGTAGAGAAGGGGTTCCACCATGTTGGTCAGGCTGATCTTGAACTCCTGACCTCGTGATCCACCCACCTCGGCCTCCCAAAGTGCTGGGATTACAGGCGTGAGCCACCGCGCCCAGCTAGATGCTCTTAAACGAGGGAGGGAGAGGAGAAGAAAGGGATTGAAGGCTCTGTTTTCGCTGATTTCAGGAGGCAAAGGGGAGTGGTTGTCATTCATTCATTCATTCATTTCACAAACATTTCACTGATGCTTCTGAGTGCCAGGCACTGAGCTGGGCAGCATAGGGCATGAAGAGTGGAAGAGAGAAGCCACAGTCTAGCAGGAGAAAGACAGGGAAGCAAATAGACTCACCACAAGGACAGGGCCTGCATCTTCCTTGTTCACCAGCTTGGGCTCTCCCAGCTGTGGCCCTCTGTGGGCATATGTTGGATGAAGGCCCTCTAAGCCTAGAATGGCACTGTGACCCCTTGCACAAAGGTCAGCATGGGGCTTTGCTTTTCTTTTTTCTTTTTCAAATGAGACAGGATCTCGCTGTGTCACCCAAGCTCGAGTTCGGTGGGACAATCACAGCTCACTGCAGCCTTGACCTCCCCAGCTCAAGCCATCTTCCTACCTCAGCCTCCTGAGTAGCTGGGATTATAGGTGCAGGCCATTATGTCTAGATAACTTAAAAAAAATAGAGATGGGGTCTCCCTGTGTTGCCCAGGCTGGTCTTGAACTCCTGGGCTCAAGTGATCCTCTGCCTCTGCCTCCCAAAGTGCTGGGATTACAGACGTGAGCCACCATGCCTGGCCTAGCTTGGGGCTTTTCTAAAAACTGAAACCCACTTTTTTCCGCAGTTCATTCATGCAGCCAGGGAGTGACTGATAGTCCTGAAGTTTGCATGAAGAATTCCAGAAATCCCTGCAGTAGTTCTAAAACAATACAACATTGGCTCGAAGTTGGCTGCTGACATATAGAAGGAGGTGGAGATGCCACTCCAGAGGTGAGGTCCCTGTGCAGTAAATGAAGAGGGAACATCCTGCACTGAGTCCTTCTTAACTCTCTGGTCCATGCCCCTTTGCGCTCTCTCTGGAGGCTCTTCTTTGAAACACAGGAAAATTGCTGCCAAACCTCACGGAGCTTGAGAAGGCTGATCAGAAGAGCAACAAGCCTGAAGTTTAGAATTAGGTTAAAGAAGATTTAGCTTTATTACCCTGAAATATATACAATGACTCAGAAAACATCATATTGCCAGGCCTGCAGGAATTAACAACTGGAAAAGAACAGAATGAATGAGTCACCTAAGAGGAGCACATTATTGTCACCAGGCAGGTGCCACTAAAGTCCTGTAAATTGGTGAAAAATTCCCCATAGAACCTTCCTTGCAGCTCATGCTAAAAGATGTTTCTGTGGGTCTCATCCACAAAACCCCACACCCTGACAATAAGAAACCCTTCTCGAGGCTGAGCGTCATGGCTCGCACCTGTAATTCCCACACTTTGAGAGGCAGAGGCAGGCGGATCACTTGAGGCCAGGAGTTCAAGACCAGCCTAATCAACATAACAAAACCCCATCTCTACTAAAAGACAAAAACTTAGCCAGACGTGGTGGTGCATGCCTGTGGTCTCAGCTACTTGGGAAGATATATCAGGAATGAGAATCGCTTGAACCCAGAAGGCAGAGATTGCAGTCAGCCGAGATCGTGCCACTGTACTCCAGCCTGGGCAACAGAGCAAGATTCTGACTCAAAAAACAAAACAAAACAAAACAAAAACAAAACGCTTCTCTAATGCAAGAATCCCCTCTACAGCTTATCAGTTCATAGGCTACACTTGAATACCACCAGCAATGGGGAACTCACTACCTCAAAAAGGAGTTTGGTCTATCGCCAGATTATTGTAATCATCCTAAAACGCCTCTGTTCCTCTTTGTAATGGACTGAAATCTGACTCTCACTACATCTGTGGGTAAAGCAATAGTAACTGCCTGTGTTTTCAGGGCCAGAATTGTTGCTGGATGAATATAGGAAGGCTTTTCCTTTCCATGGAAGGAAACTTCCTTCCTCTTATTTGCTGGTGCAACCAAACATTTAATTATAAAAGCTTCTCCAAGGCAATAGATGTTAAAAATTAAGATGAATACACTCATTGTTGCCAATAGCACAGACTGCTATTACTCCGAAAGTCCCAATTCATTACTGTATATTGTAACTGAACATTAACACTTGCATAACGACCTCAAGACCTGTCTCGCATGCACAATCAGTAGTCCTGACCAGGCTCCTTTATACCCAGGAAAGAAAGAGGGGGAAAAAAATACAAAACAGACGACGTGGGAAAATTGCCTTTCCAGTGGAAACATTGACAAACCTTTCATTACAATCATTCACTATACCTCACCTGATGCCACAATTGAATTCCTGAGCCCGGTCAAACGACAATGGGATGCGGTGGGAAGCAGGGGAGGAACTGGGGGCCCCAGTTTCCCCAAAACTCTCAACCTACCTGATCACTCTCCAGCGGCACCTCCTTCGTCCACTAGGGGATACCTGTCTCTCCCACCCCAGAATACCTGGGAGAGTTGGCTGAAAGGAAGGCAGGCACCCAGGAACCATTCTCCATGGACCCCGCTCCCCCACCAGGGACATCCAGGCACACTGGAGTCAAAGAGCAACTCTCAAATGGACCACGTCACCCCTGCTCAAAACCCTTCAATGGCTCCCATTGGCCTGGGGATAAAATCCCAAGTCCTGTGATCAAGTCCAGCCTAGCTCTCCGGTCTCCTCCCTGCCTCACACTTCCCTTCCCACCACCCTGGACTGTCTTTTCTCTGTCTCTCTGAACTCCTTCCTGACGCAGTGCCCTTGCACATCCTGCTGTTCCCTCCACACCACCCCATTCCCTCCTGGGCTGGCTGGTGCCCCCTCCTTTGTCAGGCCCCAGCTCAGAAGTCTGTCTAGAGCTGAGGGCCTTCCTGTCGGCTCTCGTCCTCTTCCCACCTACGCTTGGCACGAGGGGTCACTGTCTATTTGTTGGTTGCCACTTGCTGATTGTCTTGTTTCTTGACCATCCCATTCTGAATCATTCCCCTCTGCATCCCCAGCATCTGGCACAATGCCTGGTCCCAAGGAGACAAGCAATAATGATTTCTTGAATGAATAAATGAGAGTGTTACATAAAATTTCAGACAGTTCATGGAGCTCCTGAAATCCAAGGATGTCCCAGACTGACTTTGGCTTTCTAATTCTGGCCCGAGTTTCACATACATCCACAGGTTTTTGGAAGAAACCAGGATAGGGGTCTATCCTGCAGTCATCCTCATCTTTCAGATAAGGACTGGGAGCTGCTGAGAGGTGGTGGGTATATCAGTCAGGGCTCTCTAGAGAAACTGAACCAACAGGAGAGAGAGAGAGAGAGAGAGAGAGATGAAAGATAGATAGATAGATAGATAGATAGACAGATAGATAGATAGATAGACAGACAGACTAGATAAATGATAGATTAGATAGATGATAGATTGATGGTAGATTAGACAGATGACTAGATAGATAACAGATAAATTAGACAGACAGACTAGATAGATAGATGATAAATAGAGAGATGATAGATTAGACAGACTAGATAGGTGGATAGATGATAAATTAGATGATAGATTGATGATAGATTATGATAATAATCTATAACAGACAATAACAGATAACAGACTAGATAGATGATAGATTGATGATAGATTAGACAGATGACTAGGTAGATAGACGATAGATTAGACAGACTAGATAGGTAGATGTTAGATTAGACAGACGACTAGATAGATAGATAGATTAGACAGACAGACTAGATAGATGATAAATACATAGAGGATAGATTAGACAGACAGACTAGATAGGTGGATAGATGATAGATTAGATAGATGATAGATGATAGACAGACTAGATAGATAGAAAAATAGATAGATAGATAGGTAAATAGATAGACAGATAGATAAAGATACAGCACATATAGACAGAGACAGAGAGAAAGAGAGATTTTAATCAATTGTGGAGGCTGGGAAGTCCCAAGTCTGCAGGGTGGGCTGGCAGACTGGAGACACTTACTGAGCCTTCAGTGCTACGCCCTGTTCTGTGCACTCCCTCTGGCATTAACCCACTTAACCCTTCAACGATACTCTGGCCCATAGTACACATTCACTCCAACAATAACAAGGCCACTGTTATTATGATCTCCATTTTAAAGTAGGGGACACTGAACCCCTGGAGTGACTTACCCATGATTGTACCACCAGCAAGCATCAGAGCTGGGATTTGAACACTCTGGTTCTAGAACCAAGGCTGGGAACCACCACACTGCATTCCACACCCAGTCCCTCAGGCTCACCTTTCTACTGGGAGGCCCCGTGCAGAGACAAGGCAGAGCCTAGCATTCAATCTCATCTCTGCCACTTAGTAGCCATGTGACCTGGAAAAATCACCCTGTTCTATGCCCCAGTTTACCACTGCAACATGGAAAACATAACTCCTAGTTCTTAGGGGTGTTATGAGAATTCAGAGTGATCTTGGATGTAAAGCACTTAGAATATATAATTCACTTTTAATAAATAGTGGCTATTAATAATAATAGCAACAGTATTAATGGATGTAAAGGCCCTTTGTAAACTCTGAAGTGCCTCTAGACACGGCAATGGAGTCACTCAGGCCTGGGTTGAAAATAGGGTGACCAACTGCCCTGGTTTATCTGGGACTGTCCTGGTTTTAGCACTGAAAGTCCCATGTCCCCAGAAATCCCTCCGTCCCAAGCAAACCAGGTCAGTCGATCACACCACAGGCCCTGCTCCTTTCTAGCTGTGTGAATGCACTAGTCACTTTACCTCGCGGAGCCTCAGTTTCCTCACCTGTAAAATGGGGTTAAAGTTCTAAGCCAGTGGTCCCTGAACCAGCAACATCAGTATTGCCTGGGAACTTGTTGCAAATGCAGATTCTCAGACCCCACCTCAGACCCCACCTCAGATCTACTGAAACACCTTAGGGGTGTTTCCCAAACCCTCCTGGTGAGTCTGATGCCTGCCAACGTTTGAGAGCCTTGATATAAAGTACCTCCCTGGGGGCATTTCACAGGTTGTAGAGGGCTAAAGCCAGACCAGGTAAGCACCTGGCACGCTGTGAACATTCAGCTGCCAGTGGCCATCACTACCAACATTACAAGGTTGGTGGCGACATATTTACCGTGAAGGTGGAAACTGGGGTGAACGATAGGGTCCTCCAGTCCCAAGACTTCTCTCCAAACTGGAGCCTGACATTTGTTTTTTGCATCTAAAAGCTGGGCTAACTTCCTGCTTTCAGAAAGCTTAATTCCCTCATTCTTGTTTTGAAGATGAGACCTCTCAAGGCTGATATTGCCTCGCTATTGTTATGCACGTGTTGGTTAAAGTTTTAATTCAGTGCCTCCTAGTTGAGGGCAGAGGGAGTTTGGGGATCTGGGGCCACCTGGGTGGTGTTGCTTCTGGGCCCTGTTTTGACCCATTGGGTTAAGGCAGGTGCGATGATAATGATGACAACTCCCGTTTAATCGTCCCATACCCATGTTCCGGGTCCTGTGAAGTCACTGTGGGGCCTGGGTCTGCCTCTGTGTTCTGCGTTGCCCAGAACACTGCCTGGCATCAAATCAGTGCTTAGTAAGTACTTGTTAAATAAACGACTGCGTGTTCTGAGTGCATGATACACGTTGTCTTATTTAATTCTCATGACGCCTTCACGAGTTAGGTACAATCATCATTCTCCATTCTGCAGATGTAGAAACTGAGTCCAGAAAGCTTAGACGACTTGCTTAAAGCCCCCGACCATAAGAAGCAGGCCAGGGATTGAAAACCTAATTTTCTTTTCACGGAGGAGGGACTGCAGATGTGCTGGGCTCAGCCCCAATACTGCCGCCTCTGAGAAGCCTCCCTTGAGTCCCTGCCCCCTTCCTTCCTGCCCTCATCACACATTTTGCAGCCCGCTCTTTGGACCTCTCAAGGCTGACATTGCCTCGCTGTTTATACACGTGTCGGGCTGCGTGTCTCCAACACTGACCTGTTTATCTGTGCAGCTGAGTGTAGGCCTCCTGGTCCCAAGAGCCCTCCATGAAACCTGGGTGAATGACAAATGAACTCGCAGGCTCTGAGAAGGAGCCTGAGTTTGGCCAGTAAGACCAGAAAGTGAACACTCACTATCGAACTGAAATGAAGGGAAGGTGAGTGGAAACCTGGCCAGATGAGCCCTCTGGTTTCCGCAGCTGAAGGTCATGAGGCATTAAATGCCCAAGTCCACCTTTGGATCTTCTCAGAAACCACAGTCCACCCAAGGTGCCTCAATGCCCTTTGTGGGCTTGGCCCTTCCAGAAGACATCAGGGCTGAGTATAAAATTGGCTTCACCGGGTAACGCTGCATGCGTGTGTTGTGTTCCTGGTAATATAATGCTTTGTCTATGACTTTTTAAAACAATGAAAACGTAAAAGTGAAGGGCCCAGCCGCGAGGAGAGAGGTGACGAGTGGAACTGATAAGTTTGATTTCGTATACCTTTCTTAGCAAGTGGGGGAATGCTGACATCACCCAGAGCACCCCGAGAACAGATTCTTCTTCATCCCCAGGGCTGCCGGGAGTAAAGGGGCTGAACAGCCTCCACCAGCCCTCGGGTGACTTAAAGGATTTCCAATTTGTAAACAAATAGATTTAGAACAAGACTCCCCAATGGGAGAACTAAGTCAAATTCATTTTGTCAAGGAAATCATTGTCAGATATAATTTTCCCTAAATTTCCACAGCCAAACTCAACCTTGGCTATCAAGGCAAGTAGCTACAGGCTGGGCCCGTGGTGGTGCACGTCTGTGCTCCCAGCTACTTGGGAGGCTGAAGTGGGCAGATCACTTGAGCCCAGGAGGTTGAGGCTGCAATGAGCCACGATCATGCCACTGCACTCCAGCTTGGGTGACAGAGTGAGACCCTGTCTCAAAAAAAAAAAAAGTAGTTATAAAGGAACGTGAATGTTAATTTTTTAAAATCCCCACCTTACTATCCTTGAGGAAGATGGATCTGCCAGAATCACTTTCTCCCTTGTGTGATGCTTGTTACTATTCATCTGTTTCTTTCTTCCTAGATTGTCAGCCCCTTGAGGGAAGAATCCATGAAAAACTCTATCTTTGACCTCCATGTTCTCTGGTGCTCCCTGAGTTCTGTAGGCAGTAGCATCAAAATTGTGGCCCCTTGCTGAGTACGGTGGTTGTAAGGGGTAAATGAGAGAATCTTCCCCACATACGTGGCAGTATGCCTGGCAAATAAAGATTAGCTCACACGTATTATTTTAGTGATGAGGATAGTTAGGGTGACCAACTGTCTTGGTTTGCCTGGGACTGAGGGGGTTCCCAGGATGGACAGTCCTGGGTAAACTGGCACAAGTCGGTCGCCTTAGGGATGGGTGGTCATTGAGTGCCTGTGACTTGTCAGGCATGGTTGGTGCTGGGTAAATTAGATGGATTATTTCATTTAAACCTCACAACAGCCCTGTGAGCTATTTGTGATTATCTGCATTTTACAGAGTAATACATTAAAACTTTAAGTCATATCTTCCCAGCTGCTAGCTCCTTCTCCATCAAATACTGATTTTTTCAAACAAGAAAATGACTTCATTGCTGTTTTATTCCACTGCGGTAAATTGAATGCCCTTGTCTCCCAATTCTTAACCCTCCCTGCATACACACACTTGCCATATGACTTGGGCTTGGCCATGTGACTTGGCAAATGGCATGTGGACAGAAGTGACAGACCCAAGCCCAGGCCTTTTTTGCATGTTTCTGCTTATACTTTTTTTTTTTTTTTGAGACAGAGTCTCGCTCCATTGCCCAGGCTGAAGTGCAGTGGCATGATCTCGGCTCACTGCAACCTCTGCCGCCCAGGTTCAAGTGATTCTCCTGCCTCAGCCTCCCAAGTAGCTGGGATTACAGGGGTGCACCACCACACCTGGCTAGTTTTTGTATTTTTAGTAGAGACGGGGTTTCACCGTGTTGGCCGGGCCAGTCTTGAACTCCTAACCTCCAGTGATCTGCCCACCACAGCCTCCCAAAGTGCTGGGATTTCAGGCGAGCCACGGTGCCCAGCCTTGCTTACACTCTTAAGCCTCTACCAGATCCATGAAAGGACTGTGCCCCAGCCAACCTGCTGGTCCAAGAAGACTGAGAGACACGTGGAGCAGAGCTGTCTGCTGAGTCACAGACCTGCAGCAAGAAGAAGGGGCACCCAGCAAAGCTCAGCCCAGATTAAGCCCCAGCTGACCAGTAGATGGGGAAGGGATAATACATCATTGTTTTTAAGCTCCTGAGTTTTTAGGAGGTTTGTTACACAGCAGTAGCTAACTGATACATTCACCAACTTGACATAGGCTTTGGGGTGGGTAGATTTTACTGCTAAAGTCCTTTGATGAACTAAGCTTGTATATTATATCTGGCCAAGTATTCCTAATTGCTGGGTTCCTAATTTACGGGATGGTTGCTATTCCTTGCAGCGGGCATTTCTAAAGGTTAAAAGAAGGGGAGAGAAAGGAAAATGTTCACTGTGTGACCAGTGCAATGTTTGCTGGTTTCACATGTTCTCTTTGCTTGTTTATGTTGTGTGGCATCTATTGACCCTGAAGCCACCCCAGGCCTCTCTCTTCCTGGGAACAAGGACCTCAGACCTACAAGGCAGATCTAGGGCAGATGGTCTTACCAGAAGGGACCTTCATTGGTAGCTTTCCACAGGCATCATTTTCTGTACATACTCTAGGGCACAGAGGAGAGGGCCAATGATGAGCAACCTGGGATCCTGGCCACACTCTGCCATGAACTTGCTGCAAGACCTGGGGCAAACCCCTTCCTCTCTGAGCCTTTGCCTCCCCCCATTTGCTAGTCTTTGGGAGTGGACGTGAGAGCTCTTTCAGGTGGCACAGACAGAAGCAATGTGCAAGGTGGATTTTGCACGACGGTTTTGGGGTCAGACCCGGGTTTATACCCTGCTGCCTGCCTTGTGAGCTGTGTGACCTTGGGAAGCTTCTTCACCTCCCTGACCTCAGTTCCCCGTCTCTGTGAGACAGTCATCGTGAAACCCAGATGCAAGAAAGTCCATAATGGGCCTGGCACAAGGGAAGCCTTCAGCATGTGTGTTTGTTATTACTAATATGGCACAACTAGTTAGTCTCCTGAAATCAGTCATCTCAAAATAGCAATCACTTACTTTCAACAGAGTAAATATTTCTCATCTGCATCATTTCAAGCCTTCCCTCTTTAATTTTACAGTTGCATTTACAAAGGAGTTATTTACAGTGCAAAGGGACAAGATGGGCTGCCTCCTTGAAATGGTTTCACAAATTTCCTCTCTTCCTGTTAAGATATTAGCGCCCAGTAATTGTCGCTCTATATAAATGTGGAGCGTCGGCTGCGAATGTGCACCCTGTAGTAATTGTGAGTTGTCTTGACGCTAATTACATAGGGGAGCCTGTTTAATTGCCAGTTAAATTGACTGTGTGTGTTTTCTCTAATCTGTGTTTCCGGGCAAGTTGGATGGCATCCGCTCCTCGTTGGACTAAGCATGAATTTGGAAGACCTCAAGAGGCTCTGCTGCAGGAGAAAGTGAGGCTGGAGGAGGGGAGGTGGGGTATGACAGCCGATGATGACACGATTGTGTCCATACACAACGAGTGGCCATTGCGAGATCCAACCCGGGGTCTCCTGGAGGTTGAGGAAAGTAAGACTTCTCTTCTGCCCATGTTCAGAGCTGACTTGGATGAGACTTGAGGGCTGCACAGGGCAGGAATGATAGCTTGGGCCTGTCATCAGGACTGAGTCCCAGCCGATGGCACCCAGCCCTGCCACAGCATCCCTAAACTGTCTACTCCCCGCTCCAGACCTTTGCTCATGCTGGTCCTTCTATCTGGTCCCAGTTCCCCCCACCCTCATAACTCTATGTTATGTCACTGTAGCTGTGTCATTCAACGCCCAGCTACAAAACCACATTTTCCATGCAGCCTTTCTGGATGTCGCCTCTGGAAGAAGGGGTCCTCTCTGGTCCAAGCCCATAGCTCTTTTTGTGTTATCCTGAGGCCTTACTCATTCCCTGCTTGTATTTGAACTGATTGAGCACCAGACTGTGAGTCTCTGAAGACAGGTCATGCCTCATACAGAGTGAGTGCTTAGTAACAGGAGGTAGGAGTCAGAAGACAGGAGGGGAGAGAGAAGAAGAAGGAGGAGGGGAAGAGAGAGGAGGAGAAGAGAGAGGAGAGGAGGGAAAGAAGGGAAAGGGAGAGGGGTTGGAGGAAGGAGAGGAGGCAGAGGCAAAGGAAGGAAGAGAGGAAGGAAAAATGGAGGGCTAACAATACCAACTAACACTTCTTGAGTATTGGGGTGTGTATGCGTGTGTGCACATGCACACGCCAAGCACACGCCAAGTATGTCATCCTCGTCAATTTGTTTAATCTGCCTCACAATCTTGAGGCAGATCATCCCCATTTCACTGATGAAGAAACTGAGGACACTGAGAGACCAAGGAACTTGTTAACGCAGCCTTAAGTGGCAGATCCAGGAGTCCAAGTTTTCAACCATCGGACTAAGCTGTCTCAAAGGAAGGAAGGGAGGGTGGGAGGAGGTAGTGAGGGAGGGAGGGAAGGAGGAGGAGAGCTGAATTCCATGGCATGAGTTCTCCTGATGTTTAAAAACCTCTCCAGCCTTCCACACACGCTTTCTCCTTAGCTCAAAAGCTAAATTAGAGCGGATTGCTCTCTCCTCACTTTAGTAATTTAGATAAAAGTAAAATTTTGTCTGAGAGCAGAAGCAATTATAGCACGGGTTTTGTGATTAACTTGATTAACACTGTTTCACTCTAAAAGTGATCCCCCCCCTTTGGCTGGCGACTGTAATCAGAGCCACGTCTTTCAACTATGCTACAGCTGCTCTCTCTCCCCCCACTCCCCAAAAAAGATTTTGACATAAATACTTATTAGGGAGGACTCTAGTCTCTGGCTGGAACAGTTGAGCAAAGAGGAGGAAAATGTCTCTCTCTACATTAGCATCTGTAGCCGATTAAAAGGCTGTCGCTTGCTACCCCAGTTACTGACAAAGATCCCAATTATGCAGCAATGAAATATACATACACGATACAGGAGGGTTTATACATTTTTAATTTTTTTCAAAGAGAAAACGTTCAGAGGAAACTCTAATTAGAGATTGCGTTTCTTTAAGAGGAAAATGATATGTGGTTTCAAGAGAGATTATTTGGGGTTATCGCTGGGCAATTGAGAATCTTTTCCAAACCCAGGTTTCTGCTCCTGAGCAAGGGCCCAGAGCCCACTGGCACTTGTAGGAATGCTGTGGTTTTCTGTCCTGTGAAGCTTTGAAATTTGAATCCCTGGGGAAGGAGGGAGTTGGGGTCCTAGCCAGCACCCCATTGTCTCCTCTCCTGGGACACTCCCCGGGATTCTGGTGTTTCTGTTCTCCTCTCTTCCCTCTGTCCTTGCCCAGGCCTACCTGGCCATCGAGACGGCAGCTGCTACTTCTGTCATCCCCTCTCGTAGCTAGGCACTCTACAGAATCCTCTTGTTTAACCAAACCTACTAGCCTAGAGGTAGGAATTACTGCTCCCCTGTTGGGGCAGATAAAGAAATGAGTGCCGAGGAGTCAGGTCACCTGCCCAAGGTCACACAGCTGCTCAGTGATGGAGCGGATTAGGATCCAAGCTGACTTGCCCCAGAGCCCCTGCCGGCTCTCCTTGGCTGTGCAAATGCATGGAGATTGCAGGATGGTGATTACAGGATGGTACAGCTCAGAGGGACTGTGGAGAGAGGCCACCCACCAACTCAGCAGCAGAGGAAACTGAGGCCCCAGGAAGGAAAGTGAGGCCGGCTTCCCGGGCCCCACCTCTCACCTCTGCGTTTAGACCAGCTCTGTCCTAGGTCCTGTGTACTGGCCTCTAAGACTTGCAGGCTTCCATATCTGGTGCTCAGCAAGCCAAAGAGGCATCTTTTCCTAAAATCCAGAGCCTTTTCTAGAGATGTGATTGCTGTGGCTGGCTTCTAGATCTCTCTAGAACATTTCTGGGAGCCTCCAACACCTCTGCCTATGCAAAAGTTCCAGACACTCTGATTCCCCACTTTTGAAGTCTCTGTAAATTATCTAGATTCTCACTGAAATCAAGTTCTTGCAAATTTCATGTCACTGATGGGCTCAGATTTTGCAGTTTATCTCCTTTGTATATCATTTACCCTCCACATAGGCCATCCACTCTGGAAATCTAGAGCCTTTTCTAGCCTTTTCCAGTGACAATGTCCTCCCAGGGAAGGTGAAGCAGAAGTGACATCATGGTATATCATTGACAGGAGTTCTTAGGCTAGACTGTGTTCATATCCCAGCTCAGCCCTCTGTCAACTAGATGACCTTCAGCAGGCTCCTGACCTCTCTGGGCCTCAGTTTCCCTACCTATAAAATGAGGATGAAAATAATGGTATAGACCTTGTAGGACTGAAGTTTAAAGAAGGTTATTTGTTGGAAGCATATAGATTAGAGCATCTAGAAAGCTCTCAATGTTAGTGCTTCTAATTATCATCACTCCATGCCTACATAGGTTGAGTCATATGAAATGGTCCTTTTGTAGGTTAAAGCTGGTCACCTATCAGTTTAATATGTTCCAATGTAGTATGGAGGTGAACACTCGAAACCTAGTATCACCTAGTAGCATCTCGATACTAGCAACCTAGTATCGAGGTAAGCACTTGAAACTAGTATCACCTCAATACTAGCAACCTAGTATCAAGGTGAGCACTCACTGTGGGCAGATCCTGGGCTTCCCAAGCACCCTCTGGGCAAGTGCATATGGAAGCAGATGGCAGAGTGGAGCAGGGATTCAAACCCAGGTCCGCTTGGTTCTCAGACTCCTGGACATGCGGGTGGTCACTTCGCAGTTCTAAGCCACATTTTCAAACCCCAATTCAGCCCTCTCTCCACTGTACCTCCCTTTTTATGTCCAGAGGAAGGCAAAAAGCCTACAGGTGGAGAGACAGAGGCTGATGGAGCTCATCTTCTTCCTCAACGACCCACCAACCTGGAGGGGCTTATAGGGGTCCATCTCCACCACAAGGGCCCTCCAGCCTCATCGGCCCCCTCCCATCCAGCCCTCAGCTGGCCTCTGATTTCCCATCCTGTGCCACCAGCCTCTTTCCTGCCTTTCCTGGGGCTGGCTCAGGCCTGGCACCACTCCAGAACGGCTTAATCAGAATAAATCCTGAGAAAGCACATGTATTATTTATTCCAGCAAAGGTTAAATAATTTGATGAATTTCTCAGGACGCTGCCAGAATGCTGATGGCCTCTTAGGAAAAAAACACAAACAAACAAAAAACCCGACACAACAAATCTCTCTTCTCTACACACACACGCTTACAGCAGCTATAGCCACTTGCCCCACCCTGGCTCATGCAAGAGACCAAGTGGGCAGCCCTCAGTGACACTAGCACCAGGGCCCAAGAGAAGACATAGATTTTCCTGCTCGTGGAGTGGAGATGACAGCTCCCAGCCCCTGGCCTCTCTAGCATGATGTATTATCTGGAGCTGACTATGCCTTTGATTCTGCAAATGGCCATGGAAAGCCTATTGATTTACAGGCCCAAAGGGTGACCTTGCCTTCAATGGATTTGTTTATGGGGCTTCTTATACTTGGGGCTTTGGGAGCTGCTGGGATCAAGGAAGGGGCTGTCAGGGGGAAATGCGGGAGAGAAGCCCCCTGCATGGGAACTGTGGGTGACTGGGCCCTTCTTGCCTTTGGCTGACATGGCAGATTGGCTCATCTAAGCCAAGGGAGAGGCCGGAAATAACAAGTCTGAGTAGGCAGTGGGTGTCCACGTTCCCCTCCTCCTCTTTCTCTTCTTTCTCTGCTTCCTTTTCTTCTCCCTCTTCCTTTTCCTCCACCTCCTCCTTTTCTTCCTCCTCTTCCTTCTCCTTTTTTTTCCTCCTCCTCCTCACCATCATAGCTGCTGCCATTCATTTAGCCCTTACATGTGCCAGGCATGGAACTGAGTGTTTTGCCTACATCACGTCCCAAAATCCTCCTGATAGGCCCAGTGAGCTGGGTGCTTGCATTTAAATCTCCATTTTAGAGATAAATAGTCCCAGAGAGTTTCAGTGAGTTGCAAAAGGCACAGAACTATTAGGCTGAGCCAGGCTTCTCACCGCCTATCTGGCACCAGGCCTGCGTTTCTGCTGTGCCATGCAGCCTGGAGTGGGGAAGAGCTTGGGCCTTGAGGCAGATGGCCAAGTGTGGGAGCTGGTTCTGCGGGTGCAGCCGTGGGACACTGGGAAGGTTACCTAATGCCCTGTGCCTCTGGTTCCCTGTAAAATGAAGATGATCATAGTTCCCCCACTCTTAGGGATGAGGTGAGGATTGAATGGGTTCATATCATGAACGGTACTCAGAGCAGTGCCTGGCATATACTAAGAGCTATACCAATGTTTCCTGCCCTTGTTTCCTCCCTTCGCTGCCTCTAACTAGCAGCCACACCCCACAAACTTGCATAATGCACCCCACTTGACAAATACTTCTTCGTCACACTGATTCCTTCAACCCTGAATCCCTAGACAACCCATTTTTCAGACAAGGAAATTGATGTTGACCCAGAGATGTTGGTGGATGTTGTCAGTTTCAGAGCTCTAATTGGAAGGTAGCAAAACTAGGGGTGAAGGGCACAGCCCTTGGATCATACAGACCTAGGCAGGAATTGTGGCTCTGGCCCATTTGTGGTAGGACCAAGGGCTTGAAACTCTAGTTCTCTGACCTTTAATATATTATTTTAAATGAAAAAAGAGGAAAGATACAGCCCATTCCATAGGATTGTTCTTTCCCTGGGCCTGGCACTGGGCTAAAAGATTTACCAGCATTTTTGGACTTCATCTTACACGTGTGGCGTGCCACAGTGGCCGGGTGCATGGTGCTCAGCAAATCGCCGTGGTTACCACTCTCTGTCTCAATGGTCCTCCCTGCCTGCCCCACGTCTCTGGTGCTCTGAAGAGTGGCTCACTCTGTCTGCCTGCTTGCTTCTTTGGGCCCTGCCTTCTGTTTAAGCTTCTTGTCTCTACCCAACCAATACCTTGCCCCACACTACTCCTCCCCAGAAACTAAAAGTTACTCTAGCTTCCTGATCCAGTGTTGCTCCTTCTCTTCCTCTTACTCAGCCCTTTGGACATGGCCCTTGAGCATTCTTTGTTTTGAAGTCTGCTGTCCTCCTGGACACTGCCTTCCCTTCCCCTTTGTTTGGTGCTCTGTTCCCTGTGCAAGGAGGGAATTGTCTTCCTGCAGTTTGCTTAGGTGAGGTGGGGGTGGGAGGTGAGGGTCAACAGGGACATTTATGAGCCTACTGAGCCTCTGAGGATTGAGGGAGGAGGCTTCATAAATCACTCCCAGACTTAGCACTCCTCCAGTGTGATATGGGGTCCTGTTCACCTCTGTCCCCAGTACCCCTCTCAGAACCAGTGCACAATAGGTGTACAGAATATTTGCCAAGCCTTCAGGTAAGCCTGGATCCAGAACCCCCAGCATGATTCCCACAGCTGTTAATCTTCCCAAACAACATCCTGCTCTGAACTCAGGGGATGTGATTTGTAGAATTGAAAGCATACATTGGAGTAATTTCAGGATGCGGCTGTTCTGCGTATTTGTGTTAGTCAGAGCTGCCTGGTGGGGATGGGACTGATGTTAATCCACTGATCATGCAATCTGAGCAACAGCTTATGGAGAAACATCCAGATTCTTTGACACCCATGAAGACTCTTCTCCATGCTCTCAGTCATCCATGAAAATTGAGAGGCAATTGTGGGAAAAGCTACCAAGATGGATTTGGAATAGTCCCCAGAGCAGTGTTGATCCAGGGGCATTGCCCCTAACTCTGGGTGAATAACAAGTATACCCAGCTTTCCATCTGTCTGTCCGTCCATCCATCCATCCATCCACATCTATCCACCCATTCATCTGTCCATCTGTTTATCTGTTCATCCATCTGCCCATCTACCTGTCCATCCATCCACTCACTCAATCATCCATCATCCATCTATTCATCTATCCATCCATCTCCCTATTCATCTATTTATCTGTTTACCCATCTACTCATCTACCTATCCATCCACCCACTGAAACAACCAGCCATCTCTCATCCATCCAATCAACCCATCCACCCATCCATCCACCCATTCATGCATCCATCTATCCAACCATAGAACGGATGATGGCTCAGCCATATTCCTTGCTTGCCACCATACATTGGCCTTAATGCTTCAGAAATACCCCTGGATTAGTCAGCTCCGCTGCCATAACAGCATACCATAGACTGGGTTGCTAAACAACAGAAATGTGTTTTCTTACATTTCTGGAGGCTGGAAGTTCAAGATCAAGATCAGGGTACCAGAATGGTTCTGATGAGGGCTTTCTTTCTAGCTTGCACATGTCTACCTTCTGGCTGCGTGCTCACATGGTCTTTCTTTGGTGGGTGTACATGGAGACAGAAAGAGAGAGATGAAGATCTCTCTCTCTCTCTCTTCTTATAGGGCCACTAATCCTACTGCATTAGAGCCCTACCCTTATGACCTTAATTACCTCCTAAAATTCCTATTTCTAAATTCAGTCACATTGGGGATTAGGGCTTCAAAGTATGAATTTGGTGGGGGGTGGGGGAACATAAATCAGTCTATAGCAACCCTCAAGGACAGGAGCATCTTACTGTGTCCTCTCTTCCCACACCGATATCCTACCAACAAACAAATGGAAAATACCTGTTAGTCCACTATTTGGCTTTCCAATACTCACAGGTGGGAGTAAGAAATGCAGGATGGAATATTTGGAGTTGCAGATATGGATTTGATTCCAGGCCCTGTCACTTAGCTAGGTGAGGAATGGCACTTAATCTCCAAGAGCCTCAGTTTCCCCACCTGTAAAATGGAGATAATTACAGAACATACTTCATAAGATGAGATCCTCCACAGGAAGTACACAGCACAGTTTCTGGAACACAGTAAGTGTTTAAAAAATGGTAAAGCTGACTATTAGGAGGGCCAGGGCCAGGAAAGAGCATTTCAGAAAGTAAGAGGCAAATTAATTACGGTGCTTAAGGGTGGGCTTTAGAGCCAGTCTGTCAGTGTTTAAATACAGGCTCTGCCTCTTCTTAGCTGAAAGACCTTGCGCTTGTGCCTCAGTTTCCTCATCTGGAAAAATAGAGCTAATAATGGTAGCTGTGTCATGGGGTTGTTATGACTTAATGCCTGGAACATAGTAAAAATAAAAGATATTGACTATGGTTATTTGAGAACCAAGACACTGTGACTAATCTCTGGGGTCAATGGTTTTCTCCTTAGGTACACTTGGTTAATTTAGAAAAAAAAAATTTATTAACTTACACCGCTTGCTGGTGTGAGAGATGGGTCACTAGCTGAGGTCAAGGCCCATGTGTCCATGTCTTCTCTCTCTCCCCACTTCACCCTGGGCAAGCTCTGGCCAGAGCAGGGGCACAGGCCCCAGCAAAGATCCCCCATAAGTCCCCTAGATTCTGCCCGTCAGCGGCCCAGGCCTCAGTGGGAAAATACGATCGGAGAGACTGCATGCTGTTCCCCCTTTTTAATTACTGCTTCCTTAATTGAGTCACAAGTGGTGTTTGTGTTGCCATCAAACCCACGAGGACCTCGTTGTTTATGTGAATGACTCTCAGTGGAGTGACAGCTCTGAAATGTGAGATGTTCTGTTTGTACCAACTTTAACAAAGTGGCTACAGATTTCCTTCTTAATGCATGGTCTGGGAGCTAATAAAAGGGACTGGTGTTTCCTTTGCAAAGAATGACATGAAATATAGAATGGAACTCTAGTGTCACGGGACCTGGAGCCATGGGACGTTGGAGACACAGAGGGCCTCCCATCTGCTGCTCTGAAGCTCCTAGGGGCGGTGAACCTTGTATCTTATAAGGCAGCTCATTCTGTGATGAGACCACTGGCTATTGGGAAAATGTTCCTTGTATCTGAAGCTCCACTCTCCATTTCACTGATGCTAGCTGAGTCCTCTGGAGTAGTCATCTGGAGAGGTGGCTGGAATGGGAGAGAGTAGGAGGGGCTGTGACACACTGAGACTTCAGGCTGTCTACCATTTGGCCAACATAGGTAAATAGCTGTATAGCAGGACCTTCCTGGGGGCCAGGGCTTGTGCCGGCGGTGACACAGAGGACAAGACAAAGTTCCAAAGAGGCTTTGTCCTTGAGCTATTAGCACCCAAGTTGGAAGGGCCACCTGCATAGAGCAACAGGAGTTTCACTCAAGAGAACCAAAAGCCAAGACTGGTGGAAACCAGGAAGGGATGCTGTCAAGGAAGGCTTCCTGAAGGAGGAGGGTTCACATGAGCTGGGCCCAGAGGAAAGAGCATAATGTGGAAGGATGGGAGGAGTAGGAACAGAGAGAACAGATATCTCCTGACCTCAGTGGGTCAAATGCAGCCACAGCCCGGCCACTCTCCTCTCATGCACCTCCCCTAAGACCCAGCCAGGCACAAGCCCAGGAGGAGGCTGTGTCTGGGGCGCTTCCCTGTTATTTATTTATTTTTTCAGTTTATGGAAAAGTAATTCAGGAGACATTATTTCAATCAGACCCCTACGCAGTTTAGGAATGCTAATACTTCCTCTATTTAAAAGGTGTGGAATAATTAGGATGCTGATGAAGACCGAGGCAAACCATTTTCTAGTGCTCCACGCTTTTCCCATCCCTTCCGTATCCCCAGTGACAAATTAACACATAAAAGAACGACGGCTGCTAACACTTAGGGCACATTTAGCTCAGATTGGAAGCTAGGTTTTTAAGTACAGGAAGGTTTTCATGGCTCAACCTTGGAACCATTTGGGAACGCAGAAAGGAGCCAAAGAAAAAGAGTGTGGGCAGCGTGCGGAATGTTCAGGGGAGGCCTGGGGCAGGGCGGGTGGTGGAGGGCAGTGGAACCAGTGCTGGATTCAGGGAAGAGGTCTGGGGTTTAATGCTGTGGACTTGCGGTGTGACCTGGGGATGCCCCAGCCTCCTATCTGGGGACAGCAAAAGAGTGAGACTCATTGGATGGGAAGAAAAGAAGGAGAACTTCAAAAAACATAAAAATAATAGTAAAGAATCTTCACTGAACAATTTTGAGCCAGATACTATTCAGAGGGTTTTGTTTGCATAAATTCGTTTAACCCTCCAAATAATTGCCCTGGGGTGGGTATTATTTTTATTCCCATTTTAAAGATGAAGAAATTGAGGCACAGAGCAGGTAAGTGACCTAATAGGTTGCGGAAGAGAAATTTGAACTCAAACATAAATAACGATGCCTGATGATGTTGGAGCCAGAATTGTGAAGGCACAGGGATTGTTCCAGGGTGGAGAGTGCGGGCTCAGCCTACGAAGGGCCTTAAGACACAGTTGCTATGGGCGCAATTGTGTCCCTCCGCAAAAGATGTTGAAGTTCTGTGCCCCACCCCCAGTACCTGTGAATATGACCTTATTTGGAAATAGGGTCTTTGAAAATCATCAAGTTAAAATAACATTAGACTGGATGTGGTGGCTCATGCCTGTAATCTCATGCTTTGGGAGGCTGAGGTGGGAGGACTGCTTGAGCCCAGGAATTTGAGACCAGCCTGGGCAACATAGGGAGACTTCGTCTTTACAAAAAATAAATTAAAAAAAAAAATTAACAGGGAGGCTGAGGCAGGAAGATTGCTTGAGCCTCAGAGTTCCAGTGAGCTATGATTGGGCCACTGTACTTCAGCCTGGGCAACGTAGCAAGACCTTGACTCTACAAAAAATTTTTAAAATTAGCTGAGCATTGTGGTACACACTTGTAGTCCCAGCTAGTTGGGAGACTGAGGCGGGAGGATCACTTGAGCCCAGGAGTTCAAGGCTGCAGTGAGCTATGATCGTGCCATTGCAGAGTGAGACCCAGTCTCTTAAAAACAAAAAAAAAACATGAGGTTATTAGGGCAGGCCCTAATCCGATATGACTGAGTCCTATGATGAGAAGGACACAGAGATAGACAAAGCTGAAGTGACAACATAGGGAGACTGCCATCTATAAGCCAAGGAATGCCTAAGGACTAGAAGAGAGATGGAGAATTGATCCTCCCAGCCTCAGAGCTGGATCCAGCTCTGCTGACACCCTGGTTTCAGACTCCAGAATGTGAGACCTTGAATTATCTGTTGTTTAAGCCACCCAGTTTGCGGGATTTTGCTGTAGCAAGAAACAAAGACAACAGGGAAAGGAGATGGGTCTCTGTGGCCTAGGCAATAGGGAGCTATTGCAGATTTTGGAGCAGGGGAATTACATGGTTCAGCATTTTAAAAGATCACTCTGGTCATCATGTGAATACACAGGGTCCTGGAGGACAGAAGAACTGTTACCATGTGTGAGATCATGTGACAACTGTCCAGGGGCTGTGTGGCGATGGTGGCAGGCAATTCCCTGCAATTGCCAACAGAAAAGGGACAGTGCCCCCCTTTTAGGGCTGCAAAGATAATGAAGTTAAATAACTTTATTCCCTAAATCAACTGCCCCCTTTCATCACTTCATACCCAGGGGAGACTGAAATGCTCTGAGTTAATATCTAAAAAGAAAAAAAAAACAGAATTCAAGGATCAAACAACTTTTTTGATGAGGGAAGTGTTATTTCTACTCAGCCAAGACATCAAAGCCTGTGAATCGTGCTTTTTAGGTAATATTAAAGTGGGCTCTAAATAAGGCTTGAATATTTCTTTGCTTTTCCCAGGGATCACAGTCACCTTTCCTAGAGAAAGAACACCAGTGATGTCCCCAGCCAGCCTCCGCTCCAGGAGGACCTGCAGGATCTTCAGGGAACACAGCACTTGTGTAAATATGGCTTACATTTCTTTTTGCATTTAGCAGCCTAAGCATTAAAATTCATTGTTCTGGACATAACATGCATTTCTGTAGATTAAATTGGCTAAAAGCCTGACAGACAATTCAACTATGTTTCAGACATTTCTACTCACACAGATGGCCCTTGTGTCAAGAGATATATCTACATTATGGCAAAGTCACCTAACCAATGAGTTTCTGAAAAGCAAATTCCATTTACTCGTTGATCTCAATTATTTCTAATTAGATACTTTTTTGACTCTACTTGTAATAGTTAGCTTTTGCTGCATAACAAACCACCCCAAAACCAGTGACTGAAAACAAGAATTATTTTGTTATTGTTCCAGAGTCTCTGGGTCAACCAGATAGTTCTACAGTCAGGTAGTGGGTCAGCTGGGGGCTGAGAGGTCTGGGATGGCCTCACTCACATATTGGCTAGAGTGAGTGGGAGAATCTGTCATTTGGCTCTCCCCATATCAAGGAGGCTAGATCAGACTCGCTCACATGGTCAGTTTCAGGGTTCCCAAGCGTCCTTTCTAAGCCTCTGCTTGTGCCACATTTGCCAAGGCCTCAGTGACCAATTCAAATGACTGCACCCAAAGCCCCCAGGGGAGAGACTCTACCTCTAGATGAGAGGCGAGTTAACGTCATGTTGCAAATGCATACGATTTTAGGGATGGGAGGAATTTGGGGTCAATTTTGCAATCTACTATACTCTTCCTCCTCTTATAAGCACAAATAAAAGAGGCTAACATGGTTTAACATACTCTCTGTCAGGCACTGTGCTAGATTCGTTATGATGTATATCTCATGTAATCAAAGAAGTTATGTTACTTCCTCAAGTCACACAGCTATCCAATACTAGAGCCAAGATTCAGTCTCAGGACTGTCTAAGCCTAAATCTTCTGCTATTTTCCACTACTCATTCTATTTACCAGTTGTGGAGTTGAATTTGTCATTTCTCTGTTCCTAGATCATGTTGCTGGACTTTTCACTGTATTCTAGTCATTATTTCCTGTTCTATTTTCCTCTTTGGTAGTCATCCAACTTCTACTTGCCTACCTCCAGGAATGGACAGATTACCACCTATCTTGATATCCTAGTTCACAGTTGAAAGCTCAATCTATTAAAAACTTCTTTTAAGTCAAAATGAGATTCTAAAAAATCTGGATGGGAATCAAGGGGAGTTGACAGGCAAAGTTTTGTTTGAGTTTTTTTTTTTTTTTTTTGCCCTGAAATATAAAGTTTGTCTTTTTGAGATGCCTGGTTTTGTGATCATGGTTATCTTTGTTCTACATCATTTGGAAATTGCTATTTATACTGAAAGAACCAATGCAAGAAACTTTTTTTTTTTTTTTTGAGACGGAGTCTTGCTGTCACCCAGGCTGGAGTGCAGTGGTGCACCTCAGCTCACTGCAACCTCCACCTCCTGGATCCAAGTGATTCTCCTGCCTCAGCCTCCCACGTACCTGGGATTACAGGCACACACCACTACACCCAGCTAATTTTTTTGTATTTTTAGTAGAGAAGGGGCATCACCATGTTGGCCAGGCTGGTCTTGAACTCCTGACCTTGGGTGATCCACCCACCTTGGCCTCCCGAAGTGCTGGGATTACAGGCGTGAGCCACTGCGCCCAGCCGCAAGACTTTTGATTAGCTAGGTGAGTATCTTTTTTTTTTCCTTAAAGAAAATGAAGTTAAGCAAATAAATGTTTAAAAGTCTTATAAAACAGAAGCAATGATAATGCAACAATAATAATTTCCCTGGAACCCCAGGGCTATTCACATGTGGTTGTCTCAGTTATGCCATGACAGTACCCATTCTGGGAAGTCAGTGGCTATATTCAGGGAATGGTATTCATGAATTCACCCACTCATTCATTCATTCACCATTCACCAAACACTAAAAAGAGTTTCTATACTCAAAACACTCTACTGGATAAACGAGGGGGTCCAATATTACAATGAATGATACACATCACAATGAATGATACAGCATCACAATGAATGATACAAAGTCTTCACTCAAGGCTTTCAGAGTCCAGTAGGGGAATAAGGCAGATGAACGTGACCTGAGGGAGGAAGTGCCAGGGGTCTGGTAAAGATACAAAATGCAATACGAACTCAGAGGATGGAATGATCACTCCCAGAAGGATGAATTATGCATCCTTTCCCTTCATCTGAAAGCAGGAAACAGGGACTCTGTCCCTTCTGCCTGTGCTCCCTAGTAATGTTGCACTGGAAATCATTAATCCTAGCTCTTTAGGGCTCTGTCTCTCTCTGAAACCCCTTGCAACAAAAAAAGCACACAATATGAAATCTCAAAAGTTAAGGCTGTTCCTATTATTCCAAATTCAAAACTCAAAAGGACTCAGAGATGAGCAACCCTGTGGTCAGCCTCCCGTGGATGGAAGGAGCCGTTCTGGGTGGTAAAGATGTCAGGAAAATCAGTAACAGAGCTGGGGCACTCCAAGAGCTTCTTCAACTTCCTCCCTGCAGATGGTTTCAGATGTTCCCTCAATAAAAATTACCACTGGGCAAACACAAATAAACTTAACGGATTTAACTGACAGAGTTAAACAAGCAGAAGATAGGATTTCTCTTAATGAGAATAAACTGCTTGCATATGAAAAAGATTTAAAACTAAGGATCCAATAACTTCCAGAAACTTGGAACAGATTCCTAGACTTTTGGGGAAAAAAATCACTGGGCAAGAAAATGCCATCTGGAAGCTGGACTTGGCTGAAGGGTGAGGCCAAGGCAGTAGGAGGCAGTGGGAAAGGTGAACGATATGGGAATGCCCCCACGATGCAATCCAGCCTCTGCAACTGACTGCAGCAGACCAATAGCAACTAGTAAAGGACTAAAGCAGGAGGTGATTGAATTAGGTCTGTGCTTTTGCAATCACCCTGGTTCTCCACATGAGTACGGTTAAGGAGAGCAGTTGGAAAGGAGCTGTCAGACTGGGAGGTGATACAGCATCAGGCTTAAGAATCTTGTCAGAAACTAACCTCTGCCACTTTCCAGCTGGGTGAACTTGAGCCCTTATTTGAGCATTGGGAACTTCTGATAGTAACACCTCCTTATCAGGGTTTGTACACTAATTCTGTGATGTAACACTTAAGTACTATTTATTCATTTAACAAGTATTTCCTGAAAAACGATTATGGAACAGGGTCTGTTCCTAGCACTAGATATACAATGGTGAACAGCACTGATATGGCCTGCCCTTGCACTGTTAGATTTTAGTGAATCTTAGATTCTGAGGTCATTCTCTAAGTTTCTGAATTTTTTGGTTGTAAGCAACAGAAACCCAACTTGCTGAAGGGATAACAAGGGATCAATTGGTTCCTATGGTTCAGTGGATAATAAGGTAGCCCACTGAAACTGAGGAATAACTGCAGGGACAAGTGCTTCACATCTGGAACTGAGGGCCAAATACTGAGCCACTAAATACTGACTCTTTCTCTGCATTTATCTTGTCTCTGCCTTTCTGCATGCTGGCTTCTTTCCCTCCTACTGCAGAGAGGCCTTCCCCATGTTGGGGACATGGCCACAGCAGCCCCAGCTTAGCAATGCCAAGAAAATGCTTCTTTATCTCAGCATCTGCTTGGCAATCCCAGATAAATTCCCTCTATCCTCTGCAAAGGTCACCTGCCCACCTCTTGAACTAATTCATTCTTGTTGCCAGGAAGATGGGGAACTGTGATTGGCCAGGCTCGGGTCATGTGGCCAATGGCTGAGGTTTGCTGTGTACTATGATAAATGGCTCCACCAGAAACACATGGAGAGGAGAAGTATTCCTCAATAGGAGGGAAAAAAAGAAACCAAAGACAGCAGATGTCCCACCATGAAAGGCACTGAGCCTAGTGCTGTGATAAGGGTAGTAAGTGTGCAATAAGGGATAGCTTAAGTAATGATGGTACTCCATAAACCCTGGGAAAAACAGTCCACCCCATCATTTGCCACCTTCATTGTTGCTCTTGACTCCAATGCCATGCCCAGCAAGAAAACCAGGCTCATTCTCAAAGCCAGGAAACACTCTTCCTGACTGATGTAAGAACTGTGAGCTGCCTTTCTTCTAACTTGGGGTGAATTTCAAGAGCTTTAATGGTGCCTGCAATCCTATCAAACCTCAGAGTGGATGCTGTCTGTATTTCTAAGTCACTTAGTGATAAATGTATCAAGAGGGTTATTTGGGAGTGAAGTTGGGCTTCCTTTCTTCCCCTTGCTTGAGCCAATAGCCACTAGAGAAATAACACTCCATGTTTATCATCAGAGCCACCCACCCACTGGCCTAAGATCCTAACCATGTACAGACCCCCAGAAATGAAGAGTTTTTGGTTTTGTTTTCTTTTGTTCTGAGATGGAGTCTCACTCTGTAACCCAGACTGGAGTGCAATGGCATAATCTCGGCTCACTGCAGCCTCCACCTGCTGGGTTCAACCAATTCTGCCTCAGCCTCCAGAGTAGTTGGGACTACAGGCATGCGCCACCATGCTCAGCTAGTTTTTTGTGTTTTTTTAGTAGAGATGGGGTTTCACCATGCTGGCCAGGCTGGTCTCGAACTCCTGACCTTGTGATCCCCTTGCCTCGGCCTCCCAAAGGGCTGGGATTACAGGTGTGAGCCACCACGCCCTGCCAAAGAGAATTCTTAATAATTCAACCTGATGAAGGTCTTCACAGAAATGGGTATGGATGCAAGTAGTGGGGTCCCAGTCACAGCAGTAATTCTTTGTGGTCCATTATTCTTTTATTCTCAAAGTGTTCTAAAATTCGACCAAAGTTTTGGACCCAGCTCTAAATATGACTTTGAGTGTTGTGGTTTTCTTTCTTCCTTCCTTTTTCCTTCCTTCCTCTTTTTCTTTGTTTCTTTTTCTCTCTCTCTCTCTTTTCCTTCCTTCCTCTTTTTCTTTGTTTCTTTTTCTTTCTCTCTCTCTTTTCCTCTCTCCCTCCCTCTTCCCTCCCTCTCTTCCTTCCTTTAAATTATTTTTAAAAAGCAAAAAAAAATAGAAAACAATTTTTTAAAACCCATGTACTCACTATCTAAAATTAACAGATGTTAACATTTTGTTGCATTTGCTTCAGATTTTTTTAAAAAAGAAACTGTACATTGCAGATAAAGTTGAAGCTTCTTTGTACTCCACCTGAGCCTGTCCCCCTCCCTTCCTACCCAGAAGCAATCTTTATCATAAATTGAGGGTGCATCTTCGCCCTCTCATATCTATATACTTTTTTTTTTTTTTTTTTTGAGACGGAGTCTTGCTTTGTCGCCCAAGCTGGAGTGCAGTGGCGTGATCTCCGCTCACCGCAAGCTCCGCCTCCTGGGTTCACGCCATTCTCCTGTCTCAGCCTCCCGAGTAGCTGGGACTACTACAGTTTCCCGCCACCAGGCTTGGCTAATGTTTTATATTTTTAGTGGAGACGGGGTTTCACCGTGTTAGCCAGGATGCATATCTATATACTTTAATATATAAGTAGGTATCCGTGAACAATGCAGAGTTTGGGGTGAGTTTTAAAAATTTACTTAAATGTCATTATGCTATGCTTATTCTGCCAATTTATTTTGTCATTCAGTATTGCTTTCCAGATCATGTTGTATTTTTACACACTCACAGTTAATTCTTTTTAAATGTCACATAATATTTCAACTGAGGATTACATACTCTGTTTATCCATTCCTTTATCAATGGGTATTTAAGTCATTTCCAATTTCTTGCTATTGCAAACAATGCTTCGGGTTTATTGCCTAGCCTGTAAGTTAAAAACTAGTCTAAAATGTGCCAATTCTCCTTCGGCAGAAAAGGATTCAAAGAAGCATGTACTGTTTACTATTATTACGATTACATGGTGATAAGAGCCCTTCACGTGGGCCTACATCAAACTTCAAGTTTGTGAGGTACTTCCCATTCATAATTTCATAATCTTCACAATAGCCCAAAGTTGTACACAGGGTGTTTCTGTGTTTTTAACCTGTTTTGCTAATGGGGAAACTGAAGCCCAGAGTGGAACAAAGGACCTATCTCAGAAACAGGGGTATAGCCTTCTTTGGAGAATCCAGTTTATAATCTCAGATTTTTCTCTTTAACCAGTTACCTGCAGTGAGCTGCCACCCTCTGAGCTGGTTTTTTAATCTCATCCTTAGATGGGGGCGTTGATAAGAACTCAATGTTACTCACACGGCCACCACTGGATTAAGTAAAAACGATGACTACAGTACATAAATATCAGGCAGAAATTGAGTACTGGCAGCTGTGGCTGAGTCTGGTCCACAGATGTTTTGTTTGGCTCAGCCAATGTTTTCAAAGAATTGAGCCAACATTTAATAATTGGGACATTTTACATGTTTAAAATGCAGATTTCTGGCCTTTCTTGAGAAAATCAGGAGAGCTGACAACCCCAGATCTGAGTTTTCACATGGCAATCATCAGTTAAACTGAGTGGCAACCACACCTTCAGACAGGGCCTGGGCTCTCCCGTGTACCACAGTCCCCACCACTCTCTATTGTCCTAACACTGAGGCCAAGGTACAGTCACCATCTATCACTGGGTGTGCACTGTTGTTTTTCCTAGAGTGGAGAAATATTTCCCTGTGTTTCTCTTTCAAAACGGAAAATCAAATAAGAGTTGAGGGAGTCACACAATTCTTCTTACGCCCTGCTCACTTCTACCCAACCCCTCTAGGCATTTCAGTTTATGAGTATTGTTGTATGGGATTATTTTTATTAGAACATTATTTCCCAACCAAGAGAACAATAGGCAGGCATGACAGTGAGCTTTCTGGAGATAACAGGACCAAGTGATTTCCCAGCACTGGCACTCTATCAGATAGTGTTTGAAGCCCTTTACGTATAGACATTTAGAAAAGGTTCAAAACTATGAAGTAGGTACTACTATATTTTTTATAAATGAGGAAACTGAGGCACAGAGAGGTTAAGTGACTTGCCCAAGATTAGCATTATAGGGATTTGAACCCAGGTAGTGTGACTCCAGAGTCCAGGCTCTCAATCATTATACTCTACCAAGATTGCTGGCACATGTATGTGTCTGGGTGTACACAGACAAGCACACTTGTGTACACACAGGCATGCAAGCCATAATGCTGTGCTTTGTAAGCATAGGCTCACAGGATGACTGAATAGGAAGGGCCGAGACATAGGAAGGGTTGAGGACTAGACTCTGCTCTGGAAGGCAGAATGGCTGCGTCTTAGTCGTGACTCACCTAGGCAATCTCTCCACACCTGTGGGACTCAGTTTCCCTTATTGAAAATCAGGAGAAGGGGTTGGGACTAGATGATCTCTAAATTGCTTCCCAGCTCTACTGTTCTGGGGGTCTCTACTTTCTGTCCTCTCTTTCAAACTGCCACCCTGAGATGAACCATGGCCAAGTCAGAGCCATGTGTCAGCTTGCACAACGCAGGGAAGCTCTGCCCAAGATAGTCTCTCCATTTAGGTCGTGCCAGTGACCATGTGACATGCACTATAGGGGAGGTCAGCCAGGGCAAATTCCCAGCAGCTGGGGTCCAGCGATAGCCTGCCAATCTTCCTCTGTCTTGCCAGCTTCCCTCTTGAGGTTCTCTTAGACACCTGGAAAATATGTTCCTTAGCTGCTTGGCTTCTGGTCATAGAGAATTTTCCAGATTTGGAAAGAGCGATGGCCTGACAGTCTGAAGACTTGCAACCTACTTCTCGCCCACACTGGCGACCTCATGCCCTATCAATGCTGTCATTCCCCAAGTAGCTTGCCCGCTTTGAGGCTGTTTTCTCACCTGCCTTGCTTTAGAAATTGCAAAGTGCTATACAAAAAGAAGAGACAACTGGCATTACTTGCACAGAAGCCAATTTCCTATTAAACTGTGACTGGAACCAGAGACCTCAGGGAGAGCTCCACAAAATGAGGAAAGGTGAAGCTAGATGGGTGAAACTCTGGGCCCATCCCAGAGCTCGCAGGAGCGCCAGCAGTGAGGAAGCCCTGAATTCCTGCCATCACCTCCTTACTCTACCCTCCCGGATGTCCACACCCTAGTCCCTGGACTATGTAATAATGTTAGGCTACAAGGCAAAAGGGATTTTGAGAATGTAATTAAGGTTGCAAACCTTAAAACAGTGAGATTATCCTGAATTGTTCAGGTAGCCCAGTCGATCCGTGTGAGCTCTTAAAAGCAGAGAACTTTCTCCAGCTGGAGTTCAAATGATGCAGCAGAAAAAGAGATATCACAAGCATGAGACAGACTTGACCCACCATTGCTGGAGGGCACCATGTGGAAAACAGCAAAAATGAATGCACGCAGCCTCTGGCAGCAAAAGACAGGGCCCTGGATGATAGCCAGCAAGGGAAGAGAGGCCTTAGTCCTACAATCAAGAGGAACTGAATTCCGCCAACAACCTGGATGGGCTTATAAGCAGAACCTGCCCCAGAGCTTCCAGATAAACACTTAGCCCAGCTAACACCATACAAGACCTCAGACAGAGAGGCCCAGCTGGGTATCGTGCCCCCAGATTCTGACCCAAGGAGCTGTGAGATTAAAAAAAAAAATGGGGATTCTTTTACACCACATAGTTTGTGGTGATTTGTTGTAGCAGCAACAGTAAATAAATACAGACCTCTTGGGCCAGCCACGGTGGCTCATGCCTGTAATCCCAGCACTTTGGAAAGCCAAGGTGGGTGGATCACATAAGGTCAGGAGTTCGAGATTAGCCTGGCCAACACGATGAAGCCCCGTCTCTACTAAAAATACAAAAAAAAATTAGCCAGGTGCGGTGGTACACACCTGTAGTCCCAGCTACTTGGGAGGCTGAGGCAGGAGAATTGCTTGAACCCGGGAGGCAGAGGTTGCTGTGAGCCGAGATTGCACCACTGCACACCAGCCTGGGCAACCGAGCGAGACCCTGTCTCAATCAATCAATCAATCAATCAATACCTCCTGTTGCAGGTTCAGATCACTGAGAGAAAATGGCAGTATATGACATCATGAGGTTCTACATTGTGTGCAGAAGTAGGTTCAGAAAGAAAAGCCATTGGTGCTGGCTTAAGGGGGGTTGTTACTTGAGAAGGGACCTCGAAGCATTGGTTAGATTTGGAGATGGAGGAGGGAGAGCTCCTTCTGGGTGGGGGGTGGGGGATCTTTTCTGGTCCCCAGAGATCACTCATATTAGTGCCAAGAAGAGCATCTGGGGCTTGAGATGACCCTGCTGAGTAGAGAGGGGATATGTCCAGGGGGAGCAATCATTACATTCTGGAAGCAGCCCTAGGTTCATGAGCATTCCAGAGAATCAATACCTCTCTTCAATGAAAATGATAAATGATTATACTAGTATTTCACATTTTCATCCCATTACATATTTCCTCGTCTTCTGAAAAGCCATAGAATCCAAACTGATAATGTAAATGGCCAGAAAAGGGATGTTTGTAGGATGAAATTCTTTCTTCATAATCACAAAACTGTGATAAATCAAGCTCCTCTGTCACTTTCTCCTTTGTTGCATTTTTATCCTACACGTCTAGGCGAAAGGGCTTTGAGGGAGCAACAGAGTTATAGACATCTCTGCTGACTCAGTTCAGTCCAGCATTTACGACATACCTACTGTGTGCCACGTGCTATATGAGGAAAAAGGAAGCAGAATAAGGGCATTTAGAAAATCATGGGGGAGCAGAGGTTTTGTGCCTGAACAGGAGACAGTTCCCCCCACTGACTTGATCTCATCATGACCAGTATGGACTGAAACGATGTTCTGCTTGTCTCTAGAATAGCAATACTGAAACACACCCTCTATTTCTGCTCTCATACCTTCATTTATGCCGTGCCCATCCTCCAGCATGCATTTCTATCACTCTGACCTTCAGCTCCAGTTAAAATCTCATCTGTTGGAACTTGACAGCCTACAGTCTTTATTTTCTTTTTCCTTCCTTGTTTCTTTCTCTTTCTTTTTGGTGGGGGTTGTTGGAAAAACAGTCTATGGTCTTTAAAAGTCTTAACATAGTATATGTCCTAGGAGTCTGCAATTTGCCTTCCAGGAACTGATCCTTTTGTAGTAACTGTGGACATGCATAATGACACATGTCTAACGTTACTCATCCCAATGTTGGAAGCCACCTGAGTATACACCAATAGAACAATTGGTTACACAAATTATCATGTATCCAAACAGAATATCTAGGTCACAATTCAAAATAACATAGATGCATGTTTATTGTTATGGAGTCAACTTATAATGCTAGAAGGAATCCAGTTTACAAAATAACATAATAATATCACAGTTTTATAAAATAGTCTACATATAGGAAGTGTCCAGAATGGTATACTCCAAATTATTAACATTTTTCTCCCTCAGATATAATTTTCTATAGTGAAATTGGATTATTTAAAAATTATTAACAATGAAACTAAATTTGAAAACTCTTCTCCATCCTTCAATGTCCATCCAGAGACATTTCAATGTTACCCACTCCCTGGAAGCTGTCCCTGCTGCCTTGACTGTGGTTACCCTGGCACAGACCTCACATAGCATTCTTGGATCTCTATTTTGGCAGTGATCATGGTTTGCCTTATATTTGGTTTTATTTTTCTCCCTGGCAAGACTGCGGTATCCTTCAATGTGGTACCCACATCCATTCTGTTGGAAGAAAACAAGCATAGCTATAGTCTATCACACATTTACCATGGAGAGATATCTGTGAAATTGTTGATTGGAGCCAGGGAAATCACTGCTTCTACACCCCACGGTGTCCTAGGGCTGGTCCAGATCACAGTGTCCTAAGGACTGAGCTATGGTCATGGACCAGGCCAGGAGGTCTGCAGAGAAAAGAAGCATCCTGGTTTCTCTATCCTTACATAGTCAATTTGAGCCAAAGATCTGACTTCCAGGCACCTTTCCTGGAAACCAGTTTCTAGGCCCCACAAACAAGGATAGTACAGGGCTGAGCATTTCTCCAATAAATTGAAACAGTGTGGGTGGTCAGGAAGAAAGCAAACAAACAAAAACCCCACATGCTATGTACTTATTTACCAAGTATTAAGTTACTACCTTATCCTTTAAGGTTTAAGTAAACTTCAGTTCAAACCACAGCCAAGATAGAATGTGTGGTAGGGTGTGTGTCTGTTCACCATGGTTGGTACCTCTTCTGGTGGCACTGAGCACATTCCACCCTGTTAAACTCAGGCATGGCCAGGTGTCTTTCTTTAACCAATTAAACACGATTAGAAGTGAGATTGCTGAAAGGAAACTTTAAAAGTCAATGTGTGGTTCATCACCTTCTTTTTCGCCTCTGCCTTATTGATCAGCAATGTCCCAGATAAGAGCTACTCCATCAGCCTGAATCCCAAAGTGCAGAGAGGTTGATGACAGCATAGTGAGAAATAAACATTTGTGGTTGTGGCTCACTTAGATTGGCAGTGGGGAGGTTCTTTATTACTGCAGCATAAAGTTTCCTATTCTGACTGATACTCAGAGTAAAACCCAGTGCCCCTCCCAATATCTCCAAAGGTTTTTAGATGCTTCCTCCTCTGGTTCTGTATTTCTGCCTCTTCCAACTAATCTTATCTTGAGTGGCAATCAGCTCCATTTTCTTGAAGTCCCCCAGATCACCCACACAGGTCATTTATGTAAATAGAAGACTATGACTTGTGGTTTAGGTGTGAAGGAGGGCATTTACACTACAACATCACAGTAACTTCACACTGAAAACTGACATCCCTGGTCACTTGAAGTCTTTTGGCCACTTCACCACTAGAAATTTTTCATGGGTCACTCTCCTCCAGTTTCCAGCCTGTATTAGTCCATTTTCATGCTGCTGATAAAGACATACCTGAGACTGGGTAATTTATAAAGAAAAAGAGGGTTAATGGACTCACAGTTCCACGTGGCTGGGGAGGCCTCACAATCATGGCAGAAGGTGAAAGGCACATCTTACATGGTGGCAGGCAAGAGAGAATGAGAATCAAGCAAAAGAGGAAACCCCTATAAAAACATTAGATCTCATGAGACTTATTCACCACCATGAGAATGGCATAGGGGAAACCACCACCATGATTCAATTATCTCCCATTAGGTCCCTCCCACAACATGTGGGAATTATGGAAGCTACAGTTCAAGATGAGGTTTGGGTGGGGACACAGCCAAACCATATTACAGCCTCTTGCCATGATGCCAGGTTTCCATCTTTCTTTTTCTTTTCTCTCTTTACTCTTTTTCCCCTTCTCTATTCTCTGCCAACTCAAAATTCTTGTTTGTTCCTTATGAAGAATTTTTAGCTTGTTTTGAGGTCTCCTTCCAGCTAATGTTCTTATGGACTCAATTTCCTCCTCTAAGAGGCTTTCCCAAGCAGTTTTCAAAATACAGTTCCTTCTCTGCTATTAAAATTATTTTTCCCAACACACACGTAAATAGAATGATCCTTGCTTTCAAGATACTCCAGGTCTAGAGGGAACACACTTTTTTTTTTTTTTTTAGCTTTTATTTTAGGTTCAGGGGTATACGTGCAGCTTTGTTGTATAGCTAAACTTGTGTCATCATGGGGGTTGTTGTACAGATTATTTAGTCACCTAGGTACTAAGCCTAGTACCCAATGGTTATTTTTTCTGATCCTCTCCCTCCTCCCACCCTTCACCCTTAAGTAGGTCCCAGTGTCTGTTATTCCTCAATTTGTGTCCATGGGAGCACACATTTTCTAGGACCCAGTGTACTTTATAAGAATATCTCCAAAGTAGTGAACCAGAAGCTTTTCGTCCATGAAGAAACTCTGTAAGTTATTTCTGATTCAGACTATCAAATGTGTGTCTTGACCCTGAGCACCTGGAATTTGTACTTCTCTCAGAATTTCAAAGACATCTAATACTCAGATAATTTTAAAGAATCCTGTCTCAAACATTTAAAGGAAGCCTTTAAGCTGAGTCTTCAGGGCAAATCCAGGGCCAGACAAGAGTACAGCCACAGATAGCGCTGTGAATATGAGAGAGAGGAGTTGCCTTCCCTATGGCTTCAGAATTTATCAATGAGTAGAAGAGAAAGGAAAAGGGTGGTGGGATTTCTGGTAGAGGAAAAGCCACAGATGAGAGGTCCCCAGACTAAGTGTGTCTTTGGGGAAGACAATAGACTCACTTAAGAACTAGAGTCATAAAAGAATGCAGATCTCCCAAACAAAACATAATTGAGCAGAGAGATGAGACCTGATCCCATAAATAACCGGCCATAATTAGAACATATCAACAGTTCCCATTAAAGAAACATCAGGCAGTCAAGTACTGGAAGTCTGGGAAAATTGAGTTCTTAATTAAATCCTCATCAGAATTACTAGTACCCATATCCTCCACATCCCATTTCCCCAAGTCTCAAGTGTAGGTGTATCAGGAAATGGCTTGGTTCTATGTAATCACACGAAATGAATTCTTCCCCTGCTCAATCTTCAGGACTGATAGAGCCACTGGGTCCTAGTTCTTAAAACACTAATCTTCAAAGAAACCTGGGAAAATCTCAGTTTTCCCAGACATGAGCCATGCAGGCAGTCTTCTTTTAAAGAAATGTTTATCTTCTCTTAATTACACTTCTGTGCTCAACATCTGCCTTGGTTCCCTAATGTCTACAGAATATAATCCAACCTCCTGAAACTGGAATTCCTCCTGGAATTGGAATTTCTCCAACTCTCTCTTCTCCATTCCCTAGACATGGTTTATTCTGTGCTGGGTCACTTTTTATGCTGATTCAGTCCCCTCAGCCTGGAATATCCTTTCTCTCGTTCTCTGATCACCAAAATCTCACTAGAATCCCACTATTTCACCAGAAATATTCTCATCAAGATCACCAGGCATATTCACTCATCAGCCCTTCTCAGCAGCATTCAATCTGTGGACCTGTTTCTTTTCTACAAAGACTCTGTCCCTAGATTCGGTGACTCCATACTATTCTCTTGGTTTTCTTCCTAATTCTCTGACCACCTCTCCTTAGTCTCCTTTCAATTCTTCCCCTCACTCCATCTAAAGAGCTGTGATTTTCCTGGGATCGTCTCTTCTCACTGCCTCAATGATCTCCTTCATGCCCCACCTCTAAGCCAATGACTCCCAATTCTGAATCTCCAGCTCTGATCCCTCTCAATGACTCCAGATCCACATAACAAAATGCCTAATGACATCATTAATTGGACATCCCATGGCATCTCAAACTCAAAACACTTAGAATCTTCTAGAGCTACTTCCTTGCCTCCCCACCCCTCCCACTACAATTGTCTGCCTCCTGTATGCCCTAGCTCAGTGAGCATCTTCCAACCATTTCAGTTCATAACTCAAACTCAAAGCCTGGCCATCTTTCTTGACATTTTTCTTACCCTCGTCTCTCATATCCACATCCTTCTAAGTCAGGGGTTGGCAAGCCTTTTTCTAAAGAGCCAGATAGTAAATATTTTCAGTTTTGAGGGCCGTGCAATCTCTCTCATGACTGCTGGACACCATACTCTCTCCTGTTTTAAATACCAGTGCTGGTGAGCTGGTGTAGAGTGGCTGGATGATGAGATTTCTCACCAAGTCAACAGAAGACAATAGGCCATTTTCAAGCGTTTTATTTATTTATTTTATTTTGGAGACGGAGTCTCACTCTGTCACCCAGACTGGAGTGCAGTGGTGTGATTTTGGCTCACTGCGACCTCTGCCTCCCTGGTTCAAGCAATTCTCCTGCCTCAGCCTCCCGAGTAGCGGGGACTACAGGCGTATGCCCTCACGCCCGGCTAATTTTTTGTATTTTAGTAGAGACGGGGTTTCACCGTGTTTCCCAGGCTGGTCTCGAACTCCCAAGCTCAGGCAATCTGCCCACCTCGGCCTCCCAAAGTGCTAAGATTACAGGCATGAGCCACTGCAGACGGCCTATTTTATTTTTTAAGAATAGATAATAGATGCCTATGGTACAAAATTCAAAAGACATAAAAACATATCTAAAAATGCTGCCCCATCCACTGAGCCCCCTTGTCCAAAAGATCCACTATTAACAGTTTCATGTGTATCTTTCCAGAGATAATTTAAACAAACACAACCATATAGAAATGCTAGCATATTATATGCGTGGTTTTAAAACTTGCTTTAAATGTATTTCTCTCATTTTTTTCTAACTACATTGCAGCCTCATGTGAACAATCTATTTTATTAATAAACTTTGAGTTTTTTCTTTATTTAAAATTTAAAATGTATATGCAATATCCAAAACCTACAAGAAGGTTTAAAAATAATACCATGTATACTTATACATCTTCCACCTTAAGAAATTAAATATTGCCAACACAGCTAAATCCTCTTTTTATATATCCTGGAATCACTTCACCTTGTTCCCTCCTAGAGGTAACCACTATTCTAGATTTCATATTTATCATTCCCAAACATTTCTTCATAAATTTGTTATATATATTTTGTGTTTCTGGGCAGTAATTAGTATTGTTTTTTATGTTTTAAAGCTTTATAGTACCATTCTTTGTGTGTTCTTTTGCTATTTGTTCTTGTTACCTTAAAAATGTGAGTCAAGTCCAACAGAGCTTAAAAATAATAAAAAATAAAAATAACGTTAGTGAGATTCATCCATGTCAATACATATTAATATAACTCCTGGTTCACTAATATTCACTATGGAATAGCATTACATTATGTGGCCATTCTAGTATTTATCCTTTTCCTCTTGATAGATGTTTACATTATCTCTAACTTTTTGCTATTAGCAACATTACTGTGAAGATAATTCTTATGTTTCCTAACATGCAGAGATCGTTTTTCTCAGCTTAAATAATGGAATAGCTGGTTTATGAAGTATGCACATCTCCAAGTTTCTAAATATTGTCTAATTGTTCTCTAAGGTGCTTGCACCAATTCACACTCTCATAGTGGTATATGGGTTCTTATTGTTTCACCTTCTTGCCACTACTTAGTATATTAAGCAGTCTTGATAGGAAAGATGACACACTCAGATGGGATAATTAAAGAGAGTTTAAGGAAGGGATTTTTTTTCAGAGCTGTGAACTGAGGTAAAGCAACCAACAAGAGTTGGTAAAGCATCCACAATGGGGAGTCATTGACACTCCCAGGCCTGAATTGGAAGGCATGGGAGTGTTACTCGAATTTAAGAGACATGCACCTGTGGGAACGGATGTTTAACAAGAGCTATAGTTTTCAGTAGAGCATCACAGCCATCATCAGCCCTAGGCAGAGCAGGGAGGGAACCAGGGAAATAAATCCCAAACTCATGGTCCTCTCATTTTCCATTTTCTGTACAGAGAAGGGTGGAGAGTGGATCTGGAGGGGCAAATAGACAATACCTGGCACTTGATATTGTTGGACTTTTAAATTATTGCCAAGCTGACAGGGTAAAATGGTCTCTTATTGTAGTCTTGTTTTGCGTTTTTCTGATATCTAATAAAGTTGAGCATCTTTTCATGTATTTATTGTCCATTTAATAGCCTCCTTGGTAAATTGCCTCTTCCTATGCTTCACAATTTTTTTTTCATATTGGGTTATATTGACAAATGTTGTATAGATATTCTTTATATATTTTGTGTACTAATTCTTTTATGGGCATACATGCATTGTCTTTACTTTTTTACAGTGTTTTTGATGAATAAGAGTTTTAAATTTTAATGTAGTTGAATCACTCAGTTCTTTCATAGATGATGCCTTGTTCTTTCTTGTTTAAGAAGCCCTCTTTTATACTATCACATTTGGGATTAAGTTAAAAAAAAACAGGAAGCCCTCCCTTATTCTGAGTTCATAAAAATATTCTACATTTTCTTATAATGCTTTCAATTTTTCTTTTTTTATGTTAGGTTTTTAATCCCCCTAAAATTTAGTTTTTGTTTGTGGTGCAAGATAGAAATCAGATTCTTTTCATTGCATTACCAATTGTCCTAGCACCATTTGTTAAATTATTACCCTATTATTCCCTGCTGACCTGCACTGTCAACTCTGTTACATAGTAAGTTTTCGTGTAAGCATTGGTCTGTTTCTGAGTTCTCAATTTTGTTCACTAATTTATTCATACCTGCCAGAAAATACACTCTTAATTACTGTAGCCATGTAAGAAGACTGGATACCTACCAGAACAAATCCCTTCAAACTTGCTCTTCTTTAAACTCATCTTATCATGGCTCTTTGATTTTTGCTATAAATTTTTAGAATCAATGTGTCAAGCTCCACAAAATACTATAAAGCTTTTAATTGGAAGTACATTAAATTTATGAATTAATTTATAGAGTATTTACAATATTATAATATTGAGTCTTCTTATCTATGTACATGGTATATATCTCCCTTTATTTAGACTTATCTCTAACTTTTTTCAATAAAGGATTAAACATTTCTTCACAAATCCTATGCTCATATTTGGTTAGATTTATTCTTATGCTTCTTATGTCCCTTAAGATATCACAAACCTTTAAAATTTCATTTTCTAGTATCTGTGACTGGTGCACAGAAAGTGAATGATTTTAAAGTTTTGACCTCTATATCCAGAAACCTTGCAAAATTTGTTAATTATAATATTTGAAGAGTCTCTTATGTTGTCTTAATCTATAATAATTTACTCCACAAATTTTATTTTTCATCCTTTCCAAACCTTTTACCTTTTTTTTGCCTGTCTTAGAGGTTCGGTTAGAGTCTTCAGTACAATGCTGAATGGAAGCTGTGCTGTTGGATCCCTTGCCTTTTCCTGAATTTAAATCAATTGCTTCTAACATTTTCCTATTAAATATAATGTTTGCTGTATATTTTTGTATGTTTTTTATCCCTTTATCAAGTTAAGAAAATTCTGTTTCTTCTTTCCCAATTTTTTTTAAATACAAATGACCGTTAGATGTTTTCAAATGATTTCTGCATGTGCTGATGACCATGAGTTTTTCTCCTTTAATGTGAACCATCTTTGGATTCCCGAGATATAACCAATTTAATAATGATTATATGCATTTATATACATATACACATATGGTTTGCAAATATTTTTGTTTCTGCATCTATATTAATGAATGAGAATGGTGTGTAACTTACATTCCTCATGGTGTGCATGTCTATTTTGCATCAAGGACTTAGTACCTTCATAAAATGAATTGATGAGCGTTTCTTAATCTATTAGCTTCTGGAAGAGTTTGTGGAAGGTTGAAATTGTTTGTTACTTGACAGACTGTTAGAACTCATTGCTTAAATTGTGTAGGATGGGTGTTTTGAAGGTAAATATATTTTAAACTACTGATCCCCTTTCTTCAGATGGAATAAACTACTCAAGTTTTCTATTCTTCTTGATTCAATGATAATAAATAACACTTTAATAGGAAGTTGTCCATTGCATTTAAGCACTCAATTTTCTTTGCATAAAGTTATTTGTGGTACTGTCTGTTACATCTGTGGCTATCGTTCTTTTATATTTATAATATTTCATATTTGTGTCTTCCCTTTCCTTACTTCATCGGTTGCCAGAGGTTTTCTTAGTCTCTTCAATCTTTATTATATATTTCTTCTCAATTTTATTAATTTTTGTGCTTGGATTATTTCCTCCTTTACTTGCTTTTTATTATTTTTAGTATTTCTTATTTTCTATATAAACATTAAAGTAATAAATTGCCACCTGCCAATACATATATACATTTTCAGCAGTTTTACTATGCTATGCATAGATGTGCTTTTCTTCATATTCATAATTAGAATACACTGAGATTTTTAAATCTGTAAATTTATATCTTTCACCAAATTTTTGAAAATTTCAGCCATTATTTCTTCAATTTTTGTTTTGCCTTATTCTCTCTTTCTTCTGTTTCTGAGACTCAAATTATACATATGTTAGACCTTATGCTCTGGTGCCCTAGGTCCCTGAAGCTGTGTTCAATTTTTTTAAATAAAATTTAGCTTTTCAAATAGTTTTAGGCTTGTAGAAAAATTGTGATGATAACACTGAGAGTTGCCATATACTCCATACCCAGTGTTCCCTATTATTTTATATATTATGATACATTTGTTAGAATTAATGAACCAATTTGATACATTACTTTAAACTGAAGTCCCTACTTTGTTCAGATTTCTTTGGTTTTTATCTTCTTCTGTTCCAGGATCTCATCCAGAATCCCACATTACATTTATTTACCATGTCTCCTTAGGTTCCTCTGGGCTTTGATGATTTCTAAAACTTTCCTTGTTTTTTTCTTTTTTTTTTTTTTTTTTTTTGGCCTCGACAGTGTTGAGTACTAGTCAGGTATTTTATGGAATGTCTCTCAATTAGGATTTATATAACTTTCCCCCTCACAATTAGAATAAAGCTTGGGGGAAGAAAAGCACAGAGTCAAAGTGACATTTTCATCACATCACATTAAGGGTACATACTATTAACATGACTGATATGGTTTGGATCAGTGTCCCCACCCAAATCTCATATCAAATTGTAATCCCTAGAAGCTGCAGCAGTAGTTGGAATCTAAGGACTCTTGTGACAATCTCCAGGTGCCTTCTGAGGGAAAAGGGGAGGATGCCACTGGAGTCATCTTCCCTTTCAACGCCACTATCTTTCCCTTCTCTTTTACCCTCAGTACCAGACGATATTAGTTCTTCCCCTTCTCCAATGTCTTACATCACTTCCCAGGAGATGAAGTGTATTCTTCACTGATTTGCCAATTAGTCAGGTCCCCAGTGTGAACGTTTCCTGGAGGACCTGGTAGCTAAGGCAGTGCCAGGAAAAGTACAGCCACTGCCAAATAGTCTGGTGCAGCTTAGTGTGTCCGGGGCAAATGGACCACCTTGTATCTTTGAGTGCCAGCTATGTCTTTGGGATCAGTGGTCTCAAGGCTGGGCTGAGCAGGAGTGCAATGCACTTGTCAGGCAGCTGGAGTTCCATGAGCCAGACTTCGTGGCAAAGTTTGACCAAGCAGTGGCTGCTACAGCTGGTAAGGACTGATAGGTATTCAGACCAAAGAAGATAACCACAGCTGATGGAGTCAAGGCCATGACTCTACAATGAGAACTCAATTCAAACATGTCACCTAAAGGTCTGGAACTGGTATTCCAACCAGGATACTGAACTCACTGACCAGTACAGGCATGATTATTTCAACACTAATAGCATGTCAACTAGGATCCTACTATAAATGTTATCATTCTAAGCAATCCAGATCATTGGTCCATCTTCTAGTTTGCTTCTTTCCAGGAGATGTCAAACCCTCAAGAATTTAATAGCTTCTTCTGCAACTATAACCAAAAGGAATCTACATATTATAACTCAAGCCCACTGCTGGCTCAGTGTGGAAAGTAGAACCCTTTTCCCCAGAAATAGGACAACAAAAGTTCATATTTTTACACTAAAAAAAAAAAAAAAGTTAATCCCTAATGTTGGAGGTAGGGCCTCGTGGGAAGTGATTGGATCGTGGGGGTGGTTTCTCATGAATGATCTGGCACCATCCTCCTAGTGCTGTTCCCATGATAGAGCTCATTCTCACGGGATCTGTTAAAAAGCGTAGCACCTTCCCCCTCTCCCTCTTCCTCTTGCTCTGGCCATGTAAGATGTGCCTGCTTCCCCTTCTGTCACGATTGTAAGTTTCCTGAGACCTCCCCTGATGTGGAAGCCACTATGCTTCCAGTACAGCCTACAGAATCGTGAGTGAACCAAATCTCTTTTCTCTATAAATTACCCAGTCTCAGGTATTTCTTTATAGCAATGTGAGGACAGACTAATACAATGACTTATCACTATTGACGTTGACCTTGATCACCTAGCTGAGGTGGTGCTTTTCAGGTTTCTCCACTACAAAGTTACTCATTTCCCCTTCCCCTTTGCCTACTGTACTCGTTGGAAGGCAGTCACTATGCATAGCCCACACTCCCGGAGTGGGGAGTTACGTTTCACCTTCTTGAGAAAGGAATAGCTACATAAATTATTTAGAGTTCTGCATGGGAGATTTTTCAATCCTTCCATTTATTTTCTTATTCATTCACTTGTATCAGAATGGATTCATAGATTTTTATTTTATACTTTAGGTTATAATACAATATTACTTTTTTTTTTAGTTCAGATTATCCAACTTTGGTCACTGGAGGCTCCTGTGTCCCTTTGACATACCCTATTATTGGGGGGCATTGCTTTATTGTTTTTATTTTTGTTTTTCAGTATTTACAAGATGCTCCAGGACACAGCAGGAAGGTGTCATCTGTGAGTCAGAAAATGGGCCCTGACCAGACATTGAATCTGCCCTGATCTTGGCCTTCCCAGCCTCCGGAACTGTGAGAAATAAATTTCTATTGTTTCCAAGCTACCTAGCTTATGGTATTTTGTTACAGCAGCCTGAAGGGACTAAGACAACCCCCTTGGACAGCTGGTACAAAAACTGAGAATATTTAGTCTCTCTAGCTTCAGTTTCCTTATCTATAAAATGGGGATAGACTTGTAAGTATTAAATGAAATACTATGTACTTAGCTTGGGACCTGACTCTAGTACACGTTCAATAAAACTTTTAGAAACTATCATTATTTATTTACCATACATTTGGGTAAAACAGGTGTTAATAATTTGGCCATTTGATACATCCTTGATTGTTTTACTAATAATGGTTTTGGATAACATTTCTGGATGGTAAAATAATGTTGAAGAATATTTAACATTACCTGACATTATTTTTTAATCAAGTACAGTGTCAACTTGAAAAAATTATAGTATATTTGTGAAAATGGGTTCAATTCTACAGTCATTGAAGCTTAAGTGAGAGAGCTCTTATCAAAGCCCCTGCAAAATATGAGGCCTTCATTAGTTATCACATCATTCACTAATGATATTTGCCTGGAAGTGCTTTTTACTCAATTTTTTTCAGTGTGTTGGGGAGGCCAAAAGAAAAAAAAAAGACAACTTTTGCTAAAAATAGCATAGCTTGATTCATCATCATTTTAGACAAATATGTAATGAAACAGGAAGTAACTTTGAAAGCCCTCTTAACTACACTGATATACATGTGTTTTAACTATGGTGGGGGAGGATGCTAGATCTGAGAAGAGAAACATCAGGGATATTAGGTCCAAAAAGGAGAGTAGAAAGAGGCATCCCAGAAGCAGACTTTGGCTCTCTTCTCCCAAGCTCTGATGCTTGAGCAAGGGGGAGAGAGAAGAGAGAATCACATCTGCCCACTGCAGTCCCACCAACCACAGGTCTGGCCTGCTGTGAGAGGGGAAAAGCGCTGACTCAAGTGGGCTTGGACCAGGACTGGACTTCCAACACCCACAAGGGGGACTTTCTGAGATGTCAGTAAGACACCTGCTACTGGGGGTCATCATAAGGGAGAAAAGAAAGTCCTTCGCATCTGTAGCCCCACAGAACCACACTGCTCCATGAACCAGTTATACAGCGGAAGGGCAGGATGCTGGACAGCAAAAATGAATGAAAACTGAGAAATGTGGTTCACAGATACTTAACATCTAAAAGTATTTAGCAGTTTTCAAGGCTGGCCACTCTTGGACAACCACTGCAAGGCAAACCGAATTATCCACTGCCCAAGGCAAGTCTGAGGATGTGGTGAAAGTTGAAGGTGGGAAGGGAGATGGTGCAATGAAAATGATAGCATTCATGGGGAAAATCGAGGCTCTTAGCAGCAGTCAGCTCTCTTCACTGAAGTCACTGAAGCTGAGAATTTCCCTGAGACAGAAAAGAAGGACCAGAGCTCAATGAGGGAGTAACTGACCTCCCAGCAGGATGGGGCCCTCATGGAAATTTTTTTCCAAGATCATCCTGAGAATGCTACAGCACGGCACCTCTTTAGTGACTTTCTGAGCCTCTCCTCTTACAAATCATGAATGAGGCTCATAAAACAATAACTTGGAAAATAAATCCTGAATGCACATATTCAAGTAAGTCTGAATTCTTAATATATATGTGTGTGTGTGTGTGTGTGTGTGTGTGTATATATATATATATATATTTTTTTTTTTTTTTGAGATAAGATCTCTGTCAGCCAGGCTGGAGTGCAGTGGTGCTCACTGCAGCCTTGAACTGTTGGACTCCTGTGATCCTCCCTCCTCAGCCTCCCAAGCAGCATGTGACTGCAGGCACCCACCAGCACACCTGGCTAAAGGATTTTTAAAATATTATGACTCTAAGACAGAGAAGGAAAATGGCCTGGCTGCCAACCTGATGGGATGTCATTGCTCTTCACTTTTACCTCCTTCCCTGTCACTGGTAAACTCAGTGCTATAAAGTGGGCAGTTTACATGCCTGGGCTGCGGAGTCACACAAGCTTGATTTTGAGTCCTATTTGCAACTTTCTAGCCACGTGACCTTGGGCAATTTATTTAATCTGACTAAATAAATCCTTGGCAAACTCTTGGCATGATACCTGTTATAAAGGAAGTGTTCAGTGTCGGCTATTGTTTTTATCAAGAGCAGCTCCCCGTGATCTCAGTAGCCAGATAGGAAATCTTCTGTTCATTTTTGTTTTTCCCCAGTTGGGAATCATTTCAAGCTGTTTTACCCTAATGACAGAGTATTATGGAGTAGGATACAGATCACATTAATTTTTAGCCTCAAGTGCAAGACTTCAAAGACATTTTCTGCTTTGGAATAAGCATTCTGGGCATTACTTCCCACTTCCAGGTGAAGGGTGGGGAGTGCATCCGTGTAGGTCAAGTTCTTGCCCACTTTCCTCTACCATTAGGGAGAATTGGAAAGGCAAGTTTGCGGAGCACAGATAGAATCCTTATCATGCTCCATTTTTAACAATCTGGAAGAAGAGGCACAGAAAGGTTAAGATCATCCAGCAAGCAGTCAAGCCAGGATTGTGTGTCCTACTTTGCAATTTTCTAGCCATGTGACCTTGGGCAATTTACTTTATCTTACTAAATAAAAAATATATATTTGGCAAATTCTTGGCATGATACCTGTTATAAAGAAGGGTTCAGTGTCAGCTATTGTTCCCAAACAATAGGATTGCAAATCCTTTCAGTCTGTCCCCAAACACAGTGCCTTCCCCTCCATACTGTGTGTGGATCCTCTGCCTGCCCCGACAGGACCAGCTCCAAAATCTGCAGGGTCAAAGATGATTCTTTGGTTGACATATGCTTTCCTTTGCAAGTTGGAGATTTTAAACCACAGCCCCTTCCCTCTCTTGAACATTCATTTCTTTCCTGCAAATAAGCAAAACATACTGTTTTCCTTGAAATTCTGCATGTTCAGCGGGATATTTTTGGGCATTGAGGTGGATTGTAATGCAAATGCCCTTGATTTTCTTGGGACTCTCTTTCTCCTGTGAATTTCAGTGAGTGATAGGCTCCCTTGAAATAAATGTGCTTTTGATAGATGAAAATTCTCTTTTCCCATGTGAAATGTGCTTGGTGGCAGATACTTCCATTTGGCAGAATTTGTTTAATAACTCAGCGTCGTGTGGGCTTAGCTGGGCAGAACCTGAAAGATGAAGCGAGAATCTGGGCCTGGGACCCAGAGAGGGCCCAGGTTGGGTCAGGGTAGGGACCAAGATACAGAAAGCTAACAACTGGGGTCTCCACATCAACCAAGAACCAGGAACTGGAGTGACTGGCAGGTGACTAAGAGGTGCAAAGAACACAAATGTGGAGTGGGTAAGCAAGGGTGGGGGGATGGGGACAGATGGACAGAACTCAGGAGTGAGAACAATATCAGAGCAGCTGTGGTTTATTCTGTCCCTTGTGTTAGAGCAGCTGCATTTAGAGCCGTGCTTTTAGCTCATTATATGGAAGAATTCTCTTCTTATCAGAGCAATCTAGCAAGATAGGCAATCCAGAGAGATGAGCTTCCTGTCACTAGAGGTGAGGTGTGCAACTTCCAGCAGAGCTTCCTAAGCTGAGAGGGTGGTGGGACTGGATCACAGGTGAGGTCCCTTCTGCACTCAGATGCTGTGATTTGTGTCACTCCTCAGAGGAACCCCCTGTCATGGCTCCCCATTGACCTCCAGGTCACAGCCTGACTCCTGGCACAGCCTCCAGGTCCTTCTCTGACCTGGCCCCAGCCTCCTCTCTGGTCATTCCACCACACTGCCAATTGGCTGGGTTCCAACTTGACGCCTCTGGAATCATCTCAGTGTGTTCTGTTCCCTCTTGCGTCTGGGCTCTTCTTTAGCGCTTTACCTGTTGCACTTATCTCTTCTTTGTCCTTCATCTGGTTAACTCTTGCTCATCCTTCAAGTCCCTTCCTCCTGGAAGCCCTCTTTCCTGAGCCCTGAGAATGGCCTAGTGTCTCCTCTGGGCTTCCACTGCCCCTGGTCCTTCCCATTCACAGCGCTCGATGTGCTGCTCTGGAATTCTGACTGCACTGGGAGCAACCAGAGGCAGGGAAATGTCTGTCTTGTTTATTTTTCAATCCCCAGTGCCCAGTGCCCTACCTGGCAGCTAATAAATGCCCAATACAGTCCTGTTGCTTTTGAAGTGGCTGAATATCTACAGCCACTGGACCACAGCTGCCCTGTCCCCTGAGCCCTTCTGGTCAGTCCCTTAGGCTGCCGGCTGAGCACAGAGATTGGGTTTCGTGGCTAACTTCAGAAAACTGTGGTCTGACGTTAATTAACTTTTAAAATCAGGTTTTCCCCATACTCATTGAGTACGGAGATTTTTTAGAAGGTTAAATGAGGCAAAAATGAGAGAGAACATCTGTCTTTTATCCCCAGAGAGAGGATGGCATCCTCCATGAAGAGGCAACGTCGCTAATGAATGAACCACTTAGCTTGGAGGGACCAGGATTCTAATTCTGGATCCTCCGTTAACCTGCTGTGTGACCTTGGGCTAACTGCCTATCCTCTCTGGGCATCATTCATTTGGCAAATATTTGTTGCAGTCCTACATGTTCCTAGCACTTTGACGTGGCTGAACCCAGACAAGATTGAACACAGGTGTGATTTCTGTCCTCACAGAATTTACAGTTTAATGGAGAGACAGACAATACATCAGCAAACAGCCAAATATCTATGTATCTCAATACAAATTGTGACAAGAGCTACAAAGGAACTGAACAATGTATAGTAACAACAAATAATGGAGGTGAGTGTGGAAGAAAATAATGAAGCGGTAATATTAAAGTCGGAAGGTTACAAAAAAAGTCAGTGATAGAGTGCTCCAGGCAGATAAATAATGGCTGTGCAATGGTCCTGGGGCATAAATCATTCAGAAATTGGGAGAAGGCCAATGTGCCTGCAGAATAATTGGTGAGGGAAAATCTCATGTGTGAAATGGGGATGATAAGGTACGTCTGCATTAGCTCCCTCCCAGGGTCTTAACAAGTAGCAAGTGGTAGATCAGATTTTGCCTAATACAAGCACATAATTGCTGCTCAGTAAATAGTTAGTTAAATGAATGATACGGTGATTCCTTTGAGGGAATAAAAATATTTGCACTGGTAATTATTATCCAATTAAGACCAATTATTACCTTCATTAATACATTTCAAAGACTCAGGTTTGGCCTTCAGGATTACTAAGGATAACAGCAGCCACTTAGATTCAAATTTGTCCATACATCCTCCTGAAAGTCTTACAGAACAGAAAAGCAGAGCAAATAAAATTACTCTTGGCCCACGCCTATAGCATAGCTAGGAGTCAGAAAACATTAGAAGCTTCCATTTACATTTAAGTGGGAAAACAAACATCTGAAGCCAGTGAGGTTGATTCTGAATGCACAGCACAGCAGAAGGTGAGGCAAAGACTGCGGCAAGGTCCTAGAGTGGTAGAATTCAGGTGACACTAACCAAATCTCATCCCAAGAAAGAGAGGTATTTCTCCAGCCTGAGTAAAAGAGCACCACAAAGAACAGATCTGAGACCTGGGAGATTAAATATTTCCTACGGGGAGTCGAAAATAAGATTGCTATAAAGAGGTTCTCCTACTACAGGTAGGAGACAGCCTTGAGACTGTGCTGCTTCCAGGAAGAGGGAAGATTCTTAGAAAGGGGGGGATCCCTTGAGGGCTTGAAGATGAAAAGAAAGAAAAACATGACCCCTCCCCACAAAATCCCTCAAACAAGGGAGTATCAAAGAATCAGAAAAAGTCACATTAAAGCCCTATTTCTTAAAGAATTGTTCTTTTCTGTAGCAACAAAAGAAAGAGATTTTGAACTTAGAACCAAGTAAGCCACTCAAACCCATTCCTCCTATCTCTATGCTTATCTGTTAGGAAAGTCCAGCTGAAATAGATAATAATAAACATTAAAATAACCCAACATCCACCCAAAGTTAGTTTAAAAAGAAAATGGAAAATGAGAATCAAAACATTACAGCAGATGAAAACATACACAAACAAAGACATGACACAGGAAAACTATAACACAAAATTCCAATAGGGGCAAAAATACTTAAAAAATAAAATTTAGATATTAAAGATCGACACTTTCTGACAAGTTCAAAACTCAAAAAATAAATAGTGTAAACAACAGGAAGGCATGAAATAGGAGCTGGCTGGACTCGAGAAATGGAAAGAAACATAAAAGCATACGAAAAATAAAGACTAAATTACGAAATACCCCAAGGGAGAACAGTTACAACCAAGAAGATAGAAATGAAAAGAGCCGAGAAAACAAAGCCAAAAGAAAAGGTTATAAGGATTGGAGAGAACATGATAGCTATTGAAGACAGGCAAGGAAGGTTAACATATGTATCATCAGAGTTCTTGAATTAAAAAAGAAAAACAATGGAACAGGATCCTTAATTAAAACTATAATTCAAGAACTTTCCTGAAATAAAAGAAGACATGAATTTACACATTGAAAAGGCTGCTCAGAATGGTCAACTCCAAGTCATACCCTAGTGAAAATATTAGATACTTAAGTAGAAGAAAATACTTTCTGAGCTTTCAAACATAAAGACCAAGGAAATAAAATAATCTTGGCACAACTTTTATTAATAGCAACTGTCTTAGTGAGTTTGTATTGCTATAACAGAGTACCTAAGACTGAGTAATTTTATACACAGAAATTTATTTCCCATGATCATGAAGGCTAAGAAGTCCAAGATTAAGGTGCTGACATTGGTGCCACTCAGGGCTGCTCTCTGCTTTCAAGAAGGTGCCTTGTCTCTGTGTCTTCACATGGTGGCAGGTGGAAGGACAAGAAAGGGATGAACTCTGTGTCCTCACATGGCAGAAGAGAGTGAACCCACTCTGGAAAGCCCTTTTATAACAACTTTGATCCATTCATGAGGACCCTTCCTGGGACCTAAATACCTCCCAAGGGCCCCAGCTCCCAACATTGTTGCACTGGGGATTAAGTTTCTAGCACATAAATTTTGGGGCACACATTCAGACTATAGCAGCAACACATAAAGCTAGTCATCAATAGAGTAACGTTTCCAAGAAACTCAAGTTAAAATAAACCTGGAAGGAAGGAATTTTATGTCCATTGATCTGTCTTTCAATATCAAGACTAAGAAAAATAGTTTAAATATAAAAAATTTATAGAATATTGCATTCATGAGTCCCTTCTGAGAAATCTACAAGAACTTTTTCCAACCAGGAGATGATTGGAGAAATGTTGACAGAACAGATTTTGATCATTGGATGTATTTAATCATAGATGTATGACTAAAATTTAGATTTCCACAAAGATGGAAGAATAGTATGTAGATATCATATTCTGAGAAAGTTGAAATCATATGACTAAAAAGGAGGAAGGGAGAGAAAAAGTGAAAAGTAAAATAAGCTAATTATTGCTACATAGGTGAGAATCAAAGAATATCATTTAAGGTCAAAAAAGCAAATAGTAGTTAATATAAGTAAGGAAAGGAGACTAACAGCATTAAGTAAAGCTGTTAGCTGAACATAACCACTAAAGCAAATATTCAAACCTTTCTACACACCAAATGAAATAAAAACACAAAACAAAAAAAATTTTAATGGCAAATGACAGAACTAAGACTAAAATCATATCAATAAATGTAAATAGGCTTAACTTACCTACTGGAATAAAAAGATTTTCAGATTGGCTTATGAGACAAAACTCAAATCTATCCTGTTTTTCAAGATACATATCAGAAACTAAGTGAGTAGATAAGGCTAAAAATAAAGGATTGAACCAAAATATGCAAGGTGAAAAGAAATCTGATACCTTGACCTATCACAGGGTAAAATTCAGGCCAGAAAAATCAAGTGAGACAAAGCAGAACACTTAATAATTTCAGGCTGCAATTCACAATGAAGATGTAACAATATGGATATCAACACAGCAAATAACATAGAGCAGTCCCCAACCTTTTTGGCACCAGAGACCAGTTTTGTGGAAGACAATTCTTCCACACATGGCAGTGGGAGTGGGGATGGTTTCAGGGTGAAATTGTTCCATGTCAGATCATCAGACATTAGATTCTCATAAGGAGTGTGCAATCTAGATCCCTCACATGCACAGTTCACAATACAATTCAAGCTCCTATGAGAATCTAATGGCACCACTGATCTGACAGGTGGTGGAGCTCAGGTGGTAATGCTCACTCAGCCACCATTCACCCCTTGCTATGTGGCCTGGTTCCTAACAGGCCACGGACCAGGGACTGGGGACCCCTGACACAGAGCAATCTTCAGAAAGCAGAAACTACAGGAAATGCAAACAGAAATGTATAGAAAGCACTAATGACGAGAGATTTTAAATACCACTCTCACTCCAAAAAGGTGAAGTAGACAAAAGATAAAAATGGACAACATTTCTAAACAACAGAATCAGTAAGATAATTCTCATGTATAGCTATCAAAACTTACACCCTGATAGTAGAGAATACATCTTTTATCCAAGTGCACATGAAACATTCATAAAAATTAATGATACACTGCATTACAGTGGAAACTTTTATAAGTTCTAGGAAAAAAAAATATAGACAGACTGAATAGAGTTAACTTCGTCATGAAAAATAATCAGAAGGAATACACAAAATAAGAAATGACAAGGAAGAAATAACCATTGAAACAGAAGAAATTAGTAAGATCACTTTGTACAATCAAGTGTATGTAAATTTTAAAGCCTAGATGGAATGATTTTCTAGGAAAAATATAATTTACCAGAATTGACACAAAAGGAGATAGCTTATATAGATCAATATCCATAATAGAGAAAGTTATGGAATAACTAACCAACCATAAAACTACTGGGTCCACATGGTTTAAGAGGGGAATTATACTATTCCTTCAAAAATCAGATAATCCCAATGCCATTTAAACTGTCCCAAATAACAGAAAAATAATGCAAATTTTGAATGTCATTTATATAATGAAAATAATATTAATACCTTAACCCAATAAATATTGTGCAAAAAAGTTACAGACCAATCTCACTTATCAATAACTATACAAAAATTGTATCAAAAAATCCAATAGCACATTGAAAAACTACATATGGCCAAGTTTTATTACAACAATTCAAGGATGGTTCAATATTAGGAAATTAATGTAATTCTAAAAATTAACAATTCTAAGAAGAAAAATAATACAATTATCTTCATAAATACTCTTAAGATAATACAACTCAATATATCCCCAAAATAATAAACAAATAATAAATTTAGGCCAATTGCAGTAAAAATACCAACACTTTTTTTCTGAAACTAGACAACTTGATTCTAAAGTTCATATGAAAACAAACAAGAACAGCCAGGAAGACATCAAGAATGTAGAGCAATAGCCAGAGGAGCTAGTTCTCTCAGATACTAAAATATATAAGAAAACCTCTAAAATTATAATGATATAGTATTAACACATAATTTAACAGATATATCAATAGAACAGGATAAAAAGACCAGAAATAGACCCACTACACATGGAAATTTGATGTTACTGAAGGAGGAATCTCAAATCTTTGGAGAAATATGAACTTTAACACAAATGATATAGGACAACTAGTCACTTGGGAAATCATAAAATTGGATCGTTACATCATACCTAGATGAATTTATGGATGGATAGAGGGATGGATAGAAGAAAAAAAGATCCAAGAGATCTTAGTGAATACTTTAAAAGAGAGAAAAACAGAGAGAAAAAGAGACAGAGAAGAGGGAAACTCGGAGGCCAGCACCAAAGGGACTGTTACCCCAACTCCTTACTCTGAAACTTGGTAATGAAAGAATGAAGTCTTTACCTGGCCATTTTAGGGGGATCTATAATCTATGCCAATTAGTTGATGAAAAATACAAGAGATGGGGGTAAAATGTTAAAAGATGTGACAAGGAAACAAGCAGGAAACTCCAAAATGTGAAACATTCTACAAGACAGTAGTAGCCTAATATTTTCAAAAGTCAATAAAGGCCTAGGTGAGAGATGTTCAAGATTAAAGGAGACAGAGGAAATATAACAACCAAATGCAATATGTGAACCTTAATTGGATCTTGGTTAGGGGCAAACTATAAAAACATTTTGGGGACAATTGGGAAATTTTAATGAGGACTTGATATTAGATAATATAGGATTATTGTGAATGTTCTTAGATTCAAAGTGGCATTTGGTTGTGTAAGAGAATGTTCTTATTTTTAGATGCATGAGTGTTGAAGAATTATATCTGCAACTTCTTTCAAGTACTACAGCCCGCCCCCCAAAGAAAAGAGAGAGAGATGGTTACATAGCTCTAAATTGATAGAAGACGGACAGATAGATATGTAGATAATGGATGGCTAGATGAATAGATATAGATAGATAAAGCATATATGACCAAATGTTAACAACTGTTGAATCTAGGTGGTGAGCATACAGGTGTTTCAAACATACTTGAGCAGTTGGATATACAAATATTGCCTAAGACCCAGATTTCATAATTTTTGAGCTCTTCCTATGTACCAGGCCCATTACTCCATAGTTTTACATAAGCAATAGTATTCTATTCTTATAACTGATCTGTTGGGTGGGCATTACTCTCTCCATTTTATGAATAGATGAATGAAGCTATCAATTCTTGACCAATGCCACAGAGTGTAATTCAAACACAGATCTGTCTGATCTTCAAGTCCAGACTCTATTAAACTATAGCCATATCTACAAGGGAACTAGGCAAATCTAGCATGTCAGAAACTGAAACATAACTCACAGAGAACCATACAGAAACATGTTAAATCAAAATCACTCCAGGTCTTTTCAGGCACTCCCAATAGAGGACGTGGGGTGAGCACAGGGAGGAAGACTGTAAGGTGGAACACGGCCTGGAACAGCAGTTGTTCCTGGCTTCTGGGGTGTGTTGGGAGAATGATGGGAGGAACTGAGCTAGAAAAGATGGTTAGGCCAGGTCATGGCATGCCTTGAGTGCTACGTGGAGAAGTCTGGGCTTGCTCTGACTGGCATAGGGAGCCATGGAAAGTCTGTATATGGGGGAGGACACAGGCAGACAGTGATGTGTTCACCACTTTCTTCCTTCTCAATAGGAGACCATTTTTAAACAAACGCAAACAAAGCCTACAGAAAGAATTGGAGCAAATTTTTGATGTGTTATTTATAAACTGAGGACTGGTCAAGTGGAAAAAGAAACCTTAACAAGATTAAAAATTGATGCACAAAGAACCACTCAGTGGCTTGTAAAAGCCCTTGGTAAAGAAAGAAGAAACGAAAAGCTGTTTCATAAAAGATTGAAGCTCCAGCGTACTCAAGGCTTGAGCACAGGCAGAAAGCTCTCTTGGCATCATAGTTCTGTAATCAACTGGAGTATTGCTATGGTGGGAAGGCTTCGTTGGGAGCAGGCACTTTCTGTACTTGTTGGAGCACTGGCTATTGTCCAAGGGCTTGGGAACCACCAAACCTGGAGTGGACCTTTCCACTCTGTCATCATACCACACAGCCAGAGGTCAAAGTTGGGGGCATCACAGAACTAGAGTCTCTGGACTTAGAGAGACTAGAATGGTCACAGCATCCTCTGTGCCCTCTCATCCCCATCAAGAGATCATCTGTATTTTCTTCTCCATAAAATAAACAGAGCATTTGTCATTCGTTTCTGACCACAAAACTAACAGATGTTCAATAGTAATTTCAAAAATATAAAAAAGCTCAAAGAAGAACATTTTAAAAATCACTCATTTTATCATCCGGAGATAGACAGTTATATACTTTTTTACAAAGTCATATTGAATATGCTATTTTATAATATGCTTTCTTCATCTAATACTACAAAATTTTACCCATGTGAATGAACAATATCCTATAACATTAAAAACCCCAACTTAACTGATCCCCTTTTCGTGGACATTCAGGTTGCTTCCAATTTTATTTTAACGACAAATAATACTATAGTGAACACCCCCAAACACAAATATTCTTATACACTTTGGTTATTCCATAGAAAACAACTTTTTAAGATAGAAAATCAAGTTTTTCCTTCCACGAGTCATATGTCCTGTGGCTTTCCATTCACTCAATGATCTTTATTTCTTCAGAAACAGATGTGTGTACCACCTAGCGTTTAGGCCAAAAAAGTCATTGTTCTACTTTAAATCAGACTAGAGTTTTGAGGCAATAGCTTAAAAGATAGGCTTTGTTGAGAAAGATTAAAGTTCTTTAAATTCTAAATGCTTCTTTACCATCAAGAACAGAGGCTGATGATCTCAGATTGTGCAATTTTTCTATAAAGTCGCATTATAGAGAAGATGATGATTGATAAGGTAAGTTCCCATCAGACAGAAAGGGGAAGGAAAGGAAAAATGAGGAGAGAGGAGGAAATATGCCAAGAAGAGACTCAAGTGTCCTGGCTCTCTTTTACAGTGGAAATCCCAGGATGGGGCAGGGAAGGAATAGGTGGCAGAAAGGTCTTGTGGATATCATAGGTGGAAAGTTGAAGGGAGAATACACTTATGCTCCATTGTATCTTTCATTACTCTGGGAGGCAGAACCTTTAAGAGCACTCCTGCACCAACATGGGCAGCTGAAAGGAATTCAGGTGTGGTATAATTAGGCTGAGAGAGAGCCCAGTTCCTTTCTCTCCATCACATAGAGGAGCTGGAAGTTCCCATATGCCCTAGCAGGAAACACGGCTGAAGTTGCCAGGGTGTAGGCTCACCACAGACACCCATAGTCACTGGCAAAAGGGCCCTGGGGCAGGGGTGCTACGAGATGAACCGCTGAACCTGGACATTAAGTAGTATATGAGCCAAAATCCAAGGAATGTAGTACTGGCAAGAGCTGTTGACATTGGGACCTGGTTAGCAGGGGAAAATGGCAGAACTTCCTGGGAGCAATCAGGAAGCATTTCCAGGGCACCGTTCACTGCATTGAAGGGCCTTGTGCCTGCTGTTTTTGAGCACTAATCACTATCCTTAGCTGTTAAGGCGCTTTGTTAGATATAACTACAGGTCTGAGCTCTCAACACTGGAAATGCGTCCCGTGTACCAATGAGAGCTCAGATGCCAACCTTGTCACTGGACACCATCATGGGAAGGAAGGGAGAGAAACAACCTCTTCTTAAACAATAATGGTCTAGAAACTCACTGCCCCCCCATCCCATCCCAGGATACTCCATCTTCGCGTCTAGCAAAATGTGTTTTTCTTAATGTTAACGAGCTCTCAATCATTGTTCTAGGCAAAGTATCACAATTTTATTTTACCTTGTGTGTTCGTTCAATTTGGGTGAGGGAGTTTGGGACACTGTGTTGAGAAGGGTTCTGAGACTTGGTCTGGCTTTATGGGAAAGTATTTATGATTGATTAATGATGTTTGCCACTGGGTTGGAAGTGGCACGTGGTGGCACTTGGATTGGTTACCAGCAATCCCTGTTCTAAAGCCATATTAAAGTAATCCAGCTTTCACGTGCTGGTCCTGCAGTTACTAAAGACGGGGCCTATTCTCACCCTGCCTTCTGTTATTCAGGTTAAACTTCCCTTTGTTTTTTTCATTGTCCCTTCGGTGGTATGGTTTTCAGGCCCCCTGTTAGCTCTGGACAATTTATTATTGCATCCCCATAAAATGGGGCACACAGAAACAAATATATTCATGTGTTAATTCAGAGCTTAACTCATCGAGCATTTAATGAAAACTACCTCCCCACCACGCCATGTTCCATTTTATCTTTGGCACCAATGTAAACCGCAGAACTGACTTGATTCTAGGTGGTTGGACCAGTGAGGGTTAGTATGAGATTGCTACCTGTCTTATTTTTGTCATGAGGAATCTATTCAAACAGCCTGAATTCCCATCTGCTGAGACCCTTGAGGTTTTTGCATGCGTGTGCCTGTGGAACCCCCATCACCCACACCCTGCACCTGCACACTGGGGTTGGAGCCCGGAACAAGGCTTCCTTTTCACCTCTGTCAATTCCATCTCACTCCATTTGGCCCAGCTCTCCTGGCTGTTGAGATTTCTCTGACTCCAGACACTGCCACCAAGAATGTGTGTACTCAGGCTAGCTCTCATCGGAATAAAGGAACTTGATGAGGCTCCAATTTCTAACAGGATGAAAAAGCAAAGCCAGCCCCACCAACAGAGGACCTCGCTGCAGTGAATGCACACTTAGTCGTCCCTGGTCATCGGTCTCACACACTGGGGTTCCTCCCTTAGTGTCCAGCAACATTGGGAATCTACAAGCATGTGATAAATTCCACATTTATCAGAGTTATTGCATATCGGCTACGTGCCGGGCATGTCAATGAGTCTACCAGGATCCCAGCTCTCAGACGTACATTCCAACAGGGGTGGGAGGGGTGGGGGTGAGAGACACAGACAAGAAACAATAGTGTGTCAGAAGGCAGTGAGGACATAGAGAAAGAAAACATAGATTGGGGTGCTGATGCAGAGTTTGCAGGGTTCGATATGGTGGTCAGGGTAGGCATTGCTGAAGGTGACCTTCGAGCAAAGACTTGAAAGAGGGAAGGAGGTGAGTCATGTGGACACATGGGATGGGGGTGGGGACAATCCAGGCAGAGGGAACAGCAAGCACATGCCTGCAGTGTCCCAGGAACAGCAAGGAGGTCAGTGTTGCTGAAGGGAAGCAAGTGACAGGAAAGATGGTAGAAGATAAGGTCAGAGAGGCAATGGAGGCAGGTGACACAGGGGGTGTGGTCCATGTAGGAATACGGCCCCTTCTCTGGGTGAAACGCACAACGTTGTTGGGAATGACATGACCACGCTTATGAGTTTCAGGGCCATGCTGGCTCCTGGGTAGAGAATGGACTCTATAAAAGGGGCAAGGGTGGAAGCAGGGAACAAAAATCAGAAAACCCAGAAACTGAACCCAGAGGAAGGCATGACGTCTCCGAAGGAACCCAGGAAGTTAGCAACAGAAGCAGGAAGAGGCTGGTTTTCCTGACTGCTACTCAGCCATCTCACTCTCCCCCTGGCCACATGGGGTGCCCCAACCTTCAGATCAACAGGCTGCCCTGTCAGAGGCTTCCAGCCCATCCCGAAACCCCAAGTGAGGCTTTCATGAAGAAACGGTGGGGGCAGCTCTGGGATTACAGCCTTAATTTTGCTCTGATTCAACACAGCTCTCCCCTCCGGCATGATTAGTCAGGTACCATTACCATTTTGTAATGAGATTAATGAGAGAATTCATTCAGAAGTCATTATCTTACCTAATAATGACCTTACTGATTACTGTATCTCCTTCAACTAGGTTACTGATTTTGATGAAAATATAATAAATATAGCTTGCAGCACCTGGAAATTTGTTCTCTGCCTGGAATAGTTCTGAGGTGAAGACTTATTTTTAAGAATTTCTTGAAAGTGATTAAATATTTTGGTTCTCCTGAGGCGGTATTTCTGTGTTTTCACAGATGACATTTTTGAAATGTATGAAATATTTGATGATAAAATATTTAATAAGCCTGGCGTTCATATTTTTCAGACATCTGTTTCTACTTTGAGACTGTCTGAATGTGATTTTACATGAAATTTCTATTTGCATGTTGTGTTGGTTTAAGAAAAGGGCTTGTGCTATGCATGACATATGCGTCTCATAAAATAATGAATGCCCGCGCCTCGCAGTCCAGAAGATATTGTACAAGAAGCATTGTGGTCTGCATATTAAAATGCATCTAAGCAAATCATTAAATAAAAACAGAACCATTTCCATGGGGGAATAATGCAGCTCAACTCCTATTAATTGAGAACCTACTGTGCGCCTGTAATCCCAGCTACTTGGGAGGCTGAGGCAGGAGAATCTCGTGAACCCGGGAGGCGGAGGTTGCAATGAGCCAAAATCACACCACTGTACTCCAGCCCGGGTGACACTGTGAGACTCTGTCTCAAAAATAATAATAATAATAAGGATTGATAAGATATGGGCTTCATCCTCAAGACTCAGATTCAGTAAAGGTATATTAAGCTCCTATCCAGTATCTGGTGCTTTTAGACTCACCATCTCATTTATGAGATAGAGTGGTACAAGGATATAGGTTTCTGGACTCATATATAGGGGTGTCAAGCCCTGCTTCATTCCTTGGTGGTCTTATCACCTTGAGCAAGTCACTTACTCTCTCTGTGCCTCAGTTTCCACATCTGTGAAGTGGGGATAATAACTCACTCTTTGGTCTGTTTGAAGGATGAACAATAAAACGAGAAAACAGATTCTTAGGGGTTAAAGGGCTTGCTGGTGATCAAAAGTCTAGCAAATAGTGAAGCTGGGAGTCCCAGCCCTTCAGACTTCAAGCTTCAAGGCCTTTCTATTATGACATTCTGTCTCTTATCCCTGAAGTTTAACCATGCCGTGAAAACAGAGCAAGCTTCCATTTGGGGACTTGGTGTAAGCTCTGACACGATTTTCATAAATCTAAATAGTTATTCTATGATACCCACTTCACTCCACGTTCATCTTAATCCATGTGTCACCTGAAAAGATGGATGAGTAATTTGGAGACTTGATTGATGTGGGTTTTGCCTTATGACTTTCCTCGAAGTTAATGGGAGCCATGCGGTCCCAGATCCATGAATCACCCCAGCTGGAAATGCTCCATTAGAAGGAAAGAGAAAACAAAAGATCAGCAGGATGCCTGGAAAACAGTCACACTCAGGGTTGTGAGTTGATGGTAATGAAACTCCGTGTTTGGAAGCACAGAGAGGGTGCAGTGAGCACCGGGATTGGAGTCAGGGTTGGGAGAGGGTGCAGTGAGCACTGGGCTTGGAGTCAGGGTTGGTGGAGAGGGTGCAATGAGCACTGGGATTGGAGTCAGGGTTGGTGGAGAGGGTGCAGTGAGCACTGGGATTGGAGTCAGGGTTGGGAGAGGGTGCAGTGAGTACTGGGATTGGAGTCAGGGTTGGGAGAGGGTGCAGTGAGCACTGGGATTGGAGTCAGGGTTGGGAGAAGGTGCAGTGAGCACTGGGACTGGAGTCAGGGTTGGTGGAGAGGGTGCAGTGAGCACTGGGATTGGAGTCAGGGTTGGGAGGGGGTGCAGTGAGCACTGGGATTGGAGTCAGGGTTGGTGGAATGGGTGCAGTGAGCACTGGGATTGGAGTCAGGGTTGGGAGAGGATGCAGTGAGCACTGAGATTGGAGTCAGGGTTGGTGGAGAGGGTGCAGTGAGCACTGGGATTGGAGTCAGGGTTGGGAGAGGGTGCAGTGAGTACTGGGATTGGAGTTAGTGTTGGGAGAGGGTGCAGTGAGCACTGGGATTGGAGTCAGGGTTGGGAAAAGGTGCAGTGAGCACTGGGACTGGAGTCAGGGTTGGTGGAGAGGGTGCAGTGAGCACTGGGATTGGAGTCAGTGTTGGTGGAGCGGGTGCACTGAGCACTGGGATTGGAGTCAGGGTTGGTGGAGAGGGTGCAGTGAGCACTGGGATTGGAGTCAGGGTTGGTGGAATGGGTGCAGTGAGCACTGGGATTGGAGTCAGGGTTGGGAGAGGATGCAGTGAGCACTGGGATTGGAGTCAGGGTTGGGAGGGGGTGCAGTGAGCACTGGGATTGGAGTCAGGGTTGGGAGAGGGTTCAGTGAGCACTGGGATTGGAGTCAGGGTTAGGAGGGGGTGCAGTGAGCACTGGGATTGGAGTCAGGGTTGGGAGAGGGTGCAGTGAGCACTGGGATTGGAGTCAGGGTTGGTGGAGAGGATGCAGTGAGCACTGGGACTGGAGTCAGGGTTGGGAGAGGGTGCAGTGAGCACTGGGATTGGAGTCAGGGTTGGGAGAGGATGCAGTGAGCACTGGGATTGGAGTCAGGGTTGGGAGAGGGTGCAGTGAGCACTGGGGTTGGAGTCAGGGTTGGTGGAGAGGGTGCAGTGAGCACTGGGATTGGAGTTGGTGGAGGGGGTACAGTGAGCACTGGGATTGGAGTCAGGGTTCGGAGAGGGTGCAGTGAGCACTGGGATTACAGTCAGGGTTGGGAGAGGGTGCAGTGAGCACTGGGATTGGAGTCAGGGTTGGTGGGGAGGGTACAGTGAGCACTGGGATTGGAGTCAGGGTTGGGAGAGGGTACAGTGAGCACTGGATTGGAGTCAGGGTTGGGAGAGGGTACAGTGAGCACTGGGTTGGAGTCAGGGTTGGTCCCTGCTGTGCTGCTGTTCTTATTGTGGGCTCTTGAGTGCAAGTCATTTCTCCTCATTGGGCCTCAAGGTCCTCGTCTTTAAAATGGAAGTAATAATTCACCTTTCTCACAGGATAAAGGAATCATAACATTCCTGACCATAATTGAGTGCCTACTGTGTGTCAGGCCTATTCTAGATGCTTCACATACATTATCTTATTTAATCTTTACAAGGACCTCATAAAGCAGCATCGCCACATTTTGAAAATTAGGAAACTAAGACACAGAGAGGTTAAGTAACTAAGCCTAGGCCACCCAGCTGGGAAGCGGCAGAGATAGGATTTGAACACAGGCAGGCCGACTGTGGAGCCCTAGCCCATAGTCTCGACCAGTACTGCCTTGTGGGTATAAAAGCACTTTATGCACAGGTGACATCTGTCATTACCATTATGCTATCGTTTGTTGTGTCCTGATTCAGGCTCTCAATGAAAAGGCAAGATCAGAGAAAATGAAAAGAAGTTACTCTGCATGATAGTGAAAGACCACTCAGGGGACAGATGTGGCAGACACAATCACCAACACAATGCTTCATGCTTGCTCAACTAGGGAAAGAGGAATAGATGAGATGGAGCAAAGCTAGGGAGAGGGGCCCTGCAGGAGCAATTGATGAGAACAAAGTAAGAGGCGAAGCTCCAAATAGATATTGACCAGCCTCCATCCTTGAGTTTATAGGGGCGGGGGGGACCTTCTATATGCAAAAACGAGTGGGACAATGACAGGATGGGATAAATAGGTAAAGTCTTGACGTTTGAAAAGTGGTACATTAACCGGTAGTGACACCACCCAGGGCCTGTTAGAAATGCAGGATCTCAGGCCCCACTGCCAAGGCCTATTGAATCAGAATCTGCATTTCACTGGATACCAGACATTTCCTTTGCACGTTAAAGTTGGAGAAGCCCTACTTTAAAGCCATGTGCTGACAACTTGGGAGACTGTGCGGCAGTGGATCCAGAGGGAGAGTCATGACCTAGGGAGCAGATCCTATTTGAAAGATGCCGAGGCCGGGCACCTTGGCTCATGCCTGTAATCCCAGCTACTCAGGAGGCTGAGGAAGGACAATCGGTTGAACCCAGGAGACGGAGGTTGCAGTGAGTGGAGATCGCGCCACTGCACTGCAGCCTGGGTGACAGAGTGAGACAAAGAAAGAAAAAGAGAAAGAGAGAGAGAGAGGGAAAGAGAGAGAGAGAGGGAGAGAGAGAGAGAGAAAGAGAGAGAAAAAGAAAGGAAGAAAGAAAGGAGGGAAGAAGGGAGGGAGGGAGGGAGGGAGGGAGGAAGGGAAGGAAGGGAAGAAAGGAAGGAAGGAAGGAAGGAAAGAAGGAAAGAAAGAAAGAAGGAAAGGAAGAAATAAAGAAAGAAAGAGAAAGGAAGGAAGGGAAGGAAGAAAGGAAGGAAGGAAAGAAAGAAAAGAAGGAAAGAAAGAAGGAAAGGAAGAAAGAGAGGAGAGAAAGAGAGAAAAAGAGAGAGAGGAGAGAGAGAGAGAGAAAGAAAGAGAGAGAAAGAGAGAGAGAGAGAGAAAGAAAGAGAAAAGAAAAGAAAGATGCCCAGTTTATATTTTTGCAAAGGCAAAGGATGCAAAGTCATGGAAATTGAGTCACAGACAGTATAGGAATGGGTAACAGATACACACATATGGGATGAGGCTGCGGTATGCTCTGAAAAGCCTTCTTTTCAAAGACAAGAACTCTTAGAGTTCAGTGGCCCAGCTCAGTAGAAATGACACTGATTGGGGTCTCATCCGAGCCCTGACTACTGCCCTGTGGGACCTTGGAAAAAGCCAGATTAAGGAGTAGACTGCTGGACAACTGCCCAAGGCACAAATTCACCAGGTGAGCTGAAACACTGCTAGAATAAATTGGTGGAATCGATGGTTCCACTTCCACCAAAGTAGACAGCGCCCTCCAGTGGAAGATAAAAATACAGCGTTTCTCCCAAGCATAGCCCTCTGTTCTTCAGGAGGCACCAGAAGTTCTGTAAAGATGTGTTCCATGGAGCGGGGCTGTTTACTGGGAACAAGTGACTTCTTTCATTATCTAAATATAAAATCATTTAATATATCTGCCAAAAAGCTGTACAGTTTAGCAAGTTGCAAAAGAAAACTATATAGAGTATAAAGACCACAGAAAAGTGGGAAATGCTGGGCAGGCCTTTTTCTTGACGTAAACACCACCACTTCTGCCCAAGATTCATTAGTAAGAGAATCCCTTTTTCTGTGCAATTTCTATTAACAGCCAGTCTCTCTCTATCCTCTTGAAATACATGTTGGCATGGTGGCTCACGCCTGTAATCCCAGCACTTTGGGAGGCCAAGGCGGGTGGATCACAAGCTCAAGAGATCGAGGCTATCCTGGCCAACATGGTGAAACTCTGTATCTACTAAAAATACAAAGATTAGCGGGGCGTGGTGGCGGGCACCTGTAGTCCCGGCTACTCGGGAGGCTGAGGCAGGAGAATTGCTTGAACCCAGGAGGTGGAGGTTGTGGTGAGCCGAGATTGGGCCACTGCACTCCAGCCTGGTGACAGAGCGAGACTCCATCCCCCCCGCAAAAAAAAATACAATAAAATTAAAAAAAAAGAAAGAAATACATCCTGGGCAAATATTTAAGGCTATTTATTTGAAGGGTTACGAACTAAACTACCAGCCTGGACCACCCATGGTCCTTAATCCCACATTGCCCTTAATCTCTTCACCACCCTTTTCTTCCCTCCTCAGGAGTAGTAGGAGGCTCAACGGAGAAAGTGGATTTCAAAAAAATGCAACAAAGTGCCTCAAACTATAAACCCAGCAAGGGACTCTTCAGAGGCAGCAGCGTTGACAAGGTCCCCAGGTAGCATCACTGCTTCCTGCTCTGACGTGAAACGTCCTGGTAAAGAGATTGACTGAACATGAGACGAGGACAAAGAGGCAACATATGTGGACCAGAACCCGGGCCCTTTATACCAGACTCTGCTGTGAGTCTTTTAATGAACAGACATTTTGCTAGCTGCTGCTGGGAAAGTAGAGATGTTTGATTGTAATGCTTCCTTCAAAGAGCTTATAAGCTACTACAGATAGTGACTAATGACCAAGGCTAGATAGATTTGGTTCCAAAATTCTCTGCCATCTAATACCTGGATGACATCTCAGTGACCCTAGCAAGTCACAGCCCTTCTCGCAGTGCTGATTTCCTCGCCTATAACATGGGCAAAGCAATTCCTCTCATTAGGGATTGTTATGGCAGAAATTTCGTTCCTCTTGCCTCCCGTTTCCCCATGGACAGAACGCAAAAAGAGTAACACTCCTGGCCTCTTGCCCCGCCCCTTCCCCTCTACCCCTCAGAGGGGAAGTGAATGAGTTACCTGATGTGGGGCCACAGCCTTGGGACCACAGTTCTTGGTGGGTAGAGCTAAGTTATTAAAAGACTGTAAGACTAGGGATGTTTCCTCTTTTCATCCCTTTTCTCCATACCAGGGCTAGGCAGGAATCCTCAGTAGATGAGTGACTCTGAAGCCCAAACTTCCCCCAGCAGGCCTTTCCAAGTTCTCTATGGGGGACCCTGTATGGGATCCTGTATGGGTGCAAAGAGGGTTATGAGCCAGCCCTTTGACCACAAATAGGAAGTCATGCTCTCCAATCAGTTTATCAATAAAAAGCTAACATTGATGTCCATTCGCCAGTCTCCTGGATTTTATTTCCCAATTGATCCTCATTTCAGAAGGGGAGAGAGAAGTGATTTTTCGCCGAGCCTCTTAAAGTCTAACAAGGGGCCAGGTGCAGTGACTCACACCTGTAATGTCAGAGCTCAGGTAAGAATCGCGCTTGAGGCCAGGAGGTGGAGACCAGCCTGGGTGACAGAGTGAAACCCTGTCTCTTTAAAAAATAAAAAATAAAAAAATAATAATAAAAGTCTCATAAAGGCATGGTGAGAAGAAAATGAGATATGTATATGTATATAAATTACCTGTTTCATAAGAGGCATCAATAAAAGATGATTATAATCATGTTGGCCCAGTTAGTAACCCAGACAGAGACTTTTTATCTAGGCCCGGGAAAGACTGAAGTTGTCAGTAGAGGCCTCCATGAGGAAATCAAGCATAAATTGGGCCTGGAGAAATGAGGAAGGAAATGGGAGGGCATTTCAGACAGGAAGATGTACATGGGTAAAGGTATGGATTTCCTCAACATTTCTTGCCATTTGTCCATCTTTGACGTCACCCTCTCCCTTATTGGGGTGGTTAAGTCTTCCTTAAGAAGGAAGGGTGACATCACCCTCTCCCTTGTTGGAGTGGTTAAGTCTTCATCTTCATTCCTTCTGGGTGGTCCTTCTGTTCTCACAGCTCTCATCCACATACAGCCATTCTCCAATGTCAGCCTTCCCCTTTTCTCTCATAATAACAGAGGCTTCCCAGAATAAAAGCTATACTCCCCCACCTTCCTTGCAGCTGGGTTTTGTGCCCATGTGAGTCAGTTCTGGCTAATGGGGAGTGCGTGCCAGTGATGCGTATAACTTCCAGGCCATGCCTTTGAAAGAGAGGACACCTGCCCTTCCTGCTTGCATGTCCTTTCCGTGTTGGAGGACTCATTTCTGCCCTTCTTCCCAGAAGCCTTTCCTCATAACAGTGACAAATGAAAGCCACCTTGGATCATGTGGATAAAGAATACATCCCAGACCAACACAGAAGGAATCTGCATTATAGGCAGCTTTGTAAGGCAGAGCCTTCCTAATAACTAGGTGAGAAACAAATTAACTAGTATTTTATGTGAACTACTGTTATTTGGTCTCTGTCATATGCTGCCAGAATTATCCTAGCCAATACTAGCTGCTTATCACTGTTATAGGAGTGAAGGCTTCCTGGAAGAGGGAAGGGCAGGGATGTACCTCCAGGTATACAGCACAGCATAGATACAGGTATAGAAGCTGGATGAATTCATAGACCTGCAAGCAGCTGGGTATGTCTGGGGCCAAGTCTAGGGTGGAAGGAGAGTGGTGAAAGAGACTGGCAGGGTCCAGACCAGACAGGGTGTTTTATGGAAGTGACAGAATTTGGACTTTATCCTGCCTTAACCACTCCAACAAGGGAGAGGGTGACGTCAAAGATGGACAAATGGCAAGAAACGTTGAGGAAATCCATACCTTTACCCATGTACGTCTTCCTGTCTGAAATGGCCTCCCATTTCCTTCCTCATGGAAAGTCATGGAAGTGTTTGGGACATGTGAATGGACTGTGTAAAACAGCGGTCCCCAACCTTTTTGGGACCAGGAACCAGTTTTGTGGAAGATAATTTTTCCATGGACAGGGGGTTGGGGAGATGATTTGGGGATGAAATTGTTCCACCTCAGATCATCAGGCATTAGATTCTCATAAGGAGTCTACAACCTAGCTCCCTCGCACACACAGTTCACAATAGGGTCCAAGCTCCTGTGAGAAGCTAATAACACTGCTGATCTGACAGGAGGCAGAGCTCAGACAATAATGCTCGCTCGCCCACTGCCCACTGCTCGCTGCCTGCTGTGTGGCCCAATTCCAAATAGGCCACAGACCAGTTCCAGTCCAGGTCCCGGGGGTTGTGGACCCCTGATCTAAAACACAGAGTTAAACTGTGCTCTATAAAGACAATGCTGGCCTCAGTATTCACAGGGTTGGAAGAGCCAGATTAGGGATAGCTTATGAGAACCTAGCTGGTCTCCTGATTCCCAGGCTGGTGTCCCCCATCTGCCCCTGCAGGCACATCCCACACTCTTCTCCAGGATCTCACCCCTTAACTTAAGAGAACTCACACTCAAGAGAATGTTTGATTTTATGTTTGTTAGAAAGAGGTTTCTCTGGAACTACGTCTATCCCCACCTCTAGATCTCAACATTTAAAATAACTGAACTTTGGTACCCTTCAGAGCTGCGTCCTTAGCCAATTAATATTAGTTCCATTTTTGGAGAACTGAGTTGATCCAAAGTCAATGGGACCATGTTGAGAAAAAGTCAATAGGAAAATTTCAAATAAAGCCACTAATTGTCTCCTCATGGTGAGGGCTTCAACAGGATGGTGAGATTTGTTCTTAAATATCCAGGTGCCATAGGAGTTGCCTGGTCCTCAGGCCTGCACTCAGAAACAACTTCGCTGAAGGACGTCAAGCCCGCGTAGACCACACTATGAGCCCTCAAGTTATTTTACTTCCCTTCTCATCTCCTAGAGAACAGAAATGGTCTTTGCTCACTTCTACATCCTCTCAATGCCTAACACCAGTTATACCTTGTAAAAATTCAATAAAGCTTTGTCAAATTGGATTGGGCTCATCTATTCCTTACACTTCTAGTTAGTGAAATTTTACTCAGTTGGACGTCACAGTTTTTCATCAAGGTTCATAGGTATGCATGTAAGTATTGTAATTAGATGAAATCATGGTTTTTCTAGGATTTACTTCTTTCCTCCACAGAGCCACCTCTTCACCCTCATAAAATGTGGTTGACAAGAGAAAAGGAAAATTTCCTTGTTATGGTGATTGGTGCCTTATTTCTACGTTTTCCTAGAATGCAAAATCAAGATAGATGTCTGGCATATTTATACAACTTTGAAAGCAGCTGGAGTAGTTTTGTCAGAGAAATATACTCAGGAGTACTGCCCCCAATATGTAAGCATGACCTAGATATGTATTATCATTTTTAATCATCTTAGGTTAATTTCCTCATCTATCAGAGCAGAGAATCAATAGATACTGTCTCAGGCTAACAAATAACTTAAAAATTTAAATGACAGAAGATTTTATACAATGCATAGTCAAGATAACAGTGATCGCTTGTGTTTTGCCTACTCCTATACCCCCCAGCCCTCTTGCTCCAAACACACAGCAACAATAAATAAAATGTAAAGAGGGAAAATTAAAAACACATAGGCATGCTTAAAACAAGAGAAGAATCTCTATGAACCGGAAATAAAAAGTGGGAAGAGGAAGGTGTAACCATGAGCCTCCTAGGCTCAAGGTTGGGAAGCAAACATTAAGAGTGGGAATTCGGATTCTGGGGTGTAACCAGAAGTAACAACCTTCAACATGAGGTGGGGCACCTGAGTCGGGCTCACTGTTCCAAACCAGGGAAGCACTGGTACCTTTTGCTCTTGAAAGGAAGCTAGAAATGTCTGCCGACAGCTCCCAGTTACATCCCATATGAAACTGCAAGCTTAGGGAGACGGGGAGGACAGATCCTTACCACCAGGACATCAATCAAGCTGCTGACTCGATGAAAGTATCTGCAGTAACCCCAGTGTGATCACTGGGCTAGAGCTCCAGCCTGCTAATGTAAAACATGGCTCTGAACTAAGGGTCCCGAGGGGCAGGGTGGAGATGGCCACATAACTGCTAGACAGGGAGGAATGCAGGGAGAAAGAGCTCTCCCATTCAAAATGAACTTGTACACCAAAATTTAAAAACACCTGAAAAGCTGATACCAGTGAAAATGGAAGCGTTAATGCTTCGAATATGTCATGTGAATACTGGCAAAAAATTTTTAGAATCAACTTTTTTAGAAGTCTGGAAGTTAATCAAATTCTTGTAGCAATCTAGGGAGCAATTATTAAAGAAAAACAGCTAAATCTTAGCAAAGACAGCAAGTGTTGTGGCATTTTAATTTGCCCTGTTTCCATCTCATGCTCTCCAGCTCCACAGTAGCCTTGAAAATTAACAGCCTAAAATCATAGTAAAAATCAGCAGCCTGCCAGCCACCATGGGGGCTTAACAGGGTTGCTGTTCCTTCAAAGCTTCATTTCCAGAAAATTGTCATCATTCGATGTGTCTAACAGTTGTCTGGAAGCCCTCACTTTAAAGAGCTGTCTTTATTTGACCTGACTCAAAGCTCACACAGTACAAAAAGCCTTTTCCCTGGGGGGTGTTTGTTATAAACAATTAGAGGCAATTGATTACATTTGTAGCTTCCCAAGGCAGTTAGATAATTGGGGTAAACAATAGGCTAAACAAAAAGCTTAAAAGGAAAAGCTGAGGCATGAGATGTCCACAGGGGCTTTAAGAAGTTTTGACATGTTCCTGGGACTCTAGAAGGCCACACACATGCATAGGGCTATACACATACCTAGGGCTATGCACATATGCAGGAAAAACCTGAGAAGGTCCTAAGCTCCCACCTTGGGCTGACCTTGAGATCTTGCACAAGTAAGAAGTGAAGAGTTAGAGTTGCTAACAGCCTGGCTGAGTTTGGAAAGCATGCACACACACATACAAACACACACACACACGGTCCTTTGGCAAAGAGAGGGAGATTTACTGATTGCAAGAGTTTAAGGAAATCTCTATCCAATCATTTGCTCACCACTAAGGTAAGAGACTTAGATGGCTAAACAGAACTAGGAATTCAGACTTTACTCAATTAGTTCAGAAAAGTCACTAAAGAAATTAACAAAAGCAACAAACAGTAACAACAAATCCTGGATAATCTTATTTCCAGAGTTGCCAAATTTAAAATTTCCAATTTTCCACAAAATATTAAGAGACATTTAAAGAAACAAAGTATTTCATTTTCAGGGGGACTTAAGAGAAAATAATTAATAATAATAAAGAAACAAGAAATTATGGCCCATATACAGGAAGAAAAGCCGTCAATAAAAACTGTTCCTGAGGAACAGCAGACACTGGTCTTACTAGACAAGGACTTTATTTTTATTTATTTATTTATTTATTCATTCATTCATTCTTCTTTTGTGTGTGAAACAGGGTCTCGCTCTGTTGTGCTGGCTGGAGTGTAATGGCAGAAACATGATTCACTGTAGCCTCTACCTCCCAGACCCAAACAATCCTTCTGCTTCAACCTCCTGAGTAGCTAGGACCACAAGTGCAAACCACCATGCCTGGCTAATTTTTTTTTTTTCTTGGTAGAGACAGGGTCTTGCCATGTTGCTCAGGCTGGTCTCGAACTCCTTAGGCTCAAGCAATCCTCCCGCCTCAGCCACCAATAGACAAAGACTTTAAATCATCTATTGAAATTATGTTCAATGAGCTAAGGAAACTATGTCCAAAGAACTAAAGGAGAGTATGAGAATGATGGCTCACCATATAGAGAATATCAGTAAAAATGTAGAAAATTATTAAAAGGAACCAATTAGATATTCTGGCATAGAAAAATATAATAACTGAAATAAAAACTTCATTTCCAGATATGGCTTAAGTGCAATATTTTAGCAGGCAGAAGAAACATATATCCACACAAAAATTTGTATACAATTTTCATAGCAGCATTCATGACATCCCAAAAGTATAAACAACCCAAATGCCCATCAATTGATTGATGAATAGTTAAATAACATGTGGTCCGTTCATACAATGGAATATTATTCAGCCCTAAAAAGGATGAAGTAACTGATTCATCCTGTAAGATGAAACATTATGTTAGGTGAACTATAAGATGAAACATTGTGCTAGGTGGAAAAACCCAGAGACAAAAGACCACATATCATATGATTCTGCTTACATGAAATGTTCAGAATAGGCAAATCTTGGAGATAAAAAGTAGATAAGTGGTTTCTAGGGATAAGGCGGAGGGGGACATAGGGAGTGACTACTAATGAATATGAGGTTTCTTTGGGAGGTGATCAAAGTGTTTTTAATTAGATAGTGGTAATAGTTGCACAGTCTTGTGAGTTTATTAAAAACCAGTTAATTATATACTTTAAAGAGGTGAATTTTATGGTATGTGATTTATATCTCAACAACAAAAAACACATATGAAATAAACTAATCCTAAGAAAGTTAACAAAATTAATAATTGGGTATATTAATTGCAATCAAAATTAATATAATGAGCCAGTCTGGAAAAGACTTTAAAATAAGAATGTTTAAGGCTCTCAATGAGATAATGAAAGCTGTCATTTGTCAAAAGGAAACAAGAATTTATGAAACAAATTCTGATGTAAATAAAACAACAGCAGGTGGATATAAAAAAGAACCAATTATAAATCTTAGAAATAAAAATCTTACCATTTTGATTATAAACATTGGGCATGGTGGCTCACACCTGTAATCCCAATACTTTCAGGGGCCACAGTGGGAGGATCACTTGAGCCCATGAGTTCGAGACCAGCCTAGGCAATATGAGACCCTGTCTCTATAAACAAGGTGAAAAAACAAAAAAGATTAGCTGGGCATGCTGGCATGTACCTGTAGTCCCAGCTATTTGCGGGGGCTGAAGTGGAAGGATCGCTTCAGCCTGGGAAGTCAAGACTGCAGCCATAATCACACTACTGCACACCAGTCTGGACAACAGAGCAAAACCTTGTCTCAAAAATAAAATAAAAATAAATTATAATCACAATGGAGAGAATAAATTCTACAGTGGATACAATAGGAGAGAGAATTAATAAATTGGAAGATAGTATTGAGGAATTCATCTAGAATACAGCACAAGGTAGATACATATATATACACATATATACATGTGCACACATACACACACATATACATATATATGTATACACACACAGAAGAATGAAGAGTTAAGGGAGAAAGGATAGTTTAGAGGATCCAACACACTTTTTTTTTCTTTTGAGACAGAGTCTTGCTCTGTCGCCCAGGCTGGAGTGCAGTGGCACGATCTCAGCTCACTACCACCTCTGCCTCCTGGGTTCAAGCAATTCTCATGCCTCAGCATCCTGAATAGCTGGGACAACAAGCATGCACCACCATACCTGGCTAATTTTTGTATTTTTAGTAGAGATGGGGTTTTGCCATGTTGCCCAGGCTGGTCTTGAACTCCTGACCTCAGGTGATCCACCTGCCTCAGCCTCCAAAGTGCTGGCCTAGAGGATTCAGCATACTTCTAAGAGAATAGCCAAAACAGGAAAAAAGAAAGAATAGTGAGCTGGGTGCGGTGGCTCACGCCTGTAATCCAAGCACTTTGGGAGGCCGAGGCGGGTGGATCACCTGAGGTCAGGAGTTCAAGACCAGCCTGGCCAACGTGGTAAAACCCCGTCTCTACTAAAAATACAAAAATTAGCCAGGCATGGTGACAGGTGCCTGTAATCCCCGCTGCTCAGGAAGCTGCGGCAGGAGAATTGCTTGAACCTGAGAGGCGGAGGTTGCAGTGAGCCAAGATCACACCATTGCACTCCAGCCTGGGCAACAAGAGCAAAACTCCATCTCAAAAAAAAGAAAAGAAAAAAAGAAAGAATAGTGAAGAAACAATACTTAGTGAGATAATGACTGAGAATTTTTCACTATTAAAGAAAGATATAAGTCCTAACCTTGAAAGTACATGATACTGGACAGAAGAAATAAATTCACACCTAGATGCATTATAAAGAAGTGTCGGTAAATGAAGGATATAGAGAAAATCTTAAAAGCTGCCAGAAAACAAATAAATTATGCTAAAAGCCAGCCCTCATTAGCCAAATTAAAAGGTGAAAGAAAATTAAAGAATTAACTTAAAAGTGCTAAGGAAAAGTGCTACTAACCTAGACTTTCATACTTTAAGTATAAAAGTTAACAATCATTCCAGAGGGAAGGTAAAATAAAAATTTTCCCCCCAAGATGTACCATTTACTACTTAATGACTTTTCATCAAGAAGAAGTTTGAAATCAAAGAGAATAGAATACAAAGAAAATGACTACGGTCTGAATTTTTGTGTGCCCCAACTCACCCCCACCCCCACCAGTTCATATATTGTAATCCTAAACTCCACGGTGATGGTATTAGGAGGTGGAGCCTTGGGAGGTAATTGGATCATGAAGGTAGAGCCCTTAGTACCCCAGAGAGCAAGCTAGCCCCTGCCACCATGAAAGGACACAGCTAGAAAGTGCTATCTGTGAACCCAGAAATGGGCCCGAATCTGTTGGTGCCTTGATCTCGAATTTCCCCTTATTCAGAACGATGAGAAATTTCTGTTGTGTATAAGCTACTCAGTCTATGGTACTTTGTTATAGCAGCCTGAGTGGACTAAGAAAATGATGAACGCAGAAATTGATAAAATTGATAAAATTTAATTAACTGTTGACTGCATGTAATAATCACATCATCTTTTATAATTTAAACAGAAATGGAACTAAATACCTAGACTGCAGTAACAAGGATAATTGGTTATGAAATGTGATAAAAAGTATGTCAAGATTGCTCAAAAGATGACTAGAAGTATTGAATAACTTTAGATTGTATTTGCGAAACTGATCACTAAATACATATGTTAAATTTTTAATTGTAACCACTAAAGAAATATAAATAAAAGCTAAGCTTCCAATAAGCAGGGGCAAAAAGGGGGAATATATATATAGAAAACTTTATTAACGCAAAAGAAGGAAGGAAAGCAAAGAAAAAAAAAGGAAACAAATAAAAGAGCAATTTGAAAATAAGTCCAAACATCAGGGATCAAATAAATATAAATAGATTAAACTGGCATTAGCAGTAGAGACTATCAGATTTAATTGAAAGAAAATAACAATGGTTCTGACCAATTAAAGTTTTTCATGTTTCTTCTTTTAACTTTAAAGGGGTCTTAACCAACCAATTTCACTTGTTTGAAGAAACATTTATCTAAAGTTCCATTCCATTTTTTTCAGTTGCTAAATTTAAATATAACTAAATCTAATGATTTCAATTTTAAACTGGGGAAGGACAGATAGGCTGTTCTTATAAATTGTTCTATTTCTATCTTTTCTCTCTTTCCTCCTCTCTTTCTTGGTATATTCACATGCAGATGCTAAAGTAGGAAGCTGCAACTGAAGCCTTGATTTCTGCACTGGGCCGATCTTGAAGTAGTACCCAAAAGTTCTTCAGGTTCATCATGAAGAATCCCACTTATGGCCAGGTGCAGTGGCTCACACCTGCAATCCTAGCCCTTTGGGAGGCCAAGGCGGGCAGATTTCTTGAGCCCAGGAGTTCCAGACCAGCCTGGGCAACATAGCAAAACTCCATAGAAAACATACAAAAATTAGCTGGGCATGGTGGTGTGCAACTATAGTTTCAGCTACTCGGGAGGCTGAGGTGGAGGATCATTGGAGCCCGAGAGGAGGCCAAACTGCAGTGAGTTGTGATTGCACCACTGCACTCCAGCCTGGCAGACAGAGCAAGACCCTGCCACTCACAAACACACACACACACATGCACACGCACAAAAAAAAAAAAAAGAGAGAGAGAGAGATTTAGTATTTCTAACAAACTTTACAATGGTGCCCAAGATATTAAGGACAATCAATTATAAAGGCTCCTTCTGTCCTGAGCCTTCACTGGCATCTGTCACCAGAGTTATAGAGCAAGCAAGACATGGATGGATGTTCTAATGTCCTAAAAAATAGAACATGCCACTGCCACCATGCCCAGATTTTTTTTTTTTTCTTACAAATGAGGTCTCACTATGTTGCCCAGGCTGGTCTCAAACTCCTGGGATCAAGTGATCTGCCCACCTCGGCCACCCAAAGTGCTGGGATTATGGGCTTGAGCCACCATGACCAGCAAAACACTAAATCTTAAAGAAAGGGTTTTTAGCAAACAGGCGCACAACTTATTAAATTATTCCAAAGTAGATTAAAAATGAACAATTACACACAAAAGGATAAAAACAATCCCATAATCAAGGGGTGGTGCATATGTTTAAAAGAACTCTTAGAAATATATAATCAAGGCCAGGCGCAGTGGCTCACGCCTGTAATCCCAGCACTTTGGGAGGCCGAAGTGGGCGGATCACCTGAGGTCGGGAATTCGAGACCAGCCTGACCAACACGGAGAAACCCTGTCTCTACTAAAAATACAAAATTAGCCAGGCGTGGTGGTACATGCCTGTAATCCCAGCTACTCAGGAGGCTGAGGCAGGAGAATCACTTGAACCTGGGAGGTGGGGGTTGTGGTGAGCCGAGATCACACCATTGCACTCTAGCCTGGGCAACAAGAGTGAAACTCCATCTCAAAAAAAAAAAAAAAAAAAGAAATATAAAATCAGAAGTACCCTTAGACAATTTATTTAAAATACTTAACATGTCAAAAGATGGCAAAATGAAAAAAGAATATAATTGAATAGACACAAAAACACCTATAGGCAGGGTGGTAAATTTTTAGAGAATTGGTTATTAAATGGATTGATAATTAGCAAAGTGATTTTCAGGGATTTGGTCTGTTGCCATTTCAACCTAGGTGCAGCCTGAGTATTCATTTCATCTTCATTTCATTTCCTTCTCATTTCACATTATAACTTAACTATTTTCTTCTTTGTCACTTACTCTTTATAAAATTAATTGCTACTTCAATGACAGTAGTTTTTTATAAAAGTCATATGTGTTCATTATGGAACATTTGAAATATACATGAAAGCATAAAGAAGAAAACAAAAATGAACCATAATTCCATCTAGAAATAACCACTGTTTCGTTTTAATGAGCATTATGCCAGTCTTACTGGTGTTGAGAGAGAAGGAATATATATATATATGGCAATTACTATTTTTAATGTCAATTTATTATTCTGCCACAAGTGTTTCTATAATTCTATCATCTATTTCCAATTCATGGGATATTTTTATTGCTTCTGCTTTTTTGCCTTTATAGATAACATTGCATTGAACAGTTTTAAACATATAACTTACTGCTTTTGTTAAATTTTTTCCTTCAGGAACATTTTCTAAGTGTGGAACTGCAGGATCAAAAGTTTTTATGTAAAAATTCAACCCCTAGGCTGAATTTGAGAAAATTGAAGGCCTAGAGGGGAAAAGGGACGCACCTACAGTCATCTAGCCTTTGAGTAGCCTAGGACCCAGGTCTCCCAACTCCCAGCTACCAGTCTTGTACCATCCAGCCTATGTAGGATGCCAAGATATTCCAGATATGGGAAATCCATTGTTGTTGGAAGGCCTTCAATTTGTTATTCTTCTGGATTAAATTTAAGAGACTATAAAAGTTTTCTAATAACCAAATCCTTCAAAATGAACTGTTCGAAGGTTCTAAAGTCTCACCCTAGAGCAAGATATTTACTAGGCTAAAATAAATCTCTGCAATGCCTTTATAGGATCCTTAAAACCCAATTTCACAACAAAATGCTTGTTTTTACTATAAATTGAGTTTTCATTATCAGCATGAATGCAAAGAGTGCTGCTGAGACACGGTAAACACAAAGCATGTGCACAGTCGTAAATATGCACATACCTTTGGCAGAAGTAATTGTGACCTAGAGCAACAGTTCTAGCCAAATTCTGATGGGCACTCCCAGTGAAACGGAGGATTTAAAATGTAAGACAATTCCCATCCCCTTCAGAACGTATGTTTATTGCGGCACTATTCACAATAGCAAAGACTTGGAACCAACCCAAATGTCCAACAATGATAGGCTGGATTAAGAAAATGTGGCACATATACGCCATGGAATACTATGCAGCCATAAAAAATGATGAGTTCATGTCCTTTGTAGGGACATGGATGAAATTGGAAATCATCATTCTCAGTAAACTATCGCAAGAACAAAAAACCAAACACCGCATATTCTCACTCATAGGTGGGAATTGAACAATGAGAACATATGGACACAGGAAGGGGAACATCACACTCTGGGGACTGTTGTGGGGTTGGGGGAGGGGGGAGGGATAGCACTGAGAGATATACCTAATGCTAGATGACGAGTTAGTGGGTGCAGCACACCAGCATGGCACATGTATACATATGTAACTAACCTGCACATTGTGCACATGTACCCTAAAACTTAAAGTATAATAATAAAAAAAAAAGGGGCAGAGATGAGCAAGATCACAGTGGCCCCACCTCTGAAGACCCAGGCAGCTGGTCTTTGGAAATCATGAGAGGCAGGGACAGAGGGGTCTCTGTCTGTGTACCACTCATGTGCCACTGCAAGGCAGGATGGAAGACTGGAGTAGCTGGATACCACAAGCTGATCCACTTGTTTTTTTGTTTGTTTAAGACAGGGTCTAGCTCTGTCGGTCAGGCTGAGTGCAGTGGCAAAATCTTGGCTCACTACAGCCTCTGCCTCCTGGGCCCAAGCAATCCTCCCACCTCAGCCTCCCAAGTAGCTGGGATTACAGGCATGTGCCACCATGCCTGGCTAATTTTTGTATTTTTGTTGTAGAGATGGGGTTTTGCCGTGTAGCCCAGGCTGGTCTTGAACTCTTGGACTCAAGCGATCTGCCCTCCTTGGCCTCCCAAAATGCTAAGATTACAGGTGTGAGCCACCACGCCTGACCTTTCTTGTTTTTATTGGGGTAAAACTGATATAACATAAAATTCACCATTTTAAAGTGTACAGTTCAGTTGCATTAATACATTCACAATTTTGTGCAACCATTAGCTCTATCTAGTTCCAAAACATTTCCATAACCCCAAAGGGAAACCCTGTACCCATTAAGCAGTCACCCCCAATCTTCCCTCTCCCAGCCCCTGGTAACCATCAGTCTGTTTTCTGACACTGTGGGCTTCCCTGTTCTGGATAGTTAATATAGATGGAATCATACAATATGTGACCTTTTGTGTCTGGCTTGGTTCACTTAGCACAATGTTTTCGTGATTCATCAAAGTTGTAGCATGTATCAGAACTTCATTCTTTTGCACGGCTGAATAATATTTCTTTTGGGGATAGACCATATGTTGCTTACTCATTCATTCAGTGATGGACATTTGAGTTGTTTCCACCTTTTGGCAATTGTGGCTAGTGCTGCTATCAACATATATACAAGTTTTGGTTTGAATTAATTTTTCAGTTATTTTGGGTGTATGTCTAGGAGTGGAATTGCTGGGTCATATGGTAATTTTGTGTTTGACTTTTTAAAAAACAGCCAAACATTTCCACAGTGGCTGCACGATTTTACACTTCAACAAGCAATGTACAAGGATTCCAGTTTATTTACATCTTTGCCAATGCTTGTTATTTTCCATTAATTATTATTATTATTACAGCAATCCTAGTGGGTGTAAAGTGGTATCTCATTGTTTTGATTTGCATGCTCTGATGACTATGATATTGAAAATCTTTTCAAGTCCCTTGCCCATTTTTAAATTGGGTTGTCTTCTTGTTACGTTATAGGAGTTCTTTATTCTGGATACAATTTCCTTATCAGATATACAACTTGTAAATATCTTCTCCCAGTATGTATGTTGTCTTTTCATTTTTTTGATATTGTCCTTTGGTATACAAAGGTTTTTAATTTTGATGAAGTCCAGTTCATCTATTTTTTTTTCTGGCTCCTGCTTTTAATGTCATATCTAAGAATCCATTACCAAATCCAAGCTCATGAAGATTTACCCGTTTTCTTCTAACAGTTATAGTTTTAGCTCTTATGTTTAGGTCTTTGACCCACTGTGAGTTAATTTTCATATATAATGTGACAGAGGGTTTTTTTTTTGTATCCTTGTGGAAAATTAATTGACAGTTATATGGGTTTGTGTACTCTCAATTATATTCCATTGATCCACATATCTACCCTTCTGTTGGTAACACACTATTTGGATTACTGTAGCTTTGTAGTGAGTTTCGAAATTAGGAAGCATGAGTTCTCCAACTTTGTTCCTCTTTTACAAAATTGTTTTAGGTATTCAGGATCCTTTGCAATTTCATATGAATCTGGGAATCAGCTTTTCCACTTCTGCAAAAAGGCCATTGGGATTTTGATAGGAAATGCATTGAATCTGTGGATTGCTTTGAGGAGTACTGACATCTTACAATATTAAATCTTCTAATCCATGAACATGGGATATCTTTCCTTGATTTAGGTTTTAATTATTTTCAGTAATATTTTGTAGCTTTCAGTGCACAAGTTTTGTACCTCTTTAAATTTATTCATATGTATTTTTATTCTTTTTGATGGTATTTTAAATGGAATTATTGTCTTCATTTCCTTTTTGGACTGTTCATTGCTAGTATATAGAAATATAACTATTTTTGCATATTTATCTTTTATCCCATAACTTTGATGAATTTGTTTATCAGCTTGAATAGTCTTTTGTTGATTCTTTAGAATTTCCTATATATCAGATTATGTCAACTTTGAATATAAACAATTTAACTTCTTCCTTTCCAATTTGGATGTCTTTTATTTCATTTAAGAAATTGTCCAAAATTAGTCAGGTGTGGTAGTGTGTGACAGTACTCCCAGCCACTCAGCAGGCTGAGGTGGGAGGATTGCTTGAGCCCAGGAGTTCACAGTTACAATGAGCCATGATGGTGCCATGGCAACTCCAGCCTGGGTGACAGAGAGAGACCTTGTCCCTACAAAATTAATTAATTTAAAATAAATAAACAAATTACCCTTTCAAGAGATCTATCATACAACATGGTGACTATAGTTAATAATAATCTATTGTATACTTGCAAATCGCCAAGAGAGTAGATTTTAAGTGTTCTCATCACAAATAAATGATACGTATGTGAGGTAATGCATATTTTGTTTGATTTAGCAATTCCACAATGTATACTTATTTCAAAACAATATCTTGTATACAATATGTAAATTTGTCAATTTAAGAAATAAAGAAAAAAATCAGTCCTTTTCATACTGAAAAGTGGCCTGATCTCAGCTCATTGCAACCTCTGTCTCCAGAGTTCAAGTGATTATTTTGCCTGTCCCCTGAGTAGCTGGGATTACAGGCATGCACCACCATGCCTGGCTAATTTTTGTATTTTTAGTAGAGACAGGGTTTCACCATGTTGGCCAGGCTGGTCTCAAACTACTGACCTCAAGTGATCTGCTCACCTTGGCCTCCCAAAGTACTGAGATTACAGCGCCCAGCCCCCAGTACGATGCTGAATAGAAGTGGCAAGAGTGAACATCCTTGTCTTGTTCCTGATCTTAGGGGGAAAGCTTTCAGTTATTCAGCATTATGATGTCAGCTGTGGGTTTTTAACACATGCCCTTTATCATGTTGAGGAAGTTCTCTGCTGTTCCCAGTGTGTTGTTTTTGTCGTGAACACCCTACTTCTCATTCACTTATTCCACAACACCTACTGAGGTTCCTGCTGCATGCCACATCCTGTGCTGTGTGCTGGGAATAGGACAGCCAGGTCGCTTCTCTTTTCTAGCTCACACTGAAGTTGGGGAGGGGGACACCTAGACAGAAAAATAGAACAAAGAATTGTACCTGGCTTAAGGAGGGATAATAGAAGGGGACCTACTCCTGTTTGGATGAAAGGAGAGGTGTCTTGATTTGGGTTCCCTGAAAGCCCAACCTGAGGCAAGGACATGGGAGCAGGGGGTTTATCTGGGCAATGATCTCGGGGCACAGAGCCGAGGAGTGCAGAGCAGAAGAAGGGAAAGAAGCAAAGCCAATGCAGGTGTGGAACCCAGCTGGATATACTTAGGGCCACCCAGGGCTCAATTCAAGGAGACTGAAGAATTGTTCAGAATATGCCTCAGAATTGTCCTTCCAAAGGAAGGAAGGAAGGGTGGAGCCAAAAGCTTCAGCAGGTACTTGGAGTGGAAGCCTGGTGGTAGGACACAGGTGATGTGCATGAGAACTGCCTGTTCCAGCTCCAGCTGCAGATGGAGGCGGGAGTGCCAGGAGGTGGCACAGACACTAATGGCATTTCCTAGAAGGGGCCAGGGAAGCTTTCCAGGAAGAGCAGCTCTGTGATAGCCTGAAAATGGAGAGAAATGAGCTGGATAGAGTAGGCAGGGGACAGACCCTGCAGGGTACATTAGTTGGCTCAGCCACACTAACAAAATATCTCAAATTGGGAAGCTTAAACAATAGAAATGCATTTTCTCACAGTTCTGGAGACTGGGAAGTCTAGGATCGAGGTTCCAACCAATTCAGATTTTAGTGAGGACTCTTCCTGGCTGATACATGGCCGCCTTCTCGCTGTGTCCTCACATGGCAGAGAGTGAACTCCCTGGTGTCTCCTCTTCCTCTTTTTAGGACACTGATCCCATCAGATCAGGACTCTACCCTTACAAGCTCATTAAACTTTTATTACTTCTTAAAGACCCTATATCCAAATAGTCACACTGGGGTTTGGACTTCAACATATAAGTTCTAGGGAGAGACACAATTCGGTCCACAGCACAGGACTTTGGACACTGTCCTTGGGGCAGGAGGGGAAGCAGTGAAGGATTTTAAGCCTAGAAACAGCACTGTGAAACTTGCTTTCAGTTGACGCCTCTGGTCATGGTGCAGAGAATGTTCAGAAGGGAGGGGAGAGTGAAAGCACAGATACTATAGAGGTCCAGGCCAGAGCTGATGGGCCCACAGTTGAGGCAGGGGAGAGGAGAACAGCAGCCAGATCTGAGAGCCATCAGAGGGCAGCTCAATGGGAGGCATCGATGACTGAACGTGGGCCGTGAGGGAGAGAGAAATCAGAGATATTGCCCAGTTTTCCAGCTTAAGCAGTTAGGTGTCTGGTGGTGTCATTGACAGAGACAGGGAATCCAAAAGGAGGAGATGAACAGCATGAGGTCAGTTTTGGACCTGGGGAAGAGAGGTCCTGCAAGATAGCTCTAGCATTATTTTGCCACCGCTTGGAGCCAAGCTGACATGCTTTCCTTCCTGTAAAATTTTCTGGCTTCAGTAGGTACTCAAGAAGTGTTTGTTGATTGAATAAATGACTGATTGTTGGCCCACATAGATCCATTGCTCACTTTGTTCTTTGTTCTTTTATTTCTTCTCTTTATCAATTTAAATCTTGCCCTTCCCATCAAGAGCCTCCTTCTCCAGGAGCCACCAACTCTATGGCCAATCTGTAGACCCCAGGACACAGGCCACAAGAAACCTTGTGGGAGGGGATTGGGGTAACATACATTTGGCTGCATCATCTGGAGACAGCCCCCAGGGTTCAGAACAGTTGTATCTTCTGCCCTGACATACATACAGGGACATTGGAGGGCCTCCAGGGCAGGGCCCAGGCTCAGAGGAAGCCTTCGTAGTGGAACTTGGTCAGTTGAGGAGCACAGAGCTCTCTGGCCCAGATTGTTTCCTGTCTGCTCACCCAAGTGAAGGACTCAGTGAAAGCAGCCATGAAGCCCAAAGGTACTGCCAAGGAGGCTAGAATGGAGCATGCACTTGCTTGTGGTATGGGTCAGTGTGGCAGATGTCAGTGGCCAGGAAGGAGCTAAGGAGGAGAAAACATTCCTCCTCTCTTCCAAGGCTAAGGAACAAGCAGTGATAGACATGCTGGGGAGGGCAGCTCTGGCGCTTTTCCAAGTGCTTGTTCGGGTGCATTGCCATGTTCTTGGGACAGTCATGTGCCTGCTGCACCCACTGGCTTGCTTTTCTCATTGTACCCAGTGCACTGTATATTCAAGTTTCACCTCCCTGCCTTCGCTTCTGCAGTACAATCATCCATAACACTCTCTCCAGTTCTCCCTCCCCATTACATCCTAGCCAACATGCAGAGCCTGAATCAAGGAGACACTCAATCCTTCTCAACGGGTTTTTTTTGTTTTTTTTTTTTGAGATGGAATCTTGCTCTGTCGCCCAGGCTAGAGTGCAGTGGCACGACCTCGGCTCACTGCAAGCTCCACCTCCTGGGTTCATGCCATTCCCCTGTCTCAGCCTCCCGAGTAGCTGACTACAGGCGCCCACGACCACGCCCAGCTAATTTTTTGTATTTTTAGTAAAGACAGGGTTTCACCATGTTAGCCAGGATGGTCTCGATCTCCCGACCTCGTGATCCACCCATCTCGGCCTCCCAAACTGCTGGGATCACAGGCGTGAGCCCCCGCACCCAGCATTTCAGCGGTTACTTTTCTGATTAAGTGACACTTCCCCCAGGAAGACTTCCCTGCATCTTCCAGCCCCTTCCACTCTCTCCCCACTGAGTACCTATAATCCTTCATCTGAGGCGGCCGGTAGAGTTTACAGGTTCAAAGCCCAGACTCTGAATTCAGCTGGTCTAGATTCAAAGTCTGATTCTACCACTTAACAGCAGCAAGAGTCTGGGCAAATTATTTAACATCTCTATGCTGCAGTTTTCTCACCTGTCAACTAGTGTTAATAATAGTTTCTACCCCACAGAGCCCTTGGAGGGATTAAGTGAAACAATAGCTGTGAAGTATTAGCTGTCTGTGTCCCTAAGCCCAGCTGCCAAACATGGCATCCCCTGTCCAACCAGTGAGAAGAATAGAAATCCATCACTTGGGGATCTTTGTTACAGGAAAACCGAAAACAAAGGTCCAAATCTTGGAGCTGAGTTATTGAACAGCTTAGACTAATTTGGAGCCCATCAAGCTTGGATTTGAATCCTGGCTCTGCCAGCCCTGTGAGCTTTTGCAAGTTATTCCATTGGTCTTAGCTTCAGTTTCTTCATCTGTAAAATGGGCATAATCATGCCCACTTTACAACATTCTAGAAGGGATAAAATGAGATGATGTTTGCATAGTGGAACTGTGGTGCATCAACAAACACCCTCCTTCATGTTGGAGGAGCTCATGCCCCAGAGTACTGTGAGAACAGGTAACATAACTCTCAATTCAGACACCCTGTCTTTGTCCATTTGTGCTGCTGTAACAAACTACCTCAGACTGGATAACCTAGAAAGAACAGGAATTTATTTCTCACAGTTCTGGAGACTGGGAAGTCCAAAATCAAGGTGCCAGTGGATTCCATGTCTGGTGAGGACTGCTCTCTGCTACCAAGATGGTACTTTGTAGCTGTGTCCTCGCATGGCAGAATACGAGTAAATGAATCCAATCCCTCAAGCCCTTTTATAAGGGTGTAATCCCATTTATGAGGGGATTAGTGATAGTGTGTTACATCAAGACCTAATCACCAATGTGACAGTATTAAGCGGTGGAGCCTTTAGGCAGTGATGAAGTCCTCGTGACTTAATCTAGTGCTGGCCCATGCAGGGAGATAATGGCCCAGCCTCCCTGCCTTAATTCAACTGGAACAAGAGCCAACCCAGCTTCCAAGCTCCCAGTGGAATCAACTGAGGCCTCTGCTGCAACCGCATTGCAGCCTGACTTTTCTCTGTGCCCCGACCTGTTTCCCTCACTCCCCTAAGATGCTGTTTCCAAGAACACTTGCCTACACATTATCTGCATGCACCTGTCTGGCTCAGAGTGGCAGTTACATTTTATGTGTCAACTTGGCCGCATTACCCAGATATTTAGTCAAACATCAATCTGAATGTTGCTGTGAAAGTATTTTTTAGATAAAATTCACATTTAAGTCAATAGACTTTAAGTAAAGCAGATTACCCTCTATAATGGGGGTGGGCCTTATTCAGTTAGTTGAAGCCCTTAAGGAAAAACAGACTGAGGGCCCCTGAAGAAGATGGAATTCTGCCTTCACCCTATCTTCAGACTCAAGCTGCAACATCATCACTTCCCTAGATCTCCAGCTTGCCAGTCTAACCTGTAGGTTTTGGACTTGCCAGCCTCCAGAATCGTGTGAGCTGATTTCTTATAAAAATTTTTTCTCTCTCACATACACGCATGCACACACACCCCATCAGTTCTGTTTCTCTGGAGAACCCAATACACCCAACAATCAACCTAAGGCCTGCAAAGTGCCTGTGGGAAGCACTCCCAGGTTGGTGGTTTGTATTAATTCATTGAAGAGTTGAGTGGGTTTCTGTCTTCTGATCTATACATCACAGATGTATCCTCAGAGTCTCTATCAGCTCCCACGCCCTGTGGATCCATGCAGGTGCCCCTGGTTAGGCTGAAACGTGGGGTTGGAATAACACATGAGATTCTTAACTCAGATGCCCTGGAATTAATGGAGCTTTGGGGGAGGAGGTTAAACCTGACATCCTTATGATTCCCCTTTGATTTCCTTCTGGGTACGGCATGTTGAAATGTCTTTGTTATGTAAAAATGGTTTATGACCTATTATTCTTTCTCTTCCAACAAGTACAGCGTGGTAGGCAGTAGTCTACATACTTAGGTAACATCTGATCACCATCACTGGGCTTTGGTGTCTGCAATAGTTTCCTGTAAATAGACATTTAAAAAGACCTACTTTAAGACTTACTCTTCAGTGATGATTATGAACATATGCTCATGTTTACAGAGAGATTAAGTTAGAAAATGTCAGAACAAAGAACGTGCAAGGAAACACCAAGACCTTTCAGGTTTCACTTTTATCCACAAACATGACAAGATACTCAGGGCCCAGGTTCATGGCCATCAAAGCATGAAGCCCATATATCCAAGGAGCCCATTCTACTAGGATCCTCAAAGCAGGATCCATGAGAAGTAGGTGTGGTTTTAAAGGCTGGCACTTGACCAGAAGTTGAATGTTCCTACATACACAAGCTTCACCTCAAAGCACGCTCCAAGGTGTGAAGCCTCGCCAAGCGAAAGAGGCCATGCATGACCTAAGAGGCCCTGCAGAAACCGTTCAGCCGGTTTGTGACTTGGAAGAAAATCACAGGCTTTGTCAAATGATGTCATCTCACCCAGCAGCCATGACTTGCCTTAAAAACATTTGAGGCCAATCTTGACATGGAGCCACTGGCAGAGGTTTCCCTTGCTATTCATTTATTTAATTTTCATTTTGTCATGAGGAAAGAAGGCTGACTCTCAGAATACTTTGATGGAAGGACTTCCTTCTGCTTGGACTCCCTTGATGGCTGATTTTTGTCACACAAATGAGGTACATATTTCGAGGCCTTTGGGAGTTTGTAGAGTTGTTGAAAATTATCCATTTAGATTAAGGTGTTTCTGATGTATGACCATGAAACTGTGCGTTGGTTCGTCCTTATCTGCGTTAATCTCTTTCGTATCGGTGGTTACGCCCTGTTTCTCATTTTGTTCATGAGTTCTTTTTTTCCCTGTGGTTGGATTTGCCAGAAGTTTGTATATTTCATTAGTCCTTTTAAGGAGCTAGCTCTTGGTTTCATTTATAAATTCCACTGAGTTATTTTGTTGTTGTTGTCCTCTAATTTATTTGCTTCAGCTTTCATCTTTATTATAGTATTCTTACCATTTTCCTCTGGCTTATTTTTGTTCCTTTTCTAGTACACAAAGTTGGTTGTCTTATTAGTACATAAAGTTGGTTGTCTTATCATTTTGAAGATAACATTGTATAAAGTTGTGAATTTCCCTGTAAGTACTGCTATGTCTGCATCCTGCAAAATCACTCTATTGTTTTGATTGGTCTATGTATGTTTTTTATAGACCAATGAGATGTTTCAAAGGAAAAATAGCAATAAGCAAAACAAAAACAAAAGCAAAGATAAAAAACAAATCACCAGAAATCCCACTTCCCAGTTATATTGATATTTTAATATCTTCTAGATTTTTTCTTTGCAGATTTGTGTCTATTTTCACATATTTTTTACAACATGAGGTCACACTTTACACTATTTTGTAATGTACTTTATCTAAAGAATAAAATTAGAAATTTCTTGTTATTATGACTGGATCTACACTGTCAAATTTTGTGGTTGTTGAGGATTTATTCTGTTATGTAGATTCCCCATAATTTACCAGCTACTTATTATTAAACATTTAGGTTGTTTTCAATTTATTTTCTCATTAAAAAAATATTGCAATGTATATTCTGGTTGCTAAATAGTTGCATACATCCATGATTACTTTCTCAGGATGAAATTGTAGAAGTAGAATTGCTAGCAGAGGCAGGTGTAGTTTTAAGACTTTTGATACATTTTGTTTTTGTTTTTTTGAGACAGAGTCTTGGTCTGTTGTTCAGGCTGGAGTGCAGTGGTGTGATCTTGGCTCACGGCAACTTCTGCCTCCCAAGTTCAAGTCATTCTCCTGCCTTAGCCTCCTCAGTAGCTAGAATTACAGATGTGCACCACCATGCCTGGCTAATTTTTGTATTTTTAGTAGAAACAGGGTTTTGCCATGTTGCCCAGCCTGGTCTCAAACACCTGGCCTCATGTAATCCACCTGCCTTAGCCTCCCAAAGTGCTAGGGTTACAGGCGTGAGCCACTGTGCCCGGCCACATCATGTTTTACTTATCCACAGAGTAGTTGTACCAGTGATTTTCCCTTAGCCTAAAAGCTCCCATTTCTAACTACACTCACCAATACTGAGTATTTTCAATGTTGGACTATTGGTGAGTGCTATGGTTTGAATGTGTCCCCCAAAGTTTGTATGTTGGAAGGCTAACCCCAATGCAACTCTCAATGCAACCGTGTTGAGAGATGGCACCTTGAAGAGATGATTGGGGCATGAGGGCTCTGCCCTCATAAATGGATTAATGCTGTTATTGTGGGAGTAGGAATGGATTTGTGATGGTGGAGTGACTTTCTTATAAAAGCATGAGTTCGGCCCCCTTCTCTCTCTCAGGAGTGTTCTCTTGCCCTTTTGCCATAGGTGATGCTGGCACCTTGATATTGGACTTTCCGGCCTCCAGAATCATGAGAAATAAATTTCTGTTCTTTATAAATTAGTCTGTGGTATTTTGTTAAAGCATCACCAAACAGACTGTCAGTGAGAGAGGAAATGATTATTTTAATTCGAATTTATTTTATTATTGGCAAAGGTGAAGACTTTTATACATTTATTAGTCACATATTTTCGGACTGCATTTTCACTTCCCTTACCCTTTCATCTTTATTCTTATTAATTCACAGGAGCTCTTGGCTCTTTGCCATCTATATTCCAAATATTTTGATCATTCTATTATCAGACTTTTCAAATCTGTCTAAGTATTCTTGCCTTATGGAATTTTCAAAATTTTATTCAGTTAAAAACATCAATCTTTTTTCTCCCATGGCCTTTGTCTTTATGCATATGTTTAGAATGCTCTTACAGAGTGAAGATCAAATTCTTTTTAGGGAGTAGGTGTGTCTATCACCCAGGCTGGAATGCAGTGGTGTGATCTCAGCTTCTCAAGGGATTCTCTCGCCTAAGCCTCCCAATTAGCTGGGACTACAGGCACATGCCACCACACCTGGTTAGCTTTTTGTATTTTTAGTAGAGATGGGGTTTCACCATGTTGCCAGGTTGATCTTGAACTCCTGAGCTCAAGCAATCTGTAAACCTTGGCTTTCCACAGTGCTGGGATTACAGGCGTGAGCCACTGCGCCCAAAGATCAAATTATTCTACATTTATGATTATCTGTTTATATATAAATCTTATAAACATCTGGGATTCGTTTTAGCATGTGATATAAACTGATTTGATTTTCCCAGTAGCCTGTTGGTTTCAGTAATACCCTATCCTTTGAAATGGTAGTTATTATATACAAATTGTATATAGATATGTATGAAATCACACCTTCACACCTGTTTCTGGCTTTCTGTTTTTGTACCATTGACTATCTAGTCATTCACAGACCTGGCTCAAGTTCACTGTCATGCCTAAGAGGGCCAGCTCTGAAGTCATTTTGGCAACACTTGAACCTGTTCTCTCTACTGACATGTTCTATGACTCAGACAAGTTATTTAAACTCTGGACTTCGTTTTTCATGAGGTTCACTCTGAGCATTAAGTAGAAGGATACATGTAGAGTTCTTGGCTCAATGCCTGGCACGTTCAAGGATTTGATTACATAGATATGATTGTTATTACTGTGGATATTCCAGTGTAACTCAGAGGTCAGATGGGTACTCCCTTCTTCCTTGGAGTAAACTTGGTTTTACCATTGAAAGGAGGTGAAGGGGGGAGCTGCACAAGCCCAAAGCCTGGCTCAAGATTCAGTGACCTTCCAGGGTCAGGGCCATCTCTGCTGTTTCTGACCTTCACCACTTAAGCCAGCTGTGAGGGTCTGTCCCAGCTTGGAGATCCAACCCACTGCCCCACCCCCATCAAAGTCTACCCCTAAAGCACTGATGACCACCGTAGGCATTCCTCAATCCAGGAAGTGCAGGGAACAGAGAAGGCCCCTATGTTGAGGGCAGGTAAGCAATGTCAAGGTGGAACAGGAGGCTTCCCCAATGGGATGCTGCTCCAGGTGCCCCTGATACTCCCAACAGTGAGTTTTACCCACCTTTCCCCTGTCTTTGCACCTCTCCTTCTCTGTGTACCCTTTCTTTTCTCACCTCTTCACTTTTTTTTCCCAAAAACAGAACCTAAAGTGCCTCCTTGTGCCTCAGACAGAGCAACTCCTCCACCCTCTGACATCTCGGCTCCTGCCAAGCCCATGCCCTCCTCCTCCCCAAGGGACCTCACAGGGTGTTTCCCCAAAGACAGCTCCTTCCTGAAGCAGGATTCTACCAGCTGTTCAGATGCAAAAGTAGTCTTCAAAGTGCCACATTACCAATAATATTAATAGCACCCACAATTATGAAATGCTTAGCATAACTCAGACCACATACTCTGTATGATGTCTGATAAACTTTACAACAATTTTACAAGGCAGTCACTGGGGGAGGAAAATTTTGAGGTGAATATGACTGGGACTCAAAGATCTGGTGTAAGTATTAGAGGAGGGTTTTGAGAATAGGGGGACCTTCCTCCAAAACCTGAGCTCTTAACTAGCCCCTCATAGCTGCCTTTTTAAGACTTCATAAATGTTTCTAACTTGGCCTGAAAGACTCTACTAGTCTTTTGGTTTCAGGATGGTGAATGACAGTAGCCAATGTGCATATTAGAAAAGTCCCTCTAGCTACAGTGAAGAGTGTGGATGGACCTCCTTGCCCGTCATTATGCTGGGCCCAGGACTCTGTATGTAATAAAGGTTCAGAGAGCATGTCTCAAACAGTATTGCTTATCTTCTGCCATGAGTTTCCATTTCTGTAATATGGGGATTTGGTCTCTGCTTTCATACCACTACATCTCATCGGTGACCTTAAAATTAAATGCATATCCTGTATAACAGCCGCAGAAGAAAGCTAGACAGGTACAGTTATATCCACTTTATAATTGGGGGAATTATGAGGTCCAGAGAGGTTAAGAAACCAGGCTAAATTCATACCAGAAGTCTCTGGCAGAGCTGGAGCTAAAATCCAGACCCCTCAAACTTGTTCTGGCAGTACTCCACTCATCCATGCGGCTCCCTGCCACCTGCCCCTTGGGACCCCCAGGCTCTACTTCCAAGCCTCCATCTCTCCTTTCTGCCAGGGATGCTGATCTTGTTTTTCTCAGTTATACTGAGTCTCTGTTTAGGTTTCTGTTTAGGTCCTTGGGTGCTGAACTGCCCAAACCCACCACAGCCCTTACAGTCAGGATCTGGTCTCATGAGTTATATCTACTGGCTCATTGGATTCTCGAGAGGAAATTAACATCTTCTGCACTAGGGCTGCCCTACCCAACAGTCAAGCCTCCCTGGCTTTTCTATGTTAAGGGAGCCACTGATTGGTTCAGGAAGGCACTTGACCCACAGAGGACCCACCCATAGGCTGGCCACTGAAAACGTGGTGGGCCCAAAGGGCTCTGCCCAGTAGGGTTCTAATTCTTCTCCCTCCCTTGGGACCAAACCAGTGGTAGTGAGGGGACAAAGGAGCTGACCTCCCTAGAGAACAGGAGAGCTTGTTAACCAGAAGCACATTCCCAGAGCCTCTCCTAAGCCTGGTGCCCTCCCCATCCACGCACATCCTTACAGTAAACCTTCTTTTCTCAAGACAGCACAGGGGGCATCCAGTCTTTGCAACTGAGATTCCAATGCATTTTATAGAGGAGGTGACACAAGCTCTGGGAGATTTCAGAACAGGGTCACCCATTTAAAAAGTGCCAGAACTGCGATACAAGCCCAGAACTCCCTGATTCCAGAAGGCTTGATCTTTCCAGAGCTCAACACACAGGGTTTACCAGCGACTCAAAGATGCCACTGCCAACTGGAAGACACCAGCTCCTCCTCTCATGTGTCATCTAGTCTCCCGGACCAGGCCACCATCCTTAGCTACCCTTCATGGGGTAAAAACCACATGTACTCAGGCCTTTACCTACTACACATCGTCTTATCCTCACAACCCTCTAAGGTACATATTATTATCCCAATTTTACAGGTGAACGAACCAGAGTTCAGAGAAGTAGAGTCACTCGTCCACAGTCACAGAACAAGAAGTGATGGTGCCAGGACTTAAAAGCTACCCAGAGCATCTGCTCTTAACGCCTATGGGATATCTCAGCAGTAGAGGCAGGGATAACACTGTTGCTCCTCCTCCAGCACAGCCAGGCCAGTCTCTTTGCTGTTCCCTGTGCACATCAGTGTGCTGTCAACACATTTTCTCATGCTGTTCTGTTTTCCTGTGAACATTCTACCCACCTCTACAACTACATCTCCTCCAGGAAGTCCTCCTTGATTCCCCTGCTGACAGTTCTCTCTCCCTCCACCATTCTACAGCTGTCACTCTCCTATCTTGAGTGGTGGGTCATCTCGTTATTTGACTAGCTCCCTAGCAGAGGCCGGGATCTCTGCTGTGTTCACCTCTGCATATCTGGCACCTGGCAGTTTATAGTTTACAAAGCACCCTTAAGTCCATTCTCTCTCTCTCTTTCTCTCTCTCTCTCTCTCTCAACCTTTAACATTGACCAAGAGTCAGCAGGACAGAGACAACTATTTCACTTCAAAAATGAGGAAAGTGATTTCCTCTGGCTGATCAAAAAGCTTTGTTCTCTGAACTTGGCTTTGTGACGCAGATTTCACAGAAAGACTGGGCAGTGGCGACTCCAAACGCATATTTACAGGTTTGTCAAGTGTTGCAAGAGCCTGCAGATCCCTAGCTTCTGCATAAAGAGGCCTCATGAAATCCAATGAAGTCACACCTCCACACCCAGAGCCCTGCCTGCTGGCACAGTGCAGTCCTTCTCTGGGTGAGATCCCACTGAATATATTCACATCACCTGAGGGCCAGCAGCAGGCTGGGGCCACCTGCGCATGCTCCTAGGAAAGAGCCAGTGAACCCCCATGTGGCCATTGAGGAAACTGAGGAAGAGGGGCCAGGGACGTTCCTGGGTCTCGAAGCAAGTTTGTAGCAGAACCTTTCTCCCTAACTGGGGAGAACTGGAATTGAGGTATGAGCAGGTGGCAACTGCAGCCCTTCCCAGCACCTTTCCCTCACTCTGTATTTTTGTCACGATGTGGCTGATGCAGGAACAAACAATCCCCAAATCTCTGTACCTTACCACTATAAAATTAATTTATTTCTCATGAAAATCCACAGTGATTCCAGTGAAGTGACTCATGATACAGGCTGCTTTGGTCTTGTGACTCCCATCTCCACCTGAGGTGTCCTCCGCAACCACTGTGGCAGGGGAAGAGAGAAACTGTGAGAGTGCACTGGAATGACACTGCCATGGCCTGAGAGTGCCACCTGGCATTTCTTATCGTATTTCACGAGCCAGAAATATGTATGTGGCCCTGACTAACTTGAGGGCTGGAAAGTTTCCCATATGCTGAGGGAAAAAGGAGACCTGGGGATCAGTAATGTCTATTGCATGCTTTCCAGGGACTCAAACATCATAGTTCTCTCCACGTCCCTCCATTTGAGCCATTTTAAAAAGATACCCTTTTAGGGAAGTGTATTGGTCAGCAATTGCTGCGCCAATGCTGCGTAACAAACCACTCCAACACTCGGTGGCTTACAACAATAAGCATTTATTTTTCTTCCTTGTGAGTCTGTAGATTGAGTGGCTTGGCTGTGTTCCAGGTTGCAGTTTGGCCTGGGTTGACTGCAGGCTTTGACTTGGACTCAATCTGCTCCTAAGACCAACAGCTGTTCTGGGCATGTTTTCATGGCAGATCAGAGGGCACAGAAGGCCAAGTCAAACCATGCCACACATTTAAGGCCTCCCTCTGCACACATCACATGTGCTAACATTTCTTTAGGCAAAGCAAGTCAGATAGTCAAGCCCAAAGTCAAAGGATGGGGAGGTAACCCCTGCCCACCCCAAAGCCACAATAAGTGTAACGATGTACAATTCTATTAATGGAGAAAGTAGAGATTTGGGAGCAATGAGCCAATCAGCCATGAGAAGTTGTATTAGTCTGTTTTCACACTGCTGATAAAGACATACCCGAGACGGGGTAAATTATAAAGAAAAAGAGGCTTAATGGACTCACAGTTCCACTTGGCTGGGGAGGCCTCCCAATCATGGCAGAAGGTGAAAGGCATGTCTCACATGGTGGCAAACAAGAGAATGAGAGCCAAGCAAAAAGGGTTTCCCTTTATAAAACTATCAGATCTTGTGGGTCTTAATCACTACCATGAGAAAAGGACAGGGGAAACCGAAACCGCCCTGATGATTCAATTATCTCCCACTGGGTCCCTCCCACAACACAAGGGAATTATGGGAGCTACAATTCAAGAAGAGATTTGGATGGGGACACAGCCAAACCATATCAGAGTTCTTCAGGAAAGGCATGGGGTTTGGAATCCCACAGATAAGTGGTTTGAATCCCAGCTCTACCACTTACGGGTTGTGTGCCCCTGGGTAACCTCTCTACCCCTCTGAGCTTCAGCAGCCACTTCTATAAAACGAGACACATAGCTTTCTCTTCAATTCCTGTGCCATTCAAAAATCACAAATAACAGTTACTAAGTTCCCACCACGTTAAGCACCAGGAGAATGTTTTACATCATCATTAATTAGCTCTTCACCCCCTGAAGGTACTTGTTCCCTCATTACACCCACATTAGTGTGGATTAGCAGATTTGGGAGTTAGGAGCCAAAAGACCCACCACGGCAAAGGAAAGGATACTGAAAGGAAAGTAAAAACAAGAAAAGGCCCAATGCTAATGTCACCAAGATCATAGTGGCTGGCACTAGGAAGCATCCTCCAGAGAAAAAGACCCAATAGAATATATATATGCATATACACAAGCATGCATATGTATAAACACATTATATGTATGTGTTTATGTGTAATAAACATATTACATGTTTGTGTGTGTATAGATTGTTATAAAGAACTGACTCACAAAATTGTGGAGGTTGAGAAGTCCTAAGATCTGCAGCCAGCAAGCTGGAGACCCAGGAGACCTAATGGTGGAGTTTCAGTCCAGGTCCAAAGGCCTGGTATAAGTTCCTGTCTGAAGGCCGGCAGGATTGAGAACCAAGAACTAATGTTTCGGTTCAAGTCTAAAGGCAGGAAAAGACTGATGCCCCAGCTCAAGGTAGTCAGGCAGGAAGAGTTTCCTGTTACCAGTTGGAGGGTCAACATTTCTGTTCTTTTTGGGCCTTCAACTATTGAGTGAGGCCTACTCACATTGGGGAGGGCCATTGGCTTTACTCTGTCTACCCATTCAGATGTGAATGGCAGAGGCCAGCTTGGAAGCCAGGCAGCCTGATCCCCAGGGTCTCTGCCCTCCCACCAAGCTGGCATCTCGCCTGGTTTCATCCAATCAGAATGTCAATATTTGTTTCTAAACAGACAGCCAGTTAACCTGTGTCCTCCAGAGGATTCACTTTTGAGGGACCTTCTGAAATGTATTGGGTAAATTATGTAGCAATCTAAATCATTCAGCCGTCCATTTCCTTATGCAGTCAGCCCAGTGCTGAACACACAAACATGTAACAGAGGTCTCTGCCTTCAAGGACTCCCCAGATTCCTGAAATTCCACACCTCCAGGTTCCTTCCTTTGGCTGAAGGGTTCCTTCCTGTGAAAAGTCCACTTTAAATGGAAAGTGTTTATTTGCCTAACTAGCTACAGGTAGATGACCCCAAACCAGAGGCTCAGCCATTGCTCCATTTTGCATCTGAGCACCTACTGCAGTTTTACTGCAACAGAAATGGGCCCAAGGTCATCTTGGTTGTGGGTAAACCAATATTTGCTCTTGATTTTGAAAAAGGGAGGGGATTATATCAGCCTGTCCCAGTCATGCCTGGCAGAGCTTATGAGAAGGTGACTTTTCCATTAAAAGCCCAGCTTATGTCTTATGTATTTCTAAAGAGCCACAGTTTGAACTTAATTCCTCCTTTAAGACAAGAGCCCCAAAGTTAGTATTTAAAATGTCACACACAGCCAGAGGCTTCCGGTGGGTCATGGAGGGCGGGACAACTTAGACTGAGCAGTAATAAAATTGACACCGAATGACTTCAAGACTCAGAGAGGTGCCCTAAGAGTTCAAGAATAGAACATCTGAAGCCAAACCATGAATAAATCTTAGGAAAGTTGATAGCAGAGCTTTACAAAAAAAGGAAACTGGTAAATAAGCTAAGCTTAAGCTTTGAATTCGCATGATGAGGGTTAAAGAAAGTGACACCTAGGGTGACAGTGAATTGTGGAGAGTTGTGTGCAGGAAGTGGGCGCCTCACCAAGGTCACCTCCTTTCAAGCAGTCTCCTTATTTACCAAGGGACACTCAGAGAAGGGAGGGAGTGCCCTCCCTTGGGACCTAAAGCTAGTAAGTGGCAAAACTAGGATCTGAACCCAAGCCTGCCTGGATTCGTATATGTGAAGGACTCAAAAACAGTGCTGGGCACACAGCACCATATCTCCATTGACTATTATTGTTACTATATTTCAAAGCCTAAGACAAGTCCAGCTTTTTTTTTTTTTTTTTTTTGAGATAGAGTCTCACCCTGTCACCCAGGCTGGAATGCAGTGGTACAATCTCAGCTCACTGCAGCCTCGACCTCCAGGGCTCAAGTGATCCTCCTACCTCACCACCTCAGCTTCCCAAGTAGCTGGGACTACAGGCGCATGCCACCACGCCTGGCTAATTTTTATATTTTTAGTAGAGATGGGGTTTCACCATGTTGGCCAGGCTGGTCTTGAACTCCCGACCTCAAGTGATCCACTCACCTCAGCCTCCCACCGTGCTGGGATTACAAGCGTGAGACATAGTGTCCGGCAAGTTCAGCTTTCTTTATTGAGAGTCTCACAGTGTAATCCCTTCAAAGATCCTTCATGGTGTCACCTGAAAGTTACCTCAATTATTCCGGAAACTCAAATTAATGTGTTGCCAAAAGTGGATCATGGCAGAAACTGTTAGCCATCATGACTAATTCCCCTGCCCACTGCTGCTCCAAAACACTATGTGTAAGGATAGCTTTTATCACCCACCCTATCTTGCAATTTGCTTTCTTTACTATGCTAACATACGTGTACATCTTTCCACTTGGGTACACAGAGCTTACACATTGTTGGCAATGGTTGTTCAGCCTCCATTACAGGGCTGTATTACTGTTTATGTAACCATTCCCTCATATTGTTGTTCACTTTCGTTCTTTTCAGTTTTTCACTATTAAAAACAATACTGTGCTGAGCACCTGGTATAATCTTGTGTATTCATGTTAGTATTTCTATAGAACAGATTCCTAGAAGTAGAATTACTAGGTCAAGGGTGGGTGCATTTACAATTTTGATAATTAATGCAAAATGGTCCTCCCCGAAAGTCATATTTACGCTTTCACCAACAACATTTGAGATTTCCCATTTCCCCTCAACCCTAACAATATAGATCATATCAATATTTTTTTAACCAGGTGGGTAAAAATAGCTGTATTAGTCCGTTTTCATGACACTGTAAAGAACTGCCTGAGACTAACTTATAAAGGAAAGAGAATTAATGGACTCACAGTTAGCATGGCTGAGGAGGCCTCAGGAAGCTTACAATCATGGCAGGAAGCCAAAGCAAGACACCTTCTTCCCAAGGCAGCAGGAAGCCGAAAGGCTGAGAGAAAGGGGAAGAGCCCCTTATAAAACCATCAGATCTCGTGAGAACTCATTCACCATCAAGAGAACAACCTGGGGGAAACTGCCCCCATGATTCAATTACCTCCACCTGGTCTCTCCCTTAACAAGCGGGGATTACAGAGACTACAATTCAAGATGAGATTTCAGTGGGGACACAAAGCCTAACCATATTAATAGTTATATCTAATTTATGTTTATATGATTATTAATGAAGTTGAACATCTTTTTATATATTTACTGACATATCAATCTATAATTTTCTGTATGTATTTCTTCTTCTGATAATTACCTCTTTTATCATTTGCCCATTTTTAATAGGTTGTTGTCTTTTTCTTATTAATTTGTAAGCACAGTTAATACCTTATGGATACTAACCCTTGGTCTGTTATATAGGTTGCAAATATTTGCTCCTAGCATATCATGCATTTTTTATCTTTGTTTATGGCTTAGTTAACCAAATAGAGTTTTAAATTTAAAGGGCAGCCAATTTGTCAATCTTTTCTTTGTGGCTTCTGCAATTTGTTATGTTTTGAAAGGACTTCCTCATCCCAAAATTATGAAAATATTTCTGTATATGGAATTTTATTTTATCCCTTGAATGTATATTTTTAATCCATATGAAATTTATTGTTTGCAACATGAAGAAAGATCTAGTTGAATTTATTTCCAAATGTACAGTTGACTCAGCCTTATTAATGAAAATTTACCCTTTCCTCTCCAATCTTAAAGTTTCACTTTTATCACATACTCAATTCCCACATATACCTGAGTCTGTTTCTAGATTCCCTAATCCAATGGTTCTCAAACTTTGCTGCATATTGGAATCACCTGGGAAGTTTTTAAAACTCCACATACCTGGTTCACACCCCCGACTAATTAAATCTCCCCGACTAATTAATCTCTGGGAGTTCAACAAAGGTGACAATATTTTTTAACTCCTCAAGTTTGAGAATACTATAATGCACTGGTTCTTCAACCTTGGTTAACATACAGAGGCTCAGGTTCTGTTCTCCTTCTTTTTTTGAGTCAGGGTCTTTCTCTGTCCCGCAGGCTGGAGTGCAGTAGTACATGGCTGGTGCAAACATGGCTCGCTGCAGCCTGGAAGCCCTGGACTCAAGCAATCCTCCCACCTCAGCCTCTTTCATAGCTGGTATCACAGGTACACACTTTATTTTTTGTAGAGATGGGGTCTCACCATGTTGCCCAGGCTGGTCTCGAACTCCTGGGCTTGAGCAATCCTCTTACCTCAACCTTCCATAATGCTGGGATTACAGATATGAGCCACTGCTCCTGGACTTGTTCTCTTGCAATGAGCCCCTGTCTTAACTCATTGCGCTCCAGGTGATTCTGACACACCAGTGTCTGATAGCCACCGCTCTGATCTGCTCGGAGGCTTCCGGAGAAACAGAATTCAAAAAGAACCCCACTGCTCCACCAGTAACCAAAGGCATCTGAATCCTGAATCCCAAATCTCAGGTGTTGGGGCTGAGAGGGTGGGGGGTGTTGAGATCTGTTCTCAAAGGCCCCCCTGTGGTTTGAAGGTGCAGCCCGGCTGAAGGCTTGAGAACCACTGTGCTGGGTCACACAGTGCATGGCTTGCATGGCACCTTCCTTCCCTGAAAACCCAGAGAAAGTCTCTGGGGTCACCAATTGCTGCACCTGCTTCATAAGGAAGCCCAGACGCCTCCAGTTGCCAGGGCTAGCTGCAGGTTGGGGATCCCAGCAAAGCTCAGGACTAGGAAAGGCCGTTCCTGTGTGGAGAGGGATTTTGCACTGCATAGCATTTCTCCCTGTAAGCAGACCTAATTATTACCATCCCTCAAATGAATTCCTTCTGAGATTGAGCAACCTGGCCATGAGGATTGAGCATTTCTGTGAACCAATTCAATAAGCACACCAGGGCACAGAAGGCAGGGCCACCCCTTTTTGTTTTGTTCTGTTTTGTTTTGCTTAGTTTAAGCATCTACACCCCCAAAGCAATTCTTTTTCAGGTTTTTCCATACAAATCATCGGCTTCAGCCCTGCCTTGGCTCACGCTGCTCCTGGAGCACAGCCCACTCCGTCTCTCCAGCCTTCCACTGCCAGCGGAATCCTGGTCCCCCATCGAGCGCTGGCTCTCCACCTTAGCTGGGCATTTGAACCACCTAGGGGGCTTTTTAAAAGTCCTGAAGCCCACGCCCTGCCCCAGGCCAATCAAAACAGCACCTCTGGGCGGGACCCAGGCATCGGGACTTCTAAAGCTCTGCGGGTGATTCCAGAGTATGACCGGGGTGGGAACCACTGAATTCCAAGCCTAGCCCAAATGCTGCTGTTCTGTGAAGCAGCCTTTCATTTCATCCACTCCCACCCTGACCTACACACATACCACAATTATTTTCTTGAAAATAAGAATGTTACCTTTATTTGTTCATTTTGGAATAGGCAATAGATTCCAAACATAGAAGGTACAAAAGAATGCAGAGAAGACTTCTACTATTTCCTGCTGTAGATGCCATCCCCAGAGGGAGGGCCTCAGCAGAATCAAAGGCTCCACTCCTGCCCTCTAACAGTACCATGACTGAGGGAACTGGCAAAGTCTTGGGGTCACAGAGGGCTGGGTTTGATTTTTTTTTTTTTCAATAGAGATAGGCCTCGCCATGTTGCCCAGGCTGGTCTCGAACTCCTGGGTTTAGGTGATCCTCCTGCCTCAGGCTCCCAAAGTGCTGGGATTACAGGCGTGAGCCATTGCACCCAGCCGGAGGCCTGGGTTTGAATCCACTTCAGCCATTGACTTCCCATATGATGTTGAACTAGCCATTTAACCTATCCAATCCTGTTTCCTTACCTATAGAGATAACAGCACCTGCCTCTCGGGGCTATGTAGGAGAATTAAAGAGGTATTTTGGTTCTTTATTGCAGCCTAGCAAACTGCCCCAACTTATTGGCTTATAAAATAACCATTTTATGTGTTCATAATTCTGTGAGTTCGAGATTCAGGCCTTGGAGATTCTGGTCCTCAAGGTATCTCCTGGGGTCATTCTCCTGGCTGGTGGATGGTCCAACCAAGATAGCTTCACTCACAAAACTGATAGACTGGGGCTCTACTACATCCCCTCTGGCCTCATGATAGCTTGGGCTTCCTCACAGCATGGTCTCTGGTGGTCAAGAAAGAGCACTTAGAGCAGGAAAGTAGACATGCTGTCAGTGTCTTGAGGCCCAGTCTTAGAAGTTGTACAGTCAACCCAGATTCAAGGGGACGAGAAATATATACCAGCTTTTGATGGAAAGTGGTATGGTCACATTGCAAAAGAGCAGATGGGATGGGATAGTGTCACAGGCATCTTCGGAAACACAATCCACCACAACAGAAATGAATGCAAAGTGTCTGGCACACACAGTGTGCCCAACAAATGTTAGCTCCCATCTTTCTTCTTGGCACACAGTTATTTTGCCTTTTATTGTAGTTCAATGTTTATAATGCCTTCGGTGTTCCTTCCTAGTGCCTGGGCCAAGAGCCTGGCACAGAATAAATGACCAGTGAATGTTCATATAAAATCTCAGAGGTGGCCATGAGGCCAGCATTCGCCCAGTCCTGTGATTCTAATGTGCTGAATTCCTAAAATGCCAAGCCATGAGATTCTCCCTCCCTGACCTCCACCCTCATTATCCTCTCTTGCATGCCAGTCACTCTGGCCTGCTAGGTCTACAACCTGAAATATCCTCCTTCTCCCTTGTTATCACCTGGCTCCCACCTGGCTGGCCACAAAGTGAGTGAGAAGGGGAGATTTGGCAACCAGATCAAGCAAGGTCTTAAGCGCTCTATGATGAGTAGAAGTTTCATTCTCCAGGCACAAGGGAACCATTGCAGGGACTTTTAGGAAAAGTGAGACATCATTAGACACGCAGGCAGTTGTGCAGGCACCAGATGCACAGAGAGCGAAGAAATGACGTTTCCTCATGCGCCATCTTAGCACTCAGAGTTCTGAAACCTGGACAGTCTGAGCAAAGCTATCCACCGCAAATTCCCCTCCCTACTGAAGGAAGGGAGACTGAGGCCTGGCAGGGGAAAGGGACTGCCCACGGTGGGGGCCATGGGCCTCTGGCCATGCAGCTGGATTCCAGAGACTATGTCTGCGAAGTATGTGTCTGACATTGAGCAATGTCTCAGCAGCATAGGCAGTAATGATTGATGGGTCTGATGAATGCAACCCCATTATTATTGAAATTTATACACGTACCACTGATCGAAGAATCTCAGTGCATGTGCCTCATTTAATATTCACAGCTGTTGTTTTTCAACTAGGAACCCAAGAGTCGGGCCCTGGGATTGACAAAGATGAAATCTGGGGGCACTTTCCAGAAAGCCACTTCTGGACATAAAGACCCCAGGTAGAAACTGCCCTTTGCCACTCACTTGCATGTGACCTAGGCAAGGTGTCTACTGACACAGAACCATGCTCTGGGCAGATGCACCAGGTCACGAAAAGAGGATCCAGCTCGGCTCCTCTCATAAGCTGGAAGGCTCCAGTTCCCTTGGCCATTCTCCAGATAGCAGATATGTTTGAAGGCTTGCTACTTACCAGGTGCCATAGTAGGTGCTAAGGATGCAGCAAAACCACTGTAGACAGGCCCCTGCTCTCCTGCAGCTTATTGTCATGTGGAGTAGACAGGCTATAAAGTAAGCAAATTAAAAAGCAGAATAAAAAGCAATACAGCTTGTGAGAAGGGCCATGCCTCCAGACCAACAGGGTGATGTGACAGACACCCGGCAGAAAGTGACTTGGTTAGGGGCTGTCACCTGATGAAAGCTCCTGAGCCCTAAGGCACAGTGGGCACCAGACTAGGCCCTTATGCTCCATTAGATAGAGTCGGTCCAAAATGACAAAGGGAGAAGTGACCCACGCAACCAGGCATGGCATGTAGGCAGGCATCAGCATCAGCCACTCTGCACGCACACTGAGGTCTTGTCTTCATAAACTCAGCTGTTACCTCTACCATGTTCCAACTGCAGTCCTTTCTTTTTTTTTTTTTTTTTTTTTTTTTTGAGACAGAGTCTTGCTCTGTTGCCTGGGTTGGAGTGCAGTGGTGGGATCTCGGCTTACTTCAACCTCCGCCTCCCAGGTTCAAGCGATTCTCCTGCCTCAGCCTCCTGAGTAGCTGGGACTACAGGTGTGTGCTACCACGCCTGGCTAATTTTTTGTATTTTTAGTAGAGACGGGATTTCACCATGTTGGCCAGGCTGTTCTCAAGCTCCTGACCTCAGGTGATCCGCCCGCCTCGGCCTCCCAAAGTGCTGGGATTAGAGGCATGAGCCACCATGTCCAACTCAACTCCATTACTTTCTACCTGTCAGGCCTAAAACAAAGTGCTTAGTCCTTCTATGCCTCAGTTTCCTCGGTTTCCTCATCTGTACCATGATGGTAATCATAGGACTCTCTGAGGAGGGTCCCTCTAATCTGTGAGACTTGGGTGAGTTAGTACAGGTGAAATGCTTAGAATGGTATGTGGTGCTGAGTCTTCGCTAGTATTATTCCCCACATCCTCAGATGGGGTTCCCACTGAAGTTGGGCTTTGAGGGTTTGTTATGTGGAGTTGGCTAAGAGAAAATGTTCCAGGACAGACCTGTCTTGGTTTGGGTTCCCCTAGAAGCACCCCCTGAGGTAAGGATTTGCAGGCAAGTCATTTATTTGGGAGGCGAAGAGACACCTTAAGAAGTGGGGAAGTGAGAGAGAAGAGTGTGTTCCCAAGCCCACTAGTGCTGTTGGTGCCTTCATCTCTTTATTAGTCTGTTCTCACACTGCTATAAAGAACTACCTGAGACTGGGTAATTATAAAGGAAAGGGATTTAATTGACTCACAGTTCTGCAGGCTTAGCAGGAAGCATGGCTAGGAGGCCTCAGGAAACTTACAATCGTGGTGGAAGGTGAAGGGGAGAGCAGGCACCTTATTAGCAAGGCTGCAGGAGGGAGTGTGTGTGAGAATGAGGATGTGCCATACCCTAAAACCATCAGCTCTCATGAGAATTCACACACTTTCATGAGAACAGCATGGGGGAAACAGCCCCCATGATGGAATCACCTCCCACCTGGTCCCTCCCCTGACATGTGGGGGTTACAATCTGAGATGAGATTTGGGTAGGGACACAGAGCCAAACCATATCAATCTCCCTGGAGAACTCTGGAGCCAGTGTGGTGCACAGCCTCAGATTTGTCTCATGAAAGGGCGAAGGAACTGCGGTATTTACCATCAACCCTCCTCAGTTATTGATTGAGGACTATGGTGGTGGTAGGGAGACGTGCTCATTTTCTCAAGCCTGGTGGGCAACACGGGCCCTGGCAAGCTCAGAAAGCCCTCAGGCAAGCAGTGCAGGTTCCAGGAGGCAGGACACCACAGTGGTCCAGGTGAGGAGAATGGGCTCAACAGGGCTGGGAACGGCTCCAGAGTGAGCAGAGAACATCGAGGCAAGTAGGGCAGCAGGTCTTTAACCTCCAGGCGCTCAAGAGGATAAGTAGGAGATTGATGTTATGCTGATACCAGGTTAGAAGGGCCTGGAAAGTTAAGGGACTAGGACTTTATTCTGCAGGCAGTAGGCAGCTGCCAGAGGTGTCTGAGGAGGGGAAGGACACAGAAAAGAAACAATCACATCAGTAAGGTGTGGACCTACCTTAAGCCCCAACATCTAGCTCTGTTCCCGCTAACACCACTCTGCAGCCTGAGCCTGATTAAAAGGCAGGCCAGCCAGGAGGTTTCCTAAAGACACAAACTCTAAGGGAACTGTTCTCTCACTGCTATAAAGAATTACCTGAGACTGGGTAATTTATCAAGAAAAGAGGTTTAAAGGCTGGGCGCAGTGGCTCACACCTATAATCCCAGCATTTTGGGAGACAGAGGTGGGCAGATCACTTGAGGCCAGGAGTTTGAGGCCAGCCTGGCCAACATTCATGTAGAAACCCCAGCTCTACAAAAAATACAAAACTTAGCTGGGCATGGTAACACATGCCTGTAATCCCAGCTACTCGAGAGGCTGAGGCATGAGAATCGTTTGAACCCAGGAGGCAGAGGCTGCAGTGAATTGAGATCATGCCACTGCACTCAAGCATGGGCAACAGAGCTAGGCTCTGTCTCAGAAAAAAAAAAAAGAGAAATAAACAAAACAGATTTAATTGACTCACAGTTCCACATGCTATACAGGAACATGGCTGGGGAAGCCTCAGGAAACTTACAATCATGGCAGAAGGTGAAAGGGAAGCAGGCACGTCTTACATGGCCAGAGAAGGAGAAATAGAGAGAAGGGGGAGGTGCTATAGACTTTTCTTTTTTCTTTTTTTTCTTTTTGATGGAGTCTCACTCTGTCACCCAGACTGGAGTGCAGTGGCATGATCTCGGCTCACTGCAACCTTCACCTCCCAGGTTCAAGCAATTCTCCTATTTCAGCCTCCCAAGTAGCTGGGACTACAGGCACATGCCACCACACCTGACTAATTTTAGTATTTTTAGTAGAGACGAAGTTTCACCATATTGGTCAGGCTGGTCTAAAACTCCTGACCTCAGGTGATCCACCTGCCTCAGCCTCCCAAAGTGCTGGGATTACAGGCATAAGCCACTGCGCCCGACCTAGACTTTTAAACAACCAGATCTCCTGAGAACTCACTCACTATCATGAGAATAGCAAGGGGGAAGTCCGCCCGCATGATCCAATCACCTCCCACCCAGCCCCTCCTCCAACACTGGGGATTACAATTCAACATGAGATTTGGGCAGGGACACAAATCCGGACCATATCAGGAAGCTTGGAATGAATGCTCAAAGTAGCCACTTGGGTGAAGAATGACACCCCAGGGAACTTCTCAAGTAATAGCTTGGTCATTCACCACCTCCCTAGATTGGTGATGGCTAATAATGAGTCAGATATGCAAGTTTGGGGCAGAGCTGAATTCCTTAGCATGGTAGTCCAAGGGCTTCTACCAGAGCACCTTCCCTACCCCTCACCCCAATGCCTTCTCTGAGTCACACAAATATTAAAGACTGTTGTTTGAAAGGATGGCCACACTGCTAGCATTCACGTGGTGTTTATGTGTCTCAGCCCTGCCTTAGCATACCAAAGCAGGGACAGATGGGGGAAGAGAACAACAGTCCCTTTGAGCAACTGCAGGTACTGTACTGGCATGTTCACTATGCCACATCCTGTCTAATTAACTCAATGACCCAGCAGGATGAAGGGTTTCCTCTCCATCGTCCAGAGGTGAAAACTCAGACTACAAGAGGTTAGATGTTTGTCCCAATAGCAGAGCTGGGATTATAACTGGAGGACTCTGAGTAGTCCAGATTAAGGAGTTCAGACTTACCAAAGGCCTGTGGTCAAGTGTCAAGATGATTCCATCAGAGCTGGGAACCCCTACAGAAGGAGGTGCTGCCATCAGCTGGGTCTTGAGGTGAAAGAGGGAAAGGAAATAAGCCCAGAAATTAAATGACATCTGAGTATTTGCTTCACCACAATTTATAGATAAGACACCAAATTGGGAGAAAAAAAGCAAGAGACAAACCACATTAGAAAGAAATGTAATGCACATGAATCACACACCAGTTTGCAGTAACACCCAGAAGAAAATGCAGAATGCCAACGCTGTTATTAAAAGCAATATTTTGCTGACGTGAGTAAATCAGAGCTGAGAAAGAGTGACAGAAGGGGAAGCCAGTGGATGAGGAGTGGGCTTGTTGTTCTGGAAGCTGCAGGTTCCCAGGCATCCCTGCAGAGCTCCCAGAGGCAGAGAAAGGGAGCCTGTGTTCTATTCTGGAGGTCTGTGTATGTGCATGAGTGTGTTTGCATGCACATGTGTGCATGTGGATGCCTGTGTGTCTGTGTATGTACGTGTGTGCATGTGTGAAAGCTTTGTGCTTATATGCATGTATATGTCCATGTGAATGTGTGTGCACATGCATATGAATGTGTGTGTGCGTTTGTGCTTTTATTCCATGAATGTGTATATTGTGCATGCATGAGTGTATCCATGTGTGCATTTGTGCAATTGTGTGCATATCTGTGAGTGCTCATTGTATGCATGTGTATGTTAGTGAGCACATGCTCATATGCATGCATGTACAAATGTGTGTGTGCATGTGTGTGTGTGTGTGTGTGTGTGTGTGTTTGGGAAGTCTTGCTATCACGTTGGTCATCCCTGCCCCTGCCAATGTCAGCGGCAAATCAGGTTTCAGGAGCAGTACACCACTTGAAATTTGGGCTTCTTACAGCACTTAGTAGGTGTTAATATTTAAGTCAAGCCTACTAACTTGGGTTCTTGCCCAGGGTACTCACTGTCTGATTCCCCACAAAAGGAAGAGTTTAGGACCAGGGATTGAAAGTGGGGTTCCATTTTTCACCAGTAGAATGGGAATTTCTTTCCTTCCTTTGTCTGTCTTTCCTGCCCATGATTCTTCTCCCTCCTCATTCCTAGCTCTGTTGCTTCATTCCAGCCACATTGCCCTTCCTTCAGCTCCAGGGGTCATTCTCCCCACTTGGGACCTTTGCCCAGGTGTTCTTCCATGATGAAGCACTCATTTTCCAAATCTCTTCCTATGTGCCCCCACGACCCAAATATCACCTCCCTCTGCTTATACCATGGGTCTCTGCTTAGACTATCATCTGCTGGAAACCTTCCCTGCTCACTCGTAGCTTTTATTTTTGTAACAGCTTTATTGAGACATAACTCACATATCATACAATTCACCCATTTAAAGTATACAATTCAATGATTTTTCACGGGGTTGTGCTACCATCACTACAATCTAATTTTATAACATTTTCATTCTCCAAAAGAAACACCATAACCATTAACAGTCCCTATACCCGCCTCCCGCAGCCACCCACCTGTTTCTGTCTCCACAGATTTGCCTGTTCTGGACATTTCATACAAATGGAATTATACTGTAGGTGGTCTTTTGCAATTGGCTCCTTTCATTTAGAATAACTTTTTCAAAGTTCATCCATCTTGTAGCATATATCGGTACTCTACTCCTTTTTATTGACAAATCACATTCCATTGAATAGATATACAGCATTTTATTTATCCTTTCATCAGCTGGTGGCCACTGGGGCTCTTTGCACCAAACTTTTTGGCTATTACAAAAAATGCTGCTATGAACATTTGTCTACAGGTCCTAGTGTGGAGATATATTTTTCTTTCACTTGGGTTTATACCTAGGCATGGAATCTCTGGGTCATATGGGAACTGTTTAACCCTTTGAGGAACCACCAAACTGTTTTCCAAAGTGGTTGTACCATTCTACACTCCCACCAGCAATCTATTGAGTTCCAATTTCTCTACGTTCTTGGTTTTCTAGTAAAATCATCCTAATGGGTGTGAGGTAGTGATTTTGATTTGCATTTCTCCAATGACTAATGATGTTGAGCATCTTTTCACATGCTTATTGGCCATGTGTATCTCTTTAGAGAAACATTTATTCAAATCTTTTCCCCATTTTTTATAATTGTCTTTTTGTTGTTGAGTTGTAAGAATTCTTTTTGTATTTCTGGGTATAGACCTGTAGAAGACTTATGATTTGAAAATATTTTCTCCTATGAGTTGTCTTTTCATTTTCTTGGCAGTGGTTTTTGAAGCTCAAAATTTTAAATTTGATAAAGTTCAATTTATCTATTTTTTCTTTTGTCATTTGTGCTTTTGGTGTCATATCTAAGAAATCATTACCTAACTCAAAGTCACAAAAATATATTCCTATGGTTTCTTCTAAAAACTTTATAGCTGTAGCCCTTATATTTAGGTGTATGATCCATTTTGAGCCATTCAAATATTTATTGGGCAGTTACTATGTGCTGGGCATCAATTTAGGGGTGGGTATATATACTTTAATATACCAGTGAGCAAAATGAACAACCTTAAAGAGCCAACATTCCAGTGGAAGAAACAGATAATAACCAAAAAAAACAAACACACAGGATAAGGACAATTTGAGCTGGTGTTGGTGCCCTGAGGAATGAAACCACGTGGGACATTCAGGAAACAGTTTCTGTACTGTACTGGAGCTCTGGAGCAAATGTTAGGGGCGGCAGTGAGAGACAAGGTCACAGGAGGTGGCTAAAGGATCCTTCTAAATCTACCCAGTTTATTTATCATAATTAATTATTACAACATTTATTTTAATGTTTAATTATTGTAATTTTGATCCTTTGTCATTTCTCTTATTACTTGTCTCATCAGTACTATTTATCTCATTTTACTGTGGGATGCTGCCCCTTCCCACTCCTGGACCCCTAACAGACATGAAAAATCAATCCAGGGTTCTCACCCACTAAGCCTCTTGGTGTCCCTGGCTAGCAACTTTCCTAACAGCAATACAGTCTTATTAAATTAAATGGAAAGGCTCAAGGAGGAAGCACCCAAACAAAGCCTCTGGGTTCCCAGGCTTCAACTTCTCCTACCACCCATCTGAGGTTGGCAGCCAGGCCATTGCTGGAGGAATGCGATACATTTTCTGCACAATTAGGTTTGTGACCAGTAGGAAGCAGTAGAAAGTACTCTGACAGTACCTGAGCAGTGCCTTGTGTTACTTACTAAAACCCTCTTAGATTAGATAATCCACATGATGATTTTTATGGGCAATCCCCTAACTGTCTCTCTGAAAGGCTCTGCTCTTAGATAGCTATTTCTGCCTTCCGTTTGGATAAGATAACGTCTCAGTTAATCCATTTCTGTTTGCCTCTGCTAAAACTTCTCCCTTAATCTTCATTATCTCCTATCATGTGCTTTTGTTGGGACTTTACTGAACCAGATTCACCCCAAGGGCCTCCACACAGCTCTAAGAAGAGGAGATAAAATTCAGAGCAACTTGGAGCTTTGCTGGTTTGGGAACTAGGTTGGTTGTCATTTACCTGAAGTTTTATCAACTGGACCCTCAGGTTCCCAGGTCATAGGAAAATCCCTCAGCCTGACACATCTTCCCTTTGGGGGGTCTGTGGCTACTTTGTGGGATTCTCTCGGCAATAGAAAAGGACAGAAATGCAGGCCGGGCGTGGTGGCTCACGCCTGTAATCCCAGCACTTTGGGAGGCCAAGGCGGGCAGATCACGAGGTCAGGAGATCGAGACCATCCTGGCTAACACAGTGAAACCCCGTCTTACTAAAAATACAAAAAATTAGCCGGGCGTGTTGGTGGGCACCTGTAGTCCCAGCTACTCGGGAGGTTGAGGCAGGAGAATGGCATGAACCCGGGAGGCGGAGCTTGCAGTGAGCCAAGATCGCGCCACTGCACTCCAGCCTCGGCGACAGAGCGAGACTCCATCTCAAAAAAAGAAAAGGAAAGGACAAAAATGCAACTATTAGTCTGCCACAAGGGCTCTTATGTCAGGAATCAGCATTTCAGAATTTTAATAGTAATTAGAGTCATCTCCTTCTGAGATAGCAGACAGAGTTCATCTTGCAGATTATCACCAACTCTGTCCCTCGGAAGAAGGAGAATCCATTAGTCTACCTTGGCTGAGTATGAAAGAGGGGCCTCTCTGCTGGTGGAGATAGCACTCCACCAGGAATCAGGAGACCTGGGTCATGTACCATTGGGCAAGTCTCTGGGTCTCAGCTTCTTCCAGATAAAAAATGGCAAATTTGGCTTGAACGGTCTCTAAGATTCCTGGAGAACTAAGCTGGCTTCCAAACGCATGCACACTTCAGCCACAGTGCTTGGTGGCAACGTGTTCACTTTGGTAAGGAGGAAGAAGAAATTTACTTTCTAACAAGATCACTGCTGTAGGTTTAGATCTGCTAAGCCCACTCCAGTTGCCACTTGCCACATGTACCTATTGAAATTTCAGTTGGTTTAGGGATGGGCATGGTGGCTCACGCCTGTAATCCCAACACTTTGGGAGGCTGAGGTTGGCGGATCACCTGAGGTTGGGAGTTCGAGACAAGCCTGACCAACACGGAGAAACCCCATCTCTACTAAAAGTACAAAATTAGCTGGGCGTGGTGGCACATGCCTGTAATCCCAGCTACTCGGGAGGCTGAGGCAGGAGAATCACTTGAACCCAGGAGGAGAAGGTTGCGGTGAGCCGATATCGTGCCATTGCACTCCAGCCTGGGCAACAAGAGTGAAACTCCTTCTCAAAAAAAGAAAAAGAAAAAGAAATTTCAGTTGGTTTAAACTAAATACAATTCAAAATACAGTGCTTCAGTACATCAGCCATATTTCAGGTGTTCAACAGCCACACATGGCTAGTTGCAACCGTATCGGACGGTGCAGATAAAAAACATTTTCATTCTCCAAGAAAGTTCTAACTGACATTGCTGGTGTAGATAGCATTTTCTCATCACTCTCTTGTGACCTTCTGTTACAATTCAGGGAGATGAGGGGAAGGGGGCTAAGATTAAGGCATTTCATTCCTACTCTGCTTTCACATACCCATCGAGCACAATCCACTCGACATCTTGTCAAAGAAAACATCATTATTTCTTTTTCCTAGATAGACAAACTGTGGTCGGTGAAGCACAGGAATTTGCTGAAAGTTACTCAGCTGGTAACCCACTGCGCGGCACAGCAGCAGCAGAGGAGGCCCAGGCATTTGCCTGTTGCAAATAAGGAGACCAAGGCTCAGGAAGTCACGTGGCTCCAGCCAGGCATCCCTGCCCCGCAGTGGCTCAGCAAGGCCTCTCGCCACTCCGGGCAGCAGGGACCCATGAAATAGAGGCTTCCAGGGGCTTCCTGCAGGTGGTCCTGCGCTCCAGGAGGAACATTTTTCTGTGTGGAAAGTGACAAATTAACAGAAAATTCATGCTTTTTCAGTGATGAAAATGAAAATGTCTAATTTGCTAGTCAAAAGCATTTCCCTGTTTAGAGATGAGTAAATTTGAGTCTTTGTTATCAGTGATTCATACAGCACAGTGCAGAGCTTCCTGGAGATCTCTGGCTCCATTCTGTGGTCCAGGAATGGTGTACCTGGCTGTCGCAACTGGCCAATCCCCAAATTCAGTCTTGCCTGATCTCATTGCCAACACTGCTGGGTAATTTTTTCTTTTTTAAAGGAAAGTCTGCCATGGAGGAAGGACTTGTGTGTGTTTGCCTGTTTCACAGTGTCTGGAGCTGTCTCATTAGGTCAGAGAAATGGGAGAACCTTTGAAGGAAGGAGGCTTCTAAGTGATGTTTGCATGCAGAACACTGGATTGGGTGGGTGTCAGGAAATCCAGGCCCTGAGCCTAGCTTGCCTCTTCCTCCTTGAGCCTTTCAAGTTAATTTAATAAGAATTTATTGCCTTTAGGATAGTTGCTAGCCAGGGAAGCAAAACAGGTCTCAGCTGTCATAACAACTTCAATTGATTGGTGGTGACTACCTAGAGTGCTTGATGGAGAAGCATTCTGAAGACACGAAGAGACAAGAACCCCTGATTGATTGCTCATGTCTGGGGGGCCCAGGAATAGGAAGAGGCAGCATCCCACAGTAAAACGAGATAAATAGTAATGATAGAAATAATAATAACAGTAATTACAATAAGGCTTTCCTGGTCAAGTCATTGGGAACATCAAGTAAAATCATGGATGTGAAGGTGCTTTGGGAACTGGGCAGAAAGACTCATGATGTCTGGACTCAATTATTAAGGGCTTTGGTTGTGAATCATGAGTTCCTTGTTCATGCGACTTAAACATTTTTCCCAGAGTATTGCCCGGCCTTGTCATGAGCCTGGAGGCAGCAGCGATGTGGAAGGAGACTCGTGGGTGAACGCACATTTGCGCATTCATTTCTGCAGTCACTCTTCACAGCTCTGTTCATTTGTTAAGACACATGTCAAAGGGCCTTTAAAGGTCCAGGTACTGACACCAAGACAGGCCTTCCTGACCCCTCCCTCCTCAGAGCTCCTGGAATACAAGCAAGTTTCGGCAAGTTTTGATCCATCGTAGCATTTAAAGTTCATTGGAATAGCCACTTTATTACCAGGATGGGGAAAATGAGAGAAGGTAAGAGACATGTACAGGTTCACATAGCAAGTTCCTACCAATGGTACCCTGACCCTAATGCCAGCTCCCTGGGAGTGGCTTTGCATAATTACCTCTAAGCCTTGTCATCACCCCACAAGGCAGGGGTTATGGTTCCATTTTATGGTTTTAAAAAACTGGACTCTGGGAGGGGAGGTATTGACCAAAAGCATAAGCAGCAGAGGCAGATTTCAAGCCAGATCTGTCTGACTCCATAACCTCGGGTCTTTTGACCATTGTACAGAGCCAGCAGGAGCTACCAGCAAAGGCTCAGAGCCTGGGGTTCTGTCCAATGCGTCACACAGTCAAGGCAGGGGGGACCTCCTGGGTCAAGGCCCTCAACCTGGCAGGCTCTTTTAAACTCCTTCAAGAGCTTGAAGCTAGTCCACTGCTGGGTATCTCTGTACTGAGGGTGGCACCTCATCCTCAGAGGAATAGCCTGAAAAGGAGGTGGGAGAGAGTTGGGAGCCAAGACCCTTAGGAGAGGTCAATGGGGACATCTCAGTGTACTTGACACCATGAAGGAGCTATGGAGGGAGCCTGCAGACCCGGACTTTCCTGCTTATCAGTTGTGTACCCTAAAGAAAGGCACCCAGAGCCCAAAGCCTCAGTATCCCCACCTGCAAAATGGGGCAATTAAAACAACAGCCAGCACTTACCGGGGAGCACGTTGAATTCTCAAACTAACTACGGAAAGTAGGTGTTACTAATATCATCCCTACTTCACATAGGAGGAAACTGAGGTGCAGAAACGCTGCATGACTCTCTCAAGGTCATTCAGCACTGAGGTTAGAACCCCGGCAGCTGGATTCCAAAGCCTCACCCTTCCAGCGCCAGGAAAGACTACATGGTGAGCCTCCCCCACCCACGCAGCAAGTACACAACCCTTGCTTACGAAGTGGTTTTGATAAACACGCTTGTGTTCTCTGGGGCAGTATGCATCTCCATGGTTTCCTAAAGAGGAAACAGATCGGAGAGGGGCCAAAGTCAAGGCAGCTGCAACGCAGGGTGCGAACCTCCCCTACCGGCTCTCCAGGGTTCCCGCGGGTGAGGGGAGGACGGGAAGGGGTTATCTGGGCTCCAAACCGGGGAGTGTAGGCCTGAGTGTGCGGGCTGCAGGGTGAGATCGCCCGCTCCCTCCCCTGACCCCCACCCCCAGCTGGTCCTCAGGGGCTGCGCTGGGAGCTCGACAGAAGCGCTGACTCCGCAGTTTCCGACCCTCCGTACCCCGGAGCGCGAGGCACCGCGCAGCCTGGAAAAGTCCCCAATTACACTCGCCCGCGACGGCGACGCCAGGCCCCTCGGGGAGCGTTTATGGAGAGCCCAGGGCAGGAGAGATCACCGTGGAGGGAAGGAAGGGGGAAGAGGGCCGAGGACAGGGCACAGAATTACTAGAAGCCGAGAAGGTGACAATGATCCACCTTGTGCGGGTGGCTGCTGAACAGAGCAGTTGACTCCCGAACCTCCACAGCAGCGCCTCACTCTGCCTACACACCCCTCAACGCACGCAGAGCGAGAAATTCTGCAGATGGGAAATGGAAAGGGGTGGGTGGTGGGAGGAGGAGAGAGAAAGCCACTAGAAAGGGCACCTATACACTTCCTGCTCAGAAGGAGAAACTGAGGCCCCAGGAAGGAGAGATCCAGGAGTCTTCATTCCCTGGAGAGGGTGGGATTCCTTCCTTTAAAAGGTGATGCAAGACCAATATCCACATTCCCTCTTCCTTCCTCCCCACTTCCTCCTCCACCCTCCTCCCTCCCTTCCCCATCCTCCTCCCTGCTCTCTGCCTTCCTCCTCACTCCCCTCTGCCTCCCTCTTCCCTCCTTTCCCCACCTTCATCCCTTCCCTACCCTCCTCTCTACTCTCTTCCTTCCTCCTCCCTCTTCCCTCCTCTCTGCCTACCTCCTTCCTCGTCTCTGCTTCCCTCCTCCCTCTTCTCTGCCTTCCTCCTCCCTCCCTTCCCCACCCTCCTCTCTGCCTTCCTCTTTCTTCCTCCTCCTTCCTCTCCCCACCCTCCTCCCTGTCTTCCTCTTCCTTCCTCCTCCCTCTTCCCTCCCTTCCCCACCCTCCTCCTCCCTCCTTTCCTCTTCTCTGCCTTCCTCCTCCTTCTTCCCTCCTCCCTTCTCTCTTCCTTCTCTTCCCTCCTCCCTCCTCCCTTCCTTCCTCTTCCCTCCTCCCTACTTTCCCCTTCTCCTCCGCAGCATTTACAGAGGCTTCAAGAGGAATTATCCCAGTGTCTGCCTTTGAAGGGGTCCCAGTTTTCCCAATAGCCTTGAGAAGTGCTCCCGTGTCAAATCCTGGCCTTGTCCTTTGCAGAGAGGGGTGGCCCTGCGGCTTCACAAGGCTTGGGGGGAGCAGGAGAGAATGGAAAGAACCTGACAGGGTCTGCGCTGGGCCCCCCTTCCCTCAGAGCCTGTGCCTCCCCAGCCCACTGGGAGACCTGGCTTCCAGCCTCAGCCCTGCAAGACAAGTCACTGTGCCGCAGGATGCTTCATTCCCTCCTCTATATATGGGAACAGCCACAACAACCACCCCCCACTGCTTCAGGGGAGTCCAGGGCCCCAGAAGAGCCTGCAGGATCTAGCTCCTGTCTCCCTCAGTGCACTCGCCCTGTCCCTCATATCCATTGCTCCTGCCACATCCCTTCTCTGCAGGTCCCCTAATTTCCATGCTGTCTCCTGACTGCAGGTATCGAACCTGCTCATATCCTCCACCTGGAATGCCCTCCAACGCAATTGCAAATTGAAGAAAAGATGTTCAAGGACCCCTCCTAGCTGGGGGCAGAGTGGGGGCTTGTCCAAGTCTGGTCAAACCAGGTCCCAGAATTCTGTGCAACAGGAGTGCTCCATGGAGTCAGGGTGGCCTTTTTTCTCCTGGACACCCCAGTTCCAGGCCCATATGGCTGGAACTTTGGGTTCCTTTGCAAGGATGAGGACAGAAAAGAGGAAAGAGACAGGAAAATAAATAATCCATGTTTAATCTAGAATGAGAAAACACAAAAAGAACAAAAGGAAGAGAAAAATATCACCCTCCACCCTCAGCGCCCAGAGAGAAAGAGGTTGTGGTTTGGAGCCTCCCAGAGTGTTTTATGCATATATATGTGTATGGTGGGTGTATTAGTCTGTTTTCAAGCTGCTAATAAAGACATACCCGAGACCGGGTAATTTATAAAGGAAAGAGGTTCAATGGACTCACAGTTTGGCCTGGCTGGGGAGGCCTCAGGAAACTTACAATCATGGCAGAAGGGGAAGCAAACACATCCTTCTTCACCCGGCAGCAGGAAGGAAGAAAATTGAGTGCCCAGTGAAAGAGGAAGCTCCTTATGAAACCATCAGATCTCATGAGAACTAACTTATTATCACGAGAACAGGATGGGGGAAACAGCCTCCATGATTCAATCATCTCCACCTGGTCCCTCCCACAACATGTGGGGATTATGGAAACTACAAGATGAGATTTGGGTGGGGACACAGCCAAACCATATCAGTGGGTGTGACCTTCACTCCAGAAACTCTAGATACAAGAAATATCGCCGCATGACTATTTTTCTAGAATCAAAACAAAAGCTGACTCCAGCCCGTCCCACCTGGAGCCAGGCACCTATGGGATCTGCAGACCCAGACTCCCTCCTTAGTCTTGAGGAATCTCTCTCTGTCCTCACTCTCGTTTGTTGCTCAAAATGTCAATCAAATTTTGAGTTCCTAATCTTTTCTCCAAAATCCTGAGTCTTCCTTTCCTCAATAAATGGTTTCTCCAACTGCTCAGTTGCTCAAGCAAGAAATAGAGGACTCACCCTCCACTCCTCCCTCTCTTTTCTCCTTGTCCTCCTGACAGCCAAACCATCACCAAATCCTGTGTGTGAAACCCAAAGCCTATCTGCAGGCTGTCCCCTTCTCTCTATTGCAATAGTCATCTCCAATCCAGTCTCTGCCCAGCAAGCAGAGGGATCTGAGATGCAGGAAATCAATGCTGGTCCTCCTGTTCCACCGCTGTGAGATGCTTCTACTGCTGAGGAGGTATCTGAGCCTTCTGTGCCCACGTGGAACAGCCCCAGCCTCCTTTGCAGGTCACAACGCTCACTGCCTCTACTAGAGCCTCCCTTCAAACACCAGTGCTGCTGGTCATGGGGCACATGCCTGTAATAGCTTGAGACCAGGAGTTCAGGAACAGCCTTGGCAACATAGCAAGAACCGCCCTCTCTGAAAAATAATTTTTTTAAGAAAAAAAAAATAGCCAGGCACAGTGGTACATGCCTGTAGTCCCGGCTACTCAAGAGGGTGAAGTGGGAGGGTTGCTTGAACCCAGGAGTTTGAGGTAACAGTGAGCCCTGATGGCACCACTGCACTCCAGCCTGGGTGACAGAGTGGGACCCTGTCTCTAGAAAAAAATATAAAAATAAAAATAAAAATAAAAAAACACTGCTGCCTCCTCTGGTCATCACAATACCTCCATGAACACCCTTTCCCTTTCCCCCACCAATTGTTCAGATCTCAGGGGAGCTGGGGAGCTCTCACTTCCTCAGGGAAACCTCCCTGCCCACCACCCCAACCCTAGCAGCTTTGAGACCCTGGACCTTCCATCCTCCTTCCCCCCGGTTTGCCGCTTCATTCCTGCCGTGTCTGGCACTCTGCATGTGGTGTCTGAGGGCAGGGACCACAGTGGCTGTCGCTCACTGATCTATCCCCAGTGCTTCGCACAGGGCCTGGCATGTAGCAGGCCTTCAGTCTTTGCTAAATAAGTGAATAAATGAATGAATGCATTTCCAGATGACTGCGACTCACAGCTATAGCACTGTCACACCTTGACCAAGTGTCCCTTCATTCCTATTTCCCACCTCCACATTCAATCCATCAGTGAATCCCATGGACATTAACTCCAAAATATGCACCAAATTCATCCTTTCTGCTTCTACCATGCCCACTCCAACTGGTCTCCTGGCTTCTTCTCTTGTCCTCCCCCATACAGATTATTCACACAGATATAAAGGGCAGCCCCAGTCCCTTTTGAAATAGACAAAATCAGAGTCTACCATGACCCTGCCTCATCCCTTCCAGTGGGCTTCCCACTGCATTCCATCCAGCTGCTTTCTGGTGCCTTCCAGAGCCCTCCAAGGTCTTTTTCCACCCCTTCCCTGACCTGTCTCCCACCTGCACTAACCATACATTCTGCTTCAGTCACACTGGCCTTTGGAGCTTCTCAAAACATGATAAACCCATTCCTACCCCAGGGCCTTGGCACTTCCCCTTCCTCCTGCCAAAGACTCCGCCTTCATGCCCAGCAGGGGCTGTGCTCCCTGGCTCACTGAGGGACACCTGCAGTTCAGCAGGCTGGTGCATAGTAGATGCTCCATCCAGATTTGCCGAATAAGTGAAAGGACCTCTGCATGCCTCTGCATCTTGTACATCTGTTTGGAGCCGAAGTATAGACCCAGATGTGTTATTTTCCCTTGTTAATTACTGCAGAGTAATTATAGTAAGAAGTGTAAGTACAGCAAGCATTAATGGGGAAAAGAACAGATTTCATGCACTAGCTCGCAGAACATTTGAACCAGAGATGGGCCTCCCCGCAGCCTGCTAGAATTCTGGAGGGGGTAATTTGGCCCCCTGAGTCACAGCCTGAGCCCAGCCCACCCCAGTTTTTCACGGCTTCTCGGAAAACCACCTCCAAGCTGGTATCTGCCTCAATAGAAGCCGTGGTGGGGCTGGGGGAGCCTGGGCCTTTCTGGGGTTAAAAATCTTGATTCTGGCTGGGCATGGTGGCTCACGCCTGTAATCCCAGCACTTTGGGAGGCCGAGGTGGGCGGAACACGAGGTCAGGAGTTTGAGACCAGCCTGGCCAACATGGTGAAACCCCATCTCTACTAAAAATAAAAAAATTAGCTGGGCGTGGTGGTGGGCGCCTGTAATCCCAGCTACTCAGGAGGCTGAGGCAGGAGAATCGCTTGAACCCAGGAGGTGGAGGTTGCAGCGAGCTGAGATCGCCCCATTGCACTCCAGCCTGGGCAACAAGAGCAAAACTCAGTCTCAAAAAAAAAAAAATCTTGATTCTATGTGTTTCTGAAAAGCTGGGTGGCATCAGGCAGATGGCTGAACGTCTCTGAGCCTCTGTCTTCCTATCTGTAAAATGAGGATAATTGATATCTCCCTCCTAGGTTGTTGTGGGCCCTAAAAGTGACAACATATGCTAAGTGCCCATTGTGGGTTTCAGCCAAGTTGCCCCCCTTCCCTCCCTTCCCAGTGTGGTAGAGAAAAGACACGGTCCCTGCCTGCCCACTGCAGGCCCTCCTGTGACTCTTCCCAGAAGAAATGGGGCAAGGCTGTCTGTTCATTGATGTGCTTCCTCTATTTTGAAAAACCAGGTTGATTTCAACAAGATTGATGAAAAATGTCTTCAAGATGATTGCTTCAGGCCCAGTGTTTCAAAAAGGAGTTGCTATTGGCAAAGAGGGAGTGCCACATCTTGATGAGGGGGACTGTACAGCTTGTGCGGGGCTGTTTGCCTCTCTGCCCTCCCCAGCCACACCCACATACGGACAAACACTAAATGCCAGTTGCATCCCACTAGGCAGAGAGAACCACAAACGCCCCAGGGCTGGAAACCACCGGGAGAACTGGCCTTGGGAGGTGCAAATGACGTCGGGGAGGAGAGTCTAATGTAAACTGTAAAGTGCTGGAGAGCCAGGGTCATTGCTGATATTCCAGAACCTACTCATTGGTCATTTCCAGCTGCTGGGAAGCGGATCTTGGACTTGAGTTTTGCCTTCCGGATGACCCTGAGACGCCCTCTTGTGGGCATCAGTGGTAGTGAGTGGCAGGTTTTCCAAGTTGCTCTCTCATTTGCAAGTGGAGCCTTGCTTTTCTTTTGGTCTTTTCTTTTCCTTTCTTTCCTTTATGTTTCTTTCCTCTTCCAGTGCTCTTTTATTCAGTGCCACAATTCTTATGAAGATTATATCTCCAAATACCACTTTTCTGTTCTCCAAAGTGTTAGAAGATGAAGATCCAATCTCATATGGATCCTACCTTTAAAAAAATTAATGTATTTTTGCTTTTTGAAGATCATTGTACAAAATTTTGAAAATGCCAAAAAGCACAAGCAAGCCAGTAAAACTCGAGAGTAAGCTTTCTAACTCAACCTAGCAGGCAGCAGGAGAAAGGAATGAGGGTACAGTCTTCCTGGTTCACCAAGTGTTGATATGAGCATTTCCGCAAAACATGTTGGCGATACGAGCTCAATTCTGAGCTCGTGAAGGAGGGTGGACATCTGGGCCTAGGAACTGAATGAGACAAAGCCGTTAGTCACATAACTGAGGATTCCATCTGAGCCTGTCTCCCCACACCCCTCTTTTTCTTCCCACAGAGACCATCCCGTGCAGTTAGTGCAGGGGATGGCATGAGCTCTGGAGTGTTCCATTCATTCATCTGTTCATTCATGGATTCATTCAACAATGCTCAATGATCATCTCTTGTGGGCCAGACCTTGTGCTGGCACCTGGAGATACAAAGCCTAAAATACAGTCCCTGCTACTCAGAACTCATGGTCTAGACTGGACACAGCTAGATAAACAGGAGATTACCAAGCATGCTCTGATGAGGGATGCTCTTACGGGGGTACTATGGGGTACTGGAGGCTAATCCTGGATCCACCACTCCTCAGGTATGTGGACAAGCCACATCCTCACTCTGATCTTCAGTTTCCCCATCTGTAAAAGGGGGATAACAGGACCGGCCTCATCACATTGTGGCGGCGATTGAATGAACATGAAGTACATGCATGAAACGTGTAGCACACAGAGCAGGTACTTGCTAAATACTCCTCTCCATCCATGCTAAATTCTTTCTTCAGACTCTGGAGATCAAATCTGACCAGGATCACCTATGACAGTCAGGTTGCCTGTTGGACTTTTGGGAACATCACAAAATTTTGTATGTAGTCAATGCCAGAAAGGGTGGCCTGGAAATTATCCAGCCAAGTCTCCTTATTTTAGAGAAGAGGAAACAGGGCCCAGAGAGGAGAGGAGTTTGGCCCAAGGTCACACAGAAGATCTGGAGAGCCTCTAGGCTTGGTCATTAAGGTTCCAATCTCTGCAGGGAGAAGGGAGATTCCCTGAACTTGAATCCAAGGCTCCTCAACTTACTGGGTTGGGCAAGTTAGTTCAACTCTCCATGTCTCGGTACCTCCATCTGTAAAATGGGCATAAGAACAACTTCCTTCCTAGAGTGTGTGGGAGGATTACATCAACCAACTCCCAATTCAGTGCTCCATCTACCATACCTAGAATTCATGCAGCTCAGAATTTAGGATAGCAATTCTTCATTCTGAGTCTGTACATTTTGCATCCAGAATCCACGGGTCAGGACTTGGCTCAAGTTCTTCCCTAAGTGTAAAGGCCTCTTGGTGGAAACCTTGGGCAAGAGGAAACATGTTTCTATTCCAAGCAGCAGAGAAGTAAATTATGATCAAAGAGAGTTAAGATCAAAGCAGTGCCACCCACCTCTCCCTCAGATTAACCTTGCTTTACATCAATTCAATGAACATGGCTGGGTCACATTTTAAGAAAATAGGCTGCTTCCTGGTCACTAATAGTCAATTGCCTCTCTTGGCATGCCCAAGATGAATTATAATGGTTTAAGGTCAAACACAAAATACGAACAATTGCATCAAAACATCAGATTAAATAAAAATAAAAATAAGCAAACATCAGAATAAGTTAGCATCTGGGTGAACTCTTGGTAATGGTGGCCACCCCTCAGCCTTTCCTCTTTTCCTTCAAAAATAACTATATGCTCAGAAGCCTTTCAGGGGTCACCCAAATAGAAAAGCAGTCCCTCGAGATTGGTTGCAAACTCCAGTTTATCCATTTCTCTTTCAATATCACAATGGAAAATCACCAAGGCCACATGGAGGTCTGTAATGATTTTCTGTACACTCGTGTAAACAAAAGAACATACAATTTCCCTTCTTTCCCCAGTGGAGTGTTTTATTTTTTATTTTTCCAGTTTAGGGGAAATGTTAAGATGATTTGGGGGTTGCTGAAATGTCTAAAAATCAAAGATACAATAGTAAAGAAAGAAGCCAGTTGAAGGGGCTGTGTTTGTGGTGAAGTCAGTTGTTTTATTTCATTATAAGGTTTCTATGTTTTCAGGAAGCAAGAACAAAAGGGAAAGGAGAAGTGGAAAATTCCAGAAAATGATGGATGTGAGGCTGTCATAGAGATCGAGAGCACCCATTTCAGGCTGATAGGGCAGTCCATATGCCCAAATGATCGACTTATAGACTATTTTCTTTTTCTTTCTTTTTTTTTTTTTTCTTTGGAGACGGAGTCTCGTTCTGTTGCCCAGGCTGGAGTGCAGTGGCACGATCTTGGCTCACTGCAAGCTCCACCTCCCTGGTTCACGCCATTCTTTCCTGCCTCAGCCTCCCGAGTAGCTGGGACTACAGGCACCACCACCACGCCTGGCTAATTTTTTTTTTTTTTTTTTTTGTATTTTTAGTAGAATCGGGGTTTCACTGTGTTAGCCAGGATGGTCTCAATCTCCTGACCTTGTGATCCACCCACCTCGGCCTCCCAAAGTGCTAGGATTACAGGCGTGATCCACTGCGCCCGGCCAGACTATTTTAAAGAATAGCAGTTGCTCACAACTTGACTGTCCTGTGCTGTGGGGCAGGCCATGAGTGGCAGTAGAAAGAACGCGGCTCTCAACACAGACCAAGGAGGTCTCAGTCTGACCCTGGCCAGGGTCCTTTGCCAGGTGAGTGGCTCTGGGTAAGTGGCTTCACCTCCCTGAGCCTCGGTTTTCTTATCAGCAAAATGTGATGTTTGAAAAGCACCTAGAATAGAACCTGTGGCTTTACTGCGAACACCATCCCTCATCATTTGACTGCTGTCAACATTCTGTCACAAACGGTATTTTATTTGATAGCCCCCCAAACCTTCTGAGGTTCTTGGAACTGGAATCTTTGTTCTTACTTGACTGATCAAGAGCTTCTAGTCCCCTAAAGACAATTCACTCCTTAGTGAAGAACTTGGGTATTGGGGGAGGGGACAGTGAGACCTGGATTTCAAGTCCTAGCTCCACCAAGTGATGTCACCAACTGATGACATCGTGTAGGTGATTTCACCTCCTTTATCCTCCAGTCTCCTGCTCTGTGCTTTAACACCTCTCCCGCTGGCCTGGCCACTGCATGAGCAACACACCTGGAGATTGCAAGCTCTTTGCAGATTCCAGACACCAAACATAGTCCCCATACTGTGAACTGAGGAATGAACTGAGGGACATGAGAGCACTCAAGGATGTCCACAGAGGAAAAGAACCCCCTTCATACGTCTAATCAAGAAAGCAGACAACTTCCCCAAGCACCAAGATGTCAGCTGGACTTTTGTAAACTAGCTTTTTCCCTCACAGTCTCACTTTGCTTCCCATGTTCCAGTTTGCCTCCTTTCCCAAGGTATGGGCCCGGCTGTTCATGTCAGCAGGGATGGGCATGGGGAGAGGTCACAGAACATGGTTTATGTGGTCAAAGGTGTGGTGTCTCAGCAGGATGCCAGCCCAGGTGGCCCATGGCCAGCATGGGAGCTTTCAGGTGTTATCTCAGGCATCAAGGTTCATTATAGCCTCCCATATCTTAAAGGCAGGGAAAGAATGAAGAAAGGAAGGGAAGGGGAAGGGGAAGGGAAACGGAGGAAGGAAGGAAGAGAGGAAGGAAGGAAGGAAGGAGAGAGAGAGAAAGAAAGAAAGAAAAAAGAAAGGAAGGAAGGGAGGGAAAGGAAGGAGAGACAGAAAGGAAGGAGAGAAAGAGAAAGGAAGGAAGGGAGAGAAAGAAAGAAAGAAAAAGAAAAAGAAAGGAAGGAAGGAAAAGTAAGAAAAGAGAAAGAAAGAGAAAGAAGAAAGAAAGAAAGAAAAGGAGGGAGGGAGGAAGAGAGGGAAGGAAGGAAAGAGAAAGAAAGAAGGGAAGGAAGAGAGAGAAGGAAGGAAGGAAGGAGAGAGAGAGACAGAAAGAGAGAGAAAGAAAGAAAAAGAAAGAGGAAGGAAGGAAGGGAGGGAGGAAGGAAGGGAGGGAAAGAAAGAAGAAGGAGGAGAAGGAAAGAAGAAAAAGAAGGAGGAGGAGGAGAGGAAGGAAGGAAGGAAAAAGAAGGGAGGGAGGGTGGGAATCAAAGGGAAAGGATGTGCAAGAGCCCGGTGCCATGAGTCAGGAGACATTGGCTCCAGTGCCAGTTCTGCCCAACGACGTTGACTATGGTCTTAATTTCCCCATCTGTACAAGAGGTTGGATGATGTTAGTGTTTCTCAAAATCTATTTCATAAAACAACAATTCTATAAGTGCCCCCTCACAACAAGAGTTTCTGGGGTTCAATAACTCTAGGAAACACAGCCTGCCTTACCCCCTTTTGGTGATGCCCATTTGTATATTAAAGGCCCTGAGAAGTCCTGCAGAAGAGAAAACTCTTCAATCTTCTTACTAGACTGTAAAACCCAAGCAAGGATTTTTGTCTATTTTATTCCCTTGCGTGCTCACAGCCCTTAGAACACTGGTATGTAATAAATAATCAATATCTGTTGGATGAATGAATAAGTGAACTTTCTTCAACCCAGCGTTCCCCAAACTTCTATCACAGAACCTTTTTCTATTTCTCAGAGCAGCCCTAGGCATCCCTGAAATGCAGCCCTCCGAGGAACTCGCTGACTGGAACTCTCCACTCTGTCCGACCTTCTGTACCAGGTGCCTGTCTGTGGCGCTTCAAGCCCATGCAGCAGGTCTGGGGTCTGGACACGCTCACAGGGCACACAGCTGTGCTGCAGTGGAAATGGTGTCAGCTCCTCTCTCGGGGCATTCACGGTTTTTGACACCCACGCTTAAGTGCTTTTGTGGTTCTGAAGACGGAAGGGTAGGTGCCTCAAACAAGGGGCACCCGGGCCCTCCAGGAGGGCTCTCCAGCCCTTCCCCAGGATGCAGGATTTCAGCCACAACCCAGCTCACATCAGAGCACATGGGACATTGTGAAACACCAACCAGCTCCCACATGCCAGCTTTCACTCCTCCCTCTCTCCCAAGGCTACTCTTCAAAAGCACCACTCCCAGCTGTCCATCTACGTGGCCCCTGCAGGGGCTGAGGGCCGTGGGCTTTGTGTGCCCAGCATTCTCCTCTCTCACTTGTTCTGGTCCCTTTGGGCAACTCCAGCTGTCTATCCGGCCTTGGCAGAGTGTCTGTCATGATCCCCACCTCCACCTGCCCCCCCAGGAGCCAGAGGGGACAGCGGATGATCCAGGCTGGACATTACGGCACCCATTGCCCTTGACTCCACAGATGTTTTTAGGGAAAAGACGCCTGACCAGGCAAAAGCAGTCAGAGGTTTCCCTGCAATCAATGGTGGGAAATAGGGAAAAAGAAATCCTCTTTCCTCTGGATTTGTGGCGCCAGGAGAAGGTAGGTCGGGGCTGCTGGTGACTCACTCAGCTGACACTTTACAGCACAGAGCTGAGCAGAGCCAAGCGATGGAGGGAGATGCCCAGATGACCCTGTTTGAGCCCCTGCTGTCAGCTAGTTCCACCCATCTCCCAGGTCGGTGACTGTAGCAGGCTGGCGACCGGCTGCCCCAGCTTCATTTCTGATCCCCTTTCCTCTGGCTTCTCTTATAGAGGCAGAAACTGCTCACAGCTCAGTTTTCCAAGCCCTGATGAAGCTAAGGGTGCCCTTGTGAACCAGCACAGCCAAACTGTGTCACTTGGCCACCACACTCCACTTTCACACCTATCCACACCACCCAGTGCGTGGTGCCTTTGTGGCTCCTCCCAGAGAGAGGTAGAGTCTATTTCTCCACCTTTTTTTTTTTTTTTTTTGAGACAGAGTCTCACTCTGTTGCCTGGGCTGGAGTGCAGTGGCACGATCTTGGCTCACTGCAACTTCTTCTTCCCAGGTTCAAGTGATTCTCCTGCCTCAGCCTCCCAAGTAGCTGGGATTACAGATACGTGCCACCACGCGCAGCTAATTTTTGTACTTTTAGTAGAGACGAGGTTTCACCTTGTTGGCCAGGCTGGTCTCAAACTCCTGACCTCAAATGATCTGCCTGCCTCGGCCTCCCAGAGGGCTAGGATTACAGGCATGAGCCACCATGCCCAGCCTATTTCTCCACCTTTAATCTCAGCTGACCTCACGACTTTGGGGCAATAGAAGGTGGGAGGAGTGACACTGTGCCAGGCCTGAGCCTAGGTCTCAAGAGCTTTTGGATATGTCTGCTCCCTCTGTTGAACCCCAGCCCAGTCACCATGTGAGCAATCCCAGGCTAGCCTGCTGGTGGAAGGGAGACATCCCAGCAGCTGACAACTCGCCAACACCAGCCACGTGAGAGGGCCATCCTAGATCGGACGGTCCCAGTGGAAGACCAGTCTTTCACAGACACATGACCGAGCCCAGCTGAGATCAGCCAAGCCAGCCTCAAATCAGCAAAACTTCCGAGCCAACCCATAGACTCATCAGCGACAATGTGTGGTGGTTTTTAGCTGTTAGGTTTGGGGATGATTAGTCACGCAGAAACAGATCACTGATATAGAAACGTCATCAGAACTGGCTGTGGACCTCCTTCCATTTTTCTATTTTTGTTCTTTTCCTTCCTATGAGTAAGGGCTAGGAATTTGCAGCTGCCTCACAACCTCAACAGACCAGGCTGGGGACAATGGGGCAGAAAGAGAGGAGGGGTTGCTGAGCGTTCTCTCCTGCCCCGGACTGCCTGCCTCTGAACTTTTTTTTTTTTTTGAGACAGAGTCTTACTTTGTAGCCCAGGCTGGAGTGTGGTGGCACAATCTAGGCTCACTGCAGCCTCCGCTCCTGGGTTCAAACAATTCTCCAGCCTCAGCCTCCTGAGTAGCTGGGATTACAAGAACGGGACACCACACCTGGCTAATGTTTGTATTTTTAGTAGAGATGGGGTTTCACCATGTTCATCAGGCTGGTCTCAAACTCCTGACCTCAAGTGATCCACCCACCCCGGCCGCCCAAAGTGCTGGGATTATAGGTGTGAGCCACCACGCCTGGCTCTACCTCTGAACATTATGTGAGACAAAGAAAACCTTTATTTATGCCAACCGTAGTCAGAGTTTTTGTTCGTAGCCAAACACATTTCTGATACAATCAATAAATTACCTTGCTTGCTTAAGCTAGTTTTGAGTTGGATTTATGATCTTAACCAAAACAGCCCCTTTGTGTATTCCTGTTCATCAGTTCCTTTTGTTGGGGGGTAGCTCTATAACATGTAGTTTTCACAAAACACAAGGTTTAAGAAAATGTCATTTTTCATGGCTCTTCTGATTGCTCTTTAGCCCACAGACAGAGGGACCACATTGGTTTGGGGTCGCACAGAGAAAACTCAGAAGCAATGCTATGGTGTTTGCAGTATGAGGGCTACACATGTTGGAATATTCCCAGGTGAGAAAAGTAACAGGTATTCTCGTAGAGGCCTCCAAGGGGTCGGAAGACTACTCCAGGGATCCTATTTCTCAGGTCTTTGGTGGTGCCTCGTGCTGAGGAAGCAGTGCCTGGCCATGACCCAGAGAGTGAGTAATTGAGATACTCACCAGAAAAATCTCGCTTTGCGAATAGCCCACTATGTCTTCTGAAAGTCCAGGTGACTGACAGTTTTGTTTTGTTTTGTTTTGTTTTGTTTTATTTTATTATCTTATCTTTGAGACAGAGTTTTCACTCTTGTTGCCCAGGCTGGAGTGCAATGGTGCAATCTTGGCTCATTGCAACCTCTGCCTCCCAGGTTCAAGCAATTCTCCAGCCTCAGCCTCCCAAGTAGCTGGGATTACAGGCCCCCACCACTATGCCCAGCTAATTTTTTTTGTATTTTTAGTAGAGATGGGTTTCACCATGTTGGCCAGGCTCATTTCGAACTCCTGGCCTCAGGTGATCGACTCACCTTGGCCCCACAAAGTGCTGGGATTACAGCTGTGAGCCACCACACCCGGCCTGATAGTTTTATTTTAATTGTCTCCTGCATAGCTCATCTCTGAGAAACTTTCTCTGTCTGGTTCAGAGTAGGAAGGAGCACAGAAAATGTCTGTCCAGTGAGGGAAGGAACAGAGAGTTTAGTTAAAAAGGACGACATTTCTCTCTCTCTCCGCTGTTTTGTGACACACACACTCTCTCTCCACTCTCATTTTCTCCCTCTCTCTTGGGAGCACTGAGAAGCAGATGAGCTCCTGCTCCTGCCCCTGTTGCTAGGTGATCCCCCCAGTGCTCCTGGGAGCTAAAAAATGACTCATTCACGAAGCAAAGATTGCAAGCTAAACATAGGAGGATACATCAGAACAGGGCACAGACTCTGCCTTAGGGAAGCCCGCAGCCTGCGGGAGCACAGGTGTGCAGACAGATGATTACAAGGCAGCGCTGAGTCCCTCAGAGAAGAACACACAAGCATGAGTCCAGATGAGTAGCCCCAAGCCCAGCCCACGGCAGGGTGGGAGCAAGGATGCTCTCCCAGAATACGCAATGCCCATTGAATCTCTGAGGTTAAGTAAGACTTCATGAGAAAGAAGCGCTGGTAAGAGAAAGAAATACCATATGCAAAGATGCACGTCCAGAAAGCAGCTCAGTGATTCTGGGGGCTCCACATGACCCAGAACAGCGGGGAAGAGGGTTGAGGACAGGAGCAGCCTCTCAGGGGCTGACTGCGGGGCTGAGTGCTGCTGGCTAACATAAGTCCCCTCACAGCCTTTAAAGGGGACCATCTTCTGTCTATAGCAAATTCCCCCAGGGAAGGACTCTGATGGACCCACTTTGGTTCACAGGCCCATCCCTGAGGCAGGGGAAGAAGCAGTGGTTTTCAAAACTTGGCTACATTTTACTTATTTATTTATTTATTTTGAGATGGAGTCTCACTCTGTTGCCCAGGCTGGAGTGCAGTGGCATGATCTCAGCTCACTGTAACCTCTGCCTCCCAGGTTCGAGCAAGTCTCGTGCTTCAGCCTCCCAAGTAGCTGAGACTACAGGCACCTGCCACCATGCTCGGCAAATTTTTGTATTTTAGTACAGACCATGCCTGCTCAAAACTCCTGACCTGGCTGGGTGAGGTGGCTCACACCTGTAATCCCAGCACCTTGGGAGGCTGAGATAGGCAGATCACGAGGTCAGGAGATCGAGACCATCCTGGCTAACACGGTGAAACCCCGTCTCTACTAAAAATACAAAAAAATTAGCCGGGGGTGGTGGCGGGCACCTGTAGTCCCAGCTACTCAGGAGGGTGAGGCAGGAGAATCACTTGAACCTGGGAGGTGGAGGTTGCAGTGAGCCGAGATCACGCCACTGCACTCTAGCCTGGGTGAAAGAGCAAGACTCCGTCTCAAAAAAAAAAAAAAAAAAAAAAGAAAGAAAGAAAAGAAAAAAAGTTAAGGGCTGCTGTGATCAGGGGAAGGAGGGCTAGGCAAACAGAAACCAGCAACAACAGACCCACTTCGCCAGAAGCTCAAGCTGGCATGGGCCAGTTGAGGCCACTGCAGGCATGGAGCCAAGGAGACCGATAGGATGGCAAGGGGTCTGGCCTAGGCTTCCAGTTCGTTGCTCCAGATTGAGATCCTACCAGGAGGGTCTTTGCAAAGCTCAGAACTTAGATCACTCAGGAAGGGGCCTGGCCATCTCTTCCTGCCCGAGCGGGTGGCTGGGGTGGCTGGGATGCTGCATAGAGCCCTGGTGCAGGAGGTAGCCACTGTGAGCCCAAACCCAGCTCTACCCTCATGCAGCCCTGTGCTACTCCTCTCCTGGGGACCTCAGTCTTCCTGCCCATAAATAAAGCTCTTCCAGCAGCAATAGCCTCTGACCTTTACTAGGTCTAGCCTGGCCCAGCCCCATCCATCCACCCACGTCAGATCTGTAACAAGTCCTGGAAAGGAGTTTGAGCACATCTCACTCCTGCTCTCCTGGGGAGTGGCCCAGACGAAATCTCAGATGAGGGAAAAGGGACGATTTGGAAAGACAAGAGAGTGAAGTAACCAAACGAATGCTTTGAGCAAAAATTCAAAATTCTGTGTAATTGGAAGGCAATATTTATACCAACCGTGGACACAACAGCAGTGATAGGTCAAGGAACACAGGCTTTCTTAATACTGGGTGAAAAAGGACAAAATTTATAAACTGGCAGGCCTGAAATTTTGGCCACAAGGGCCTGGCAGAGCAGCTGTCACCAACCTGAGACTGCAGCGTTACCATGAAGGCTGAGTCCTTACTGTGCCGGGCACTGGTGTTCCGGGGTCCCGGGGTCTCTTGGCCTGGGCTTTTACGATCTTGCTGGGCTGAGAGAACAGATCCTCTTGCTGATGGCACCTGTGGTCAGGATGGGGGCCAGCCATCGGCAGATGGCCAAGCTGACATTATTTGTTATTTAAGTTAATCGTCAAGTGTCTTGTTTTAATTCACCTGAAGGACCTCAACTTGCAAATTGTAATTAGCCAGAGAGAGAGAAAGGGCACAAGTACAGTCTTCCATCTATCTAACAAGACCTAACAAGGTCATCGGCGTGTGGGATCAAGAGACGCAAATGGCTGCTTCAAGGGAACTCACGGAGAAAACAATTGCCTGGAGATGAGTTTGTGCATCTGAAAGTGTGCCCGTTGTGGGAGAGGATCTCCATGCCCAGCCTGTCCGCCCTGTGAACGCTCATCACGCCTTCCTGCCTGGGCCTTCAGCTTTATTTTTGTGTGTTATTAAGTCTTGGGTTCAGAGGGAGATCCAGAACTCAGTGGCCCAAACTGGTGACCAGTATGGGATCTCTCTCTGTGGGCGCTGAGCGTGTTGGCTTTGTAGATTCACTCTGGGAAGCCCTGGACCGAACGCTCTCACCCATGGGGACCTAGTGCATCCAAGGATGGCCTTTTTGTTCCTTTGAGAGGCACTATGCCTTCCAAGAAATCCATTTGTCCCCCCAGGATGACACAGGATACGACCCCTTCCCCAGGAATCAAACCACTCGTTCCCTCAGGATTGGGTCATTTATTGATGCCCCTGTTCAGCAACTACAGTCATGTGCCATAGGACGTTTCAGTCGATGACAGACCGCATATAAGTTGGTGGTCCCATCAGATGATAATACTGCATTTTTACCGTCCATTTTCTATGTTTAGACACACAAATACTTACCATTGTGTTACAGTCACCTACAGTCTTCAGTACAGTGCCGCAAGTGCAGGTTAGTAGCCTAGGACCCACAGGCTAGACCATGTAGCCTAGGTGTGTGGCAGCCTCTACCATCTAGGTTTGTGTGAGTACACTTTTATGACATTTGCACAAAATCACCTAATGACGCATTTCTCAGAACGCATCCCCATTTGTTAAGCGACACATGACTATACTTAAGAGCATGGACAACAAGCCAGGGTCTGGGCCAGGTGTGGGGATTCAGCAAGAAGCAAGACTGGCTTGGTCCTTCCTTCAGGACACTGACAGTTCAGGGGACAAGTAATTACAACTGCAGTGAATGTTGTGAGTGGTAAGCACATCAGTGGGGCAAGAGCGTGGACCAGAGCGAGTGATCAGGGGGCCCAGACCCCCTAAGGAAAAGTGACTTGTAAGCCACACCCCCAAGATAAGGAGGAGGGGATGGAAGAGCCTCCTGGGCTCAGCTAGCGGTGCGTGCAGCGTTACCCTGAAGGCCTAGTCCTTACCGTGTTGGGCACTGAGACTGGCATGTTAGAGGAAATGCTTTTGCAGCTGAACCGTGGACTCAACAGAGGAGAGGAAGTAGAAGAAATAGACAAAGCCAGTTTTGGTAGCCCTTGTAGGCATGAGCCCTTTGGCTTCATTCTGAGGATAACAGAAGACCATGAAAGTATTTTGGAGGAATTGCCTTTTCCTTTTGGTTCCAGAGAGATCCTTTTGGTTCCATGATAGTGATGGATTGTAGGGAGCGGATGCAGGGCAACTCCAGCATTGAGATTGGCTCCTTTTGGATACTCAATTGCTATTTCAGATTATTCAGCTACTTTTGAGTAGAATAAAAGAACTGGGCCACAAAACATCAATTGTGAAAAGTGGAGAAGCATGACACAAATTAAGGAATTATTGGGTGAAATCTGGCTTGAGGGAAATAGATTAATCAGGAGGGCACCTAGTGTAACAACCAACCTCAAAATTTTCAAAGGCAAAACACCATAAAAGTTTAGTTTTGCTCATACAACCATCCCCCAAGGGTGTTTCTGGTTATAAAGCTCTCCTGGATGGCTCTCCTCCAGGGGGTGACTCGGGATCCAAGCTCCTTCTAGCTTGCGGTGCTGTGGGATTTTCTGCATCTGGCCAGCAGATGATGTAAGAATGTGGAGATTCGCATGAGGAGGTTTTCACAAATCAGGCCTGGAAGCAGAGTATGTCACCTCCATCCACATTCTATTGACCAGAACCTGAAGACAGGCCTGCACCTCACTGCAAGGAGGCTGGGTAATGCAGGCTACATGTAAGCCCAAGAGGAAAAGGGAAGTGGTTTGGGGGAAACTAGCCTATCTCTGTCACAGAGGAGCTGCCACTGGGAAACTCAGACCCGGAGAGGAAAAGTTGTTTGCTGATGGTTACCCTTCAGGTTGGTGACAGCAAGGAGACCAGAATCTTACAATTCTTGATTCTCAAATCCATCATTTTCCCCTTTTCTGTAGTGGGCATGCTTATCAATATGTGGTGAGGTCATGCTGCTCTGAAGTGTCAGGAAATAGAAAATCAGTCCAGCAAGCTTTTATGAGGGCCTGCTATTGCAATTGGTAGAAAGACAACAAATAGGCCGGAGGCGGTGGCTCACGCCTGTAATCCCGACACTTTGGGAGGCTGAGGCAGGGGGATCACAAGGTCAGGAGATCGAGACCATCCTGGCCAACATGGTGAAACCCCATCTCTAATGAAAATACAAAAATCAGCCAGGCATGATGGTGCGCACCTGTAGTCCCAGCGACTCAGGAGGCTGAGGCAGGAGAATCACTTGAACGCAGGAGGTGGAGGCTGCAGTAAGCTGAGATTGCGCCACTGCAGTCCAGCCTGGGCAACAGAGCAAGACTCTGAGAAAGAAAGAAAGAAAGAAAGAGAGAGAGAGAGAGAGAGAAGGAAGGAAGGAAGGAAGGAAGGAAGGAAGGAAGGAAGGAAGGAAGGAAGGAAGGAAGGAAGGAAGGAAGGAAAGAGAAAGAGAGAGAGAGAGAGAGAGGGAGAGAGGGAGGGAGGGAGGGAGGAAAGAAAGAGAGAAAAGAAAGAAAGAAGGAAGGAAGGAAGGAAGGAGAAAGAGAGAGAGAAAGCAAGAAAGAGACAAATATATGATTTTCTGCCTTCAAGTAGCTCACTGTTTCCCAGGCAAAGGGGACCATGTGCCAGGGGCATTCAGAGTAGAAAAGAAATGGTATCCGGCCCCTTAGGAGACAGCGGTGAGCTGAGCCTCAAAGGGCAGGCAGGGCTTTTGTGTTTGTTTCAATTTTGTTGTGTTTCTGGGGTTTTTTGTTAGTGTTGTTGTTTTGGTTTTTGTGCTTTTTCTAGTTTTCATGGAGGTGCCATTTGGGCTATAGGGCCCTGGCAGTTAAGGACATTAAATATTTATTCACAACCCAGCGTGACCTCTCCTGGATGTCTATCTCAGAGACATCTCCTCTCACACCCTGCGTCTCGCATCTTATGGTACAAAAAGAAGCCCTGCCGCCCCTTGAGGCTACTCCAGCAGTGTAGTTTGGAGGATCAGGGACTTTGAGACCACCAGGGTGTCCATTGCTGAAGAAATGCATGAGAAAAATGTGGTGAATTCTCACCATGGAAAAACATTGTGCATGGTTATAAGCAACTATTACAGACCATTGAATATACTTCGGTGCTAAGAGAGGAAAGAAAAAAAAAAACCAGACTGAGAGCTACGGCACGGAATTAGTCATGTTAATTAAAAGCAGATATACACAGAATAGCACAACATGTTTTATAAGGATTCATGCATATTTAAGAACATATATCAAATACATGAGGGAAAATGCCCATGGGGGAAACAGAATGGTGGTGGGAATCAGGGATAAATGAGAAAAAGGTTAAAAAAAAAAAAACCCAAACCCACAAAAAAGGTTGTGTGCAGTTCAACAGTGAGAATGTGCCAGGGGCTGGGAGATGAGTACCTTTGCTCTCTGTAGCTGAGTCTGATAAAAACAGAAAGATGGTCGGTGGCGGTGGCTCACGCCTGTAATCCCAACACTTTGGGAGGCCGAGGCAGCCGGATCACCTGAGGTCAGGAGTTCGAGACCAGCCTGACCAACACAGAGAAACCCCGTCTCTACTAAAAATACAAAATTAGCCAGGCATGGTGGGGCATGCCTGTAATCTCAGCTACTCAGGAGGCTGAGGCAGGAGAATTTCCTGAACCTGGGGGGCAGAGGTTGTGGTGAACCGAGATCGTGCCATTGCACTGCACTCCAGCATGGGCAACAAGAGTGAAACTCTGTCAAAAAAAAAAAAAAAAGTCCTGGTGCAGTGGCTCACACCTGTAATCCCAGCACTTTGGGAGGCCGAGGCGGGCGGATCACGAGGTCAGGAGATCAAGACCATCCTGGCTAACACAGTGAAACCCCATCTGTACTAAAAATACAAAAAAATGAGTCGGGCTTGGTGGCGGGCGCCTGTAGTCCCAGCTACTCGGGAGGCTGAAGCAGGAGAATGGCATGAACCTGGGAGGCAGAGCTTGCAGTGAGCCGAGATCGAGCCACTGCACTCCAGCCTGGGTGACAGAGCAAGACTCCGTCTCAAAAAAAAAAAAAAATCTAAACAGGGAAAGGGCAACCCAAGGTAGCAGGGTACCACACATAAGCCAAGACCTGGAATCTTCTTCCCCCAACTCTTCACTTAACCAGCTCCTTCTTATCTTCAGTCCTTGATCTGAACGTCCCCTCCCGAGAGAAGCTGGACCTGCTTGCCTTATATAAAATGCCCTCATCATTCCCTATCGTAGTCCTGTACTCTCTTGCGTATGCAACACACACTTTGTAATTTAAAATGCAGCTGCTTATTTATGGTCTGTTTTCCTCACCAATCAGCAAACTCTCTAAGGGCAGAAAGTCATTTTGTCTTACTGCCCAGCACACCAGCAGGGCCACACCTAGAATTAGTTTCAGCTCTAGGTCAAGCACATCACATGTATTGGCTTATTAAGCTCCCATCCCAGCTCTATGAGATGGGTCCTATTATTCTCTCTATTTTATAGAATGGAAACTTGGACACAGAGAGGTTTAGCAAATTGCCTAACACCACACAGCTGGAAAGTAGATGAGCTTGGATTTGACCCCAGACAGTCTGGCCCTGGAGTTCATGTTCATATCCGCTTGCTATACCACCTCTCCATACCACATTCACAGGGTGTACAGTGACTGAGTGAAAGAATGAATAAATGCAGGGGAGAACGGGGAGGTGGCCTGGATGATTACACCAGCATTAACAAACACGTTTGGGTGCAGCTTCCATTTCTAAGTTGTTATGCTCTAAAGAGTTATTTTTCCTCTAAGATGATAATCTTAATAAATTATAGAAAATTCTTTAGCTATTGCTTTTTATGTTATGGCCTGGGGTGGAGCACAGGAGAGTGATGAATGACTTTTTAAATTTCTTCACATTGGGTTAAAGAACTCTCCAAGACAAGACCTCATGTAGAATCTATAATTAATTATTATTCACACTTAATACAGTTAGATAATGTGAACACATACTTTCCATTAATTTATGTGGCCGATTCCTCATCATTTTCCCATAGGTATAGTTCACTGATTTCTCGAGTTATTAAAAATTAAAATTCATATTAGGGAGTTAGAGGAGCCTGGTGTCCCTATGCCTATTTTTAGTCTAAAGTCACAAGCTGGGTGGGAGCTTAACGCAACTGCTTCCTTTGGACAATTCTTTTGTTGTTGTTGTTGAGATGGGATCTTACTGTGTTGCTCAGGCAGGTCTCAAAGTCCTGGCCTCGAGCAATCCTCCTGCCTTGGCTTCCCAAAGCCCTGGGATTACAGGTGCCAACACCGTGCCTGGCCTATTTTATTTATTTATTTATTTATTTATTGACAATTCTAAATTAAAGGGAGTGGGTGCATTTACTCTTTTATTTGTTAATTCCTTAAAGGTTGACCAGTGACAGTTGATTGGTGACAATCCTGGGCCCACATGCTTGGGGGTCTACAGGGAAGACCAACAGGTGTCTGTTCCCAGTGAGCCCACTGCCTGCTGGGGAAGGCGGACAACGACCAGCTGCTGAGTGCTACCCAGGAGGCTGGGGACGAAGGGTACCTGGCCTAGACTGGGGAACGGGCAGGAGAAGGCGATGTCCGAGCTGACGCTTGGAGGGAGAGTGGGAGTTAGACAGATGGAGAAGGAAGGGAAAGGCATTCCAGGAGCAGAAACAGCATGTGCAAAGCATAGGAGGTAAGAAAGGCATGGAAGCTTCCAGAAGGCCAAATACTTCATGGGGGGAAGCACAAACATGGGGCAGTGGGAGTGAATGCTGGAGAGGGGCAGGGGGCATCATAAGAAAGTGCTGAAGAAAAAGAGAGAGGATGGTACTTTCCAGAAACCTCCATACAGGGATCTAAACACTTAGGGTGATCACAGATCCTTGAAGCTCATAGAGACCAACTCACTCATTATAAAGGTGAGGAAACTGAGGCCCACCTGCTTTAAAAACAAAAACAAAAAACCTTCATATCCAATGAATTCATCCCTGCCAAGGTCTCTGGGGCTAATACTCTCCATATGGCAGGGGCATTTACATTCCAGTTCCTGGGCACTACTCAGAAGGGACTTTCAAGAGGCGTGACATTGCAGACAGGAGCCCAACACTTCCCACTCAGGAAGCTCTGCAGGTGGAATTTTTCAGATCAGAGAATTGCAGGTGCCCTCCTGGTTACAACACAACCAGAGCCACTCCTGATTTGCATATTCTGCATAACTTTGCATAAAGCATTGACAAGCCTCAGAGCCTGTAAAAATAAAACTAATTAGAGTAGTGTCTTGCCCTAGTATCCAGACTTTGCATCTAAGAGGAGGGGAAGGGTCATCTTTGTCCTCTCTACTGCCCACTTGAGTACAGCTATTGGGGCTGGTCAGGGAGAGAAAGAGCCAAGGACAGTACTGACTTGGAGTCAGGCTGGGCTCTAATCTCAGCATTTCTGCTTCCTATGTGTGCAACCTTGAGAAAACCATGTCACTCACTGAAATTCAGTAAGGGGCCACCAACCCTATATATACAAAGGAGTGAGTAGAGTCATATGCTCTAGTATGTCCAGCATGCCTGCCACAATGTCCAACACATATTCAACACTCAGCAAATATTTAGATATGTGAGTCTGATCCAGGTGCAGCGAAATTTCCCACCTAATAATCAATGCCGGAAAATTTTGATCTCATTTCTGAACGAATTTCTTGCCTATACCTCCCAGAAAGGAAATGACCCATATCCCTAAAACAGAAGGGAAATCCCAGGTCCTGAGAAAATCACCGTTGACTGCGGAGTTCGTGAAATCAGAACATAAAATCCAACCTAGTGGGAAAACTGAAGCCCGGAACAGGAAAGTAAAAATCAAGGGCTGGAACCCAGGTTTCTCACCTTCCTGCTGGAGTTCCCACAGCTGCCCCCTGTAGACCTGGATTGAGGCCATTTTTTTTTTCCTGTTTTGGTAGTCCTTGGGATTCCAACCCTGCACGGATAAATCTGGCTAGAGATTCCAAAGATCAATGCTGCTTTCGATACTCTCTCCCTGCGGCAAGCTCACGACATATTTTTTCGCAAGTAATAATTAGCGACAGAAATATCTGACCTACTTACAACTCCACAAATACACACACTTGGCTGCCTGCACATCAGTTCCAAGGCCGTCAGAAGGAGCCTGTTTGGGAATAGCTTTTTTTAACCCGGTTGGATGCCACTTCTGTGGTGGGCAGTTTGGGATGCTAATTTCTGCCCACCTTACCTTTCAAGACTGGCACTGCCCCCTCTGTGCCCTGCCTCCTCCCCATCGAGGTGGCTTTTCAGGCCCTGAAGCTGGTGATTATTTTTACATTCAGTTCCCACAAGCAGAGGGGACACTGAGTCGTGGTTGGAAAGATAGATTATGCATAGATCTTTTCAGATTTCTCAAAGCAACTTAGGCAACATTGTGGTTTTTTTGTTTTTTTAATGCTAAACGAAAAAGGACAGTCTGGTGAATGTCCAGTTGTATAGTGTTAGTTCTGCCCTTGCATTTTGTAAACCCAGCCCTTCAAGGTTCAGTCAGAGTTTCCTACTCATCTCCCCTGTGTACTTTTACCTGGTGCCGGGATAACACCCCTCCCTTTCCCTTACCCTCAAATGCTTTCCTAGAATCTAAAATGTTCTTAGCAAAATTAAACTATGCAGGATCTGTGGTCCTGGGACAAGGCAGGGACAGGCCAGCGCTGGAAGACCTCGGTCATATGGCCAGAACATTCTGGAGCTGCCCTGTGGGAGGCCATGCTCCCTTCCAACTGCCTCTCCCAGAACCCCAGCACCACCAACTGTTGGGATTCAGCCTTCAAGTGACACTCGCTGTACTGCTACCTGCTAGTGAGGCATGGTGCAGGCTGGTGACGGTAGCGAGGGCACCTTTGTTGAGTTCCATAAGCGTTTATGGGGTACCTGCTATTGAGCCTGGAGACACGGTGAAGAAGACCTGTCCTTTCCAGTGCAGTTTATGGCTTTGGGCTGGCTTAAGCTGCCAGCGAAATAAACCCAAGCTACCAGGGTTTTAAACATCCCTGAAACTAAATAAGATTCAGGAAATGTGTAGTGAATGACCAGAGGGAGAATGTGGCACAGGATGGGAGACAGGAGGGGACTTCCTCCAGTCAGCAGACATCAGAGAAGGGTTCATGGGAGACACGCACCTGCACCTTATCTTATTAGTGTTTTCCAGGTGGGGATGGGGTCAGAGGGAAAGGCCACTGCAGCCCAAGGGAGCAGCTTGTGCAAAGGCAAAAAGGTCAGTGGAGAACGTGGAGCATTTGGGAAGCTGCATAAATGTCAAAGGCAGCATGGAAACTGAGGTTGGAGCGGGAGGTATGATGAGATTGGAAGGAACTCTGGAGAACATGGAAGGGATTCAGACTCTAACACGAGGGCAAAAGGGAGTCAGTCAATTGCTTTAAGAAAGGAGTCACATGATTCAGTTTGGACTTTATAGGTTCCTAATGCCAAGCACCATCTGGATAAGAAAAAAAATAGGAAGATTCTTCACAACTCTCCCACTCCCCATTCCCCAACCCAGGGCCCATGCCAGCCAGGACACTGGCATCAGGGCCATGCCAGCCAGGACACTGTCCTTCTCTAACCTTCAAAAGGTGCACAAAAATTAAAGAATGAGCCCGGGTGCAGTGGCTCATGCCTGTAATCCCAGCACTTTGGGAGGCCGAGGCGGGTGGGTCACCTGAGGTCAAGAGTTCGAGACTATCCTGGCCAACATGGCAAAACCCCATCTCTACTGAAAATACACAAATTAGCCGGGCGTGGTGGTGCACGCCTGTAGTCCCAGCTACTTAGGAGGCTGAGGCAGAAGAATGGCTTGAACCTGGGAGGCGGAGGTTGCAGTGAGCCAAGATCGTGCCACTGCACTCCAGCCTGGGCAACGGAGCAAGACACTGTCTTTAAAAAAAAAAAAGTTGAAGAATGAGAACATTGGCATTGGCAACAATGCAGCACTTTTGGGAGGTCAAGTCCTGGGGGGGCAGGAGAAGGAGGCAGGAGAAGGTTGCTGTGGCAGTGCCCCCGGGGGACAGTTCTGCCATCCTACATCAATCAACGTACATGGCAAACTGCACACCTCTCTGTGTGGGTGTGGGGTTGCCTGTCTGCTTTGCACTTTTTAGAAAACTAAACAGATCTTGTTTACTTCAATTTTATGTTCACTAATGTTTTAGAAAAAATATATGCTGGCGTTATGTGACTAATGAAGACCTGTAAGCATTTCAGTGGCATTCTCTAGTTGTTACGATGTTGTGCACTTTCCCCCATTTGAGATGAGAAGTTAGTTTGTCTCCCTTCTTTTCTTCTTGAACTTTGTTGATATCATCTGAGGTTTTGGGATCCAGGTTATAATTGTTACATTATTGGCCTTTTGTCATATAACTGCCCTTATAATTATACATTTGGACTTTTTGTATTCTGTTATGGCCAGATTTATAATAATTTAAAATTCTGTCTGTTTTAACTAAAATTAGTGTTGTTGCTAGTTCTTTTGTTGTTGTTGTTTTGTTTTTGTTTTTGTTTTTTTTGATATGGAGTTTTGCTCTTGTTGCCCAGGCTGGAGTGCAATGGTGGGATCTCAGCTCACTGAAACTTGCGCCCACGGGTTCAAGCGATTCTCCTGCCTCAGCCTCCTGAGTAGCAGGGATTACAGGCATGTGTCACCAAGCCAGGCTAATTTTTTTGTATTTTTAATAGAGATGGGGTTGCTCCATGTTGGTCAGGCTGGTCTCAAACTCCCAACCTCAGGTGATCCGCCTTCCTCGGCCTCCCAAAGTGCTGGGATTACAGGCATGAGCTACCGCGCCCATCCGCCAGTTCTTTTTATATCATGATTTCTTCATGCCTGTGCTCTTAATTTTGTTTCATCCCTCAATAGTTTGGAGTACTTCTTCCAGTAATTTTTTAAAAAAGAGGTACAGAGGTAGTATATTTTCTGAGCTGTTGCATATCTGAGAATAAATTTATCTTGCTTTCTTACTTAAATGACAAGTTGGCTAGGTCTAGAATTCTTGCTTTACAACATTTTCAAACTTCTTAGACGCTTTGCCGTGGTCTGATAATGGCTGTGGAGTGAAGTAGTTTGGAAAAGCACAGATGAAAGTCCTAGGCTGCCTATGGCCAAATAACAGCTCCGCCATCTGCTGTGTGACATTGGGCGGATTACTTAACTTCTCTGTGTCTCAGCTTGATCTGTTAGCAGAGATGATGATAACTGCACCTATCTCATAGGGTTATGTGGAGGATACAATGAGCGAATGTGTGCACAGCACTTAGTTTATGCCTGGACGTAGTAAGCCCGATATGCATGTTTGCCCCTATCAGTTGGCCATTTAGGATTGCTCTCCATCCCTTCCTCCCCACATCCTTTGTATATAGCTGCCTTTTCTGCCTGGATAATTTTTAGGACTTTTCCTTTTGCTTTCTAATTTGAAAATTTTGCCACCACATTGCCTGGAACGTAGGGAGTCCTTCTGATCTGCACACACAGTTCCTTTTTCAGCTCAGAAGAGTTTCTTGGTATTGCCTCTTTGACTACAATGTTTGTTTCTCTTGTTCTGAACTCTCATTAATGAACACCATTTTTCATTCACTGGTCATCTCTTCTTTCTTCCCTATTTCTTCAAAACGATCCTATTATCAATCATCATTTTAATGTATTTTTTTTCCTCTGTACTCTTCCTCCAAATCACCAATTCAATGATCTGAGGCATCAGTTAGGTCTGCTGTGACTACCACCAGGGTGGTCATTGTGCTTTTCTGGTTTCCTTGCAACCTGTCCTTGTCTCTCCCACCTACCTCCTTTTCCATCTCATCTTGTTGCTTTTTGCAGGCTTTCTGCCTTCTTGTGCTCTACTGAGGATGGCTGAAATGACCTGTGGTGGGTCATTTTGGAGGTTTGCTCACCCACCGTTTCCCTTGTGCTACAATTGTTTCATCCATAGCATCGATGTTGGTTTTTTCCTTCCTAACTCATCTGCACATGAGGCCAGATGATGGATCAGCTCTCTCTTCACTGACTGGTGAGCTTCTTCAGCCCTTCAGTGGGAGGGGAAGTTGACGTTTGCAAATAGCGGTCAAATTTCCAATTGCTAGCAAATTTCCATGTAGTAAAACTCTGCTCTTCTGTTACTTCCTCCTACCTCCATCGTCTGCGTCTCTGTATTTTGAGTGAGGTTGCCATGCACGTTGGACCAAGGTTGGGCAGAAGTTCCTTGTGAAAGCACTTCGGGCTTCTGTCTCAGTTACCCCATGTCGGTTACCTCCAAGACCCTGGCAAATGCAGGCATGACATCTAAAGAGGCTGCCCCTCCTCCCCACTCAGCCTCCTCCTTATGGTAGGAGACCCCAGAGCTTCAGTGACATCCATTTAAATTGGTAAAAACAAATAGTCACATAACATAAGCAGATAAACACCATCTTTCCTTTAATCCCCTGCAGGGCCAGCGGTTTGCTAATTCTGTTTCTCTTAGGCATAGGGTACAATGTGCCTATCCCTGCTGGCACATGTGTTCAGGGTATGGCTGCCTCCACCTCCCAGTTCTTCCCTTGGCACCAGCCTGGGGAAAGCCATAACACCAAGGGGCTCAGAACTGATGCCCTGGTCACGTGCCCCTTCAAGGTGACTCAGATCAGTGTGATGCCATCTTTCTAAACCCATCCCTACGGAAGAGTTCCTCTATTTATGGTACTGGAGTCACCTGTGACAAGGATTCTTGGCTTGGCCAAACTTTAGTCAGACTCCTGAACCTTCTCTTAGGCCCATCTGTGCACTTCCTTATGAAGTCCAGTTTTAGAAAAAGAACCCTGCTAAGTCAGTGTAACCAGAAACCCCCGTCCTTGACATCTGATCATCCTCCATATCTGATCAGGTTCCTCATCCACCACCATCCCCCAGCAGATGTCTGATCTCCCTGGCCTGCCTTCAATGACAATCCCCAGAATCCTGTTAAATAGGTTTAGCCAGAATCCCCCTCACCCTGAAGGTTTCCTCTTGGTAATTTTCCATCCACTGACCCCACCCTGCCCCTCAGCTGTAAGTCCCACCTGCCCATGCTGTCTTAGAGTTGAGTCCAATCTGTCTCCCTGTTGCAATGGTCCCTATACCTACATCAAGAGTCCTAACTAAAGTCTTTGTTACCATGCTTTTAACAAGTATCATTGAAGAGTTTCTCCTTTAACCCCTGCATGAGAACCACCTGAATCCTGAAGCCCATCCTGAAATGTGCTGAGTCACAACCTCTGGTGGGTCTGCCCAGAAGCCCTCTCTTATTTTAATGCCATATCAAGTTTGAGAACTACCCCCTAATAGGGTCTTGAAGCTCTATTTTTGGCACAGCCCACGTCTCTTGATGGAAAAAGATTTTGCTCCTAGTCTGAAGCATAGTTCTCACATTGGTCCGTTCTCCAGGCACGTAGAGGGCTGGCATTAGACTCTCCGTGTTTATTTAAGGGGGATGATTTGGGGGGAGCAGAGAGGGAAGCAGTAACCTTGGGAGCAAAGCATGGGTCATGGCCCAGGCTTTTTTTCTGCCTCTACATCCTCAGGAGACTTTTCCCTGGTAAGATTGTGCAGATACTGTGGCTTGTGTACGGCTCACAGCTTAGGCACAAACAATGGAGTTCATTAATTCTCATTTCCAGGCGCACCTTCACCACCAATCCAGGCAGGCCCCCTCCACACTTTGTTTTATTGAATTCTCTCAGTGCCCCACCCTGCCCCCACCACTTCCTACCAGCATTAGCTGTAGGAGGATGACCAACGGGAGAGATTGCTCAGGCCTGAGGGGTTTCCTGGGACATGGGACTTTCAGAGCTCAAACTGAGGAAGTCCAGTGAGGAAATCCTCTCTCACTCTCTCACCCCCTCCTTCTTTCCCTTCCTCTCTCCTTTCCTCCCTCCCTTCCTCCCTCCCACATTCATGGAGCATCCGTCTGTACTGGAGATGAGCACAGTCAGGGCTCTGCCCTCAAGGAGCTCGCTGGGCAGTGGGGCACTGGGGAGTGGGGCGCTCCAGGCACAGGAGTCAGCCCTGAGAAGTCCTGGAGGTATTGGGTGCAGCAGAGTGGGACAGAGAGGATTAACGGAGCAGTGGAGAGGTCAGGCCTGCATCCTACTCCAGGCCCCACTCATTACCCACAGCACCTAGCAAAGCCATCCACTTGTCCTAGGGTGGGGCACAAGGCTCAGGGATGACTACACGTTTCCCAGGAGCCCTGTGGATTGGGCCCGGTAGCTTAGCTGGGACAAGAACCAGGGAAAGGCTTCAGCCACTGACTGGTGCCATTTGGGAAGTGGCCACAAGGTGGTAGCAGAGGATCGGTGGCGTCACCTAGCTACAACCCCAGAGCTCTGGTGATCTGGCTGTGGCCGTAGATAGCTGAGCCAGTCTCTGTGCCAGATCCTGGGACAACGTGGTCACCACTCTGATGAATGGAGAAGGTGAGAGTCAAGGTGTCAGAAATGCATGTACGTGCATGTATGTGGGCACATGTGTAAGTATACGTATGTCCATGCATGTCGTGGTGTACGCATATGATGCCTATATATGTATTGTGTGTGTGTGTGTGTGTGTGTGTGCAATGTGTACATGTGCATGTATACATATGTGGGCATGGTATACACATGTATATTTGCTCACATGGGTGTGCTCACATGTGCACACCTATATACAGATATGCATGCCTTGTGTGCACACGTGTGTTGTGCTCATGCGTGTGAGCATTTGTGTATGTGTTGTGCATATGTATGTGTGCATGGCTTTGTATGTGTATGGGCATATGTGTGTGCATATGATTCATGCCCATGTGTAGATATGTGTGTGTGTGTCTGTGTGCACAACATGTGCATGCGTATGTGTCTGCATTGTTGGCTCCCCCATCCCGAGCCTTCCAACGGTCTGTCTCAGGGATGACAGATGACTGAGCTTCCGAGGAAGCCAAGATGACGGACATAAAGCTGCAGCTGAAGATTGTTCAGGACTCGGCCAAGCAGCTGCCCACAGCCAAAAACTATGCGTGGAAGGCCTGCCAAGCGCTAAGCCACCTGTGCGCTAAGCCAAGCACAGGGAAATGTACAGCGTGTGGAAGGTGTTGTAACCACCAGCAATACAGTATTGCTGGTGGTCAGGGAAGACCTCTGTATGAAGTGACCTTTCAGCAGAGACAGGAAGGAAGTGAGGGCTCAAGGCAGGCGGATGTGGACGGGGAGGGTCTAGGCACTCCTGGGGCAGTGCTGTGTTTGGGGCAATCAAGCAGCAGCAAGGGGTGGGTGAATGAGGGGGGAGCTGGAGAAATTAAAGTTGGGGGTGGGGGCACGTGATTCTGAAGCCCACCTGGGTCCTGGCCACCTTTGGTTTCATCTCCGCCCCCTGGCTGCCCCTCCCCTCTCACCTGGATGCCTGCAACAGCTCCCCAGCCTGGGGAAGAAGCCCGGAAGCTTCGGGTCCTGATGCAGCCTCATTTTTCCTCCTTCCAAGCCTTGGCGCCACCCTCTCCCCCGCCCCTGCCGTTCCCTTGGCTTCTTCTGCTCCCACTGAATTGTACGTCTGAATCCCACTCAACCTTCCAGGCCCACCTCACCCCTCACCTCCTCCAAGAAGCCTTTCCTGCCTTCTTGGAGGGGAAGCCTCCCACCTCACAGCCCAGTGTGGGTTGGTTCTGTCCCCACGGCTAGCCCATCAGGATTCCTGAGGATAGGGGCCCTCCACAGCACCCTCTCCTCCCCATCCTTTCCAACTCATGGGACAGGAGGCTATACAGTCATCTTGGAAGATCTGAGGGCAGGAGACTGTCCAGGATGGTCTACTTGGCTGGGCTGGGAGGAGAGTAGCACACTGGGTTTGTGGCCACCATCCCCAAGGCCCTGGATGTCAAAACTTCTAAATTTTGTCTTACAGTGTTAAAGGGCAGGCTCTGGAACCACATTGCCTGGATTGAGTCCTAGCTCCACCACTGAGCAGCTGAGTGACCTTGGGCAAGCTACCTAGCCTCTCTGTGCTTTATTTCCCCATGTGCAAAACAAGGATAATAGTAGGGCTGTTGTAGCATATATGTAAAAAGCGCTGAGTTCAGCAGCACATGGCAGAGCAAGGGCTTATAGAGTTATTAGCTACAATTGTTACTACCAGGTTCAAATCTAGCTGCATCTCTGTGATCTTGTACAAGTCAGTTAACATCTGGACCACCAAAGCCCAGCCACTGTCCCCTGGCATCTTGAGTGTGCTTGTGCACACACACACACAATGGATTTTGTTTTGTTTTGTTTGAGACGGCGTCTTGCTCTGTCGCCCAGGCTGGAGTGCAGTGGTGCGATCTTGGCTCACTGCAACCTCCACTTCCCAGGTTCAAGCAATTCTCCTGCCTCAACCTCCCGAGTAGCTAGGACTACAGGTGTGCGCCACCACACCTGGCTGATTTTTGTATTTTTAGTAGAGATGGGGTTTCACCACGTTGGCCAGGCTTGTCTCGAACTTCTAACCTCAAGTGATCTGCCCGCCTCAGCCTCCCAAAGTGCTGGGATTACAGGCATGAGCCACCGCGCCCGGCCCACACAAAACGTTTGTTCACTTGTTTACTATCTGCCTTCCCTATTGCAGACCTGAACGTAAGCTCCATGAGGCAGCGCGTTGCCGTTCATCAGCGAAGCACCAGCTCCCAACAAAGTGTCTGGCAAATAATAGGTGCTCAGTCATTATTCCACAAACAAATGAACAAATGTGGACCTTCTTCATTTGTCAAACAGGGGATGATCATTCCTCTCTCACAAGGCTACTGTTGGAAATGAACGAGATCACAGCACATGGAAGCCACACTCAGTTTTCCTCCACGAGTGGGAGAAGCATCTGGGGACGGCTATCTTGGAAGTGGACGCCAGGAGGCAGCAAAGGGCCAAGTCACTCAGGACACACTTAATCCTTGCCAAGGATTTCCAACCCGCCAGCAAGCAGGAAGAGGGAGCAGAAAAGAGACGAGGGGGGCCCTCTTGCAGCTCCTGCCAAGTGCCAGGGAGCTGTAGGCTCTCGTGGAGCAGATTGATGCACCTCACTCGTTCCTTCAGCAAGCCTTAATTGAGTCACAGAGAGGTAAACAGACAGATTCTCACTCTTGTGGAGCTCTGAGCCTAGCAAGGAGACAGTCTCTCGACACAATTAAAGGAAGCTGTCTGCGCTGAAGGCAGCAGGTCTTCAAGTTTCCTTGAGCACAGTGACCCTGTATTTTAGGCTGAGATGTGATAGCTGAGCAAGAGTTAACCAGGTGAAGAGGAAGGGAGGTGGTGAGAGCTTCAGACAGAGGGAACAGCCTGTGCAAAGGCCCCAAGGCAGGAAAAGGCAAGTTCATTTCATCTTTGGCCCAGAGACAAAAAGTGACTCTCCAAGATCACACATTGAGAAGCAGAGCCCAGCTTTCTGGCTCTCCCTCCAGGCTCCGTCCCGCATCCCTAGTTTCCCTTCCAACAAGCTTCAGCTCTGCTGTAGCAGCAGCTGGGCCGGAGGCAGAGGAATTTTGGCCCGGACACAGCCTGACCCAACTTCCCCAGAATATGAGCTCATAAGAGATTTTAATTTTGATGTCTAGACTAAGACAATGACCAAATGTCCTAGGGCGAATGAGGCTGATAAGAGCCTATATTTGGGGAAACGAGGCAGCCCTCTCTGTTATCATGTTTCAGAGTGGCCCTTGGCCAGGGCAAGGGGGCTGCGGAGGCCGGCGGAGCTAAGCATGGAGGTTTCTAACGCAGTGAGGGCATTGGCTGGGACTCAGAGATGCTTGGAAAGTTGCAGTTAAGACTGACCCTCATCTAGATGAGCATTCCAAGGAGCCTTAGCATGGGACAGGGCAACCCTGTTTTATCAGTGGGAATAGATAAGGTTATACTGGAAACAAAACAACTGCTAAATCCAAGAGGCTTCAAACCATAAAGATATATTTCTCATACAGAGTCAACTCCATGCTGGCTGGGCGTGGCCCCTGGGTACCAGGCCAGGAGGAGAGCAAGGGAAAACTTGGAGCATCTGCAATTGAATGCTTCCACCCAGTGGCCACAGCCAGCTGCGTCCATGCCCAAGGTCAAGGTGGTGGCTTGGTGCTGTCATACCGTGTGCTGGAGGAGGAAGAGGCCCAGGGACATAAAGCAAGCACGGGCGTCCATCTCCCCACCGTGGCATGAATAGAGATGCCTGGGAAGCCACAGTGGGAGCTGGATCTCATTTAGCCAGTTGTCCCAAAAAGACAAGGCCTTGGGCTGGGCAACCTACCTTGGACAGTTGTGTCATTCATGAGCAATTACTCTCTGCCCCGTGCTCCGGGGGTGTTAGGACATTTAATCCTCCCAACAACACTCTTAGGTAGATGCTGATGTTCTGCCCCATTTTACAGATGAGAAAACTGAGTCATAGAAAGGTTAGATAATCTGGCTGAGTCCACCCAGCATGTCAATGCCAGAGTGAGACATCACACCAGGCGTCCCACCTGTGAACCTGTGCCCCTAGCTGCCAAACAGGTGTTGAGAAAGACTGGGATACCCCACAAAGAAAGGCCTGGGGGCCAGGGCAGGGGTGCCAGGGGAGGTGTAGGACGCAGAGGGCTACTGACACAAGTACTTGCAGCTTTGCAGGGAGAGAAAGAGAGGGAAAAGAGGGGTCTTATGAGGAGCAGCTTCTGTGGTAAGCAAAGCTTTGAGTGGAGGTTGGGGAAAGAGGATTGTTAGGACGTTTTTCTGCCACAGGATACAAGTTCTGACTTTGTATTGTAGATTTCAGCAAAGATTATGGCTTTTCCATGCCTTTTTCTTTCACAATTATTTTCTTTTTTTTTCGAGACAGAGTTTTGCACGGTCGCCCAGGCTGGAGTGCAGTGGCATGATCTTGGCTCATTGCAACCTTCGCCTCCCAGGTTCAAGCAGTTCTCCTGCCTCAGCCTCCTGAGTAGCTGGGATTACAGGCACATACCACCCTGCCCAGCTTTTTTTTTTTTTTTTTGTATTTTTAGTAGAGATGGGGTTTCGCCATGTTGGCCAGACTGGTCTTGAACTCCTGACCTCCTGATCTGCCCGTCTTGGCCTCCCAAAGTGCTGGGATTACAGGCGTGAGCCACCATGCCCAGCCTATTTGCATTTGTGTGTGTGTGTGTGTGTGTGTGTGTGTTTTTCTAATTTGGAAGGTTTTCTAATGCACAGAATAGTTGAAAGAATACCCCTATCTGAGATCCACCATTAACATCTTACTGTATCCCCTCCATCGAGCTCTCTCTCTCTCTCTATTTCTCTTCTTCCTCCCGCTCTTTTGCCAAACCATCCAAAATTAAGCTGCAGACATCATGATACTTCACCCCCAGATACCTCTCCATCTCTCAGGACCAAGGTCATCCTCCTACGCAATCTCACACCAGTGCCACACCAGGGATAATCAGCATTGGGCAACATCACCCAACACAAAGTCCACACTCGCATTCCACCAGTTGCTCCAAAACATGCTGCTATTTATTTTTCCAATCCAGGATCCTGTCAAGTGTCATGCATGGCATTTGGCATTTGGCTGGTGTGTACCCCCTCACTCTGCTCCTCATGACACTAAATCTTTTGAACAATCCAGGCCACATGTCCTGCATAATATCCCACGATTCCCAGGTTAGCTTCAGGCCGAACTTTTCCAGCAAGGGCAGCACATCCTGTCAGCCCACATCACATGGACAAGGGCCAGCCTGACTGCTTTGGGGAGGTGCTGGCTGCCCGGCCCTGCCATGCTCAATGCACACCCCGTCTGCAGGGAATACAAAATCTCTGGAGTGATACTTCAAAATTGTGAATATCTTGTTCCCCAACCACTGGCATTCCATGATCTCTTCACATGCACTGATGATTCTCACCTGAATCACTCATCACATTGGAGGTTATGAATGTTGATTTTCTAATTTTTTTAAGACAGGGTCTTGTTCTGTTGTCCAGGCTGGAGTGCAGTGACACAATCATAGCTCACTGCAGCCTCAAATTCCTAGGCTCAAGTCATCCTGCCTCAGCCACCCCAGCAACTGAGACTACAGGTGTGAGCCACCACACCCAGCTAATTTTTAATTTTTTTTCTTAGAGATGGGGTCTTGCTATATTGTCCGGGCTAGTCTCCAACTCCTGGCCTCCAGTGATCCTCCCACCTCGGCCTCCCAATAATTATTTACACAGATAGCAAGAGGAGGCCTGGTTCTTCTGATGCAGAACTATCTGAGACTTGTCTATGGCCCCCCAGTGCTTTCCAGGTCACCCTGATGGCAGGTGGTAGGAGGGTGGGCAGGCTATCATGGTAGAGGAGGCTGGCGCCAGGCCCAGCTCCATCACCAACTGCCTTTGGGGCCCAAGTTGGTCTCAGAACCAGCAGCACTGACTCACCTGGGAGATTGTTGGAAACCCAGGCCTCCGAGTAGGAACCTGCATTCCAATGACTCCAGGGGACCTGTGTGCAAGTGAACAGAGTCCGGTAAGAGGTGGCCTGAGGAACCCCATAAGCCTCTCTGAATTTGAGCCTTTCAAGGTTGAGACCATGAGTCAAACAGGCTCAGGCCCATGTTTTTCAGAAAAGCAGATTCTAATACCCGCCTACACAAGAAGGTGATGAAGGTTATGATGACAACAGCAACAACAACTGCCATTTCTAAGGAAGGAAAACGAGCTTGGACATTTCACCAAGGTTTTTGAAGAGTATGTTTGTAATCAATAAGAAGGGTAGAATTTGTAGAGGAGAGGGCCTGGGGGTCATTAATCAGAAATGTGATGGGTTGGGTTGACCTGTTCCATCACAGGGCCACACAGACCGTCTTCCTAAAGTTTCTGTACTGCAGAAAGAGAATAGCCCACACCAGGGGGTGGGTGGGAAGGAGCAGGGACAGAGGGGATGGGAGGGAACAGGAGGCAGGGTGTGTGGCAGAGCACAGTGAGGCAAAAGCCTGCAATTGCGTTAAGTCTCCTCAGCCTCATGTGTTCACTTCCAAATTCATGTCAAATTCTCCTGTTTCATCATAAATCCATGTTTGTTTCAATATTTTAAAAATGTTTTAAACTGCCATCAGGAGAACATCAATTTCCTACCCTATTCATCCCACGGCTTTGTCCCTCCCCAAAGCAGCCCTGGGCCCCAGGGATTTGTGAAGTTTCCAGCAGAGAGGGACCCAGCAGAGAGGGACCTGTCCACAGCTGCAGGAGGCCTTGGCGGGGTAGGTAGGTGTTCACAGCTGCGGAGAGACAGGGAGGCTCTGATTTGTCCAGAATCTCAACTGGGTGAGATGCTTCTGCTCCACACAATCCTCACCTGTGTCCAGTGTTTTCATCTCCAAGGCTTTTACTGCAACCTCCCCTCCCATCAGGTTTTATACAAGCTCCATGGGCCCTGCTGGCCAGGCATCATGACCATCCCATTCTACAGATGAAAGCGGCTGAGGCACAGAGCAGTGCAGCAGCTCATCTGAGAGTGCATGTCAAGTGACTCAGGTGTTCTGACTTCTGGACCAGTGAGTCTTCCTGCTGGCCTGGCCCGGAAGTCTCATCCCTTCCCCAATGCAGAGGGAGGCATCTTCCAGTAGGACGAGCAGGATGTGGTGTGCTTGCCCAGCAGTGTTGCCAGGGGTGGAGGAGAAAGGTTCCGCCTGCCTGCTCCAGGGTAATCAGAGCCTCAGGAAAGGAGGCTGTTCCGCATCAGGGGTCAAGTGAGAGGAAGGGGAGACTGGGAGAGCTGTAAGTTCTCGAATCCAGGCAGCCCCAGGCTCGCCCATTTTTAGGGCCTGTGGGCCACCCCAGGCTGGGGAGCAGAATGTGCACAGTTTGGGGGTTGGGGAACAGGAGTGACCTTGAAGAGGAGTCAGGTTTCAGCCCAGGCCGAGGATGCTTTCTCACAGTCGCTGGGATGAGACAGGCTGCCTGAGCAAATAGTAAGCTTCCTGTCCGAGAGCTATGCAAGCAGAGACTGGCTGACCTCACCCTCCAACAGGCATGCTGCAGGCAACTTGCAGGCCATGTGTCGCATCGATCCTCAGGACCCCATTCCAATAGGTGAAGCAAGTCTCAATGCTTTGGCCCTTGCCCTCATTTTCGGCTTCTCCATGAGGGGTGGTGGAGGACCCCACCGAAGGCCATGTCTGCTGTCTCTATGTGGTCTGGCAGAGGACATCAGGTCTCACGGAGAGGAGATGACCACAGAACTAGGAATCAGGAAACCCTTCCAACCCCACAGCATTGATCCACGGATGCTGTGTGTCTGAGCAAGTCACTTCACCTCTCTGAGCTGTCCATTCCCTTCCAGGCAGTGAGAATATTGCTCCTCCCACCTCAAAGGGCTGATTTTGGACACCCTCAAGAAATGGATGAGGGACTAGATTTTCAAAGTGTACTCTTGCTATCCCAGAAGACATTGGGATACAATTATCCCCATTTTGCAGATGGAAAAAAAGGAAGCTCAGAGAGGGGAAGCAGCTTGCCGAATGTCACAAAGCATGTCAGAGGCAGATTCCAGACTTGAACTCAGGGCTCCCAATCTCAGTTCAGAGCTGTCTCTCTCAAAAGACCCCACGAGCAGGATCACTGGAGAAAGGCAGGGTCCCCTCCCTCCCTGAAGATGTCAGTTTTGACAGTAACTGGTGAAGGAGCCCTTTGTCTCTGCGGTAGGACTTAGTCTGACAGAACAGGAGGACACTAGCTATCTCTCCCCTCCCTGGAGTGGCAGGGGATTCCCTTCCAGAAAATCTCATGGCTCTGCAACCCACACCCAGGCTAGACAAGAAAGATGCCCACACGTACCTTGCTCTAGGAAGGCTGGGGACCCCTCCCAGATCTGCCCCAATTGTCACTCTAATTGGTATAGCATGTCCACGTTCACAAAATGCTAGGTGACCTTGTGGAAGTCCTTCCGCCCTCACTAGGCCTCAGTTTCCCCATGCATAAGCTGTATCAGAGGTTGGGTGTCAATCTCTCACCACCATTGGCTCAGAACCAGCTCTGGCACACACAACAAAAATGGAGGCTTTGTTTCTTTCTTAAACCAAACAGATTAAAATATTCTGGTCCAAGGCAGCCTCGTGTGAGTCCGGTCCCCACACGGCTCTCACAGTCGGAGCATCCTCCCCAAGCCCGAGGGCTCCAGATGGAAAGGCTCTTCTGGGCAGCGGGCCAAAGGCAGCCCAGGCACATCTGCTTCCACTCAGTGCCCTCAGCCGGCCGCTCTGCCAAGGCCTTGGCCCACAGCCTCTCAGGCTCTCAGGGGCCTGGAGAGAGCGCTGGGTCCCATTATGGGGGAGACAAAGGCCCCTGGCAGGACAACACTTGTAGCTTGCACGTGGCTCTCCCGGCCCTGCACCAGCAGCCAGGCCTGCTCCCAGCCCAGACACCAGGAGGCCAGCCAGGGCAGATGCTTAGTGACTCAGGTGGCAGAAAGAGAGCCCACGAGTGTTTTACGCAGATGCAGGTCCTACAGGGCTGAGGGGCAGGGAGGGAAGGGCAGCCACTCAGAGGTGTGGCTGCTGGAGGGGAGGCTGAGGGGCAACCTGGGCCTGGTGGTGGAGGAAGGTGTTGGTTTTGGCATCAGACCTGAGTTTGAATCCTCGCTCTGCCACCTCCTAGTGGGGCAACCTCAGGCACACCCTTCGCCCTGTCTGGTTTCTCATCTGGAAGACGGGATGATGATGTTACCAAGTCTCACGATCACTGTGAGAATTACGTAAGTCCAGGCATGCAAAATGTCTTACATGTAGTGATGCCAAGCCAATAGTAGTTGCTGTGGTTATTCTTATTATTATTACTACTATAGACATTCGTGTTGGGGAGAATGAAGGAGGTCCCGGTTTTATATCCTGCTCCCAATACATTGCCCCAAACAGCAAGCAGACAGGCATCTAGAAAGATGCCACTACAGCCACAACACAAAGGGACAGAGAAGTCCTATGGGGACTGGGTAGGTGGAAACAGCTGGGAGGTAGAGGCGGGGCCCTGAGGCCTGTCCTGTCCATATCCCACTGTGTAGCCCCAGTCCACCTTGACCTCACAGGGCTTCAGACCTGAGTTCAGGCTCTGACCTGAGTTCTGAGACTCTGGAGGTCTTCACTCAGCAGCATGGTTATAAAATCTATTTTAAGAGTGAAGGACAATGGAGCAAGCCCTGTGGGTCTCCTGGGACAGAATGGCCTGACCCTCTCTACCAGAGCAGTGCGACTTCCCAGCAAGGGCATGGCCACTAGGTCAACAAGCTTTCAGCCAGTCTTGAGAACCTCATTTCTAATGGCAAGGGCAGCCTCAGGGTCTAGGGTTCCTCTGGGGACAGGGGACAGGGGACAGGCTGATGTGGTAGCTGCTTTCTATGAGGCTGCACTTCTGGGATGTGGCACTTAAAGGGAGGGGACTGACCACTCACGGGCACAGTGTCATTCTTTCCCCAAGAATTGTGATGGTTTATTAGTTGACGTAGAAATATTTGCTGAACACTTACTTTGCATTCTGGGACAAAGGTGGTCCAAGCAGAGCAGGGCTGTGGCTGAGAAAAACCAGGGAACAACTGTTGCCCTCAGAATGGTCAGGGAGGGCTCCTCCAAGGAGGCATCAATGCATGAGAAGGCACTAGGTAGAAAGAAGGAGGCAGAGATAAATATACCCCAATTTTTCTCCTTTCTCTGTGTCCAGATCTTTTGCCCAGTGATCTTATAGCTGGTTCTTATCACTAAAAGGGCAGAGTCTAGCACCAGGCGCAGTGACTCATGCCTGTAATCCCAGTACTTTGGGAGGCTGAGACAGGAGAATCACTTGAGCCCAGGAGTTCGAGACCAGCCTGGACAACATACAGAGACCCCCATCTCTAGAAAAAATAATTAGTCAGGCATGGTGGCAAACGCCTGTAGTCTCAGCTCAGGAGGCTGAGACAGGAGGATCGCTTGAGCCCAGGAGGGCAAGGATGCAGTGAGCCATGACTGCACCACTGCACTCCAGCCTGGGCAACAGAGCAGGACCCTGTCTCAAAAAAAAAAAAAAGAGGCAGAGTCTGTTTCCCCACCCTTTACTCTGGCCCTGGCCATGTGGTTTTCTTTGGGCAGTAGGATGTTAGGAAATGACCCACACAGAGGCTGAAAACATGCTTCAGGATTCTGCCTTTTTCCTTGGACTCCTGCCTTCACCCCAGCAGGCCTGCTAGGGAGAAGGAAAGGCACATGGAAGAGAAGCCTGGTTATCTAAGTCACCCCAGCCAAGACTAGCCCAGACCAACCAACTGTCCATCAACCACCAACACGTGAGGGAGCCCAGCCGAGATCAAGATCCACAGAACCACCTGCTCCACCCGCAGCTGCCTGCAAATGCTTGAGTGAACTAGCCAAGACCAACCGAGATCCACCAGTGCCACCAAATCGGCAGAGCTGCCCAGCCCACCCACCGCCTCCCAAGAAACCACAAATGGTTGTTGTTTCAAGTCACTAGGTTTTGGAGTGTTTTGTTACCCAGCAGTTAACTGAGACTGATAACTGATACAGGGGGAGGGCATTCCAAGCAGTGGGAACAGCAATTGCTCAGAGATAAGAAAGAGCTGGGTGAGTTGTGAGAAACTGAAAAGAAGGCCAGCATAACTGGAATGCAGTGAAGGACCAGGAGGGAGAGAGAAAATGAGATCCCGGAGGTGAACGGGAGTCAGATCACGCAGGGCCTTGAAGGCCATTGAAAGGGCTTGGACATTTTTTAAGTACAGTGAAAGCCAGCGGTAGGTTTTAAGAACATAGTGGAGCCAGGCAGCAGGAGGCAGGGGCCAGGGCAGGGAAACCAGTGCAGGCATTTGATGCAATTAACTTTAAACCTCCGTCTGGCCACCCTCGGGGGATGGATTAGAAGGACCAGGAGCAGAAATGGAAAGACCAGTTATGGGGCTCTCCCCTTTGCAAAACAGGTCTCAGGCACTGTTCACACCAACCCTGCAAAGTGTACATATGGGGAAACCGAGGCTGAGGGAAGGGGAGCAAATTGCCCATGGTCATACAGTGAATCCCATGGCAAGGGTAAGATTGGGACCCTGGGCTCCTGATTTCTAGTCCAGAATTTTCTCTCCTGTTCCCCTTGGGCTTTACCAAGGAGCCAGAGGAAAGAGGTTCACCCCCACCCCGACGCTCACACACTATGCCTCTAATGCCGTCTGCCATCTCTCCATCCAACCACCTCTCTGCCCATTTCTAACACTGGATGAAATTTCTTCTTCCCCACACTATCCTCAGTCCCCTCAGACTTTCATCTCTGGTGCTTAGGGCTGATTTGGGTTTAACTGTGATTCTTTCTGTCTTGAACAGCTTCCTAACTAACCATTCACTGCAAGGCACCCTCCACCCAGCTGCCAGAGGGATCCTTCTGGCTCTGCTCCAGAATTCTCCATGCCTGCCATTGCCTTCAGAATAAAGTCCAATCTCCCTAGCCTGGCAATCGAGTACCTCCGCGATTGGGCCACCTCTCCAGCTTGAAGAGCATGAACTCTACAGTTGGATTGTCTGGGATTCAAACTCCACTCTATTTGTGGGACAGGAAGCAATCTCCTAGACTCTCTGAGCCTCTACTTCCTTGAAGCTAAAATGGGTACAGCAATAGGACTCATCTTGCCCAATCATGGTAAGAACTGACTCACCTGCCTGCCGGTACCTGGCTTGTAACAAGGGCTCAGTGAATGGCTGCCCTGTCGCCGCTGCCCTCCCTGGCAGGGTCAGTTCTCATGAAACTGCACTCTGCGGGGGGTCCCTTCAGTCACCAGCATTCATGTTGTGTTTCTGTTTCCACCATCATGAAGGTGAGAGTCAGGAACTTTGGTCCTATAGAGCAGCAGTCCCCAACTTTTTGGCACCAGGGACGTTTCGTGGAAGACAATTTTTCCACAGACAGGAGATGGGGATGGGGAGGGATGGTTTTGGGATGAAACTGTTCCACCTCAGATCATCAGGCATTAGTTAGATTCCCATAAGGCGTGCAGCCTAGATCCCTCGCATGCGCAGTCCACAACAGGGTTCGCAATCCTATGAGCATCTAAGGGCTCTGCTGATCTAACAGGAGGCGGGGCTCTAGCAGTAAAGCTCACTCACCCGCAGCTCACCTCCTGCTGTGCCTCCCGGCTCCTAACAGGCCACAGACTGGTACCAGGGGTTAGGGACCCCTGCTATAGAGGACAAGAAGTTTAGATTTCCCAGGTTCGTGAGTCTCAGAGTTTGTGAATATTTTATCTGTGCACACGCATGGTAACCTCCTTGAGAACCAGACCCACATCTAGTGGGGGTGTGACCTGTTCACTCACCCAAGCAGGGGGCCTCAAAACCAGGCTTGCCTCCAAGCCCTCCCAGCTCACCTGGCTAGGCCACCCTTCTCCATAAGATCATTCCATGGGTCTCATGGCCCTTTCCTGCCCTGGAGACTCAGATGGAACCACCTTATCCACCCTGCAACTGAAGCAGATCCTGTAGTTAATTGAGAAATCCTTCCAATGACCTCCTTAATCAGGCAGAGTACTATACTATCTTCTAAAGGCTTTTTACCCAAGTAGTCATCCCTGCTCTGTACCTACTCAATTTGCAAGAGATCTAAGGGAGTGACTATCTACACCGGAACCCCAAAGACCGAAGCCTTCTGGCTCTACCTTCTGATTAATAGCCTGATTAAGAAGGCCATTCAAGGTATTCTCAGTTAACTGAGGGATCTGCTTCAAGATGATTTTATGATCCCACTTCTCTTGATTAAAAAAAAACTAATGAGTCTCTGCCTTCTCAGGTACCCTATTACATCTGGATCATCTGATTTTTCTTGTAATATACACAATCTCGTTTGTGTAAGAACACATTATAAAAATGATTTAAACCATCAGTAAGAATATCAGCAGTGCTATCAACCAACTGAACTTAATTGACATTTAAGGAATGCTCCACCCAACAACAGCAGAATACACATTATCCAAGCACACATGGAGCATTCACTAAGACAGATCACATGCTGGGCCATAAAAAAGTCTCAACAATTTTTAAGAGATTGAATTATGCAGAGTATGACCTCTGGCTACAACAGAATTAAACTGGAAATCAGTAACGGAAAGATATTTTGAAAATTTCTAAATATTTGGAAATTAAAGTCATTATAAATAACACATGGATCAAATAAGAAATCACAAGGCAAATAAGAAACATTTTGAACCAAATAAAAATGAAAACACTGTATATTAAAATGAGTGGGATGTAGCTAAGAGAGTGCCTGAAGGGAAATGCATAGCTTTAAATGTTTATATTAGAAAAAAGATAGGGTTAAAATCAATAATGTAAGCTCCCACCTGAAGAAGCTTAAAAAAGAAGAGTAAATAAACCCAAAAGAAGGAGAAGGGAGGAATTATTAGTGAATAGAAATCAATGAACTAGAAGGAGAGAAAACAAATGGAGTAAATCTATAAAACCAAAAGATGGAAAAAAATAATAAATCTCTAACCAGACTGATCAAGGCAAAAAAAAAAAAAGAATAAAGACACAATTACCAATATCAGGAACTCAAAAGGTACATCAACATAGATCCTAGCAGGATAATAAGGGGATTTTACAAATAGCTTTTTCCCAAAAAATTTGACAACTCAGTGAAATGGAAAAGTTTCTTGAAAGACAGAAATTACCAAAACTTAACTTAAAAAGAAATAGAAAATCTGAAAACTTCTATATCTATTATGGAATTGGATTTGTAATTAAAAGTTGCAAACAAAACAAATTCCAGACTTAGATGGCTTAATGATAAATTCTATCAGACATTTAAGGAAAAATAACACAAATATTATACAAACTCTTTCAAAATGAGTTGGAGAATTTTCCAACTCATTTTGTGAGGTCAGCATTCCCATGACACCAAAACTAGACAAAGACAATGCAAGAAAAAGAAGGAAGGAAGGAAAGAAGGCAGGGAGAGAAGAAGGAACCACAAAACAATGTTCCTCATAACCAGAGAGGCAAAAATGTTTATATTTTAGCAAACTGAATCCAGAAGTGTATAAAATGACTGACTACATTTATCCCAGGAACACAAAATTGGTTTGACATTTGAAAATCAATTAATATTAATCACAATATTGGATAGAATAAATGAGAAGAGCCATATAATTATTTCAATAAATTCAGGAAAAAAATGACAGAACTCAACGGTCATGCATGATTTGAAACTCTCAGCAAGCCTGAAATAGAAGAAAATTCTTCAATTTGACAAAAAGTATCTATTAAAAACCTCATGTAAAAATCATATTTAATGGTGAAGATTTCTTTCTCACTAAAACTGGTAACAAGTCAAAATATCCATTCTCACCACTTAGATTCTATACCATACAGGAGGCACTAACCAATGCAATAAAGCATGAAACAGAAATAAAATACACAATCCCAGCAAAATACATACATATGGGATGAGACAGAGTAAAACAATATTTTAAAATGAAAACACAAGCCCCATAATTGTATACATAGAAAATCCTAAGAAATCTAATAAAAAGCAACTAGAACTAATGAGTGAGTTTAGCACAGTTCCAAGATATAAAGTCAATGTTCAAAACTGAATTGTATTTCTATGTACTGGTAATGAACACTTAAATATTGAATTTACAAAATACCATTTACAGACGTGTCCAAAAAACATGATATATATAATGATATATTTAACAAAATATATGTAATACTCTAGGAGAAAAACTATAAAACATCACTGAGTGATATTAAGGAACTCCCAAAGAAATGGAGAGATAATATATTCTTTGATTGAAAGCCTCAATATTGTTAAAATTGATCTATATATTCTCCCCCAAATTGATCTACAGATTCAACGCAATCCCAATCAACACTTAGCAGGCTTTTTTTTTTTTTTTTTGGTAGAAATTGACCAGATGATTATAAAATGTATATGGAAAACCAAAACACCTAGAATAAAATAAGTTGAAAAAGAAGAACAAATTTAAAGGACTTAAACCACCTGATTTCAAGCCAATTATAAATCTACAGTACTTAACGCAGTGTGCTACCGGCAAAAGGATTGACATAAAGATTAATGGAACAGATTAGAGAGACCTAAAATAGACCCAAGCATACACAGTCAATTGACTTTGACAAAAATGCCAAGGTAATTCAATGGAGGGAAAGATGGACTTTTCAATCAATGGTGCTAGAACAACTAGATATCAATATGGAAACAAAATGAACCTGACCTTCACCTCCTATTATACACAAAAATTAATGTGAATCGATCATAGAACTAGACATAAAAAAACAAAATTATTAAATTTCTAGAAGAAAACATAGGAGAAAATCTTTTTGACCTTGGATTAGGCAAAGATGTCTTTAGATCTGACACAAAATTCACTAACCATAAAAGGAAAAAATTATATAAGTTGAACTTCATCAAAATCTGAAGTGCTGCTCTTTGAAGATGTTAAGAAAATGAAAAGGCAAGCTACCAACAATACAAGATTCTGAGAAAGGACTTGTGTCCAGAATATATAAATAACTCCCTCAACTCAGTAATAATAAGAAAATCCCATTTTTAACATATTTGAACAGATACTTTACCAGAAAAGTATACAAATAGACAATAAGCACATAAGATGCTTAACGTCATTTGTCATTACAGTCATTAGACAAATACCAAAAAAAAATGACAGTGAGATGGCAGGACACACACACACCAGAATGGCTATAATTAAAATGAATGACAGTATCAAGTGCAGACAGGATGTAGGGCAACTGGAATTCTCATATGTTGCCGGTAAGTATGTAAAATGATACTTTGAGAACCGGTGAATAGTTGCTTTGAAAGTTAAGCATTCATTTACCACATAATCCAGCAATTCCACTCCTAAGCATTTACCGTAGAGCAGCCATGTCCAACTCTTTGAATGCAAGGACTTTTTTGCTTATCTGTGGTAGTGGATATAATGAAAATTATGCATAGAATTTTTTTTAAGCTCATCAGCTATCGTTAGTATTAGTGTATTTCATGTGTGGCCCAAGACAATTCTTCTTCTTCCAGTGTGGCCCAGGGAAGCCAAAAGGTTGGACACCCCTGCCCTAGAGCAATAAAAACATGCGCCCACATAAAGACTTGTCCACATAAAAACTTGTCCACAAATGCTCATAGTAGCTTTATTCATAATACAGTACTCTCAAACTGGAAATAATCCAATGTCAATGAAACAGTGACTGTATAAGCAAACTGTGATATAGCCATACAATGTACTGCACAGTCAAAGAAATGAGCTACTGATATACACATGAATGAATCTCAAAAACATTGTACTGGCTAAAAGAAGCCAGAAACAAAATATCATCGGCTGTATGATGCCACTCACATGAAACACTATAAAAGGCAAATCTAGTCTATTGTAACAGAAAGCTGATCCATGTGGACCCAGGCCAGGGGTGGGAGGTATTGACAGGGTGAGTTATGAGAGAATTTTTAGAGGAGATGACAATTTTCTATATTTTGATCATGGTGGTGGTTACATAGACCTATAGATTTGTCAAAACACATTAAAACATGCATTCAAATGGATACATTTTATTGCCTGTAAAACTGTATCTCATTAAGATTCCCTTTTAAAAAGTAAACAAAACGTTTGTGGAAGGCAAGCAAGACTGTAGAATTAAGTTTAATCCTATAGCATTTACTAAGGACCTACAATGTGTCAAGTTCCTGGGAAAAACACGTCATGGGAAAGATAAATATAGTCCTGCTTTCAAGAAACTTGCAGCAGAGTCGCTGCTGTGGAGGTTGGTATCATAGAAGGTTAATAAGTAGAGTCCTGTCCTGTACGGAAGTTGGTTCTAAGGTCAGCACTAGGGCCGGGCATGGTGGCTCACACCTGTAACCCCAGCACTTTGGGAGACCAAGGCGGGCAGATCACTTGAGGGCAGAAGTTCAAGACCAGCCTGGCTAACATAGCAAAAACCCATCTCTGCTAAAAATACAAAAATTAACCATGCATGGTGGTGCACTCCTGTAATCCCAGCTACTCAGGAGGCTGAGACACAAAAATCACTTAAACTTGGGAGGCGGAGGTTGCAGTGAGCTGAGATCAAGCCACTGCACTCCAGCCTGAGCGACAGAGTGAGACTCTGTCTTGAATAAATAAAATCAGCATAAAAGGAGAACACTGGGCACCATTAAAATTATCCCTGAAAATTCTTTATGGAATTTCGCCATGTTGAAGCCCAACATTCTATAACATCTCTCACTATGTCCATCACAGCCAGCCTTTCCCCAGCACGGATCTGACTGCAGTTTCTTTGGTTGAATGCAAGATGGTTGGCTTACTGGGGCCTTGTCACGCACACAAGTGCACGCACCCACATTTGTGGGTTTTTTTCTCTTTTTTTTTTTTTTTTTGAGACGGAGTCTTGCTCTGTTGCCAAGCTGGAGTGCAGTGGCACAGTCTCAGCTCACTGCAACCTCTGCCTCCCAGGTTCAAGCGATTATCCTGCCTCAGCCTCCTGAGTAGCTAGAACCACAGGCTCGCGCCATCATGCCCATCTAATTTTTGTATGTTGGCCAGGATGGTCTCAATCTCTTGACCTCGTGATCCGCCCGCCTCTGCCTCCCAAAGTGCTGGGATTACAGGCATAAGCCACCGTGCCCGGCCTTTTTTCTCTTTTTTTCTGAGACAGGGTCTCACTATGTCGCCCAGGCTGGAGTGCAGTGGTACAGTCTCAGCTCACTGCAACCTCGACCACCCAGGCTCAAGCAACCCTCCTGCCTCAGCCCCCCAAGTAGCTGGGACTACAGGCATATGCCACCATGCCCAGCTAATCTTTGGTATTTTGATAGAGACAGGTTTTGCCATTTTGCCCTGGCTGATCTCAAACTCCCGAGCTCAAACAATCCTCCTGCTTCAGCCTCTCAAAGTGCTGGGATTACAGGTGTGAGCCGCGGTGCCCAGCAGCACACGTGTTTTTAAACACTAGATCCACACTCAGTCTGGAAAGATGGCACCTCGGAACTAACACCTCCAGGAAGAATGGAAGAATGATAGACTCTGGTCTCCAATCTCGCACTCACTCCAGGCCATACATTCCCTGGGTGGAGTGGAGGACGGAACCATCCACAGCATTGACCATGTTCAGATTCTCTCCTATTCTCATTCTCTCGCTCTCACTCTTTGAAACCTCTTAGATGATTGTAGAGCGTGTCCTCCACACCACTCAGCAAGGAAGGAAGGCCTTGGGGTGCAGAAATGACGTGATGCCATTGTCCCAGCCCTGGGTGTGCTTACTGTGGCAAAGCTATGGTAAGTTGCGATGTTGGTGCAAGAATGAACACACCATCCAATGAGACAGAATCCAGAAGCAGACCCACACATACCCCAGCAGGGCTGGGGATGCTGGAGCCAGATGCAATCAGAGTTGATTTATGACAACTGTGATGTGGTGGGGAAAGGATAGTGTTTCAACAAATGATGCTGAGTATGGATGGAGGCAGACACATAAACATCCATGATCCAAGGCTAAATGCTGCAAAGGATGAAGGCAGAGAGTTCAGGGATGAAGAGAGGGCTGCGTGTGCATGTGCGTGTGTGTGTGTGTGTGTGTGTGTGTGTGTGTCGCTAGAACTTGAAAGATACAATCTAAAATGTATATGGAAACTCAAAGGGCCAAGACGCTCTTGAAGAAGAATAACAACATAGAAGACTTGCCCTACCAGCTGTTTAGACTTAGCATAGCACAGGGTATCGTAAATTAAAGCTACGGTAAGCTGTGATGTTGGTGCAAGAATGAACACACCGTCCAATGAGACAGAATCCAGAAGCAGACCCAGGCATAGATGGACACATGATTTATGACAATTGTGATGTGGTGGGAAAAGGATAGTGCTTCAACAAATGATGCTGAGTCTATCGGATATCCATATGGCAGGGAAAAAATGAACCTTGACCCCTACTACACGCCACAAAAAAAAAACCCACTGCAGATCTAAATATAAAAAGTTACCATAAAGCTTTTAAAAGATATTATGAACTTGAGGTAGGAAAGGATTTCTTAAAAACCATGAAGCATAAAGGAAAAATTTGATACGTTTATTACATTAAATGTTTATATGCCTGATCACCAGAAAGTGCAATTAAGAAAGTGAAAAGGCATCATTGGGTGCAGTGGCTCACACCTCTAATCCCAACACTTTGGGAGGACAAGGCGGGAGGATCGCTTGAGCCCACGAGTTTGAGACCAACCTGGGCAACACAGGGTGACCCCATCTCTACAAAGAATAAGAAAAATTAGCTGGGTATGGTGGCATGTGTTGTAGTCCCAGCTACTTGAGAGGATGATAGGGGAGGATCACTTGAACCTGAGAGTCTGAGTCCACCAGCCTGGCCAACATACCAAGATCCCATCTCTAAAAAATTTAATAAAAATAAATAAGTAAATAAAAAGAATTTTTAATGGGTAAAATTAAACTCTGTGGTTTAGGAATGCCTATGTAGATGCAAACCTATAAAATAAAGCAAAAAAAATTATCAAAAATCAACTAACTCTAGTAGAGACAGAAAGGTGCACTGGGGGTTCTAGTTGCTGATAATGTTCTATATCTTGACCTGGGTGTTAGTTAGGTGGGTGTTTGCTTTAAAATTATTTGTTAAACTATACACATATGTTTATACCCTTTTCTCTCTATATGAAATATTTCAAAATAAAAATATCATAAAATATAACATAAAAGAAAATGCTGGGAGATGCGCACTTGAGAGGAAAACTAAATGTGCCCGAGGCAATCAAGGAAGACTTCATGGAAGAGGGAGTTCCTTCCTGCATACTGAGAGTCCTCCACATGCTAGACCCTGGGATGACAAAGGTAACCAAATACAGGCTCCCTGTCCCCATGGAATTTACATTCCAGGAAGGGAGACAGGCAGGAATCAAATAAACATGCTGTAAATGCTTAAATTGCAGACCGAAATAATGGCCGTATGGATCTGTTCTTACACTGCTATAAAGAAATACCTGAGCTTGGGTAATTTATAAAGAAAAGAGGTTTAATTGGCTCACAGTTCCACAGGCTGTGTAGGAAGCATAGCAGCGTCTGCTTCTGGGGAGGCCTCAGGAAACTTACAATCATGGCGGAAGGCAAAGGAGGAGCCAGGACCTCACACGGCCAGGGCAGAAGGAAGAGGGAGTGGGGAGGTGCCTCACACTTTTCAATGACCATATCTCAGGAGAACTCACTATCACGAGAACAGCACCAAGGGGGAATTCTGCCTTCATGAGCCAATCATCTCCCACCAGGCCCCACCTCCAACATTGGGGATTATAATTCAACATGAGATTTGGGTGGGGACACAGACCCAAATCATATCAGTGGCCTTGCCTGTAAAGTCCATGGGCCCTCACTCTGTATATGCTGGAGATGCCGTCTGAGCTGAGATTTGAGGGGTAGGCATGGGTTGCTCAGAATGGTGAGTGGGAGGGGGCAGAGGGTGCAGCACCCAGTAAAGGTCTTCAGGAGGGCAGGAGCTTTGCTGCGTCCCGTCAACCCACAGCTGCCGAAAGGTCACATGGCCAAGTGCAGAGAACCAGTGAGGGAGTAGCATGAGATAAGCAGCATGGAGAGGTGGGAGAGGATATTTGAACTGGGTTTTGAAGGGTGGATAGGAGTTCACCAGACAAATTATGAAATCCTTAGGGACTTGGAATTCTGTGTCTTGCTCACCTATGTCTCCTACATAGTCGTGCTCAGTAAATACTGTTTCTCCTGGAACGTGAAAAGCTAGAGAATAGAAGAATGTAGAGGTTATAAAACTGAGACCACTGGTCTTGACCTCAGAGGAATGGAGTGCAACTGGGGCAGAGAGCTTCCTTAGCATCCTGGGCTCTGTCTCCTCTGTCAGCAGCTTTAGTGGTCCAGTGAAGTCACCAACAGAAGGAGGTGGCAGCTGAAAAGGATGACTCCAAGAGACAAGCCATTTGCTTCTGGAAGCAGCGGACAATGTTGCCCTACCCGTCACCACCACCATGAGGCTGGCTTGCACCATCTCTGCCACACCCCTAACCCAAACCCCAGGGTCCCATGAGGGTGACAGCAGCAGGGCTGGGGATGCTGGAGCCAGACGCAATCAGAGTGGACAGCCGCAGCTGCGGTGGCTTCGGAATCTGGTTGTTAGTGGGCGGCTGAGGGAGCCGTGCTGTCTCCCCTGTGTTTACTTGGCTCCAGTGAGGAACTGGAAATTCGATCTCCGTGGGGACCAGGCCCTGGTTAGCCCCTGCCTGGAGTCCAGTGGAGTCAGCCTCTCAGAGCTGCTCAGAGGCCATCCTGTTATCTGAGGAAACTGAGGCCAGGGAGCAAGTGGAGAAGGGACTCTCCCAATCATAAACTGAGTAATAACAGCCGCCATTTAGGGGGTGCTCCTGATGTGCCAAGCACTGGGCCAAATGCTTTCTATATAATATCCCTGCAAGGAAAGTATTATTATTCTTGTTTAACAGTTGGGGAAACTGGTGCTCAGAGAGGGCAAGTAATTTGCCCAAAGTCACACTAAGCTAGAACCAGATTGGCATCCAGATCTGCCTGATTGCCAGTGTCTCTAATCAGCCTGCAATCCTGCCTGCAAGGGCAGTGTTCAGCATGTGACTGGGGCTCCTCAAAGATCTCTGTCCGCAGTGAACCACCCCTCTATAGCTGATCCTGGAGTTGGGGACGTCTCTTCTCACCTGGCCTGCCCACCTTCTCACAAGGAGGCTTCACACCTAGTGCCCTCCCTAAGCCCACCTTTCTTGAGCCCCTGCAGCTCTGTCTGGCACTCCCACTGCCTCTATTTACTTATTTATGTTTCTTTCTTTTTTTTTCAGGCGTGGGATTCAAACTCGTGTTTCCACGGGAGACTGCATCCTCTGCCTTTATGTCCCTGGAATGGGTCTGGGACTTTGAGCTCCCAATGACAGGAATTCCTTTTCTAAACTGGCCATAGAAACTGTATAACTATGAGAAATGGGTTCTGTCCTGTTGTTCCTGATCCACAGCCTCCGACCACCACCATGTAGCACAGCTCCTGACACAGAGAAGGAATAAGAAAGGCCCCCAGCCTGGGCACCTGGCACGGGTGTCTGTGGCACAGCAGAGAAAGCTAGATCTGCTGCTAACGGCTGTGTGAACCTGGGCAAGAGATGCAACCTCTCTGAGCCCACAGCCCCTCTAATGATATTGACTTTTCACCACACACTCCGTGATCTCATGCAGGCAAAGGATTTGGCCCTCAGTGTGTGCTCAAGTTTAATGTCCTGGATTTGAACTTTGACTTTTTTTTTCCTTTTGTTTTGGATTTTTACTCTCTAGTTTTCAGATTCTTCCAGCAATGTACTACAAATTTCTGGGGAAACGGAACCATGTGCCCCTGCCAAGATGCCCAGTGCAGTACCAGCAAGATGGCCAACGCCTAGAGCTCCCTTGTTGATCTGAAACCTCCCCTTTTCCTTACTTCTCCCTCTGTTCAGAATGTGTAGACTTCTCTAAGCTTTGTTAAACCTGTTTACAACTTCAGGCCAAACCCCTCTCAGTGTAAAAGGATCCAAGTGACTACTTTATCTGGTTGAACTAAGTGTCTAACTGTAATCCCTCTTGTAATTTGAGCCCATTTTCTCACATTCGGTCAGAGGTATGGGACCAGCTGTTCTTTCTCCTCTGGGAATCCTGTGTCCTAAGCAGGAAGAAAGCACCTACACCCCACAACCCAGGAATCTCCCTCGTACCTTTCCTACAGGAAATTCCTGCCCCACATTGCTTTCCTCTCTTTGATGTAGCCATGCTTCTTTGAGCCAGTCCGTCATCCACCAGGCCTTTTAGGGAAATGCTCTGAGCTTTCCCAGCTTGGGGAATTCCAAGGAAATCGAATCAGACCTCCACGACCCTCCCCACCGCACAGGAAGGAACCTAGCCAAGGCCCCTTCTTGGATAGATGGGGAGCGAGAAGGTCACCCAGTGTGTTGGTGGCACAGCAGGTTCCTGACTCACTGTCTGCTGCTCCCAGGCAACTGGGCCCACCTGTGGAGCCCTCGGTCCCCCTGTCCCCTGAGTCAGGGTCCCCTCCAGCCAGTCTCAGAGAATAGAGGGTCAGGCTTTCTTGCATAAAGAATGTCAGGTATCTAGTGGTCTCCAAGCCTCCAGCCCTACTGTCACTCTCCTCCTGGAATTTCATGCCCATGTCCTGTGTCAACATTTGTGACCTCAAGTGCAGACTGTTCCTCATGGGATGGTGAAGGAAAGAAAGCAGTGTCAACTCAGCACATCTACACACACATACGCATGCGCACGTGCACACACACACACACCGCTCCACGTGCGTTAAGCGCAACAAGGGGCCCTTGTGAATCTGCCAGGTTCTTAGCAATGCCTGGTGTTCAAACTCCATGACCCAGTCCTGGAAGCTCATCAGTAATCCCCACAATCCTTCCCAAAGCCCAAAACTGCTGCATCAGAGAGCTGAGTCCTAGAGCCAGGGACCATCTGTGCTCCTGCCCAGAGCAGAGTCCTCTTCCAATCAGCCTAGTGACAGACAGCTCATTACCTCTCAAGGCATCTTACTCCACTGTAGATGACTCAGGAGGCTGCCTGGAGGAGCAGAAGCAGGACTGTGCAGTCAGAGAGACCTGAGTTCAAACCCTGGCTCCAGTGCTTCATAGCTGTGTGACCTCAGGCAAGCCACTTCCCCTCTCTGAGCTTCTGATTCTTTTTTTTTTTTTTTTTTTTTTTTTTTGAGACAGAATCTCCCTCTGTCACCCAGGCTGGAGTGCAGTGGCACAATCTCTGCTCACTGCAAGCTCCGCCTCCCGGGTTCACGCCATTCTCCTGCCTCAGTCTCCCGAGTAGCTGGGACTACAGGCACCCGCCACCACGCCCAGCTAATTTTTTTGTATTTTCAGTAGAGACAGGCTTTTAGTGTGTTAGCCCAGATGGTCTCGATCTCCTGACCTCATGATCCGCCCACCTCGACCTCCCAAAGTGCTGGGATTACAGGAGTAAGCCACCGTGCCCGGCCAGCTTCTGATTCTTTATCTGTACGATGAGGAGTCAAATATTTGCCTTGTGGACTTGGTGTGAGCATTAGATGAGAAAGCATACTTGAAACCCAAATGTCAGCTGCCACCTCCCTGCCCCCAGAGACAATGGAGCATAGGGACCATTGTCTATGATCAATATCAACTAATATCAACTGAGAAGCAAGTCAGGGGCTGGGCTCAGTGCCCTTTCAGGATCCTGCTATTTCATCTTCTCAACGAAATCTAAGGAAGCACTAATGTTACCCCCATTTCACAGATGAGGAAGCCGACTCACTTAGAGAAGTGTGTGTGACTCGCCAAGGTCACATGGGTAGAAAGGGCAGGGCTGAGATTTGGGCCCAGGTACCCTGAACTGGGAACCTGCTTGTTTAACCACTGTAACTCACTCCAGGCCCATGGAAGTTGAAAGCCCTCCCCGAGATTTTTGTCATGAGGGCTCTTGCCTTCTCGTGGTCTCTCTGCTCCTCGCGACTGCCGCCTCTGAGTCAGACCAGCTGTGGCTCATCTGAGTGGCCCTTTCATCACCATCTCAGCGGCCCTTTCATCACCATCTCAGCTCCTCAGTATGTCTCCTAAGATAAACCATTCAGCCCCTTCCTCAATTACCAGGAAAAACCCATATTCCCAAGAAACATGTGGGTGGCTGTAGACCTAACTGATGATGGAATGTGGAGGCATGTTTACACTGCGGTACACGCTTCGCACTGAACATTTGACATCCCTGGTTTTCAGTATCTTTTTCTGCCCAACTCCGCACCTCCAAGAACCTTCCTCTGCCCACTTTGCCTCCTAGGGCCCCCACCTTCCAGGGGCCCAGTGTTCCACCCATGCCTTCTCCTCTCTCCTCTCCTCCCACGCCTCCTCCCCCTGCACCCATTCAGTCTTGCTCTCTCCGTCTGTTAAGACTAGGAATTCCAATCCCTCCAACCCTTAATCCCAAACCTTCCCACAGTCACACCTATCAAGGGGCCTTCCAGTTAGCCAGACCCACCCTGTTATGGGACAGTCTTTGAGGGACTTCTTCATTCCTTGGCTCTGTGCCTGTTGACTCAAGTGATGATAGTTATATTAGCATAGAAAAATTCTTCCTCAGATTAAGTAGCAATGAGCTCCTTTCCGATAACAATCTTAAAATATCAAAAACCACAGACCTGGGAAATGATCCTGCCCAGAATTTCTCAATGAGACACAAATGGCCTTCACGACGTGAGACTATCCCGTGCACTGCAGGACACTTAGAATCCCTGGCTTCTCGGCACTAATGCCAACAGCACCCTGCCTTCATCCTTGTGACAACCAAAAATGCCTCCCCATTTCCAAATTTCCCCATCTGTCACACAGGCACACTCATGCATAGCCCATGAACACACACACACACAGTGCATGGAGAACTAATCATGTCTTTGTACACACGGGCTCATGAGACCCAGAGAGGCAAAGGTCTCTGCCTGAGATCACATAGCAAGTGAGGTTGGAACACAGGACCAGCAGACTGGGGGAGAGCCTCTCTCCCAATATGCAGGCTGAGGCTGCCCTGCCACTAGGCTGGGAGCCAGAAGACAAGGGCCCTGTATTGCACCCCACTCCAGATTTTTGCAAACCCAATTCCCTGGACCCCTTCATAAGGACCAGCAGGATGCCAGACAGACACCAGCAGAGAAAACCTCAGCCTCTCATATTTTGAGGACTCGGCAGATTCTGCCTGGTTCCCAGTAAACCAGAAACATGGTCGTGAAGTGAGGTTAACGCGGAGTGCTGCCCGAGAAGGCTGAGCCAGCCAGCCCTCTCTGGGGAGGCAGAAATCCTTCCCGGAGCCTGAGACCCCTCCAGCCTGGCTGTGGGGAGTCAGCTGCTGTCAGCTGCCCAGAGATGAAGGTCAGGGGACAGGAGAGGGGATTTCCAGAACCCAAAAGCCAAGTGTGCCAGCAAGTCTATGCCTTCCAGATGTGAGGACATACGAGGCCAAACACAGCTCCAGTCTCATCCAGAGACACAGTGCCAGGAGACGGGGAGGCAGGCTCAAAGAGGAAGATGTGATCCTTGACTGCACCCCCTACAGTGCGCAGAGCACCCCCATTCACCTCTGTGAATCCTTATAGTGACCCTGCAAGGTAACCATAGCATCCCCATTTCACAGATGAGGAGATAGAGGCTCAAAAAGGCAAACTTGCCACCTACTAGCTGTGTGACCAAGAACATGCAATGTAACCACCCTGGGCTTCAGTTTCTCCTTCTGGATCATCTGGAGGGTATGGCCTGCCTTTAGGATGTTTTTGAGGCTAAACGAGGCAAACCTTTGTTATAGTAGCCCAATGCCTAGCTAGCAACAGGTGCAGAAATAATGCTATTGGAACCAGCAGGTTGAACAAGCCAGACTGGTAATGTAATCAAAAGCACAACTTTATTTTTGTGTTCCATTATCTCTTTAAAATGTAGTCAGTGGGACAACTCCAGGAAGGGTTGGGGGGGGCGACTTTTTTGCTGTCTTAGTAATGACAATTCCTTTAAATTGCAAACACAGTCCAAGGCAATCATGTCTATTTCTAGACCAGTGCAGAATTTTCTGGTCTAGAAATAGACAGAATGTCAGTTTCTTCTCACCTCCAATCCCATTCTCCAGGCTGCAGTTTCAACCTAGCGAAGGTTTGAGTAGTAAGGAAGAAAGAGGGTTAAAGCGAGTGCACAGAAGAGTTCTTTCTCAGGTCATTTTAAAATTGAGACAAACATGACATTTCTTACGTGTCTCAGTTTGTGGTTGCATCTGTATCTGCTACGCACACACACACACACACACACACACACATATTCTAATACTGTTACTTTTTAGGAATTCTCGTATGTATAGAGTATGGTAGATATTGCAGCTAAGTTATGTAACCTTGTGGTTTCCCTTTAATAAACCATGAACACCGTCTTCTCTCATTGCACATACTTTTAATTTATTTTTTGAGATACAATTCACATAACGTAAAACTCACTACTTTAAAGTGTACAATTCAGGCCTGGCACGGTGGCTCACGCCTGTAATTCCAGCACTTTGGGAGGCCACAGCGGGTGGATCACCTGAGGTCAGGAGTTCGAGACCAGCCTGGCCAACATGGTGAAACCTCGTCTGTACTAAAAATATAAAAATTAGCCATTAGCTAGGCATGATGGTGGGCGCCTGTAATCCCAGCTACTCAGGAGACTGAGGCAGAAAGAATCACTTGAATCCAGGAGGCAGAGGTTGCAGTGAACCAAGATGGTGCCACTGCACTCCAGTCTGGGCAACAGAGTGAGATTCTGTCACAATAAATAAATAAATAAATTGTACAATTCAGTGGCTTTTAGTATACTATGTTGTACAACTATCACCACTACCTAATTCTAGAACATTTCTATCATCCCCAAAAGAAATCTTATACCTATTAACAGGTCGGTGCAAAAGTAATTGCAGTTTTTGACGTTTTTTATTTTAAGTGGCCAAAACCGCAATTACTTCTGCACTGACCTAATACTAGCCAATCCCCAACTCCCCTTCCCCTCATTTCCTGGCAACGAATCTGCTTTCTATCTGTCTGCATTTGGCACCTGGATAGGTTATATAATTGGAATTCTACAACATTTGACTATTTGTAACTGGCTTCTTTCATTTGGCATAATACTTTCAAGGTTAAACATTTCAAGTTGTAGCATAAATCAGTACTTCATTCTTTTTTATGGCTAAATAATACTCCACTGTTTAGACAGATCACATTTTGTGTATCCCTTTAGCAGTTGATCAACATTTGAGTTTTTTCTACTCTTTGAAAATTATTAATCATGTGCTGTGAGCATTCATTTACAGGTTTTTGCGTGAATATATTTCCACTTCTCTTGGATCTATACCTCGGAGTGAAATTTCTGAGTCCTGTGGTCAATATTTTTTATTTTTTTCTCTTTTTGAGACGGAGTCCGGCTCTGTTGCACAGGCTGGAGTGCAGTGGCGCTATCTTGGCTCATTGCAACCTCTGCCTCCCGGGTTCAAGCAATTCTCCTGCCTCAGCCTCCTGAGTAGCTGGGATTATGGGCACGTGCCAACACACCTGGCTAATTTTTGTATTTTTAGTAGAGATGGGGTTTCACCATCTTGGTCAGGCTGGTCTTGAACTCCTGACCTCAGGTGATCCACCTGCCTCATAACTCCCAAAGTGCTGGGATTACAAACATGAGCCACCGTGCCCGGCCCCTATGGTAAATCTATGTTTAGTTTTTTGAGGAACTGCCAGATTCCACATCCACTTCCAATTTCTCCACATCCTCACCAAAAACAGTTATTTTCCCTTTTTTAAAAGTTACAGCCATCCTAGTGAGTGTAAAGTGGCAATTCATCATGGTTTTGATTTGCATTTGCCTAACGACTAATGCTGTTGGTCATGGATATGCTTTTAAATTATGATTTTAATTGCCATGCAAATTCCATTGTAGGTTACTATATTTTTAATTGGCTATTATTGAATATTCAAGTTGTTTCTATTTTTTCAAATTCACTCATACATATAAGCCTTTGTGAATCATAATCATCTCTGATTCAATGACATTCATCCATTCACTCACTTATTCAATAGCTATCTACCAAGCCAGGCCTGTTCTAGGTGTTATTGCACAGTACTGAGCAAGACAAAACAGATCTGATCTCTGCCCGCCTACAGCAGACGGTCCAGTGATTTATTAAATGTTTGTGCAAATAAGTCGATCAGCAGGCTGACAAGTATCAGTAAAGAAACACACAGGGCACATATGTAAGAGGAGCGCATCATTCAGAGTGGGTGGCCAGGAAAAGCCAGCCAGGGGTGGGAGATGGGGAAGAGCATTCCAAATAGAGGGAACAGCATATGCAAAGCTGTTGAGAAACTAACAGAGACCTGAGTGCCCGGAGACGGGGGCAAGAGCAAAGAGGGAGGTGAGGGCTAAGGTGGAGGGAATGGAAGCGGAGGTAGGCTGGACTGTGCTGATTGGCAGCCCGCTGCGGGAGGGCTGAATACATTGACAATTGTTTTATTTCCAATGTGCCATTTAAAAATAGCAAAGAAGGAATGAAGAGAAGGAAGAAGTGGGGGAGAGGGGATTTCTGAGGATGGAACACTTAAACAAATGGGGTCCTGCCCTATCTGTGCCTACACTGGCCAAGGTGAGCATCTGTCAGTTGTCCAGCCCGTCAGTCACCTGCCACTGTCTATGCCTAATCTCAACAGCTTACACCACACATGATACTGAGTGATCTCTACCCCTGGCCAAGTGGGTATTGTGACCTAACAGCAGTCAATCTTGAAGTTGGCCAGTGGGCTGAGAAGTGGCCTGGTGTGGTATAAAATATAAATATTTGGTCTTGGTCTCTAATTCCTGGCACAGAGCTCCTAAAACCCCTGAACGTATTGCCTTTCATATGCTAATGAGATGACTTATGGAGGAGCCCTAGAGAGCTTCATGATGAGGGCTGGTTACCCCCACACCCCCTACAGCCTCCATGGGGGTAAGATGGGCTGGAGATTGAATTCAATCGCCAATGGCCAATGATTTAATCCATCATAATGAAACTGCAAGAAAAACCCCTAAACAACAGGGTTTGGGAGCTTCAGGGCTGGTGAACACAGGGACTCGCTGGGAGGGCGTGGAAGCTTTGTGCAAATCCCCCATGTTTTGTTCCCTGCATCTCTTCCATGAGTCTGTTCTTGAGTAGTATCCTTTATAATCCACTGGTAATAGTAAGTAAAGCACTTGCTGAGTTTTGTGAATTGTTCTAGTGAATGATCTAACTAGAAGGGGAGGTTATGGGAACCCTGAAATTCAGAGCCAGGCAGTCAGATGTACAGATGGTCCCTGGACTTGTGTGTGACTGGTGGCTAAAGGGGGACAGCCCTGTGGGGCTGAGCCCTAAACCTTGGGGTCTGCACTAACTCCTGGAGTTGGTGTCAGAATTGAACTGAATAATTGAACACCTAGCTGGAGTTAGGGAATCAGAGACCTCATATAAGAACTCACTTAATCCTTGGCCTGTCCTGGTGGGGGACTTCCAAACCAATCAAGTCCTCCCTCTGGGAGCATTGAGTGTAAGTTAAGAAGTTGGGAGTGAGAGTCGAAGCAGGAAAGATTCACAAAGGGAAGCAAAGAGAAACTGGGCTACAGAAGCCATGAGCTCACCGGAACTGGACAGCAAGAGAAACTACAATGAGGCAGAGGCCTCAAGAAGCAGAAGGCATGTGACAGAAAGGGGAGGAGAAGATGCAGGAGAGGAAGGGCAAGCTTCCTCTACCTATAGGGGCAGGTAGAGGAAGAGGCAAGCTGATCACCAGAGAAGGGCTGGAGATGACAAATTAGCCTGGATCTGAACAACTCTCCACTTCTCCTAAGAGCTTTCTAGGCTCTGAGAGCCCTGGCTAGGCTACGGCTGAGGTTCTGTTTCCCTCATTTCCTCCTGGAGTCTGCTGCAAGTGACCTGGCAGTGTCTGCTCCTTACGCTGTCTCTGGTTCCAGGCACGTGGGCCTGGGCTTGGCTCAGAACTCCCCAGCCTCGTTTTGCAGAAAAGGGATCTAGGAGAAGGAGAAAGCTCTGTAGAAAGGCATAGGAAATCCTCAGGGCGGGGCCGCCATGGAGAACAGGGGTGCTGGGGTTGGCATAGGGGTCCAGTGGGTGCAGCTCAGAGATCCAGGAGCCAAGAAGCACAGATTTGACTCTGAGTCACTGGAGGCCCCCGAGAAAAGGCTGTGCCCTCTCTGGGTCTCAGTTTCCCCATCTCTGAAAGTAGGTGACTTCTGCATCCCATTCCAGCATGAATATTTGTTGAATCTGTGACATGAGAGGAAAAATCATTTGCAAAAGAAAGAGCCAGAAACTTAGAAATCCAGTAGGCCAACACATGTTTGAGAAACACAACATCGAACATTCAAGATAACTAATACAATTTCATTTCAAAAATCTGAAGTTTAAAACTGCATAACGTCGAGATATTTGAAATACTGGGCTCTGAGGGCCGGTGGGAGGAGAGGGCTCAGGTCTGCTGACGAATGTCCTCCTCTACACCAAGAGGACAGCATCCACTCCAAGGCCAACAGAGCCCCAAAATGAAATCCCTCAAATTCCACAACGTCAGAAGAGTTCAAGCTTCTTAAAGTTCCCCAGGTTTAAAGATGCTCCAGATTCTAAAATGTCCAAGATTTCAAAAGATCCTGAAAGCTCTGAAGTTTCCCAGGTTCTCAAACTTTCATAGGTCTCAACTTCCCAAATTCTAAAAGTCCCAAATACACACTGTGAGCCTAGTCGGGATCTGGCTTGAGAAACTTGAAAGCACAGGGGCCACCATCTTTACTATCTGCTTTTTCTCCAGCCAGAGGCTGAGGCCCTCCCTTTGGGCATAGCTGTCCCTGAGGGTGAGGGAAGCAGGCAGTGTTTTCTGTGATCAGGGTGGTCCCCAAGTGGAGTAAGTTGGGCCTTCATCCTTCTCCATGCCTCCGGGAGCCCTAACCCTTCTCTCAGTAAGGACAGCTACTGTCTGGGGTCCTGGGCCCCCAGACTCACCTTGTCATTCATTCCCAATGGCTCTGTCCTCAAGAGCTTACAGTCTAGCGGGGCCACAAACAAGCAAGAGAAAGGGTCCCTTGAAAGGATGTTCACAGGGCAGTGGCCCGGCCAGGTGTGACCCCCTCTGGGGGGCCTGAGCTCCTGCCCTGCATGACGTCCTCACCTGCCGGCTGCACGCAGGTTACATCCCAAGGATGCCAGTCATCAGCTCCAGCCTCAGGAGGAAGCATCTTAGAGGCTCCAGTCCACGGCAGGTCAGAGGGCATCTCCAAGACCGCTGCCTGCCTTGGCTTCTGCTGTTTTGGACCTGCTGGTCCAACTGCCCATCCCAGGCCTGAGCCTCCACCTCGGCCCCATCAGGGCATCTCCAGCTCAGCTTCTGCTCTGGTTCTGCTGCTCCCTGAGCCAGGCCCCCACTTTCCAGCTCTGATCCTTCATAGGATGACTGTACCTCAAGTCTCAGGAGAGATGGAAGATGCCCGAGGTCAGCTCCCACCCCCGAAGTCAGGACCCCTCCCCAAAGGGCTGTTGGGTGGCACCAGGTGGAGGGAGAAGAGACTTTGGAGGGAGCACTGGCCCAGAACTCAGACTTAACTATATATCCCCAGGCTGCAATCTCTGGAAACATCCATTTCCTCCACTATAAAGGGGAATTTTAATTCCTACCCGACTCGGTAGTAGGGGAATTGGGTGACCGGCTGCCTCCCTACTTGTTAAAGGACCCTTCAGATGTACTCCCCTTCCTTTCCGTTCCCAAACCCCCAAACCCTGAGTGAGTGTTGGGAGCTGAAAATGTCAGTCTCCCCGGAATCAGCAGCACATAAGGGGTGGAGAGTCAGAGAATGGGTTTTAACACAAACACTAATTGTGGATCCCAGAATGGCCTCCCTGGCTCCATTCATGAGACTGGTATTTTTAGCCCAGGATCGGCTGCCTGTGGCCCCAGAGGGGGTGGCCAGGCCGTGTGTCATGTCTGAGTGATGATGGACTCACTTTGCCCAGGAAAAAAGCCCACAGGGGACTGCTGCCAGATCCCAGGGTTGCCACCGCATCCGGGAGGAGACAGATGTTCAGTTAAACCCTCTCATCCCCGAGGGGCACACTACAGGGTGTCAGGAATGATAGCAATAATTAATATGCATTAAGTGGGAGGCCGAGGCGGGCGGATCACAAGGTCAGGAGATCGAGACCATCCTGGCTAACACGGTGAAACCCCATCTCTAATAAAAATACAAAAAAATTAGCCGGGCGTGGTGGCGGGCGCCTGTAGTCCCAGCTACTTGGGAGGCTGAGGCAGGAGAATGGCGTGAACCTGGCAGGCGGACCTTGCAGTGAGCCGAGATCACGCCACTGCACTCCAGCCTGGGTGACAGAGCAAGACTCCATCTCAGAAAAAAAAAAATGCATTAAGCATTTCCTAGGTATCCAGCACTGTCGCGGCTTTACAGGCATTAACTTATTTAATCATTACTATGAGGTAGATACTATTATTATCCCCATTTTATAGATGAGAAAACTGCAGCTGGAGCAGTTAATTAACCTACTTGAGTCCACACCACAGTAGCGAGTGGAGCAGGGGGATTTAAAGCCAGGCAATCAAACTCCAAAGTCCATGCTCTTTCTGCCTGGTCACTTGGAATCTGGACCAGGAGTGGACAGTCTTCAATGGCCAGTAGGTCCTCCTGCCTCAGCCCATTGAGTTTTCTGGGATTGCAGAGTACATCCGGTCCTTCCCTCCTGCAGAGGTAAGGAAATTGAGGCCCACCATGATGCCCAAGGTTAAGGAGCCATTTGGCCCTAATTCCCAAACCACAACTTTTCCCACTGAATGACTCCATGGGACAAGTTCATTTTGTCACCCGCTCGCCTCCTCAGCCTATCCCCAGCTCCCAGATCAGATGAGCTTGCTTTAGGGCAAAGAGCCTGGACTCTGGATGCAGATGTGAGCCCCGATTTTGACGTGCTATGTGACCTTGGGCAAGTCAGCTCACCTCTCAGAACTTCAGTTTTCCCCTCTGTAAAATAGGCGTGATTGGGCTATCTTCATAAGGCTGTGTGGTGGGTATAAATTGTCTGGAGATTCATCAAATATGGGTTTCCTTACCTTGGGCTCCTTGAACTATTAATCCCCACTGTAAACAAGACACATGGTATACACCTGCCCAGGGTTACTCCTGGAAATGGAAGATCTGGTGATGGAATTGTAGACACCGTGACCACCTGTTGGGGAGATATTTGGAGCAAATCATGCCATGACTGCATCTACCCGCTGTTCAGATTCCCAACAGAAAAGAATTTGGCAGAAAGAAAGAAAAGAGAGACAAGGCCTATCCATGCTCTGAGCCAGCTGCCAGGGTAGGAAAACAGAACATGCATGGCAGAGCTCAGGACCAGCTTAACCAAGTCCCCTCTGGATGATCATGGGTCAGTCTCTCCTCTCCCCGGGGCCTGAATCTCCCAAATGCAGAGAGGGGAACAAGACTCTTTCATGCTCTCCCTGCCCTGATTTCTGTGACTTGATTAGGACAAGCCCCTCCCTCAGGGGCTTGGGACCCTACGTTCTGCCCCATCCTCCAGCATGTGCGCACACACACAGACAAACACACGCACACACACCCGGACTGTCTGCTCAGGGAACCTCCACAGCCCGGCTTCCACATTCACTCTGGGCTTGCCCAGGGCCCATGGGGTCGGCTCCCTGGGGCCTCAGCCTCTGAGTCACAGTCCACAAATGCAGCTCCCATCAGAGCAGGTGACTCTTTCCAGCTCTGAATCTCAATTGCAAATTTCCTGACTGGAAAATCTGATTGGCCCAGGTGGCATCAGGGGGCCCAGTGGGCTGGGTCATGCATCATGTATCATGGGCTAGGGGTGGAGCAGCTTCTCCAAGAACAGGGTGCAGATGAGAAGGAAATGAAAGCACCTCTAAGTCAGAAGCAAAATGAGTTCACCCAGAATGTAAATTAGTTACATGGAAAAATCGATCTACACTCATTTCACATTTATCTAGAAAACTCTCAGAAAGCAGCTGCTATTGGGGTGAAAATTAGAAAGAAAAAAACTACCCCTTATTCTCAGCTGCCAAAACAAATGTCAAAAATCCACATCCCTGACTCATCAGAGAGTCCTCTCATTCATTGATTATGAACTCTTACACTACAGACAATCCTGATACACACTGGTTATTGGTTTTTCATCCAAAGGAGTCATGATAACGTGGTGAGAAGTAACTGCTGATATCTCATGAGGAAGAAATCTTTAAAAATATAGAAGCAAAGCAGAACTTTTAAAAGCAGACACAAGGGCTAAGCAGCTTGGGGGACATTCATAGTTCAGGCACAGTGAGTTTTGGAGTCCCTAAAATTTACATCAATGCATACAGTAGTTAAAACTCACAATGACAACCCTGGAGCATTGAGAATAAGTAAAATTGCATTTCCTGACCTTCACTTAAGGTGGTATAAATAGGTAACACATGGCGAAAGACTGCCATTTAAAAAAAAAAAAAGAACAGTTTTAAGTTTTTAACAGAAAAAATAAATCTCATCTGGAAAATGCATTCTCATGGAATAATGCATTATAAATGATGTATGACTATATGAGGGTTTATAAGCCAATCCAACAAAAATAATAAATGGCACAATTTTGAAACCAAACTCTGTAACTAGCAGCTCGAGTTTCATTACTGGAGGAATAAAGTGCTTTAACAGTGATTTCAGTTGGATCAAGGACCCCAGAGACCCTGCCAAGAGTTTGAAAGCAGATAATTGTTAGGAGCAATGCCCAGTTCCAGCCCACCCCATAATTTTACCCTCTAGCTTCATAACTCTACACTTCGTTATGAGGGGGAAGGAGGCTGAAGAACTGTGATGTGTTCAAACTTGAAACTGGGTGGAAAGTTCAAAGTCCTTGGTGTTGTGGGTCCCAAAACTTATATATATCGAAATCACTTAGAGATGCATAAAAACTTTAGGAGGTCTGGAAGAGGAATCAGAAATATCAGGAATAGCCATAAACACATTCCCTAAATGGTTCTGATACAAGGTGGTCCATGGACCCCTTGTTGAGGAACGTGGCTCCCCTCATTCTGCAGATGGAGAAATCAAGGCCCAGAAACGAACAGAAAAGTGGCCCAAAGTCACACAGCAAGTCAGAAGCTGAGCTGGCCTCCGGCCCGTGCAGCACTTCTTTCCACCAAATTCCGCCTGCCCACGGACGGCCCCCTGGGGCTCACATTCCAAGGAGCCATGTAACGGGAAAGGAAATGTCAGCCGTGACTGTTCCGATGTTCGAAGGCCCATTGTAACTCCAGGTTCCGCCAGACACAGTCCTCAGAGCTCAGGCGGCCAAGATTCATGAGCCTGCTTTTTCCAGATGGGATCAGGGATGAGATTACAACAGCCAGCATTTATTTTTATTTCCCCAGGAAAATAAATCGGCAGTTTTGCTCCAAGAAAAGTGATCAGAGGAAGCAGTGTTCCTAACCAGAAGGAGGGCCTGGACCATCTCCAGCCCCTCATAGCCCCCTCCAGGCCTGCCTCCCATCCTGAAGGTGCCTGACGTTAAGTCAGAGCCTCAGACAAAGCACCCTTTGGGCTTGGACTCAAGAAACCTCTCCTGCCTATGGCAGTGGATAAAGGTCTTAGGAGCTGGAGGGTTACTTTCTCCCACCCCAACTTAGGTGAAAGACATTTGGCAGTGTCTGGATTTGAGAACTGGAGAGGGGTGCTACTGGCCTGTAGGAGGTCGAGGCCAGGGATGCTGCCAAACATCCTGCCATGAAAGGGACTGCCCCCACAACAAAACTCCTTGGCCCAAAATGTCAACGGTGTTGAGGGTGAAAAACCCCCAACCACGGGCAAGTGGCCACAGATGTTAGGAGTCGGGATGTGAGTCAAGGTTTTGCCTGTAAATGCTGTGTGAGCTTGGGCAAGGCTCTGCCCTCTCTGGGCCTCAGATTCCCAACTCTACAAGGAGGAGGCAGGGGAGGCTTGTCTCTGGGGCCTCTGCCATTTTGGTCATTCCAGGTTCCGGAGTCCAGGAAGCCTGAGACGGTGCCTTGCCTTACAACTGAGATGTGACTGTCAGAGGGGAGGGGGTCTATGCAGCCCCCACTTGCCTGAGGAGTGCACAATCAGCTCTCTTGAGCCCCTCCCCCGAAGCACTGTATCTGGAACTCCTGCTCCACCAGGAACGGAAAAACCATTATCTGCAGATGACATCACTTTGCAAAAATGCAGGCGGGTGGTTGCCAAGCAGAACTCCAGGGAAACAGCGGGAAGGAAGGGCTCAGAGCATGCCAGCCACCAGCACACCAGCATCCGGCACCTTCACAAATCTCAGCACAACCCTGGGCAAGTTATTCCACTTCTCTGGACTTCGGTCCTCCCATCCATACAAGAAGAGAAAACATCTGGGTTTTGCTAGGAGCCCTTCCACCGGAACAGTCCAAGATCCCGCGACTCTTTCATGTCAAGCCTCGGAGGGCTTCTGGGCTGCAGGAGCACAAAGGGAGCCCCTCCAGGTACAGGAGTCCAGAGTTAGGGCTGAAAGGAGAGGAAATTGGCTGCCCTGCTTGACTGACCACACAGAGGCTCTGATGCCACCAAACTGCTTGAGAACAGCTCTCCTCCCAGAGCGCTGGTCCTGTGTCCTGCCCACCGACCCAGTTTCTTTCTTGGTCTAGCATTTGGAGCGCATCATGAACCAGCAGAGCACTGGCTAATCGCGAGCCAGGGAACTTGCTTCAGTGGGGGAACCACGGTGACCTGCAATGCCCATCTTTCTACCTGTGGGCTCCCGGGATATGAAGGGTGGTAAAGACTGGCTCTGATGAGCAGAGCAGGCTCAGGTCACCCTGGATGGAGCCCTGGGTTGCTCCCCAGAGGCCTGGGTTCTAGCCACAGACATAGGACCTCATTTTCTCCTTCTGGACAGTGAGTAGTTTGATCCAGAGAGTCTGTGGGGTCTCTTTACACTGTAGCAGGTGGTGGCTCCAGGAGCAGATAAGAACAAATTACACATAGGGTAGAGCATGGAAGAGCTGTGTGTCTTCAGCAGGATGACAATTCCCTCTGCTGCCTGCACCCTCATCAAGAACAGAATTACCTTTCAGACCCGTTGCTTTCTAAATGGAAGAGGAAGGAAGGAGAAGGCAGATCACCCTCGACCAAGCTCAAGGGAGGGGTGGCATCTGGCGGGAAGGGCACTGCCCCCGCACCCTCCCCCATTGGGCACTGCCCACTGCCAGAAGGTGGTGTAGCTTACAGGTTAGAATAATCAGGCTGGCATCACCTAGAGCAAAGTCCAAATCTTGGTCCAAGTCCCTCTAAACTGTGCCAAACATGACTCTCAGTTTCCCCGACTGTAAAATGGAGTCAGCAACATATACCTCTTTTTTGGGTGATTCTATTTGCCCCTTGCCCCCACCACCAGTGGATTCATTCTCACCCCTCCCTGCCCTGCTCTGATCCCCAGGAGGCTGACCTCACCCAGGTAGGATATTGGAAGACAGCAGGAAGACAGAGAGGTCGAGGACTTTTCCCACTCCCTCTTCTGGGCCACAGTTTGGATGTGGCTGCATCCCTCTCCCAGGGTCCCCCATCCTGTCGGGCAGCGCCTTCCACAGCTCCTGATCTGTGATTCTGGTACCCAGTGCTCTCCTCTGGCCCACAGAGCTAGAGGTGGTTACAACGTGCTGCTTTCACTAGTCTCTGGTGCATCATCATCCCCTACCAGGTCCTTTCATTATTTCTCCAAAGATGATTTACAAACAGCCGACAAGCACATGAAAAGATGCTCAGCACCATTCATCATTAGAGAAATGCAAATCAAGTTCATAATGAGCTAGTACTTCACACCCATGAGGATGGCTACTATCCAAGAAACAAAATAGCAAGTGTTGGCGAGGATGTGGGGAAATTGGAACCCTTGTGCGCTGTGGGTGGGATTGTAGAATGGTGTGGCTGATATAGAAAACAGTAGAGTGGTTCCTCAAAAAACTAAAAATAGAATTACCACATGACCCAGCAATCCCAATTCTGGGCATATATATTCAAAATAATTAACAGCAAGGTCTCAAAGAGATGCCTGGAACCCCGTGTTCATAGCAGCATTATTCACAATAGCCAAGAGATGGAAGTCACCTCAATGCTCATGGACAGATGAATGGATAAAGAAAATGTGGTACATACATACAACGGAATATTGTTCAGCCTTAAAAAGGGAGGAAATCCTGCCATATGCGACAAGGATGAACCTCAAGGACCTTATGCTAGTGAAATCAGTCAGTCACAAAAAGACATTCGTGTAATTCCACTTCCTTTTTTTTTTGTTTGTTTTTTGAGATGGAGTCTTGCTCTATTACCCAGGCTGGAGTGCAGTGGCATGATCTCAGCTCACTGCAACCTCCGCCTCCTAGGTCAAGCGATTCTATGCCTCAGCCACCCGAGTAGCTGGGATTATAGACGTGCGCCACTATGTCCAGCTAAATTTTTTTTTGTCTTTTTAGTAGAGATGGGGTTTCGCCATGTTGGCCAGGCTGGTCTCGAACTCCTGACCTCAGGTGATCCACCTACCTCGGCCTCCCAAAGTGCTGGGATTATGGGTGTGGTCACTGTGCCCGGCCTGTGTGATTCCTCTTCTACGAGGTACCTGGAGTCATCAAAGTCACAGAGACAGAAAGTAGAATGGTGGTTGCCAGGGGCTGGGGGAGGGGAAACGGGGAGTTGTTTAATGGGTACGGTCTTGGTTTTACAGGATGAAAAAGGTCTGGAGATCCTCAAACAATATGAATATACTTATATATGAATATACTTAAAAATATACTGTGGAATGATACACTTAAAATGGTTAAGATGGTTTTTAAAAACTTATCATCAAATTGTATGTTTTGAATATGTGCAGTTTATTGTGTGCCAATTATACCTCAATAAAACTTTTTTAAAGTCCCTTCATTAAACTCTCTTCAGGAAAACTGGTGGTTCCCAAACCTGTGTGCATATTAGAATGTTCTGGGATCTCTTAAAAATTCCCAATCCCAGGCCACTCCCCAGAGCCATTAAACCACAACCCCTGGGAGTAGGATACAGGCAGCAGGAGTATCTGATACGCCCCAGGGAATTCCAACACACAATGACACCCACAGAATTGCATCCTTCAACTGGGCCATGTGTTTTTTGTCAGGAATCTGCATAATTAGCTACTTCTTAGGCTTATTGTGAGGATTAAAGGAGATAGTGAGTGCAAAGCATTTCGCACAGCTGCTGGCACCGACAGCGCTTATACAATGTACTGAAAACATCGTCGGTGATGTTGTTATTGTTATTAGTATTATTTCTCTGGGACATCAGGTTGCTGTGGGTCTCAGAGATACTACAGAGGAAGGTAGAGAGGGTATCAGGACCAAAAGCAAGGTAAGACAGGAAAGCAAGCAAGGCAGAAAGGAGGGGTGCACTCAGAGGCAGAGAAAGGGGAATTCCGTGCTGGCTGGGGAACGTGGGTTGCAAGACTGCGAGAAGCCCAGGGCAAGAGGATGCCAGATCTGCCATGATGCCAGGAAGTGCCTACCTCCAGGGGCTGCTGCCAGGCAGCGGGCACCACTCAGAGGCTCCAGAAACACTGGGTGACACCCAGGGCCATGGAAGAGTTGGTCCAGGAAGCAGCAGGCCTGCAATGTACATATGCTTACCACGTAAGGACTTTTAGCTGGTCTGACCTTGCGGGGCCCCTTCTAATTTTTCAGGGGTCCCCAACCACCCTTGGCAGCTGTAGCAGGCCCTCTCTCAGCCTCTCCTCTGGGCTCCCTGGTCTGAGGCAACTACGGACTGCCACCTCCGTTTACCTCCAAGTGTCTGCCCTGGGGCCCTTCACCTTGTGGGGCTGGCCGTGGTTGGAGGGCAGGGGGCGCTGGCCATCAGGGAGGGAGGGAGACCACATTCCCTCCCTTGGTTGCCACGTGGGAACAGGAAGATGGTGAAAGGCCATGATACTGAGGTTCACCAATATGGTGAACTCTTCCGGCCAGCAAAGGATTCTGGTCAAGGAGGTGGAGCCACCGGCCCGGCCTGGATTTTCCACCCCACAATGGTAGGCCAGGCATCCATTCCAAAAAACATTTCCTAAGCTCCCACTACATGCCCAGCCTGGGGCCCTGAGATCTGACAGTGAATAAGATGCCCTGGCAGAGCTCAGATCTGGCTGGAGGGAGCAGGAGTGCGGCAGGAAGGAGAGGCCCCCGTGGCAGAGCAGCCAGGGGCAGACAGACAGGGCTCACATCCCAGCTCTGCTCAGTACCAGCTGCAGGTCTTGGGAGAAGTCAATCCACCTCTCCAGCCTCAGTTTTGTCTTCTACAAAAGAGGGTGACAAACTCAGCCTCACAGAGCTGCTGCTGGAGGGAATGAGACAAGATGACAGGAGGGCCCCGTCTGGCACCCCTTGGAGTTCCTTCCAGGAACGAGGAGCGAAGAGCAGGCACCTCCACCCGGGTTCCAGCACAGGACACTTGCAGGGGCCTGAGCTGCAGATGGGAGAGGCAGCTCTCTGGGGACAGAGCTGTAGCCAGAGGCCAGCGCCCGGGGCTCCAAGAACCACAAGTCCACAGCAGGAAATCCTCCTCCAGAGCCTGGAGCCTGGGTGCCCGGGTCGCCACACTGCTGGCTGCTGATAGTGCTGGGTGAATGTGGGCAGTCCCTTCCCCAGTCTGGAGTCCCCCTTCCGCCTCCGTCCAGCAGAGCTCAGGCGCTGGACACCAACGAACCCTCCAGCAATGACATTCCGGAAAAACGGAAAGCCCTCATGATCCCTTCTTGCAGGTGGGAAATTAGAGGCCTGGGAAGGACAGTCTATTCAAGGGCACACAAGTTCACACAGCAGAGTCAGAAGTAGAAGCCAGATCTCCTGACTCCAAATCCATAGCACCTGTCCACACTAGTACCTCTCCAAAGGCATGAGCCAGAGTACCAGGAAACTCAGAAGGTGTGGCTTCTTCTCTAAGGGACTCCTTGACAAAGCTCTCAGCTCCAATGAGGTAACCAGCATCCCCCTCCAAATATCCTCCAAGATCTAGAGAAGTCACTCCTTTGTTCAAGAACCTTCCACAGCTCTCCATCACCCAGTGAACATCTCACCCAGCATCCAGGGTCCCAACCTTCCTCTCCAGCGGCTCCCGCTCATTCCCCCACCTTTGCCTTCCATCCTGGTCACCACATAGTAATGACTGTCCCCATCTCCTGGCCTTTCTGATTCTGGTCCCCCATCCTAGAATTTCCCTGCTCCTTCCTTTAAGACCATCTGAAGGTCACCTCCTCCAGGAAGCCTTCCTGCTCCCCAGGTTAAACATGGCCTCTCCCTCCCCTAGGCTACCAGAGGAGGTAGCCTCAGGCTGTATCTGGGTACCTCATGTGCCCATCTGTCTCCCCCACGAGATGGGGAAATACCTGGGTGCAGAGTTTAAGAAACGCCCACTTCTTGTCATCTTCTCATCCTCTGCGCCAAGAATTGAAAGAGGAAGGGCTAAGTGACTCCTGGGGCCCTGAGCCCACAACAGGACGAATAAACAGGGACTGTTTGGTGCCCATTTGGGACACAATTCCAGGCCAGAGGTGGCTAGAGGCTGGGCCTGGAGCCCAAACACAGGCATTGATCCCGCCTCCAATGGCTGTTTCTGTTTTCCTTTTCCCTGGGCAGTGGCTGCGGGGGCGTTCTGGGCCACAGCTGGTTTCTATTGCATCAAGGCTCAAAAAAGCCCTGAGCATATTTTTAGAGAGAAGGGGAAAAAAAGAATCTTTTCTTCCCTGACCCAAGATGAGGGCTTGCTCCAATTTTCCATCTGCTCTCTCTTCTGGGTGGAGCTGGCCGGGAAGTTTCTCTGCAGGGGGATCCTTCAGGATGGCGGTTTGTGAGCTCATAGTTAGGGCAGAGTGAGAGGCTGCCGGCACGATGCCCGCCTCCCTCGCCGACACACATACAAACACAAATGTGCACACACACACACAACCTCAGGCATGTGATGTGGAGAGGAGAGCCACATGCCTGAGTAAGAACAGTGAAGGAGCAAGAGGGACTTGGAGCCACCAGTGGCTCCAGCCCAATCTCCCACTGGAAGCAGGTAGCTGAATGGTGGCCTGAACCAGGGGTTGCCGTACTCGCACTCCAGAGCCCTGGGATGTGCCGCATTCCCACTGGGGTGCCTGGATCCAGAAGACCTGGGCACATCTGGGACTGGAATACAGAACGTGTTTGATGCATCTTTGAATGGCTGGTTTTCAATTGTCTGAAGATTCTGTTGGGAGGAATGAAAGACCAAATCATTTTAAGACCTCTCTGAACTCTTAGAGCTTTTGTTGAAATGCATTTTCTCAATCAAAAGATACTAAATGCAGCAGTGCTCTGCTGGTATGTTTGTGTGTGTGTGTGTTTGGTGTGTGTGTGTGTGGTGTGATATGTGTATAAATCTGTGAGTGAGGTATGTGTATGTCCCCTATTTGTATAACATATATGATGTATGTGTTGTGTTATGTGGTTGTGTGTTGTGTTTCTATGTGTACTGTGTGTATTTGTAGTATAATTTGTGTTGTGTATGTGTGTGGTGCATGTGTTTGACGTATGTTTCATATAAGATGGGGTGTATATGTGTGTCGTATGTGTTTGAAATGTGCTGTGTGTGTTGTGTCTGTATGATACACGCTGTGTGTTTGATGCATGCTTTATGTGTGATGTGTGCTGTGACTATGTGTGTTGTGTGTGTCAATGTATGTTGTGTGTGTTGTGTGTTTGATGTATGCTGTATGTATGTGTTGTGTCTGATGTGTGTTGTGTAGCATATGTGCTATGTGTGCTGTGTGTCTGACACAGGCTGCGTGTCTCTAATGTGTGTTGTGTGTCTGATGTGGGCGTGTGTGGATGCTGTAATCAGAGGCCATTCTTGGTACCAGCCAGAGGCACGTCTGGAACTGGGGGAGGGGGTTGTGTAGGGGAGAGTGTCCCTGCTTCCCCCAAGCACACTTTTCAAAGTGGCACCTTTTAGAGATGCTCCAGGCCAATCTGTTGAGCAAAGCACCATGGGGAGAGAAGGTAGATGGAGGAAAAGAGCCCTTTTCTTTTTTTTTTTTTTTTTGAGACAGGGCTCTGTTGCCCGGACTGGAGTGCAGTGGCATGATCTGGGCTCACTGCAACCTCCGCCTCCTGGGTTCAGGCGAGTCTCCTGCCTCAGCCTCCCGAATAGCTGGGATTACAGGTGTGCGCCACCACAGTTGGCTACTACCAATTTTATGAACTTGCTCCCCACCAGCCCCTGCCCCTGATGTCAGATCAGTCTTTGCCTCTGGTGGCACCCAGTTTTAAAATCCTCCAGCCCAAACAGCTGCAGGCCGCAAAGCCGAAGTGCAGAGAAGCACTTGGCCCAGCATCACCGACAGGACAGGAATCAGAGCCCACACCCTTCCTCCTCCTCATGGTCAACCTGGAATTTAAGGCCATTCAGTACCAATGAGCCAGCCTGCAGAGAAGTGGTAAGTCTGTGACAACGAAAACCACAACACGCCCAGAGACATCATTACAGCCCAGCAACTGCACCTGGAGCTGGCTCTCGGGGGCCTGAGCTCTCTGCAAACGCAGCCTTATTTCCCTCTTGCACTCACCCATCAAGGGAGTATCATTGCCCTACTGTATCAAAGGAAACAGGCTCAGATGGGAGACAGAGGTAAAGGTACGCCCCTGAGCTAAGAGGGTAACTTCCTGGCTTTGGGGATCAGGTAGGGAAGTTGGCGGCAGCTTCCAGGGTCCAGGGGTTTAGCTCCACCAAGGGGCAGTGCCTGTTCTTTCCTGTCTGCAGAGACACAGGCCCTGCCCAGAGTCAGAGCCAGGAGGCAAGTGGGCACGCCAGGGTCGTGGGCCTTTGCCCTGCCCAACTCTCCACCTTTCCCAGGCAGCTCGGCCAGGCCAGGCACCCTCTTCCTCACAAAGCCCCTTCTGTCCCCAGGCAGGAAGGGCTGCTACAGGGTCACCCTCCAATTTCTTGGAAACCGAGGCAGCCCAGATAGGGCCCAGGGGAGTTTCTTGGAAGATGGGCTTTAAAAAAAAAAAAAAAAGCCCGGATTCAATGCTTCCCCAGTCCTTTGGCCTTGGATAAATCCTTCTCCCTCCCTGAGCCTCAGTTTCTTCCTCTGTAAAATGGGGCTGCCACCCATTCCCTCCTGGGATGGTTGGGAGGAACATGTGCCGGTGCATGAAGTCCTTGGCACAGCCCTGGCACAAGGGAGGTATTCAATCCACGTGTGTCCTGTTCCAGTCTTCGGCTACTCTGATCAACCACGGGTTATAAATTGGACTTGACTGGTCCAAAGGTTCCCCTCCTGACCCCAGCAGAAGCTGCAGGGGAGAAACAGTGATTCTTGGAAAGTCACCACCAAGTCCTTCCAGAAACTGGAGGGCCACTGGTCAACATGTCACCTGGCATCCACACCAACCGCCAGGCCCTGAGTAGCCCTACCTGACCTATCAGCTGACCACATCAAATGCCATAGTCCTGCTCACCACTCCGTGTCTACCCCGCGCTGGGCACTGGGGACTCATCAAATACCATCAGGCCCTCCCTCTCTCAAGTCATCTCGCTCGGCTCTCCCCTGCTCAAAGCTGCCAGGCTCCCCACACGTAACACAACATATACACCATATGTATCATATCAGATAAATGGATGATACCCATACATATTTACACACATGCCACACCACACACACACCTGCAGGGCACTGTTGCATTTAGCATGAAGTCCTAGTCTGCAGCTGGGCATTCCAGGCCCCTCTTGGTGAGGCCAGCTTCCCCTGTAGTCTCGCCTGCACCCCACACCCAAGCCACAGCCAGCTCCCAGCTCTCACATGGCCGCCTGCTTTCGTCACCATGGGAAGAGCTTAGTTTGGGGTCTGGCCCACAGGAAGATGCGATCCGGAGTCTGCAGAACCTCCAGGCTTCTGCCTCACAGGGTCTCTTGCTCAGAATGCCACTGCCCTTCTCTAGCAATCTATGACACATGTCCAGATCCACCTTGGTCTTTACCTCTTCCAGGAAGCCTTCCCTGATGCCCACCCCTCCAGGCCAGTATAGGTACCTTATTCCCAGGGGGAGCTGCGTGGTGTCCCCAAATCCTCCTGTCACTCCTGACCTATCAGGATGAAATAGCACTACTCCCCACCCACCATCCCAGTGTGTCCTCTCCAAGTTCCTATAAATGTGGATGTCCACCTGCCAGTCCTGCTTGCTCTCAGCACCTGCAGCTGTCCTCTGCCCAGCAGCCTGCTGGGCTCCATTCTGGAGACACCCCAACCCCCACCTTATCCCAAGGGCCTTGCAATGCTGAGTTAACTTGGATAACAGCAATTCCAATGCTGGCCACCAAAAAACTTGACATTCAGGGTCAGACATGATGCTTCTTAGGAATTTGTCAACCATCTTTCCTCACAGAGAATCTCTCACAAGCTGGGAGTCGGGAAACCTAACCTCTCAGAGTGTTCTGGAAACTCCTTCTCCCTTCTCAGGTCCCCTCACCCTTCTCATTTCTAATGCCAAAGCTATTCAGAACTTCCGCTCCTTGGGGATCCCAGGAGGGGCCTCACCTGACAGGATTTACTATCTGCCAATATGCAAAAGTGACTACTGTCAGTCATTTTAAATCGCCATTGCTATGGAATGAAAGGTGTCTCCCACATTTCCAATGTTGAAGTCCTAACTCCCAGTCCTGGAGAATGTCACTGTATTTACAGAGGTCATTAAGTTAGTGTGAGGTCAATAGAGTGGGAATGACTGTCTTCCTAAGCCAATGTGACTGATGTCCTTATAAGAAGAGGAGATGAGGACACAGAAGGGTGCAAGGGAAGACCCATGAAGGCACAGGGAGAAGATGGCCAACGACAAGCCAAAGAGAGCAGCCTCAGAAGAAACCAACCCTGCCACACCTGGATCCTGGACTTCCAGCCTCCAGAACTGTGAGGAAATAGACTACTGCTGCTTAAGGCACCACCAGGCTTGGGACTGTGTTTTGACCACCGTAGCAGACTCATGTAGATGTTTCTCATGCATCTTGCTCATTGTGCTGTCAATGAGCCTGTCTTCCCTTCCAGACTGTGAATTCCTGAATTCCCCAATTCCACTGGGCAGATCGGATGCCTCCATCCCTCAGGGCCTAGAAGCCACTACGCCCAGAATGTGTTTCCTGGGTGAAGACCTTTTGTGTCTGCAATGAACAGAACTGTGCTTCGTGGGCTTTTTAAATCACCAGACGAGGGAAGGTGGAGGCCAGACCATGCTGGTCCCCTCCCCAGCTGTGAAGCACCATCCCATACCGCCCTGAATGAAAGGCTCCCCCACATTTTACCAATGAGTAAACCAAGGCCAGGGAAGACAAGTGACTTGCCTGAGGTCATTCATGGAGTCAGAGTTGTTAAAGAGGAGAGACTGAAGCCCACCAGTCCCGGGGGGGCCTGAGAGGTGGCAGGCTGGTTTGGGTGGCTCTGCAGTGTCCACACTCTGGAAGGAGACAGAGAGGGCCTGGGTTTGAATCCCGACTCCTCCTCTTATTTGCTGTGTGTGAGCAGGTTCCTGGCCTCTTTTAACTGGGCCTCAGTTTCCACATGTGAACAATGAGGCTGATAAATATGAGAGGACACGCAGTGCTCAGCACCGTGTCTGACCCACGAGACGGGCTCAAGAAATGTTGGAAAGGCTGCCGCCGCTGCTAACAAACACAGCATTCCCAAAATACTTGCCGGCTCCGCACCTGGCCCCACGGGAAGTCTAACAAAGAGCTTGGGTAGAAGCTTTTCCTGCCGGTCGGCATGGGGGAGGTGGCCAGGCAACCTCTGTCCACCTCTGAGCACTGCCCCCACTCGCTCTATCATTTACCCTTCTCCTGGCCTTACAGGGCCCAGGGACTCGATAAGGTTCAATGGCTCATTGTTCTCCATCCAGGCTCAAACCAGGCCAGGCCTGCCGGGAACCAGCAACTAAAAATAGCCCCACCGGGTGTTTGGGTCCAGCTGCTTCTCTCAGTCTGGGGGTCAAGAGGTGCCCGCGATCTTCCTGGTCACTACTCTGGGTGAAGGCCAGCTTGGCCAACTGCCAGATCACCCTGACTGGAGAGCCCAAACTCACACCCGCAAAATATTTAATGGAAAATTCAAGAGCTGCTACGATTCTCCCAGGGACAGAGCCTTGGCACAGATTTTCAGAGGGAGTTCAGGGTTCAGAGGTGGGGCGGGTCTCAGCCTGCCAAGGATTGGGAGAACAGGCTGGAAGAACAGGCTGGAATTGGCGAGGCAAACAGAGACAGTGAAGGTATCCCAGGTGGCAGCGACAGCAGAAGCAAGGGATGAGGAGGAGGCTAGGTGTGATAATGAGAGGCTGCAGGAGGGCTATTTGGCAGAGCAGGAGGGGGTGTCTTCAAGGGGAGGCCCAGGCTCACTCCAGAAGGACCCTGAATGCCTGGCAAGACTTTACAAAAAAAAAAAAAAAAGAATAAAATGGGAAGACTCACTCTGCCTGATTTATTTATTTATTTATTTATTTATTTATTTATTTATTTTTGCTGAGACAGAGTCTCGCTGTGTTGCCCAGGCTGCAGCACAGTGGCAGGATCTCAGCTCACCGCAACCTCCACCTCCCGGGTTCAAATGATTCTCCTACCTCAGCCTCCCGAGTAGCTGGGATTACAGGCGCCCGCCACCTTGCCTGGCTAATGTTTGTATTTTTTTTTAGTAGAGACGGGAGTCTCACCATGTTGGCCAGGCTGGTCTTGAACTCCTGACCTCAAGTGATCAGCCCACCTTGACCTCCCAAAGTGCAGGGATTACAGGCATGAGCCACAATGCCCGGCCCACTCTACCTGATTTTAAGACATCATATAGTACAGTAACCAAGACTGTGTGGCACTGGCAGAGAGATAGAAACACAGATCATTGGAACAGAGAACCTAGACATAGACCCACAGGGTATGACCAACTGATTTTTGACAAAGGTGCAAAACTTCACACCCACTGGGATGGCTGTAATAAAAAAGACTTCATACTTCCGGGTGCAGTGGCTCACACCTGTAATCCCAGCACTTTGGGAGGCCAAGGTGGGCTGACTGCTTGATCTCAGGAGTTTGAGACCAGCCTGGTCAAGATGGTGAAACCCTGTCTCTACAAAAAGTACAAAAATTAGCTGGGCATGGTGGCGGGCACCTGTAATCCCAGCTACTCAGGAGGCCGAGGCAGGAGAATCACTTGAGCTGGGGAGGCAGAGGCTGCAGTGAGCCAAAATCACACCATTTGCACTCCGGCAAGAGGGACAGGAGTAAAACTCTTGTCTCAACAACAACAAAAAATCATAGTAAGTGTTGGTGAAGATGTGTAGAAATCAGACTCCTCACACCCTGCTGGTAGACATGTAAATGGCAAAGTTTGGCATTTCCTCAAAAAGTTACACATAGAGCTTGTTTATGTCTCAGCAGCTGTACATCTAGGTAAATACCCAAGAAAATTGGAAACGTGTGTCCCCCAAAGAACTTGGTACATGCCTATTCATAGCAACATTATTCATAATCGACAAAAAGTAGAAATGACCCGAATGTCCATCAACTGATGAATGGATAAATAAAATGTGGTCTATTCTGTGGTATATAAAATGTGGTATACACAACAGAATATTATTAGGCAATAAAAAGAAACTAAGTACCGATACACGCCACAACACGGTGAACCTTGAAAACATTATGCTAAGTGAAAGAAGCCATTTGCAAAGGACCACATATCGTGTGATTCCATTTACATGAAAGGTCTACAACAGGCAAATCTGTGGAGGCAGAAAGTAGATTAGTGGTAGTCCAGGGCTGGGAGGGTGAGGTATATGGGAGGCAGTGACTGCTAATAGGTATCGTGTTGTTTTATGGGCTGATGAAAATGTTCTAAAATTGATTGTGATAATGATTGTACAACTCTGAGAATAGGCTAAAAACCACTGAATTGTAACCTTGAAAGAGGTGAATTGTCCCATATGTGCTTATACCTCAATAAAGCTGGTTTTTTTTTTTTGTTTTGTTTTCTTTTTTTTGAGACGGAGTCTCGCTCTGTCGCCCAGGCCGGACTGCGGACTGCAGTGGCGCAATCTCGGCTCACTGCAAGCTCCGCTTCCCGGGTTCACACCATTCTCCTGCCTCAGCCTCCCGAGTAGCTGGGACTACAGGCGCCCGCCACCGCGCCCGGCTAATTTTTTTGTATTTTTAGTAGAGACGGGGTTTCACCTTGTTAGCCAGGATGGTCTTGATCGCCTCGGCCTCCCAAAGTGCTGGGATTACAGGCGTGAGCCACCGCGCCCGGCCTAAAGCTGTTTTTTAACAAAAGCAATTCAGCAAAAGAATGATAGTCTTTTCAGCAGATGGTGCTGAAGCCATTGGCTATCCTTTTTTATTTTTTATTTTTTTGAGACAGAGTTTCACTCTCGCTGCCCAGGTTGGAGTGCAATGGCGTGATCTCGGCTCACTGCAACCTCCGCCTTCCAGGTTCAAGCTGTTCTCCTGCCTCAGCCTCCTGAGTATCTGGGATTACAGGCACCCACCACCATGCCTGGCTAATTTTTGTATTTTTAGTAGAGACAGAGTGTCACCATTTTGGCCAGGCTGGTCTCAAACTCCTGACGTCAGGTGATCCACTTGCCTCGGCCTCCCAAAGTGCTGGGATCACAGACATGTGCCACTGCGCCCGGCTGCCATTGGCTATCCTTAGGCAAAAAAAAAAAAAAAAAGAACCTCAACCTAAACCTCACATCGTATGAGAATTAGCTCAAACTAGATCAAAGATTTAAATGTGAAACAATACAACGTTCAGAAGAAAACATAGGAGAAAATCTTCAGGATTTTCCTGTACAACCCAGCAATTGCGCTCCTGGGTCATTTATCCCAGAGAAATGAAAAGTTATGTCCCCACAAAACTCTCTCTACAATACTTCATAGCAGCTTTATATGTAACAGCCCCACTACCTGTACAGCTCCTAGGGCTTAGTGGAAAGCTCTTAGACAACAAGGAAAGCATGATCCATTTTTTAAAAAGGACAAATTGTACTTCATCAACAGTCAAAACTTTTGCTCTGCAAAAGACACCGTTAGAAGGATGAAAAGACAAGCTACAGACTGAGCACATTATTCGCAAATCGTATATCTGACAAAGCATTCATACATAGACTGTATGCGCTCTCAAAACTCAACAGTAAAAAAAGCAAACAATCTAATTAGAAAATGGGCAGAAGACATGGAAAGACATTTCACCAATGAGGATATACAGATGGCAAATAGCACATGAAAAGATGTTCAGTATCACCAGCCATTAGGAAAATGCAAATTAAGACCCGGATGAAAATCACCACGTTATCTGTTAGAACAGCTAAAATAAAACACTGGGGCAACATTAAATGCTGGCAAGAATGCAGAAACATTGGATCTCTCATGGTACAGCTACTCTGGAAGATAGTTGGCAGTTTCTTAAAAACTAAACCTATACTTACTGTACAACCCAGCAATTGCACTCCTGGTCATTTATCCCAGTGAAATGAGAAGTTACATCCACACAAAACTCTCTCCACAACAGTTCACAGCAGCTTTATATGTAACAGCCCCAAACTGGAAATGACCAAAATGTCCCTCAAGAGGCAAATGGCTAAACGAACGGTTGTACATCCATACCACAGAATGTTACTCAGCAATAAATAGGATTGAACGCAACATAAATAGGATACCCACAACATCTTGGATGAAGCTCAAGGACGTTATACTGAGTGAAAAAAGACAATCTTAAAAGGTCACATACTGTACAATTCCATTTATATCACATTCTTGAAATGACAAAATTACATAGATGGAGAACAGATTAGTGGTTGCGAGGGGTTAGGGGTGGGGAATGGGTGTACCTATAAAAGGGTATCGAGGGAGGTCTTTGTGGTGATGGAATAGTTCCATGTCTTGATTGCGGTGGTGTTTATACAAATCTGCAGGTGATAAAATGACATAGAACTGTACATACGTATTGTCCCAATGTCAATTTCAATTTTTGATATTGTACTATAATTATGTAAGATGTGTTCATTGGGGCACACTAGGTGAAGGGTACATGAGACCTCGCTATACTATCTTTGCAATTTCCTGTGAATATATAATTATTTTAAACTTTAAAAGTTTAAAAAACACACACGTGCTTTCACTGCAGTGAGAACTTTCCCCAGGTAGACCCTGACCCTTCTGCCTCCAGGAAAAGTTACAGTGAGTAGTTCTGAGCCCAGCCCACAGGGAGGGGTCATGTCCCACCCAGCTCTTCCTAGGTCGGTTGACTACAGAAGCATAAGAGAGAATAAGTTATTGTTATTTGAGGCCAGTGTATTTTGGGGTGGGTTTTATTTATTTATTTATTTATCTTATTTACTTATTTTTGAGATGAAATCTTGCTTTGTCGCCCAGGCTGGAGTGCAGTGGCGCAATCTTGGCTCACTGCAACCTCCACCTCCTGGGTTCAAGCCTCAGCCTCCCATGTAGCTGGGATTACAGGCGTGTGCCACCACACCTGGCTAATTTTTATATTTTAGTAGAGACAGGGTTTCACCATGTTGGCCAGGCTGGTGTTTAACTCCTGACTTCTAGTGATCCGCCCCCTCCTCGGCCTCCCAAAGTGTTGGGATTACAGGCGTGAGCCACTGCGCCCGGCCTGGGGTGGTTTGTTTTGCAGCACTGTTGTATCAATAGTTAACTGACACATGCCCACTTGCCCCACTTCCTCTCCATAGCCTTACGAGAATGGATGTCTGTCATTGATGACAGTGGCGGAGACAGCTAGTCGTCCCCAACATCTGCTCAGCCTTTGTATTACCCCAGAGTAACAGAACCTCTGATTTTTATCTGGTCACATGGCTGTCTAGATTAACACTACATTTCTCAGCTTTCCCTCTTCTCATTTATTTACTTATTTATTTTCAGAGACAGGGTCTCACTATGTCACCCAGGCTTGAGTGCAGTGGCACCATCATAGCTCACTGCAGTCTTGAACTCCTGGGCTCAAGGGTTTCTCCCGTCTCAACCTCCTGAGTTCACTACCATGCCTGGCTGAGTTTTTTATTTTTTGTAGAGACAGGGTCTCACTATGTTATCCATAGTGAGGCTCCTAGTGAGGCTGGCCTCAAACTCCTGGCCTCAGGTGATCCTCCCACCTCGGCCTCCCAAAGTGTTGGGATTACAGGTGTGAGCCACTGCTCCCAGCCTCCTTCTAAACAAGTGTGGCCATGTGCTCAGTTCTGGCCAATGGGGTGTAAGGGAAAGTGTCATGTGACAGTTTCTGAGCACCTTCTCTAAGACATAACTGCAATTTACCTTTTACCCCCTCTTTCTTGGCCTCCAGCCTTGCGTGATGGCTGGAGCTCAAGCAGCCATCTTGGACAGGAAGTGGAAGCTACATTTTGAGGACGGCAAAGTAACAGACAAAATCAGGGTTCCTGATGATCACGAAAAGGCCATGCCAGCACTAGGCTGCTTCTACCTGAGTTTCCTTTATGGGAGAGAGAGAAACTTCTACCTTGTGTTTTTGTCACTTACAACAGAACTCAATCTTTACTCATGCAGTGGCTTCTTATCCAGACTTTTTGTTCATGGGCTTGTCCTGTGCAACCCACCATGCTAAGCAATATATGGCCTTTTATCCAATAAATAAGTATTTATTAAGCACCTACCATGCGCCAGGCACTGTGATTGATAAGCCTGGGGATACAGTGAGAAGACGGACAGGGTTCCTGCCCCAAGGGGCTTAAGCTTGAAAGGAAGAGACAGCGATGAATGAACATATGCGTGTGTGTAATTACAACCTGTGACAAGAGCCATGAAAGAGGAGGAGCAGGAGGCTTTGGGAGCAGTCAGCAGGGGCCCTCTTATAGTCAGGGTTATCAGGGAAGGCTTCCCTGAGGCAGTGACATCTAAACCAAGCTCTGGAGAAGAGGGGGAGGAATACAGCCTACTACTCAAGAGCACAGGCTTCAGAGCAAGCCCAGCCTGATACTGAGTACTGGGTAAACTGAGACCCAGAAAGTGAAGTAAGTTGCCCGAGTTTACACAACTAAGTGGAAGAGCTGGGAGTTCCCCTGAGCAATCTGTCCTCAGGCCTGGCCTCGGGGCACTAGGCTGTAGTGATTAATAATAATAGCTCTTAACTCCCAGGATTTTGGGGAGCATAAAAAAAGAAAATGTCAGTCAAGTACTTAGCACAGTGCCTGGAAAATATTAAATGTTAGCTATCATCCTCATCCTCCTCCTCCTCATCGTCATTAACTAAGGGAGCAGGGGAAAGAGTGTTCCAGGGAGGGAGGACTGCACGTGAAAGGCCCCAAATGGAAGGAAGCGTGGTGCATTCGAGGACCAGAAGGCAGACCAGCAGGGCTGAATGCAAATAGTTCACCCCTGCTTTTATTTGATCACAACAACTGTACTAGGTAACACCTATTATTAACTGGTTATAATCTCTTTAACTCTTTATAAATGTGGAAACAGTGGCCCAGAGAGGTTAAGCGACTTGCCGAAGGTCACGCAATAAAGAATCATCTGAACCTGGACTCAAGCCCAGGTCTGTCAGCCTCCAAAGCCCAAGCCCCCAGTTACCACCCTCCCCTTCCTTGGAATGGACAGAACTCGAGAGCAAGCCAGTTCCTGCTGCAATAGCACCTCAGAAGGAAAAGCTATACAGCCTGAGGCATCAGAGTCGGATGGCTCCTAGAGAGCACTTTGAACACGCCCCACCCATTTTTAAGATGGGGAAAGTGAGGCCCAGCGAGGAAAGGGACTTGCCACAGACAGATCGGCAGTGGAACTGGACTTATATTCCCAGACTGGAGGCTGTATTCCCCTCCAGTCTGGGGGCGGGCATCGGCTGTGCCTTGTTCAGGCCCTTCTTTTTTATATCTCCCTGGGGATAGCAAACTGAGCTGAATCCCCTGAGAGGGGTGGCTCCAGCAGGTGCTGTGTTTGTGTGTGCTGGGGGTAAAAAGTGGGGATGGACTTTGCCTCAAGGGCAGGAGCTTGTGAAAAACCAGCAGATCAGGTCCCCAGCCTGGCTGGAGGACACAGAGGGCAGTGTCCCCAGGGGCATGAACCCTGTAGACTGTGGAGCTCCTTGATAAACAGACTGCTCCATCCAAGTAGGCCTTCCAGTCCCCTGGGAAGCAGCTAAAAAGAGCCCTAGCAACTCGAATACACAGCTCACATACACTTGTGCATACGCACGCACGTGCACACACACCCCGCCGCGTACAGAGGCAGCTTGGCCTGGATCCCAGCCCCCCACACCCCCACAGAGCACCATCTGCCCCTTCCGAAGGTCCTCACGCAGGAGGAAAAGCTGGATTCTCCTTGTGTGTCAAGAGAAGAAGCCAAGGACCAGAGCAGAGAGGGGCCTCATCCAGGGTCACACAGAGGTTTGGGACAGATCTGAGCTCAAAGCCCAGAACTCCTGACTGCCAGGCCAGCTACCTGATGAGGCAGATGCTATTTGGTTGCCTTTGAAACAGCAGGCAGGCAGGACCCCGCTGAGCCCATGTGGAACCTAGGGCCCAAACCCCGCCCCCTTGGGGCCCTGCCCATGTCGTGTCATTGAGTCACTGCCTTGGAGCAGATGCGGGGGCAGCTTCCTCCTGCACAGCTGGTTGGGGCTTGGCCCGACAGTGCCTCCTGGACCAGCCTCCCTCCCTCTGCCCCGCAGGGCACACTCCCTCTGTGCCTGGCCTTGTGCTGAGGGTTCACACATATTCGTAAACCTGCCAAGTCCACGCGAGTCCCAGGAGGTGGAATTATTATTCCCATTTCATAGTTAAAACAACAGAGGCTCGGAGAGGTAAAGCAACTTGTCACACAGTTCTGAGAACTGAGATTCCTTGCAGGACCGGACATCCGCACATTCATAAACTCACCTATTCCTCGGACTTCCTTAGAAAAATTCTGCCCACAAGCCAAAGAGAACCAGCATCAAAAGCCCCCATCTGCAACTCCAGCTGAACCACTAAGTCTCACAGACTGGCTGCAGGTGTGGATTCTTTTGGAAAGCCCTGGCTGAGGCTGCCTGGAAGTCAGGGATAGAGGTCCCCATCCCTGTTCAGCCATGATGGGCTGTCCACTTTCTCTGAACCCTAATTTTCTCATTTGTAAACTGAAAATAATACTCAGCCCTTCCTCCCAGGGCTTTGTGAGGATCGATGGCAATGAGGCATGGAATGCGTGGTGTGTGCCTCTGCGTGGTCCTGGCTCCTATATCTACCTGCCACCTGGCACTGCCCTCCCCACCCCCAGCCATGCCTCCACTCTCTTCTGTACCCGGCAGATGGGATCAGTCCCACAGCTGTTCCTCAATCCCCCACTGCCTCCTCCCACCCAAGGAAGGGGGCACCACTTTCCTCCTCCCTTCCCTGGCTAGGGAGAGGACAGGCAAAGCCAGATGTTCCACAAATGTTGCCAGTTGTTAGCAAAACAACAACCAACAGGTGGCTTCTTTGAGACCCCTGTCAGGTCCATTGCTTGAGGGCCTGAGAGCTCTGAGGGAGCGGTGGGGCTGTGGAGGAGTCGCCAGGAGCCTGAGGTTTGGGCAGGAAGGGAGGTGAAGCAGAGAGGCCTTCAGGGGTGGGATGTCAGTGGGAAGAGTTTGGGGAGGGGACAGTAGGTTAAGGGACAAGGGGGTGCAGAGGCAGGGAGGTAGGGTGGGGAGCTGAGAGTTTGGTGCAAGCGAGAGGAGCAGGGAGGAGTGAAGCTGGAGAATCTGGTGGGTCCAGAGGTGGCTGCCTGGGCAGGAGACCTGCAGGGGTAGGACTAACCTATCCCTCCTTCCCCACCCTGCCCCAGGACCCGACTTCAGATGGAGAGAACTTTGGAACCCCCAAGGGGCTCCCAGGCCCTCCTGAGCTCCATCATGGAAGGAATCAAGCAGAAACTCTGGGGTCCTAAGTGCTGGGCAGCAGTTTAGACTCAATGGTCTCTTCCAAGCTGGAGAGTCTGGGAGGTCATAGCTGGCCCAAGACAGGTCAAGAGAGCACGTCACTCACATGGCAGAGGCCGAGAGCATGAGGGACTTGACTCTCCCACCAGGAGCCTGGCTGCAGTTGGCACCTCGGCAGCTATCATCCAACTGAGTGGCACCCCCTCCTGCTGGCATCCAACTGAGTGGCACTGCTGTGCCCTCTTGCCTCTCCACCCACCACAACCTATTTGCCAGCTGACCCCAACTGCTCCCAGCAGGGCCAAGACTGGGCAGCAGTACGGGAACAGGCTGTTTCTCACTTACTCCCTGGAATTGGCTGGCTTTGTCCTCCAGCAAAACTGTTCCTGGAAGGACAAGGATCTGGGGTCTGAGACCAAAGGCCCCCCCCATCTTCTCAGGCCTGGGCAAGTGGAGAATGTGACCTGTGACCTTGAATAATGAGATCGCTAACAGCAGCTCACGGTTATGAAGCACCTACCCCACGCCATGCACTGAACTAAACTTGTTGCATGCACGACCTCGCTTAGTCATTGCAACTCTGGGGTAAGTGCCAATGCGCACAATTTATAGATGAGAAAGCGGAGGGAAGGAGAGGGTACATGACTTCTTCAAAGGTTTGCAGCCATTAGTAAATGGTGGAGCCAGAGACTGAGCCCCAGAGCCTGACTCCAAGGCCCTTCAGCTCTACAGTGAAGAGTGCTGCTTCCCTTCCCTCCCCTCAGTCTTCCCATCTGTGGGATGGGGAGGAGCTGGTTGAAATGACATCACAGCTCTGTGATCCCACGTTGACCGCCTGGAATTGCCAGAGACTAGAGAGCACTGCTCCTTCCTCTCCTGTGAAAGAAAATGGGAACCAGCCCAAATGACACTGTACAGATGAGGCAACTGAGGCCTAAGCGGGCAGAGAATGTACCCAAGGTCCTCCAGGGAGCCCAGGCAGGGCCCAGGGCAGGGGGACCCAGACGCCTTTCTAGTCTGCCCTCCAGCTGCTCTGCACAGCCAAAGCCACTCGGAGGCCAAGGGAACCAGGGTGTGAGTAATGGAAACCAGGCAGTGGGGCCTTCCGAAATGGGAATTCCATCTGCCTGACTTTGTTCTCCCGGACTTTGGTTTCCATGGCAACTCTGGGAACCAGGAGGTTGGGAAGGTGGAAGAGGGAAGGCCTGGCCCTAAACTGAATCCCTAGAATATAAAGAACTGGAAAGGTGGGTCTCCTTGTGGACCCAGTGGCTCCTCCCAGCAGAAGATGCGAGAGAGGCCAGGTCAGGCAGGGAAGTCCTGGGCTCAGACCCAGTACTGCCTCTACCATTTTGGGGGAGTAGGGAGTAGTATTATAGTCTTCCCTGGGCCCCAGTTTTCCCAGCTGTCAGGTCCCCAAATCTCAGGCCTGGAAAAAACCTGGAAGGTGCCCTTGTTCAGAATTAGAAGCACGACTCTTCCCAGGCCCTTCCAGCCTCTGTGAGACACTGAATCTCTACAGTGGGAAAGCTCTTCACAGTTTATAAAGCCCAATGACACTCATTGCCAGGTCCTGGAGAAAGACCCAGCACCACTCCTGGAGGGGCTCACCCTCTGGTGCCAACATGTATCAAGCACCTACGGTATACCTGGCCCCAGGTTAGGACCTTTCTGCAGAACTGGCTCACTGGCTGTTCATCCCAGCACTGAGAAGACAATAGAATCATCCCCATTTTTGCAGGCTCAGGGATGGGCAGTGACTTGCCAAGGTTACAGAGCAAGTCAGTAGCAAAGACAAGACTCAAACCCAGGATTGCCTGATTCCAAAGCCTTTGGAGACAGAAAAACCCATGCCTGACTCAGTACGGGCTAGTCAAGGAGAGGCCACGGCTGCCGGGGAGCAGAGGGAAGGGGGTTCTCTGCTGACCTAGGCTACTGTTGTTGCACAGAAGATTCTTCCAAATGGGTTTCAAGGGTGAGCAAGCATTAGGGGTCCCATTTGCAAGCGGGGCAGGAAAAGTCAGGTGTGGTCAGAGCGGCAGTCAGACAGCCCACCTCTTCCTCCTGATGAAGCCCTGCTCAGCTTCTGCTCCACACCCAGGCCCTGGCTCTAGTCCCCTGTAACCCTGAAGAGGGCTCAGTCCAACTCCCTGAAGGCCTCCAGAGACCAACAATTCTGATCCTCTCACTGTGCAGAGGGGCCAACAGGGCTGGCCTTGCCCAGGGAGATGAGTAAGGGGAGGCAGGGAGGAGGGAGCTGTACAGCCCCATGTCGTCTGCAGCTCCAAGTCTGCAGGACCCCAGGCAGGGAACAAGATCCAAGGAGACGGGGCCCAGCTCCTCCTGCATCAACTCCATCTAGCTTAATCTAAGACAGCCCTGCTGAGCCAGACCCCACCCTGGGCCATGCCCTGGCCCCTGGGAGGTTATATATGTGGGGTCAGCTTTGCCTTCAGCTTGGCCTGGACTCTGGGCCTCTTCTGCCCACTTCTAGGCAAGTGGCCCAGGTCCTCCCTTGAAGGATGCCCTGGGCCTTTCCTAAACTCGCATCTTCTGTTAGGTAGGAGGGGAAACAAAGGCACAGTGGGGAAAGCCTTACCCAGGGCCACAGAAAGACTCTGTGAGTCCTATCTCCTGTCTCCACAGCTGTTCCTTCTGCCCAGAGGCCTCCATAAGCCCACCACCACCCTTCCTGAGATTCTGGCCCCGTCTACCTTCACCAGCCATCCCTGCACCACGTGAAAGTTCTATTCAAACCTCAGGGTGTGGCGAGGCAGAGAATTGAAGGAACTTGCTGAAAGACATGTGGCCAGCTGGCGATAAGCAAGGACTCCATCCTGTAGCCGGCAGAGCCCAGGCTTTGCAGACAGTCAGACTTGGGCTGAACCCCTGCCACCTGCTGGCTACGTGACCTTCCCTGTCTGTGCTTCCATCTCCTCATCTGTAAAATGGGGATAAGCCCTACCTCCCAGGCTTGGGGAGGAGATGCAGTGACCACTAGGATGAGTGGCACAGTGCCTGGCACAGAGGAAGGCATGGGAGAGCAGCCCTCACCAGTGTATCAGTGTATCGGGCTCCAGGATGGGGGCAGGTGATGGCAAGAGAGCAGTGGCTGAATCAACAGCCCAACGACCAACCCTCCCAGCCCCAGCCACCCTGGGAAGGCTCAAGACCAGGAACACACAAAAAGGGTCAAGAACAAGAAATAACACAGGCCTTTTATTTGCTCCAGAACTTGGCTACTGTGTGGTCTGAGGGTGCCATGCTTTCCCAAAGCCCCCGAGGGACACTCCACCCAGGGGGTGCCAGATCTCTGTGTGTAGCCAGACTGCAGTGTCCCCCCAGGCTGCCTTAGTCCAGAAGGCCAGCTGCCTGCCACCGGTGCCCGGGACGAGCATATCCCCTGAAGCTGGAGAATGGTGTCCACCTTTGCATGGCAGCTTCTCCCAAGGCATTGGCTAAAATATTGCACTTGTAAATCAGGAAAACTGATGAGGCAAGGGTTTCCTATTACAGGACGACGTGCCAAGCATCCAACTACTATTTAAATAAATAAAACTCAAAGTGGGGGTCTGAGCTGCAAGCTCCAATGGCCCTCTAGGAGGGCCCGAGAGCCCAGGCCTGGACCTCCTGCCCCATCAGCCAGTTCTTTAAGGAACTTGGTCAACGCGAAGCCTCCGCGGTCTCCGCAGCAGGGAGCAGCAGCTCCAGATCTGGCTTGGCCAGGGCCCCTGACCTGCCAGGGTCTTGGGCCCCCTCGTACCGGGGCAGTGGGGACCCCACGGGGCCCATCCTTCTACTCCTCCAGTAGCCTGGGCCTCTCTTGGTCCAGGCCTCGCTTCCGTATGTCTATCCGTCTGTCCAGAGACACAGCCTCTGGGGGCTTGCTTGCCCCCTCCGTCACAGGGGGCAGGGAGGCAGGTGGGCAGGGGACCCAGCCCGCCTGGTGTGAACGCTGAGCTCGACTCCAGTGGCCCCTAAAGCGGGGGACTCATCTTCTTCTGGTTAATAAGGTCCAGGTAGAGGTCAGAACGGAGAAAGCGAGGGTACGAGTCCTTTTCCATGAGCCCGAAGATGCGCTTCTGTGCCAGGTCGAAGCAGCCCCGCGTGACGCTCTGCAGGTTGTCCTTGGTGTGCTCCCGCGTGTAGGAGTCCAGGTTGACCTGGGGAGGCAGAGGGGGACATGGTCAGGGCTGCCTGCTGGGGACTGACCCTAGGGCCCATGTGCCTGGAAGGGACCCATCCAGCCTCTCACCTCCAAGCCCCTTTGCCCCACATCTTAAGGTTCATCTGAAGTAGAGACCCTCAGACCAGAGGATTCAAGTCCTGGCTCAGTCATTTCCTGTAGGGCTGGCAGCATTTATAAGGCTGAAAATACCACCCTGAGGGTTAGGCTTCCTGGGTTCAAATCCTAGCAGTGCCACACCTGGGTGTGTGACTTGAAGCAAATTACTTAAGTGCGGTGAGCTTCAGTTGTCTTATCTACCAGCTAGGAATAATAGTACATTCCTCAAAGCGTGAAAACCAAGCAAGATCATCCATATAATGTGCTTTGCGCATAGTGCCTGGCACACAGTAGGCACTCAATAGATGGGAGCAATTATGATTTGTCTCTGTCACTCAGGCTGGAGTGCAGTGGTGCGATCTCGGCTCACTGCAACCTCCGCCTCCCGGGTTCAAGCGATTATCCTGCCTCAGCCTCCCGAGTAGCTGGGACCACAGGCGCCCATCACCACACCTGGCTAATTTTGTAATTTTAGTAGAGATGGGGTTTCGCCCTGTTGGCCAGGCTGGTCTCGAACTCCTGACCTCAAGTGATCCGCCTGGCTCGGCTTCCCAAAGTGCTGGGATTACAGGCATGAGCCACTGTGCCCAGCCTGTCTCTTCGTTTCACAGGTTGTTGTGTGGATTAAACATGAGAACGCATACATAAAGGGCTCAGCACATGCCTGGCATGCGGCAGTGCCTTGGTGGTGGCCATTTTTATTACTAACTGGGATTCTGTTCTTCCCCTGATCCTAGCTTGCATCTTCCCTGCTGGGTACCTGGGCTCATGGAGTCATTCTGGCCTCTCCCCTTCCTGTGCTGCTGGCTGCCACCTTGCAGCTGAAGGGCCACTGGGCCCTGGGGATTGGAGGAGCGGAGGGTCTGCCCTGAGGTCCTACCTCCTTGCATGCCTGGATCGCGATGTATTCAGCAAAGATCTTCTTGGCCTTGGATGCCATCTTGGACTGTGACTTGACCTTCTTGAAGTCCTCACAAGCCAACCAGAACTCCAGATTCTCCTCACTGAACTCAGTGCGAAGGAAGGCTTGGAACACTGCTAACCCGTCTGTGAGGAGAACGGATCCTGGGGTAAGAGGCAAACTCAGCCTCTCCTGCCCTTAAGATGCCTCAGCTTACCCCTACAGGACTTTAAAGATGGGCGTGCTGGGAGCTGAGTACAATGCCCGTCCCCGACAGCCAGGAGCCCTGGGATGTGGCCCCAGCCCTGCCACTGCCTCTTTCAGGGTCTCAGTGGGGTCTCCCCCTCTCTATGCCTCAGTGTCTTCATCTGTGAAATGGGGACTATCGATTCTGTCTCCCGGAGCCCTGGGAGGAGCCGATGGGACCCTGCCCATGAGATGGCAGGCACATTTGGCGCCGTGAAAGCCCTCAGTACGTAGAAATGTTTATTCTTATTCTGGGAATATGGATCTGAGCACACAGGTCCCACGGGCCTCCGGCAGGCAGTGCCAGCTCACATGGACGGGGAGGGGCTGGCAGAAGCTGGCTCCAAGGCCAGACCAAGGGCCTCAGCTTGGGCTCAGCCCCTCCGCAACAGCAAGGACACCCTGACGGCCGAGGAGAGGGAAGGCGGCCTCTCTAGCACCAGCTACACAGGGTCTGGATGGGGGCGAAGGGGAGAGGGAGAGAGGGCACAGGGAGTGGGCAGGCAGGCCCAACTTACATTTGTGAACCAGCAGCTTCTCCAAGGACTCGCCCCACTTGAGGGCTTCCTCTGAGGTGGGCCTGAGGGGTGAGGGAGGAAACACAGTGAGGGCACTGAGAGGCTTGGGAACCTTGGGGGAAGCTGGGCCAGGCGGCCTTTGTTTACTGCCCTGGGCCCAGTCTGCAGCTGAGCCCAGCTGGGGCGCCCAGGAAGGAGGCCCACCCTCTTTCCCGGGGCCAGGGTCCCTTCCAGCCCCCATCTCCACCCCACCTAGCCTTCCCCCTAGGGCAGCTGCTCCCTGTGAGGGTAGCTGCTTGCCAGGTACCCAGCTCCCTCTGTGAAAGCCTGTCTCCCCCAGAGCTGGATCAAGCCGGCAAGCCCCTTCCCCTCAACCCTACCACTCAGTCCTACTCCCCGGGGAGCCAGTGAGTTCCCCAAAGGGTCCCAGGGTGCCAGGGAGGACCTACTTGAATGACTTCATCATTTTGTCTGCCTTGCCCGCGGGAGGGGCTCCAGGGGACTCATTCCGCCGTCTGAAGATCCCCAGCTTGTTCTTCATGTCCTTGGCTCTGGGGACAGAAGCAGAAAAGAGGGTTGCTCAGCCTGGCCCACTCGCCCCTGCAAATCCAGAGTCGGGAGAGCTGGGTCGAGGGCACCTACTCCTTCATCGTGTGTCGCCTCTGCAGGTTCCCGTTGCGAGTGAGGTACATGCCTCGGAGCATCTCTGTAGGGCCCCCCACCTTGGGGCCGCAGATTGGTCTGTAGGAGGCACCACTCTGGCTCCTGTCCCCCACCCCGCGTCCTGGGCAGCGGGCAGCAACGGTGCAGGCTGCAGCCACACACGCTCTCTGGAATCCTGGCCTGATGACTGGACTCCCAGGCACAAGCCGGGGCTGGGACTCAGACAGGAGGAGCCAGGAAATGGGAGGGACCAGGAGGGGGAGCGGAAAAAAAAATTCCTTCTGGCCAACCCTGAGAGGGAGCCGTGAAAGGGGCATGTGTCTGCAAGGGACAGCCTCTGGGGCCGCCCCGGCAGGAAGCCAGTCCCAGCTATTTGTGACTGGCCTCCTCGTTACCATGGCAGCAGGGAGACAGTGGTGGGGGGTGGGGGACAAGTCAGCAAATTGCTGAAAGGGAAGGAGGGAGCCAGGGGAGGCACTGCCCACCACCGGGGTGGCAGGACTGGCTATTTTTAGCCAAGAACCATTTTTAGCCTTGCCGGTCCCCAAGGAGGCAGCAGAATTCAGCACTGGGTGAAACTGCTGGCAAGAAAGGAGTTAAATGCCTCTTGCTCATGTTCGCCCCTCTTTTCCCTAGACCCCCTGTACAGGGCACCTCCCAGAGAATGGCTCCTGCCAGCCGGCCTCTCAGCCTCAGTCACCTGCATTGGCGACATCCAGTCATGAATATACAGCAGGACCCCAACATCTTAGTAGTTTTAAGCCTGAATAACTTCAGAAGTACAAGTCCTATAAACTTACAAAAACACCATTTTAAAGTTTAATTATTTAATGTTGTGTGCATGGTTTTGTGATTTTCGAATAATAAATGTTTCACTTTAAGTTTTGGTCTCCATCCTCCCAAAGATGGAAAATGCTGACTCAAACCAAAAATGAAAATGAAAAATTGATTATTCAAAAATCACATAACTAAAGACGTGCAAAAGAAATTTAATAATTAAACTTTCAAGGGGGTTTGGTAAGTTTGAAGCATTTATACTTCTGATGCTATTCAAGCTTAAAATGGCACTAAGACCTAGACACCCTGTCTAATGAAGGAGAGTCCTGCAGGGGAGGCTGATCCCAGGCTCTGGAGCTAGTCTTGGGTTCAAATCCCAGCTCCAGCAGTTACCAGCTGTGTGCCCTTTGACACGTTTCCTGATCTCTCAAGTTTCCTATCAAGGTTTTTTCTCTGTCAAGCTGTTTCCTCAAACAGAAGCCAGCAGGCCAGGTCTCCAGGTCCCAACCCCACCACTTTCTTGCCATGTAACTTAGCCTCTTTGCACAGTAGTTTATTCACGTGTAAAATAAGGGTAAGGTCAATAAGAAAGAACAGAACGGAAAATAAAAGTAGTGGTAAAGATTAAATTAGATTACATATGAAATACACACAGAACAGTGCGGGGCATAATAAACATTAATGGTTATTCTTATTATTACCGTAGATGTTCTAAGACTCTTCGTCTAAGCTTTTAAGAGTATGACCTTCAGAGGCCAGGCATGGTGGCTCATGTCTGTAATCCCAGCACTTTGGGAGGCCGAGGCGGGAAGATCACTTGAGGCCAGGAGTTTGAGAACAGCCTGGCCAACATGGCAAAACCCCCATCTCTACTAAAAGTACAAAAAAAATTTGCTGGGTGTGATGGCACACACCTGTAATCGCAGCTACTTGGGAGGCTGAGGGACAAGAACTGCTTGAACTTGGGAGGCGGAGGTTGCAGCAAGCCAAGATCGCACTCCAGCCTGGGTGACAGAAGGAGACTCTGTCTCCAAAAAAAAAAAGTGTGGGCTTCAGGCAATTCAAAAGGCAGCACCTACATTGAAAGGAGGCTAGACAGGGCTGCTCCAGCACCCGGGATGCCTGCCCTCTGCGCCACACACTGCTTCCCTACACCTCCCACTTCCAGCACCACATTCAACAGTCCTGGCACCCCCTGGATCCTCTCTCATCCTACAAAAGGTTAAGTGAAGATGGTTGGTGCAAGGGACTGTTTTGGTTTATGCATTTCACCTTGCTAAGAAAATGCAATTGGCTGTGGAGTAAGAGAAGCCAACAGTTGCTGCAGAAAGCTGGAGAGGTCAAGGCAGCTGGGGTGAGGAAGGCTTTCTAGGGTAGTGGACCCCACCCACGGTCAAGGCCAGAGAAGAGGGTTGCAGGAGGCTCCTCCCTATAGCCCAATTCCTGCCTAGTGGTGGGTGCTACAGGACCTGGTGGGGAGGGGCTTCCTCTGGAGGTGTCACTGTGCATGCACCCCACTGCCTCCTCCCTATACCTCCCCCGAGTCTCCAGGGTCTTAGGCCTGGGGGTAGAAGAAGACCTGAGAACCCACACACACATCTTTTTCATTGACACCTCTAACAAACACCCTATAGTATAAGAAGGCCTGAGTGTGGCCAGAAAGGCTTGGCGAGTGCGGGATTCGGCAGCTGGGCCAGCAGCGCCCCCTCCTGGCAATGCCTGAGACTATTAGCATTCAGGAGCTCAGGAAGAGAAAGAGGAGCCAATGACTGTCAGTTCCACCCCTTCTCAGGTCACTCTTGGGCCCAGAGGGAGCAAAGGAGTTGTTGAAGTCACTTGGTCCCTGCTTGGCTCAGAAGCTGGGCTAAAGCCAGGGCAAACGGGCTGGTTGCTTCTGGTTCACTGTGGCTTCCGGGTACTGAATCAGCACTTTGCCTCACTTGGAGAGAATGCTCAGGACCCAGGTGACCCCACTTTGGGGTCACTGCAAAGTTCCAAGATCCAGTTTTTCCTTGGTGTCTGTCTGGGGTTGTGGGCGGGACCAGGCACAACCTCTTCTCCCCACCTGGACCCCTAGAGGAGAGACAAGCCCTGGGGCAAGGGAGGAAGAGGAGCGCAGAAGCCAGGGATCTTCCCAACGTACAGGTTTTTGCTCTTTCTCTTCCGGGAGGCTTCGTCATCATCCCCAACGGTGTCAGCCCCGCTCATCTGCGGAGAGAAGACAGACACGATGCAGTCTGGGCACCCAGGAACTCCTGCCTAAGTAAACAGAGGCTCAGAGACCCAACATTCCCTGCCACCAGCCCCTTCCATCCCCAAAGCCCCCACCCGCGGCACACAGGTGAGGGAGGGAAACCCCACTGCTGGGAACAGCCTGGCCATGAAGTGGAATCGGCCTGGCAGACTCTCCGGCCACAGGGATCTCCTCCTGGGACAGTCAGGTCCCCAGCTCACTGGGGAGAAGCCAGACGGCTGGCACTCAGGACAGAGGCTTCATTGCAGGCAGTGAGCAGGTGAGAGGGCAGGGCTTCTGCTGTGTCACTAGGCCAATCCCTGCCCCTCTCTAAGCCTCTATTCCTTAATTTCTAAAATCAGGATCATAATGATTAAGTCAGGATTCTGAAGTTCAAAGGAGACCTGAGATGGTCAGCAGTGTATAAAATAAATCATTACACAGGCCTGAGTGCACCTCTCTTGCCTTATAGCTTTCCATGGCTCCCTAGTGCCCTCGGGATAACATTCAAACTCCGTAACACGACTGGATCTACCATCTTAGGATCAGGGCAGAAAGTTCCATTCAGTTATTCCTTCAGTTATCTCTCCAGCCTGGCCCCTACTTCAGCAACCTCCTCAACTCTGCCTTCCAACCAACAGAAGGTCTTCATCTCCATGTGCAATTCCTTCCTCGGGGGATGCTTTTGTGAGTCTCCCACCTGCATGGATGGATGGATGGATGGATGGATGGATGGATGGATGGATGGATATGTGGATAGGTGGATGGATAGATGAGTGGATGGATGGATGGATGGATGAATATATGGGTGGGTGGGTGGATAGATGGATGGATGGGTGGATGGATGGATGAGTGGATGGATATATGAATGCATGGGTGAATAGATGGATGGGTGGGTGGGTGGGTGGATGGTAGATGAATGCATGGGTGAATAGATGGATGGGTGGGTGGGTGGGTGGATGGATGAAGGAGTGGATGAGTGGATGGATGGATGAATTACACCTTCATTTAGCTCATACTATAGGCCAGACCCTGGATGGGGCATAATTCAGATACTATCTCATTAAACCTCACAATAAACCTATAAAGTAAATAGAGGCTCAGAGAATTTAAGTCACTTCCCCAAGGAGACCCAGCATGTAAGTGACAGAGCTGGAATCTGCCTCAATTCAAGGCCTGTGTTTCTCCACCAGAGGATGCTGCTACTCAAAAATGCAAGGTCAGAACACATTTTAATGTTTCCTGTGAAAGACTCGGGAAGTGCTGCCTCCTTCCTGAGAATGCTGCCCCACCAGAGTTGTAAACATACATGTGTGTACGTGCACACAGAGGCACACACCGTATGGTGTGTGATTTCAGAGCAAGTGTTTGGAACCAGACCTGGATATAAATCCTGCTTTCACCAACTTTGGGTAAGTTTCCTAGCCTCTCGGCTTCCATTTTTTTAGCTATGGCTTAGGCATAGTGACAGCCACTTCACAGGGCTGATGGAAGGTTCACCAGGATAAACTCTGGACCCCAAGGCCCAGTCCTGGCACCCACGCTAACCTCAGTAACCAGTGGTCATTGCCCAGTGAGTGTTACCACTGTCACCATTCAGGGCACCCTTCAGTGCACATACAGGCTGCACTCATGCTGGCCTGGCAAGGCCATGCCCAAGGCCCCCACCCGTGGGAAAGAGCCCTCGGGCCCTGGGCTTCCTCCCATTCTAACCTCAGCTTCCGTACTTTATCGGCTCCACACAATGGGCCTGGGGACCACTCCCACCCAGCCGCCATCCTCAGCCTCTGCGCTGCTGGGAAATGGGCTCTTCCTTCCACTGTGGGGAGGAGAGTGTCTTCAGCAGGGACTGACCCAAGCCTAGCAGCCTGACAGAGGGGCTGGGCAGCTCTGGCCCTAGGAGTCAGCCCCCTGGGCTGCTGGGGAAACCCCAGCACCAAAAAGAGCCTGTGAGCCAAGGAGAAATTGAGGTGAAAAAATCGGGTTCTGATTCCCAGCCCTAGGGACTCACCATAGCTGCAGGGAGGCTTTGGCCTCTGACCTTGGAGGGGGCCAGAGTGGCTCCTCAGACTCTTCCCTCCCCTCCCACAGCTGCATCAATGCCTGCCCAGGGCCTAGTCTGCAAAGGCCCTCCAAAGGGATTCTCCTTTCCATCTTCTCCCCACTGTCTCACTATGTGACCTTGTCCAGCTGAAAAGCAGATGGAGGTGAGTCCAGGACCATACAGCCCTTCCTTCACTCCAGGCAGAATCCCTGGGCCCTGCCCAGCCTCATCCAGCCACCTCCAGGGACTAGGAGCTCACCACCTCTTGGAACAATAATTATAATTCTTACTGTAATTATAACTGTAATTATAGTAATGATTAAGAGTGTAGATTTTTAATTGCCTGGATTTGAAGCTTAGCTCAATCATTTATTAGCTCATTGACCTTAGCTCAGTTACATCCCTCTCTGTGCCTCAGTTTCCTTATTTGTAAAATGCGGGTAATAACCGGACTTCCCTCAAAGGGCTGTGGTGAGGATTATGTAAGTTAACACGGGGACGTGCTCAGCACAGCGCCCAACACACAGCAGTGAGCAAGTACTCTCAGCTAGCATGGGTTTTGCCATTATTTATTGAGCGTTCACTACATGTCAGGTGCCGGGCCAAAGTGTTTTAACATACTTTATCTCATTTAATCTTGGCAACGATTCTAAGAGCTAGTTACTGATATTTCCCCTCAGTGTGCAGCTGAGGAAACAGATGCCCAGGGCAGTTTGATAACTGGCCTGGGCTCTCTGAACTAACAAGTAGCAGAGAACTGTGGTCTGGGTCCAGAGCCCACTAGTGACTGAGCGCTCGTCTGTGAGCAGGGCTCAGCTGGTTTCCCTATTGGTCCTGGTCGGACTTCTGGGGCTCCCTGGCCATCCATGGCTGCCCTCTCCGATCCAGCCCAGGCTGGCAGGCCCCATGGAACCACGTGGAAACAGTGGATTTAAACTCTATACTTACTTGTTTACACATCCGAAATAATTCTTTAGGCTTTTTAAAAATAGGAGGCTTGAAGGTATTATCGTCTTGGAGCTGGAAGGCATTTTTGGGGTCCTCTCGTCTGATCTCTGACCTACGTGGGAGCTTAGTGAAACAGGGCTGGCACCCTCTGTGGACCACCTCTGCCCAGGCCAGTCCCCTGCAGGGGAGGAAGGAAGCAGGGCCAGGGAAGGGCTGCAGCCTGTGGTCTCCTCACTGTCAAAGAATAGCCCATGACCCTCTGTGCTGAGCCAGATAGGCTGGACTAGAATTCAATGGCAGCATCCTGGACCCAAACACAATTATTCTCCGGGGCTTCCTTGACTCCCCAGGAAGAAGGCCTGTGATCTGCTCTGCAGGGCCTCCAGGGAGCAGCCAGGAAGGCAGGGGTCTGGCGGCAGGGGGCACCATGAGACCACTCAACTCAGCACAGGGCGCCACACCCAGGGGATGGCCAGCTGGAGAACCATGGCGGGGAGTGGGGGCAGGGGGCTCTCCCTCTCTGGACTCAGTCAGCCCATCTGTGAGATCACCATGGTCGAGCAGACTATCTCTGAGGTCTGCCTGTTCTGACATTCCTACTCACAGTAGAAATTGCTCAGCACATAAGAGGGCAGGATAACAGGGGTGTGGACCGGAGACAACGTCGAGACTGAATGTCACCCTGTGGCAGGCAGCATGTACTCTGGGCAGCCTCAGCTTATCCGCACAGCAGCACAAATGACCAGCCCAAGCTTTCTACGTACTGCGCCCTGGAACCCTTGGGACAACTCCCGGGGGACTCCGTGTTCCATTAATAAGAGAAAACCGAAGCTCAGAGAAAGAAGCAACTTGGCCAAGGTCTCAGAGCCAGGGAGGAGGAGGCAGAGCTGAGACTTGAACCTGGGTCTGTCTGACTCCACAGCCTGAACACTTCACCCCTCCCCTCTTCACCTCTTGCCTGGCATTGCCTAGGAATAGTGGCCCATCAGCATCAGGGGACCCTCCCAGAAGAGCCAGGCCAAAGCCAGGAAGATAGAAGTCATGGGGGAACCTGCCACTGTCCCTCTGCCAGTCCCCCACCCCCGGCCCCTCATCAGCATGAGGTCTCAGAGTCTAGGGCAGAGCCACAGAGGACTGACTAGACAATGGTGAGGCCTTGTCCAGTGCCATCATCACTTGCTGCTGTGTGGCTGGGGACAAAATATCTCTCACTAGCCTCAGCCTCCCACTGTAAGCCAAGTGCCTGTCCACTTTGCAGCAGTGTCAGGAAGGTGAGAAATGGGGTCTGGTGGTACTTCGAATGGCGGCACAGCCAGTACTACCCTGGTTACTGCTCTTCTCCCCCTCCCCCTCCACATAACATGATTACCATTTATGCAGCACCCACCAGGTGCTGAGCGCCAGGTACTGCCCTAAATGTTTTACCTGTGTTAAGCTATTTAATTTTCCCAGCAACCCTAGGAAGGAGGCATTATTACCATACCCATTTCACCAAGGAGGAAACTGTGGCTCACAGAGGGGCAGGGACTTGCCCAAGGCCCAGTACCAGTAAGAGATGGAGCTAGACCACGGTGTTTGTCCCATCCGGGGCTTCATCTCCTCTTGACAAGTTTCCTACTGAAGCTACTGGTGGAAGAGGGCAGGATGTGAATGGCAAAGGGCTCAGGAACTGGTGTGTGGAAGCCACATGGAAGGGTGGCCACCACCAGGCTGGGGGCAGCCTCTGATGTCTCTGCCAGCTCAGCCACTCAAACCCAAGAAAGGAAGTGACCGGCTAAAAGTTGGTGGGACAGGGGAGGGTGCCAGTGGGAACCTTGGGCACCCAAAGGAGGAAGCTGAGACAAGAGAGAGCTGGTCCAGGCCTGCTAGACTCCCAGGCAGGAGTATGTGTCCCAAAATAGGAGCCGAGGTCAACTGAGCTGGGGAATTAGATAAATGCATACATATGAATGTGTGTGAATTTATCTGTATATAAATAGTTTTATTGGAGCAAGTGTGGTGAGGGGAATAGAACTGGGAAGGGTGTAGTGGGGGAATCAGGATTGGGAAGCCCAAGGCAGGTGGGCCTCAACCGCCCTCCAAAGAGGAGTGGCCAGGCCTGATCTGAATGAGCCTGAGGCCTTGCCTTGGAAGGACAGCGTTCCGGACTCTCTCCTGTAGAAACCATCAAGAAATGGCCTAAGATGGTGATATTCAAACTTTGGCAAGATCATGATCCCTCGGGGCATGTTTAAAATATAGGGTCTGGGCACCACCCCTAGAGATTCTGATTCCAGAGTTCTGGGTATGGGGACTAGGAATCACATATTAATTACCTCCCCTTGGTGATTCCGGAGCACACCACAGTGTGAGAACCACACACGCTTACAGATGAGGAAACGGAGATTTAGTTCCAAGGCCAAAGTTCAAGACCCTTTTCTGGAGGGCCCCAGCCTGCCCTGTCAGAATGACTAGCTTTCAGCAGAAGGCATCTCCCCAGAAGGTAAGTCTGCCTTCTTGCTAGTGGCTAAGAAGCTAAGCAGGCTTCTGAGGACATGTCCCAACTTGGTGAGGAAGTATGCTGGAATCCATTAATGATGTCTGCCATGGGTTGGAGGGAGGAATAGCAGCACCTGTGCCAGGCATCTGCCCTTTAGGAATGCTCTGCTCTAGCCAAAGAATGCTTGCCTCTACCTCTCTGTTTATTCTAATCCTGTTCATCCTTCAAGGCCAAGCTGAGAGGTATCTTCCTCCAGAAGCTTTCCCTGATGGCTTTAGGCCCTGGGGTCTGTCCTCCTGAAGTTCTAGATCTCTGAGTCAGTTGTGCTCCATGGGCACTGAGCACCCCTACTCACCTAGCCTCACACCAACACCTTGCACTGGCTGTTGCATTTCAAGAGAAGGAGTGGGGCCCAGCATTCCCTGAGGGCCGCCTCTCAAGCGGCTAGTGTTATCAGGCACCAGCCTCTTCCATTCATCCTCAACCATTCTGGGATGTGAGTGCTATTAACCCCTACTTTTCAGAGAAGAAAACTATGGCTCAGAGGAGTTGAGTGACTCAACCAAAGCCACATAGTAAGAAACAGAGCCCAGACCCAAACTAGCTGGTAGGCTTCAAGATCATGGCGCAATCTGTTCACTGTTAGGCCACTTTCAAGGCTCACACAGTTAACTTATTTCTCTCAGGTTGAGACCAGCCTCACACACTTCTGTGGCTCCTGCCATGTTGCAGAGCGCAGGGCCTGGTACACAGCAGGAAATCCATAAATACTTATTCATCTACATATAAATATTCACGAGAGGCAAACGGTGTGGTGGTTGGTTAAGAGCACTGGCCCTGGAACCAGATTCTAATTCTAGTTCAGACACTGATACACTGTGTAACCTGGAGCAAGTTAGATAACCTCTCTTTGCCTCGGTTTCCTCTGCTGTAAAATGGGCACAAAAATACTATCTACTTCAAAGGGCTGTTGTGAGAGTTAATGAGTTAATGTAAACTGCTTAGGATAATGTGGACACGGAATAAATGTGTGTTGTCATTGTGACTGGCTGATGGATTTCTAGTCTGGCTAGGCTGTAACTCTATTTCTCCAGCTACTATCTCAGATCTTTTAAATCCAAATACACAATGGCCTGGGCTAAGCTACACCTGCTCTGCTTTCTGTGGGGACCAGTGGAGCTATAAGAACACAGCATCTGGAATCCTAAAGTCATGTGTTTAAGTCCATGCTCTGCCTTCTTGGTCCCATTGGGCCTCAGTTTTATCTTCTGTCCAACAGGTGGAAAGTTCGCTGGGAGGCTGCCAGGATAGTGGGGGTGGAACATGGTGACTTCTCATTCCCTGCAGCCCCTGGGCCAGCCCTCCCCACATTGCATGTATCCTTCTCCCTCCCCCTTTAGCTTTCTCACCTTCCTGTGTCCTGTGAAGAAGAGGGAAAGGTGGTGCATGGAGCCACCATTGCGGCCCAGCTCTTTCTTGAGGGTGCTGGGCGAAGGCATGCCCCAGGTGGAGGCGGCGCCCTCACCGTCTGAGCAGTGCAAGGTGGTGTCGGAGGCAAAGCAGGGCCCTCGGGGCTCCTGCAGCAGGCTGCCCTCGCTGTGCGTCCGGCGCCGCAGCGAGTTCTGCACACGCAGTGAGAGGCCACCCTCAGCCCCCTGGCCCGTCTCGATCATGCTGCTGCGCTTGGCCTCACTGCGCTCTCCGTAGTTGTCATCGCTGGTGTCCTCATCCTCGTCCTCCTCCCCTTCCTCCCCCTCCTCCACCTCCTCGGCCTCTTCTGCATCCTCCTCATCTCCCGAGCAGCCCTGCTCTGCCCCTGCCTTCTGGCTGTAGGTGCTATCCAGCCGGACCTCAGGGATCACGAAGGCTGGCCTGGGGGCCGCAGGTGGGTCCCCAGTAGCTGCTAGTAGGTCCCCGGAGCTCATGGTGTCCTCAGTAAGGGCCTTGGCTGGCAGGGAGACCTGGCTAGGAGGCAGATCTTGACAGGGTGGAAGGTCCCGGGTGGGGGATTCCTGGATGGCAGGGAGGTCTTTGGTGAGTAGAGGGTCCTGGTGAGGCAGGGGTTCTTGACCAGCAGGTAGGTCCTGGCAGGGTGAGAGGTCTTGGGCTGGAGGGGGTTCCTGGCATGGTGGCACATCCTTGCTGGGCGGAGCATCTGGGCCTGGAGGGGATCCTTCAGAGGTAGCTGAGTCTTTGCTGGACAGTGGTTCTTGGCTGGGAGCGGGTTCCTGCCCAGAAGGGGAGTCCTTGTTGGGTGGAAGGTCTTGTCCTGGAGGAAGCTCCTGGCCAGGAGAGGGCTCCTTGCTGGGTGGGGAATCCTCGGCACCAGGCCCCTTCCCTTCCTCCAAGGCCATCTCCCTCTTCTCATCTGCCTCCGTCTCAAACATCTGGGAAACAAAAAGAAAACAAGAACAGTTCAGAAGAGGAGGCTCCAAGATGCCAGACACCATGCATGAGCTGACATGAAATCAGGCAGTGGCCTGAACCCCGGGCCCCCAGTCTGAAAGCTGAGGTGCCAGATGGAACCCCCAAAGCCCCTTTGACTTAGCTGGGTAACAATTCTCACCCTGTCTTCTTGCTTGAACTTTCTGCTCCATCAAAAACACAGCTGGTCATTTATAGGAGAAGAGGGAGAGATAACCACTATCTATCTAGCTCCTGCTTTGGCAGGTGCCAGGCCAGCTTGACCCCACTCTCTTATGTGGCCTTCCCGACAACCCTATAAAAGAAGCATCACTGTCCCCATTTTACAGAAAAGGAAACAGGGTCAAAGTTGCCTCTGGGGATAAAGGAGAACCAGGCAGTCTCTGCTTATGGACCAGAACCAAGCCAGGGCAGTCACTGAACCCAGCCCAGGGTGTCTTCTACCTGAACTCAAGTTTAAAAAATCCTAATGAGTCATTCAAACAAGAATGTGCTCTGAACGCTTAAGTATCTTTTTGAAACTATTAAACTGGAATGAAACCGGAACTTTAAAATATTGTCCACACCTGGACTCACCAGATGTCGCAGACACACGGAACCTCCCTGAAGAATCACCCACCCAGGGATTTTTAAACTGCTTGGAGGAAGCTCAGGGATTCCTCAAAAAACACAGCATCTCCTGCCTCACACACAACCCTCGGGATCCTAGGGGGTTTTGCTGAGTTTCGACAGTAGATTTCATGTGCAAAGAGAAAAACATTTCTCTTAATGAAAGTCTGAATAGCAGCTATGTCACCAGAAGATTGGGGCCCCGAGAAAGTCAGGAGTGTCCATGGTGCCACAACCACACAGGGAGGCAGTTCTCAAGTCTGGGGTGGGCCCCTCCCAGTCAAGGACCAGGAATGCCGGAGCTGGAACTATTTATTTAGAGCCCAGGTTCTGTCTTCAAGAAGCCATAGCTGCTGAGAACTAATGAAAGGGAAAGACCTCACCCATACTCGGGAACTGAACAGATGCTTGGGAATGTGTGCACCTGCGGGCACACGCGCACACTGGCAGAAAACTTCAGGGGTAAGTACCCCCAGAACATGGGTTAAGAGCTCTCATTGTAGAAATCATTAATGTCCATTTGATGGATGAGAAAACTGAGCCCAAAGGCCGGTGACTTACCCACTATTGTACAGCTGCCCTGACAGCCAAAAGCCATGCTCGAAGCTGAGAAGTCTTTGAAGCCCTGGGGAGTCTGTAATGGTGAAGCCCCACAGCTGGGAGTCAGTGTTCAGCCATGGCTTGGGGCAGCTGCAGGCTGCTGCACACACGTGTCAGGGGTCACGCTGGCATCTGGGAGCACAGATGTGAGCGGATGTGAAAGCTCGGCACGGGTAAGAGCCACAGCCTGGGAGTGTGAAAGTGAAAGTGGAGCCCTGCAGAGCAGAGAAGGTGGCTGGGCAAGGGAGGGGAGGCCTTGGAGGACTCTAGCGTGATCTGGCCAAGGTCGGGAAGGGCACGCCTTAGGCTATGGCTCACAGGCCAAAGACAGGTGCCTGCTGATGCTGTGGCCTTCTTGCCCTGGAAATCCTGCCTGCAGCTCAGAGGTGACTCCACACAAGGGCCCTCTCAGACCTCATAGCCTCAGACTCTGAAACAACAGCGATCCGAAATCCCCACTGCATAGACAGAAAGGCTGAGGCCCAGAGAGGAGCAAGGGGCAACCTAGAATCACACAGAGGTGTCAGGTAGAGCCAGTCACCAACCTTTAGGCCTCAAGGTGTCCACGTATGAAATGGGATAACCAGCATGCCTGAGTAACAGATCAGGAGCGTATGCTGGAAAAGCTGGAAAGCTCGAAAGCTCCTACAGAAGATGGTGGTGTTGGAGTTAGTGCTTTAAAAAGCATTGATCTAGAGGGAAATTCTGAAGTTAAGGACCTCAACCAGAGGCACGTGTTTCCCACATACACCAAATTTTGCCAAACACCAGAGTCAGTGTTGGCAATTGTAATGTCAGGGCCTCCAGTCCAGAATTCTCATCTGGAAACTAAGGGCTGTGCTTCAGTCCTATCAGGCTGTTCCCAGGTGGACAGAAAGACCCTCCATTGGGTAGACAGGAAGGCTGAGGGCCCAGTCTAGACAGTGACTTAGTGACTTGCCCAAAGCCACCCTGCACAAATTAGGGGCTAGGCTGGGGCCAGAGTCCAGGCCTTCTGGCCCTGTTCTTCTCAAGCCCACTTCTGATCTCTGTCCCCATGAACAAACCAGTCCCCAGCCCATCGCCCCACCCACCAGGGAGCATTCTCCATCAGGAGAAACAAACTGCCCTGCAGCCAGCTCCCTGGGGCCCCTCAGTCCTATCACCCTACCACATGGCCAGACCTCCCCCCGACCCACCCCCTGGCCCAGCCACCTGCCTCTGATAGTCCTTGGGGAAAGACGGAAGGAAGCAGCAACCGGGTGCCCTCAGGGCCTGGCACGGAGTGGCACAGAGTGGCACTGAGTGGGGAGCGGGCCGCATTTCCCCTTTCCTGGGTGGTGAGGGTGGGGCCCAGGCCTGTCCCAGTGGTGACTGTCAGTCAGAGCCCGCCCACCCCTTGGGGAAAGTGCAGCAACAAACCCAAAACCAGAAATGCAAGTCAGCCTGCCTCTGCCAACCCTGTTCTAAATCGAGGCCAAACCAAACAAAGCCAGGAGGGGAAGTGCCACTCAGGCAGGGGTACTGCCCCCAGAGGGCACCTACCCAGAGAGATCAGCCGAGAAACTAACCAAGATGGAAGGGTTCTCAGAGGGCCCAGTGGTTATGTGCTCAGATACCCGAGCCAGGCTGATTTTGATCCCAATGGGGCCACTTTTTAGCTGTGCAACTCTGGCCAAGCCTCTCAACACCTCAGAGCCTCCGTTTCCTCATCTGGAATTGAGCCCAGTGATATCATACTGGACTCACAGGACTATTTGAGTCTCCTCACAGTGCCTGGCCCTGGAAAAGCTTTTGATACAATGGGAGCTATCAGTGGTCTTATTTTAGAGATAAGAAACCTGGGGTCCCAGAGGGTAAAGGAATTACCTAAGAATGAGAGGCTGATGCAGGATTAGAACTCATATCTCCTGCCCAGGGTCTCTCCCTGTTTCCTTGGAGCCTTACACACAAGTGTTTGGGGACCTCAGAGGGCTGTAGAAGGAGGAGGAACAGCCTGGAGTGCTGCCTGAGGCCCCGCACCTGGGTGCATCCCACATCAGCAGATGCTGGCGAACAGGGCCCAGAGCTCATGGTTCTTTCTGTGCTCCCAGGCAGGTCTGTATGAACAGGGACTGCGTGCAGGTTTGGTAAGGCCCCTGTTCTTGGGAGAGCTGGGGTGGGAAGTGGTTTGACGGGAGCTCCGGAGCAATTATAGGAAACCCGAGAAACCCAGGGGTGGGAGGGTGGCAAGTGTAGGAGAAAATTAGGGCAGGAGGGGAGGCAAAGATGAGGGGGAGGTTGCAGAACACATGGTGGGCATGGGATTTGCCCTGTGAGCAACGAAATGCCACAGGCAGAGCTGTGCTGTGTCAAAGCTGCTCTGGGGAATGTGGGCAGGATGTGTGGATGGCAGGGAGGACTGGGGCACGCATACATTCATGCATTCTCCAAGCACTGAGGTAGGTACTAGGAGGACGGCAGGGAACAAGTCAGACACAATCTCTGCCCTCAGTTAAGTAGAAAAAACAGAGGTTAGACAACTAGTTTGAAGGAGCATGGGGACTGCTCTGATAGAGGAAGTACAGGCAGCTGGGGACCCAGTGAGACAGCTGTTGCAACAGCTGAAGTAACAAGAATCCAGCCAGGGCGCCCCAGGAAGACCAGCTTGCTCACCCAGGGCCTTGGGTCTAGAGTGCTGGAAGCCACTGCCCCACCCTCCCAAGGTGGGGGTCTGTGTCTTTCCCATCCATCACTTCTTTGGCTTGGCTGGACCAGGTTAATTCTGCCCATGTCTCATCTGCTGTAAGCACACAGGAAATGAACCAGGCCCTCTAAATGGAGTCACTGTTTAGGACCTAATCAAATCCTCTCCCAAATCCAATCCAGAGCTCAGAATAGGCTAAGGAGGGATGGCAGCTATGACACCCAGAGTTCACACTCATACCAGCTTTGGCTCCTGGGCCCCAGATGCCCACCGGATGTTGGGTTGAGGGTAGTGGTGGGCTGCTGAAAGTGACTTGTCCAACATCACACAGCTACTCACTGAGCAGCCAGGTTTGCTGACCCAGGGACAACCTGCAGCTCTCACTCCGATGATTCATCACAGCCACCACGGATGCCGGGCTCTGCATCTGCCCTCGAAAACCACTTCCTGCACTGGGGGGGTGTAAACTGGGGTTTGCCTCTGTCTCAGGGTGGCCCTTAACAGCCAGGATTTTACTGACAGAGCACTGGACATGCAGCCAGAAGACCTGGACTGGAATCTTCACTCCATCATTTGCTAGCTGTGTGATCCCAAGCTACCCCACTCCAAGCTTGGTTTTCTCTGCCATGAAAGTGGGTGAGGATGCCTGCTGCTTCCTGTGCCAGAGACCTAAGGGGACCAAGTGAGAAAGGGCAGGAAGGCACTCTGTGAACTGTAAAGTCCTTTGAGAAAGGGAGAGGCTGTTAGAATTCCTGCCCTGCCTTGGACCCCCAGGCTTTCAAGATGGGCTGTTCCTTCAAGCTTGGCATGCTCTGGATCCCTAGCCTCAGGTCCCTGACTCAATGCTAGCTTCCAGGAACCTTGATGGCTCAGCTAACACTTAGCTCTCCTGGCTCAGCGTCAGCCCAGCTCCTCCAGGTCTGGCCTCTTGACCACCCAGAGGCTGACACCCCCAGTCCTTCCTCCGCCACCAGCTCAGAGACCCTCCAGGCCATACTCCTCTCCCCTCTACCTCCACTGTCTCCAACACAGCAGGTTTGGCAAAATTCAGGAGGATGGAGGCGGTACTTACATTAGGGGGAGCTCCAGATACTAACTTCACACTTACTTGCTGGGTGACCTTTGGCTTAACCTTTCTGTGCCTCAGTTTCCTTAGCCATAACATAGGATTTCTAGAATCTCCTCACAATGTTGTTAGAGGAATAAATGAGCTAATGAGTATCCAGAGCTCAGCACCATGAGGGCACCCATGAGCACTCAATAAACGATAGCCATGGTCACTCCAGCACAGCGTGGCCTTAACATCTCCCTCCCTGAATTTCACCCCTTCTCCACCCTCTCATGGGCCTGTCTGCCTGTCCATCAGGACCTGCTGCAGGGCCCCTCTCATCACAGTCCTGTCCACTCCCTTGGGAACCCACCCACTCCCCAGGCCACAATCGCTATCTGCACCATCTGGCCACTGATGACTCGCAGTCCACTCTGCCAGCCCTGACCGCTTTCCTGAGTTGAGATGCCACAGGCAAGTATTCAACAAATCCTCATGGAATAGTTCTGCATCCAGACACTGTTCTAGGCTCTGTGCATAAAGGAAGGAATAAGAAAGACATGATCCTTGTCCTTGTGGAGCCTACGAACTAGAGAGGAAGGAGGGATATTGACCAAGTCATCACTGCCATAAACACAGGATAAACAGAAACCAAGATCTGCAGTGTGAAGGAAAACCCTCGGGTGCTGTGAGAGAGTCCAGGGGAGTGTTGGGAAGGCCGCCCTGTGGAATGGCTGGAGACCGAAATCTGCTCAAGGGGCAGGGCGGGGCTCACTAGGGGAGGAAGCAGCATAGGCCAAAGCCCCGGGCCAGGAAGAGCCTTAGCATGCTGCTGACACAGAGGACAGCTGTGTGGCTGCATCCCAGGGACATGGATGGAGACCTCCTTCTGCATATCCCATCAGTACCCCCAACTCTACAAGCCCTACACTGAATGTGTGATCTCCCCGCAAGTCCATCATTCCTCCTCTAATGGTCCCTGTATCAATGAAGCCACCACCAGTTGCCCAAACCAGGGAATTGGCCATCATTTTCTCCTTTTCCTTCGTGACCACCCCCATGGTCAATCCTCAAATCCTGATCATCACTTATACAACTTCAAGGATCTTTTTACTAGGGAGGTTGGCAATAAGTAGGACAAAGTATATTGGAACTCTCTGTACTTTGCACTAATTTCTAAAGCTAATTTCTAAAAAATAAAAGTTGAGGCCAGGCACGGTGGCTCAAGCCTGTAATCCCAGCACTTTGGGAGGTCAAGACGGGTGGATCACCTCAGGTCAGGAGTTCGAGACCAGCCTGGCCAATATGGTAAAACCCTGTCTCTACTAAAAATACGAGAATTAGCCAGGCAACATGGCGCGCACCTGTAATCCCAGCTACTTGGGAGTCTGAGGCAGGAGAATTGCTTGAATCCAGGAAGCGGAGGTTGCAGTGAGCCGAGATTGCACCACTGCACTCCAGCCTGGGCAATAGAGTGAGACTCTGTCTCAAAAGTAAAAAATCAAAAAATTAAAAAGTTGATTAATCTTTTTTAAAAAGAATGTTTCTACTCTCTCCATGTCCACTGCTGCCACTTCCCTCTAGACCACTGTCATCCCCCACCAGGATGATGTGGGGCTCACAGTGGCGGTGCAGACCCCACTGGCCATTCTCTGTGCTATGTCAGGGGAGCTGCCTCCATGCAAACCTCAACTTGTCACTCCTCTGCTTAAAACGTTGCTGTGGCTGGCTCCCCAATACCTCTCAGATAAAGTCCAAATTCTGTAGCCCTGGAAGACCCTGGGCTCTGTCTCCCTGTAGCCTCACGTCTGACCACTCCCCACCTGAAGTGTTTGAATGAATAAATGAATGAAAGAACAATCGCTGGGTGCGGTGGCTCACGCCTGTAATCCCAGCACTTTGGGAGGCCAAGAAGGGCAGATCACAAGGTCAGGAGATCGAGACCATACTGGCCAACATGGTGAAACCCCGTCTCTACCAAAAATACAAAAATTAGCTGGACGTGGTGGTGGGCGCCTGTAATCCTAGCTACTCGGGAGGCTGAGGCAGGAGAATGGCTTGAACCCCAGAGGCGGAGGTTGCAGTGAGCCAAGATCACGTCACTGCACTCCAGCCTGGTGACAGAGCAAGACTCTGTCTCAAAAAAAAAAAAAGAAAGAACAATCCAGTGAACTTCACAGGACCATCTAGACTCTTAGCCTCAAAGTGCAGCCCAAGAGCCAGCAGCAGCATCACCCAGGAGCTTATATAAAATACACACTCATTTTTTTGTTTTTGTTTTTGTTTTTTTTGAGATGGAGTCTCGCTCTGTCGCCCAGGCTGGAGTGCAGTGGCGTGATCTCAGCTCATTGCAAGCTCCGCCTCCCGGGTTCACGCCATTCTCCTGCCTCAGCCCCCCAAGTAGCTGGGACTACAGGCACCTGCCACCACGCCCGGCTAATTTTTTGTATTTTTAGTAGAGACGGGGTTTCACCATGTTAGCCAGGATGGTCTCGATCTCCTGACCTCATAAAATACACATTCGTAAACCTCAATTCACACCCACTGGATCGGAACCTGCACTTTAATAGGATCCCAGGAGATTCATTTGCACATTAAAGTTTGAAAAACACCGACCTAGACTATTGGTTCTTAACGGAGAAGTACACTTTAGAATCACCTGAGGAGTATCTTAAAAATGCCTGTCTGGACCCAATCTAAGACCTACTGCATCACAGTCCCTAGGAGTAAGGCCCAGGCCTTTTTACTTCTTTCTGACTGACGAGACAATTCTGGAGAGTGGCGTCAGGTAACAGGCAAGGTGACTGTCTGTTACGTGAGGCCCAGAGAAGGGAAGTGATAAGGCCAAGGTCATACAACAGAATCAGCACTAAAATCCAGCCCAGAACCTCGCCCAGGACCAGTTCCAACACATAGAACCCTCTCTATAGTGGGGAGCCTGTGCAGAAGAGGCATGACCTTGGAGCAGGACGGGGGAGGTGGCAAGTTCCCTGGAGGCAGCTGCCCATTCACGTTCCCTAAACAGAGGCCCCACTGCAGGAGGAGAGAGGGGCAAAGGAAGAATTCGACCACAGACTGAAGCTCCTCTGTCAGAGGCTCAGGAGGGCGGCACACCACAGCAGGGAGTGCACCCACTCTACAGAAAGCAATACTGAGGCACAGAAGGTTAGCTCACCCCCGCGCAGGGACTCTCAGGACAAAGCCAACACTCACAGAAAGGGAATCCCTGAGGAAAGAGGAGACACGAGGGCCCCCTCAGAAAACCTTCCTACTCTTGGCTATCGCCTGACCAAGCCAGAAGGACATGCCGCTTGCAGCCTGCTGGAGACCCACCACCACCTGCCTGGATGCCCAGCTTCTCCCAGGGCGGGGAGGCGGCTCCCGGGGTCTGGGTTTCAGCACGGTGCTGCCCTGTCACCCCCTCACCAGGTCCCTTCTCCTCTCGCCTCCATTTCTGACACCACTGCTTCAACATGGGTGGACTCGTAGTCTTTGTCCCCACCCACCACCCCAAACACCCCTTCTACTCCTCCAGCTCTCTTCTCTGAAAAGCAGGGAGTTGAGAGTTGAGAGCAGGGGGGTTCCTAGCTTCTTCCTGAGCTAGTGGTGACTGATGCCTTGTGAGAAGGGGAACTCCAGGCCCCCTGGGGCTCTGCTGAGGAACCAGTCTGCCTGTGGGATCCATCCTCACTCCCCTTCCCACCCGGCACCCTGCTTTTCTGCCTGCTCCGTGTGTGTGTACTGGGACCTCTCATTTCCCTAAGCTCTCTATCCCTCAAGTCTACTTCCTGCCCATCCCTGTGAGCACTGGTTCAATCTGCCTCGGATGCCCTGGCTAGAAGGCTCTCTGCTCCCCTGCCAAGACCCAGCCTGCCCTGCTGTCATGGCCCCGGGCAGGTCCTGTTTGGCTCATCAGGATCATGTCTGGCTTATTCACACCATTTCCCCCAAGACTTACTCAGCAAATACCTACAGAGCTGCAGCCATGCGCCAGGGCCTGTGTTGGCTATTGCTGCCAAACAGCAACAAGCCATGTTCTCTGCCTTGGAGATGCCAGGTCCATCTCTCACCCACCTGCTACCATGCTAGGAGGCTGTGGAAGTAGAGGCAGCAGGGACAACTAGGATGGCTCTGGGAGGAGGTAATAGGGGGGAAAAGATGGGACAGGATATTCCAGGCTGAGCCAGAGCCAGCAGGGAACATTCAAGGAAGTGGAGGTGGTTGGATGAGGCAGGAGCATGGATATTTTAAGGAATTCCAACGTTACCCTGAAAGCAATGTTTACTTAGCGCTGCAGAGGTAAGGAAGGTGAAGCTAGAGGTGTTCAAAACAGATAATGATGACAAAGATAGGGGAGAGAGAGAGATCATTAACTGAGCATCTACTGCATGCCACACACTGTGACAGTTGTTTTATACTTTAGGCTCTACTTCCAACAATCCTATGAGATCAGTATCATTTTTAATAAGAAAACTAGGAGTTAGAGACATTAAGTAACTTACACAAGATCAAAAAGCAAGTCAGTGGAAGAGTCAGAATTGAAACCATGGTCTGCCTGACTCCAAAGCCCTGCTCTTTCTACTCCTCTGTGATCTCCTTTCCTGCCGTCTTCACTTCCTCCTTCCCTTCCTTCAAAGGATGCTTCCTGAGGACAAACCTGGGCCTGGCTCTGTGCTAGGCAGTGGAGAGCAATACCAGACGCAGGGGCCCCGCTCGGACTCCACATGGTTGGAGACTGAGGGGCAGGAGACTGACACCTGGTGTTGGGAGGGGCAGTGCAGAATTCTGTACACCCAGTGACCCTCCCAAATCCTCTCCCTCCCAGGGTCCCCTTCCAGGTGGGGAGAGCTAGAAGCGTGTGGCTTCTCTGTGATGTTTTCTGCTAGGTTAATCAAAGAAGCTCTGCCATGCCAGGATGACCTCAGGGAAGGACACAAATAGCACTGCAGTCATGAGGTCAGCCTTTGGAAGCAGGAGGGCCTGGGGGTGAATCCCAATTCCTATCCATGTGCCGCCTCCCTCACAGCCAGTGTGCCGCTTCCTCACGGCTGCTACGGGGCATATGGAGGCAGTGCCTGGCACACAGTAGCCCATGGTGGTGCCCCTCTGCTCCTTGCCTTCCTCTCCACAGCTTGACTCTCTCATGAGTGGGCACCAGGGACCAACCCAAAAACTAAGGTTTTACTCCAAGCAACAGCTCTGAGAATAGGGAGGACTGAAAGCCAGAGGTGGAAGGAGGGAAGCCTATTGCTGATGAACAACTGGGGCTTGGAGATAGGCAAATCAAGCTTCAAACCCTGGCTCTGCCACCTCCTACGTCAAGGTACCTGCACAGGCTGCTTAACCTATTCAGGCTCGATTTCCTCATCTGTAAAATGGCAATGTGAATACTGAGTACCCACATCACAGCTCTGTGGGGAGGGCTTAGCATAGGGCCTGGCACCTAGTAAGTGCTCAATAAGCATCTGCAATTTCTGTAATCATAATTGTTACTCTCATGACGATCATCGACATCATCAGCTCCCTCTCCTGCATCCAATTCCGGGACAGGGCACTTGACGTATTCTGACCCTTACAGCAGCCTAGGACAGGAGTCCTGTTAGTTGCAGGTTTCAGGGGGGGAAACTTGGAAGCTGAGAAGGCAGATGAGTCTGTGCTCAGCCTGCCCCTAGGCTGGGTCAGTCTGGCTCACTGCATGGCCTGGGCCAAATCACTCCCCTCACTGGGTCTTGCTCTTCCCAGCATGTCTGTCCAGTTCTGAATCTCAGCTAGCCTAGAAAGATCAGAGTTCAGGGCCCAAGGCATAGCCAGGTCTCCTTGTGGGGGCATCAAGGGCAGGAGGAACAGAAAGGTCCCCCTTTCCAGATACACACCCTTGCCTTATCTGTCTGCCCCAGTCTGCCCCACTGCCCTCCTCCTTCAGGGCCTGCAGCGCTGGGGGCACTGGGTGGTGGTGGGGTGCCCATCCAGTAAAAAAAAGAGGCTTTTTCACTCGAGGACACTGGAGTGGACATGTGGACATGAGACTAAGCCACAACCCTGTGGCCGAAGGTCACCCTCCCGAGCCTCAGGCACACTCAGCCTCACCGCTGCCTCCTGAGGCAGGCACACCCTATCTCTGCTTGGGGGTGATGTCAGGGCTAGGTTTGGCTGAATTTACAGTCTTCTCCAAACCCACCCTCCTGCCTCCCTCTGTCATGAGACTTTCTCTTATCTCCCTTGGCCCTGCACCAACTTGCCTATATTGGTCTCCTGCTCAAAATGCCTTCATCCCTCTAGGATAAAGTCCCATCCTCTAACCCTGTGTGTTCTGCCCCCGCCAACCTCTCCACCACACCGTTTCTCCTCTTTTCCCTCCAGCCAGTCTGCTACACTCTACCCTCAGGCCCCTCTAAACCTATGCTCACACTGTACGTCCTGCCTAGAGCACCTTCCCCTCCCCTGTCCACCTGCTGAAGCTCTACTCATTCTTCAAAATTCAAGTGACCCACCCACGTATTGCCCCTCAATTTCTGACAAAGGTGACATTGCCCTATAGTGAGACAGGATGGATTTTGAATACATTGAATATTTATCCAGAGAAAATGAGTCTTGACCTCTACTTCATACATGGATAAAAATCTATTTCAAGTGGATTTTAGATCTAAATATGAAACATAAAACATCTAAAAGAATACATAAAAGTATATGTCCATAACCTTGTAATAAGCAGAGAAACAGGACTCAACAAACACTCTCCATAAAAGAAAAAAGATTAACAAATTGGACTGCATTAAAATTAAGAACTTGTGTTCTTCAAATATACCCTTAAGAGAGTGAAAAGGCAAATCCCAGAGTGGGAAGAGATATTTGGAATGTGCACATCCAACAATAAACACATATCTACAATATCGTTTAAGCTCCTACAAGTTAATCAGAAAAAAAAATCCAATAGGAAAATGGGGGAAAGACTTGAACAGGCACTTTTCAAAAGAGGTCATCCAAATGGCTAATCAACACATGAAAAAGGGACTCGACCTCACCAGACATCAAGGAAATTCAAATTAAAGCCACAATTAGATATCACAATATCTAATACCAATAATGTTGGTACAGACATGGAATAATAGGCTCTTTCATGTACAGCTTAAAGGGAGTATATTCCTGTCACACTTTGGAAAATAATATCATGGTATTTACTAAAGCTAACTCTCTACAACTCTATGACTCAGCAATTGCAAAACTTAGGTATTCACCTAACAGAAGCAAACATAGTATATCAAAAGATAAGTACAAGAATATTCATAGCAGCACCATTCATTATAGCCTCAAACTGTAAACAACACAAATGTTCATCAGCAGTAGATTAGATAAACTGTGGCGGTATATTCATACAAGGAAATACCACAGAGCAACAAGAATAAACAAAATAAAGCTTGATACAATATTATTGATGAATCTTGCCATCAAAATGCTGATCAAAAGAAGTCAGCATGAAATAATATGTACCCAATGATTCCATTTACACAAAATTCAAGGATAGGCTACGCTCATCGATGAGAGAAGTCAGGACAAGGGCCGGGTGCAGTGACTCATGCCTGTAATCCCAGCACTTTGGGAGGCTGAGGAGGGCGGATCACCTGAGGTCAGGAGTTCGAGACCAGCCAGGCCAACATAGTGAAACCTGTCTCTACTAAAAATACAAAAATTAGCCGGGCATGGTGGCACGCGCCGGTAATCCCAGCTACTCAGGAGGCTGAGGCAGGAGAATCACTTGAACCTGGGAGATGGAGGTTGCAGTGCACTGCACCCCAGCCTGGGCAACAGAGCGAGACTCTGCCTCAAAAAAAAAAAGAAGTCAGGACGGGGTTACCTTTGAGGTCATAGTAACTAAAAGAGGGTTATTTGTGGGGATTCCTAGGGTACCAGAATGTTCTATTTCTTGACCTGGATGGGGGTACGCTTTGTGGAAAATTCATTGGCTGTATTCTTCTAATTTTTCTGGAAGTATGCTGCACTTCAATTTAAAAGGTTTATTTTAAAAACAAATAAAACCCCTCATCCCAGTGTCTCCTCTTCTGCTCCCTGGGCTGAGGCTCACTGCTTCTCGGTGAGCTCCTTGCTTTGTACACATCTCTGATTGCGCATTCCAACTGTTTCCCTCCAGCAAAACGCTGCCGCGCTGCCTCCTGAATGCCTGCTCAGTGTCAGATCCACGCCAAGCACCTCACCTACATCGCTGCATTTAATAACAGCCACCTATGAGATGGGCGCTAGTGGCACTCCCACTGCTATCAGGACACAGAATCCATTCACATGAAACATGTCTAAGTGCTTTACAGCTATTATCTCATTTAACTCGAGGAGGCTAGACCACTGCTTGAGGACATGAAGGCAGGAGAAGCTCCATTCTTGTCCAAGAGCACAAGACTGTAAGGTAGGAGAGATCCTTCCCTCAAGTCCAGAGCCCATATTCCTATACAACCTCCCTAGACAAGGAGGAGCATGTGGCTGGACACACAAAAGCAATTTCCATGGATAGGCGGGAAACATGTCTACACCTCTGAGGGGTGGATAGACTGGGATGGAGACCTGCTCTTCAATGGGCAAGCATCTGTACAATCACATGCAGCTTCACCTCTTGTAGGAAGCTTTGCTGAGGCTCCCAGGCTGAACTGAGTGCTTCCCTGGGGAGTCCCACAGCACCCCCCTCCCCACCCCATGCCTCTCCATTAAAGCTGTGTTGTTACTGTCCATTACCTGAACATCCTGGCACTAGATTAAAGATTGGGCCTTTTAGATCTATGCCACTAGTAATTTGTAAGTACATGGCACACAGTAGGTGCTTAACACACATGGAAGGAAGGAGGGAAGGAAGGAAGGAAGGAAGGAAGGAAGGAAGGAAGGAAGGAAGGAAGGAAGGAAGGAAGGAAAGAAGGAAAGACACGGAAGGGAGACAGGCAGAGAGGACAGTACAGAGCTGCTGCTATTTGAATCAACTGGGAACTGCAGGAAGTGAGGTCTGAGAAGTGAAGATTTCATGGCCTGGCTGAACATTGCTTCCAACCCTTGACTTGAGGGGTGGCATAGCCATGCCACCTCCCATTCCACAGTCCTTCTCCTGGCTGCCTTCGGCCTGCTGTCAAGGTTCCTGCCAGCCATGTGGTCCCCAGAGGCACTGCCAAGACCTTTCTCTGCCTCTCTCCTTGTTCCCTTACCCTCTGCCACCCTTCCCTGAGTCCCCGAGCTCTGCTATTTGCCCAAGGCTAACCCCAGTAAGAGGTAACTGAGGACACCACAGAGAGCCCTGGCTATGTGGCGAAAAGCATGCCCAGTTCCAAATACACACCCCCCTTTCTAAGTTGGGAGCCGCTGACAGTTCTCCGGCAGCAGCCTGAGCCACGGTACCAGGTGCAAGCGGGCTGGCCCATGGAGGGCAGGGAGAGGGGAGAAGCCCTGGGCCATCTGGAGCATACCTGGCAGCTATCCACACATCTCGAGTGATGACTTAGGCCCACTGCCAGAAGGAAGAGCATGTCCTGGGACCCTCTTCCCTCTCATCTGTGCCCGGAAGCTCTGATCTCCCAAGAGGCTTATGGCTCTAGCACACCTCCCACCATCCTGCCCCCATCCCCACTCCAATCCTGGAAGCCAGGGTACAGCTGGTTGTGCAGGGGCAGGCAGCACTCCCTGAGGCTGAGCCTGGCTGGTCTGCTGTGAGTGGCTCCAGCTTCTCCAGGCTTAGGGGGCTGAGCCATAAGCAGCCTTGTTTATTCCTGGGAGGAATGATGGTTTTCCCTAAGCAATGACATCTTGGAAACTGCCTGGCTCCACAAACAACAACAAACCTCCCAGCTTCGGCTTGGGCTGCAGCTTGCATGCGAAGGCTCCTGCCCAGAGGCGCCTGGGGAACAGGCTGGGGGCTGCTTCTCTGCTGCACCAAGCCCTGGCCCTGACCATTGACTTTTGGAAGCCAGGAAGAGGAGACGGCCTGCAAAGAATCAGAGAACTGGATATTTGGAAGGCACCTGGCAGTACTTGGTCCAGTCCCTAGTTGCTACAAAGGAGAAACTGAGGTGAGAAACAAGGCATATTTGCCTGAAATCATCAGTAAGAAGGGACGAGAAGGTGCCGCAGTCTCCAGCCCACCGACCAAGGGGCTTTGTCTATTGCACATGCTGCTTTTCCCAGAGGATAGCAGGGCTCTAGTCAGTGAGCCCGAAGGTCCAAAAGGGACATGTCACTGGTGAGTCCAGAAAGAGAGCCCCAAGATGAAACCTGGATACTCTGAGACATCCAGTTGGTGCAGTACAGAGAGGCCTGGGCAGGGGAACCTGAGTTCTTGTCCCTGATTTCCTGCTGAGTCGCATGTCACCTCAGGCAAGTGTCCTTCCTCTCCTGCCTCAGTTCTCTATCTATCTATCTATAGTTTGGTGCAAAAGTAATTGCGGTTTTACATTACTCTTAATGGCAAAAACCGCAGTTGCTTTTACACCAACCTAATAGAAGGCAAAGAGACTGCCATCTCCAGGGCCTTAAGAGGCCAATGGGAAGCAGCTCTCAAGGCCCCCAGGGACCCAGCTGGGGATAGGCACTCTCTCTTCAGCTGTGCCTCTTCTGAGGGAGCCACACAGACCACTGGCTTGAGGATCAATAACCCCAGACCTACTCTGGTTGGCACCATCCCAAGAGGGTCCAGGGAGCTGAGCTCCAATCCCCTGTAGTCTGTGCAAAGGTCCTTCAGCATTGCATTTCAACAAGCCAGGGCTATCCCCTCCACCCTCCATGGCCCAGGCTATGCTGTGAATTCCACCTAGCCCAGCATGACCCCTGAGTGGATTCTCCCTATGGTCTCCGCCAGGATGAAGCCAAAATTCTCCCCGCCTCACCTCCTATCAAACCCAGCCCCATCCCTTGGCCCTATGGATGCAACTTTGACATTCAGAGCCTAGGCCTCTCCTAAAGGGGCTCCCCGACAGGCCCTCTATGCCAGGCACAGAGCTAGGAGATGGGCGGACACAGCTGACTTGCATGTCACTGTTTGTCCTCAAAGAAAACCTGCCCTAGCCAGGACAATGCAACGCCCCTCTCCAACCATGCCCCAGGCCCCTGGCCAGGTCCTTGCGACTAAGGAATGAATAAGGCCCAGATTCTGCATACATAGGACACAAAGCAATATCCATGGGTGCCACCACCAATGGACAGACTCATTCTGGCTGGAGTATTTGCTCTAGTTGTGGAAGTTTGGATAAAATAAGACATGGAGGGGGAGGGGAGGGGAGGGGAGGGGAGGGGTTTCCAGGCAGCTGGAACAGCATTTGCAAAGGCAAGGAAGCCTGGAAGTGCAATGATTTCACTGATACCACATACTTATAATCAGAAGTCCCATCAACAATTTCTGGCTCAAAGCCCTGGAGACTTCTCACGAGGAGTGGTCACTTGCCTCAACTGCCTCATCCTCACAATCTGCCTGCTTCTCAGAAGCCAGTCTGGGCTTGCAGTGAGCCCTGTTGTGGAACTCGGCTCCCTGAAGGGCCTGCCCTAGGCTAAGCCACACCATGTGCTAGGGCTGGGGAAGAGGGGAGGTGCCCCTTGGCTGGGCACAGAGGACTCAAGGGGCCTTGGTGGAAACTTTGACTATGCCTGCAGTGCCCTGGCTGGGATCCCACAGGCACCAGCAGGGCAGCCTCTGCGGCTCCTTCCCTTGAGGAGATGTACCCACTCTAGCACTGGGAGAGGACGCCAGATAGCCACCCAGCCAGAAGGCCTGAGGGCAGCAGGATGTGGAAAGTTTTCAAGCATCGCTGTGGGGCCTGGTGTACCAAGCCTCTCAGGTCAGGAAGGTCAGATTTGAAGCTGAATTATAATACTTAGTTCAGGTCAGGGAAATGGTTTCCCACATGTCCTGTTCTTGCTGTTCTAGGAGGCAGAAGTTCTCTATCCTGGTCCCTGCTCAGCCACAGACCTGCTGCTCAAACTTGGACAAGGCTCCTCCCCTTTCTGGGTCCAGATTTATCCTCCTGCCCTGAGTCCTAGGGTTCAAGGGTTCTTCCTGGACACCTGGGAACAAGAATAGAGATGTGGACCCTCCAGGCTGGGAAAAGAATTAGCCTCTGTCTGCTCACAGTGGCCAGCTCTGTGGTGTGAGCCTGTCTCTACCACCACCCCCTGCCTGATGGGTCTCAGCTGGAGCCAAGGGAGCAGGTGCAGGCCCTCTCCCATGGGGTTGGAGGTCAGAGGCAAAGCATCTTTGCTTGTGCTTCCAGTGGACGTTTCAGCAGAGGCCGTCTCAGGGACCAAAGGCAACCCGCTGAGACTAGTTCCAGAGACCACCTCTTCCCCTGCCAGTGAAACTAGACACGAGCTTCCATCCCTGGTGCCTGGTGTGCGGCCAGCACCCCTGATACAATAGCCAACCCTGCTGGCTGAGCGCTCCCCTCCCATGCAGTGTCCCGACTTTTTGGCCACCAAACATTTCTTGTTTCTCTGAGAAAGAAAAGCTGGCTGTCCAGCCTAGAAGTGGGGAGCAGCCAACAGAGGAAGCATCCCCCAAAACTTGCAGGGCTCCCAGCCCCTGAGACAGACAGACAGACAGACACACACACACACACACACACACACACACACACACACACAGAGCTATCTCAGAACAGAGCACAAATGGTTTGGTTGCAACATGCCTATCAATGGCTGCCCTGGGGAAGAAACAATAGAAACAGGGGCACAGGGTGGCTTGGATGCCCGCCCACCACACACACAGTCCTGTCACCAAGGTACCTACCCAGCATACTCCAGCAGGGACCCAGGCGACTCCTGGCTGCCGCTCCTGCCAGCTCGCCCGCCCAGGTTTCCACCCGGCTCCTCCCGCAGGCGGGCGGCCGTGGCTGTGGCAGCTCCTGGCGGCCGTGTCAAGCGGCTGCCTTCCCCAGACAGAGCTCCTTTGTGTCAGCAGAGCTATTTATGGACTTACCCAAGTTCCCCAGGGGAGCGATACCTGCTAGGAAAAGCAGAACCAAATGACCAGGTTCCACCTCCCACATCTAGGTAGCGCTTTCAAAACCCTTGCATCACCCGTCCCTCCTCCTCTTCCTCCTCCTCCTACTTGTCCTCCTCCTCTTCCTCCTCCTCCAGCGCCTTTCCCAAACACACACCCTGTCTAGCCGGCCACCGCCACTCTGGAGAGAGGCTGGATTTCTTTCTTCCATTAAACAGAAAACTCTGTGGTTTCTCAAAGCACTTTCATCCGAGATGGAGTCCGGGATGTCTCAAAGAAGAGGGTCCTGGGCCAGCCCGTCCTTCTGCCCACCCCGCGAGGGGCCCAGCTGGCTCCCGGGTTACATGCTCACACGCATAGGCTGTGGGTCCCCTGTGGCTCATCCCCAGGGCCCAAGCTGGCCCCAAAGTGCTGCTCCGGGGGAGAGGCGTCCATCCCTCACAACGGCACCCCCTGGCACTGGGATCCCTAGCAGGCTCCACCCCACACACATCCTGAGGGCTCCCAGGCTGGGGCAGCGCAAAGCCGCCTCCAGCCGGCCTGCTGGCAGCCGCTCCCTGCAAGACCAAGCCAATCACCGAGGCACCGAGGCTTCCCTGTCACACCCCCACCCCGACGCTGTTCCTGTCCCAGTGGGAGGCTGCAACTGAACCCAGGCTCCTGCAGCCAGCACACGCTGACTTCCAGAATGCGACTGCCCCCAGGGTGGGGGGTGGCAGCTTCAGTCCCTTCCCAGCACACAGCTGAATCTTTGAATGCTAAACTCTGCAGAATCCTATGTGGAAAGAGAACCTGGGGCTTCCTCCCCCGGAGACAGCCAGCTGGGAGGGCAGTTTGGACTGTAACATCCTGTTACAGTAATATTGGCTATAATGAGAGTTACAGCCCTGAATGACAGAGACATCCCCAAGGAGGAACTGCGGGGGCAGTGGAACAAGCCCTGGACTGGGAGGAGAGGGTCCCCAGCTCCAGTTCCAGCTCCAGCACTGGTTAATTGGGTGTCACTGAGCAAGTTCCTTCCCCTCTCTGAGCCTCGGTTTCTTCATCTGTAAAAGGAGGCTGCTAACCTTAACCTGCCCACCTGTGGGATGAATAGAGGATTCTCTGAGCTGGCTCTTGGCTACCCTTTCTTGAGCATGAACTCCGTGCCAGGCCCTGTTCCCAGAGCTCTGCCTGCATTAATTCACTGAATCCTCACCAGCAGCTTGTGAGGAGGGGAGGACTATGATTACCCCAGTTACAGATGAAGAGTCCAAAGTACAGAATGGCAAAGGAAGTTGCCCACAGTCACATAGCCAGTTGTCTGTATAGCCAGGACTGAAAACTAGTTGCTCCTACTCACCATGCCCGCTCTTAACCACCATACAGCCAGACAACTGCAAGATGCTGCTGTGCCAGCACAGAGCTGTTCTCTGGTGCTGCAGTTTGTCATGATGTTGACAAATGCACCCTGGGCTGTCCCTGAGGCCCAAGTTGGGAATGCCCAACTTGTGGCTGGCTCCCACCAGAGCAGCAGGCATCCTGGGATGATGGCACAGAAAAAATGGACAGAAGGAGCCTCTATTTTCCCATGCCCACCCCACCCACCTTGGCCACCTAGGCTGAAGCACGGTGTCTCTGTCTCTTTCTCTCCCTATGGTAGAGACCCCCCAGGGTCTCGGGATGTTTCTGCCTGTATCCCTGCCCCTGTCTATCTCTGACTCTGTATTCCTGACTCTCTCACATACACAAGCATATACATGCACACTGCTACAAGAAAACATTCTTTATCGGGTCGACTCAGAATAGCCCTCCTCTGAGTTGGTCACTTACAAACTCCAACCAGTGTTTCATCTTGTCCCTGGGGGCAGAACCAAGGCAGTCCTTGCAGGGCCTAGGAACCTTCTAGACTGGAAGGCTGTCATCCTGCTGGCTCCTGAAAAGCAGGATTCACCCTTGGCCTGGGAAGCTAAGGAGGTGAGTCTCAAGAGATGGCCAATTCTGATGGAGCTAAACAATCACCAATGAGGCTGGCTGGTTTCTAGGATGGAATTTCTGGTGTGTGGGATAAGATTTCTTAGGGTGGGGAGCCTGAATATAGGATTCCTTCACGTCAGAGGTGCCCTCGAGCTTCAGCTGAGTTGTCACCTTCTTTCAATCAACAAACAGTTACAGAGCATAGACTCTGTGCCAGGCTCTGTGTTAGGCCCTGGGGATTGGCAGAGAACCAATAGGCAGGGCCCTGCATTCACAAAGCTGACAGTCCAGTGAGGGAGGCAGACATTAGCCATGGAGTGAGACTAATGACTCCAAAATTACGCCCTATGCTGTGATGGGCAAAGCAGCTCTGCCAACCCAGTGTGCTGAGTCCAGAACGAGTCCAGAATACATTCATCAATGCTCTGGACCATAGCATGGTGAGGAAAGGGTAGAGCAGCTCAGTGCCCCAAGGCCCAGAGCCTGCCAGGCCAGGATAGGAGAGCATCCCATGGCTGGAGGAGCCCTGGGGCAGCCACTGCCCTCTGCCTCCCATAGCTCCAGACACAAATCAACAGGGCTGGGGGGCCTCCCAGTGTATAGCCTAGGGCAGGATAGGGGAGTCACTGGCAGCCAGGCTTTCTAAGCCAGAGGGCCCTTGGAGATCTTTCACTGTTGTTTCCCATTTACAGTCAGTGAAACTGAGGCCCAGAGAGGGAAAGTAACTTTCCCAAGGAAACACAGCAACTGAGTGGCAGGGCTGGGATTGCTAACTCCCAGTCCAGTGCTCTGTTCACCACATCCCAGTGCTTCTCAGAGGTACATAAATGATGGTGCTGTTCAGTACAGGAGAAACTGGGATCTAGAGAGTGGTAAGATCTAGGTGGCCCACAGGCCCAGGGGTCAGCACCCGGGTACTCAGGAACTGGGCCCCAATCACTGATCCACATATTTCATACATAACAAACACTTATCTGACACATGACAGCACTGCTCTAAGCACTTTCTGATTACTGATTGATGGACTGATTGATTGAATCCTCATAGCCCTATCAGATATGATTTCTTTTTTTTTTTTTTTTTTTGAGACAGAGTCTTGCTCTGTCACCCAGGCTGGAGTGCAGTGGCACGATCTTGGCTCACTGCAACCTCTGCCTCCTGGATTCAGGCAATTCTCATGCCACAGCCTCCCTAGTAGCTGGGACTACAGGCGTGCGCCACCACACCCAGCTGATTTTTTGCATTTTTAGTAGAGGTGGGGTTTCACCATGTTGGCCAGGCTGATCTTGAACTCCTGGCCTCAAGCAATCTGCCCGTCTCAGCCTCCCAAAGTGCTGGGATTACGGGCAAGAGCCACGTGCCCAGCCTCAGATATGATTTCTAATATCCCCATTTTATGGATGTGTAAGCAGAGGCATAGAGAGACTAAGGTCACACTCTAGTAAGTTCAGGGCTACAGATGAAGCCCACTTCACTTTCCACTGTGTCCTGCACCATGGCGCAGGGCAGCCCATGGAACAGATGAGCCCATCAGTTACACAGAGAACTGTACAGCCCAACCACACAGGCAAACTCCACACTGTTCAGACAGGTTGGCAGCAGCTCCCAGGGCTAGGACCAGCGAGGTTCAGCAGGGACCCACCTCCTATTTTTGGAATACAGTACCCCCAAGCAGAGCCCAAGTCTTTAGACAGGCCCCAGGGGGGATGCAGCAACAGCCTGGGATGCAGCCAGGTGCCAGAGACAGGCTGCTCCCCTACAGCCCACACCACAGTGAGATTTCCGCTGTCTTCCTTTACTGCTTCCATTGCGTGAAGACCAATGCACCTCATGGGTTTATGCTCCCAAGACCCCATCACGAGCATGTAATTCAGCACTTTGGGAGGCTGAGGTGGGAGGATCATTTGAGCCCAGGAGGTCAAGACCAGCCTGGGCAACATAGGAAGACTCCATCTCTACAAAAAAAAAAAAAAAATTAAAAATTAGCTGGGCATGGTGCTGTGTGCCTGTGATCCCAGCTACTCAAGAGGCTGAAGTGGGAGGATCGCTTGAGCCCAGGAGGTTGAGGCTGCAATGAGCCGTGATAATTGTGCCACTGCACTCCCAGCTGGGTGACAGAGCAAGACCCCGTGAAAGAGAGAGACAGAGAGAGAGAGAGAGACAGAAAGAGGGGGAGAAGAAAGAAAAGAAAAGGAAAGGAAAGAAAGAAAAAGAAAAGAAGAGAAGGGAAGAGAAGAGGCCAGGCACAGTGGCTCACACCTGTAATCCCAGCACTTTGGGAGGTGGAGGCAGGGGGATAACTTGAGGTCAGGAGTTTGAGACCAGCCTGGCCAACATGGTGAAACCTCGTCTCTACTAAAAATACAAAAAAGTAGCTGGGCATGGTGGCATGTGCCTCTAATCCCAGCTACTTGGGAGGCTGAGGCACAAGAATTGCTTGAATCTGGGAGGTGAAGATTGCAGTGAGCCGAGATCACATCACTGCACTCCAGCCTGGGCAACAGAGCAAGACTCCATTTCAAAAAGAAAAAAAGAGAAAGAGAGAGAGAGAAGTCAGGGAAAGATGTGGTCCCAGGAATTCCAGAGCACTTCAGAGTAAGACTAGCCCCTTGCCCCTGCCAGAAGCTGCTTAGCTTTCATCATCCCCAGATACCCCAAGACTGTGCTGGGTACACACCGGCTTCAACTTCTGCAGAGCCCTGCCACTGTCCCAACTCACTGCAGAAGAAAGTGACCACCCCAGGCTGCTCTTTGAAACTCTATGGAAGTGTCTGTATATGGCCACCCCAGTCCAAGCTTTGAATCTGCTAACTCACTTAGAAAGCTCTGAGCTTTTACTTCCTGGGGCTCACAGCCCTGGTTTGGGAGTCTAGAGACTCTATGCAAAAAGGCCCTCCCCACTGCAGAGTCGGCCAAGAAATGTTAATTAGTTATTTCAATAACCACTGAATCCCTGCTCTGTGCCGGAGCCGGTACTAGGAACTAAGGATACAGAGCTGGCCGGAGCAGCCCGCCCATGGGATGGAACTTGGAGGGGGTCATGGCAGATGAAGCCGCTGATGCTGCAAACGGGGGCTGCCATGCTGTGTTTTGGCCTCTAGGACCCTAGCACCTGGGCAGGGGACACATTCTCCTATTGCTTGCTTGGTGTAGGTCTTGCTCTTCCTGGTGGCACGGGCCTTGTTCTGGGGCACCTGACACAAATGGTGGGGTGGGGTAAGACAGAGCAGGTATCCTCAGGTTCAAGTTCACAGGGAGCTGTGGTTTGTGGCCTGCAGAACCCAGGGTAAGCCCGTTCCCCTTCCTGATCTCAGTCCTCCATCTCTAAAATGAGACCAGGAAGTGGTTGTCCAGTGGCCCCAGCCCTACTCCTCCCCTCCCATGGACAGTCCCATGCCCCTTCAGGCCCTCTCACTAAAGGAATCAGCTCAGTCAGTGGAATTTAGAGAGAGCACAGTCTTTGAAGTCTAAAAAATCTGAGTGTAAATTATCCTGGGCAAGTCCCTTTACTATCTCTGAGTCTCAGTTTCCTCATCTGTAAAATGGGCCTCAACGGACCCTGAGGAGGACTAGACGACGTGGTGTATGTGGAATGCCTGGTACACAGTAAGTGCTCAATAAATAAGAGCCATCATTGTTATTGCTATGATGTCATTGTTGCTATCATCTGTGAAAAGACAGAATTCACCTTGAGAAGGTTAATGTAAATGGTAAAATTAAATGTGATAACACCTGTTGAGGGGCTAACAGATGAGGGCCTGGCGTGTACTAATAGCTGAGAATCATTACCATTTGTTGATGAATAGGCTATTCTCATCATGCCCAGCTTACAGATCAGGAAACTGAGGTACAGAAAGGTTACAAGGCGGAAGCCCAGCAGGCAGCATGGCTCCCAGGCCCATGCTCTTAACTGTATATTCTGCCCTTAATCTCTTATTCCCCAAATGTCTCCCCCTTGCTATCTGCCTCTTTCTCAGCAACTTGAGACCGCAATGGATGATTCCCAACCTGCTAATGGAAACGGTGGCTCCCAACCCAGCAAGGAGAAGCCCACACGCAGCAAAAGCCAGGAGACCAAATGTCCCCCTACAGAGCTAGCCCAGAGGCCTGCTGCTGGCTGGCTTCTGCCTCCATCCTGGGGCACGCCTTGCAGTCACCTCAGCAGTATCAGTCTGACCTTGGGCAGCTGTAGCAGCTCAGGATGGCTGGGAGCCATGACTGTCTCCCTTCCTGGCTCCGGTCCAACCAGCCACATGCTGGCCGGAGACTTCGGGCTTTTGGGAGCAATCCTCGACCCACTGTGCTTGTGCCAGCTCCAGGGCCAGGCTGTGTCCTGTCAGCCCATGTTCCTGGGAAGTGTTCAGCACAGAGCCACTGACTCAGCTACGGGGAGGCCAGGCCTGTGACCTTGGTTGCTGGAAACAGTTCTCCACACACTCCCCTGGGTCCACCCACTGTTTGGACTGTTGGGCTTGAGCCCAAGCCATCAAAACAAAGGGTCAGTGGGGGAAAGACTGAAATGCTAACTTTGCTGCTGCCTTCTGCGAACCCTGGGGCAAGGCCAATCCCCCCCACCACCTCCAAGCCTCAGTTTCCCTGTCTCTAAAATGCACTGGGGTTGAACTAGATCAGTCCACTCAAAATGTGGTCTGCAAAATCATATGGGTTCACAGGCTGCTTGTTACCAGTCTGCAGTGAGATAGGTAGCAAGATTGATTGTGTTTAAAGAACTTCAACTTGACATTGCCACCTCTAAGCATGAGATGAGTGGACTGGTCTCACTGAATAGGGCATGGGCTAGCTCAGGTGTTCTCAAGCCTGCATAATAAATCACATGCAGTGTGATGCTACAAAATGTCAAAGCCCCTCACCACAGGTAGCTTAAGGAGCCCTGATTTAAATGGCTTTGTTTCATGAGAACTCACTAACTTGGACCCTATCATGATACTTACACATACAGTGGGACTCGATCCTGCCACCCAAACCACTCCCCTCCACTGCTCCCAGCTCAGAGAATGGCACCATCTGTTTCCCTGACCTAGACTTTTTTTTTTCTTTAGGAAGGAGTTTCACTCTTGTTGCCCAGGCTGGAGTGCAATGGCACAATCTCAGCTCATTGCAACCTCCGCCTCCCAGGTTCAAGCAATTCTCCTGCCTCAACCTCCCAAGTAGCTGGGATTACAGGCGCCCACCACCACGTCCGGCTAATTTTTTGTATTTTTAGTAGAGACAAGGCTTCACCATGTTGGCCAGGCTGGTCTCGAACTCCTGACCTCAAGTGATCCACCGCCTAGGCCTCCCAAAGTGCTGGGATTACAGGCGTGAGCCACTGTGCCTGGCCTGAGCTAGACTTTTGAGCACCATTCTTCTCCCAAACACTCCCCGTGCAATTAATCACAGAATTTTGCAGACCCCTCCTGCTATACATCCTGTGGATCTCTCACCTCTCTCAATCCCTGGTGCCTCAGCCCTAGTCCAAGCAACCATCGGCTCTCCCTGGCCGAGGCCAATAGCTCCACACTGCTCCCTGCCTCTCGACTTGCCTTCCTCCTCACCATTCTCTATGAGGCCAGCATCAGCTTTCTACAACACCCATCAACCCCTGCACTCAGGATAAAGTCACACTTCTTCCCACAGCTTCTCAAGACCAGCACTGTCTGATCCTGAACACACCTCAGCCTCATCTCATGCTCTGTTCCCCTTCCTCGTCTTCCCACCTATGCTGGCCTGCGTTAGGGTCCCCACCTAGAACAATCCTTACATCCCAAGCCTCCCCTGCCTCAGAAACTTTCCCCAGGTCCTCCCAGTAGGCGCTCTCATTAGGCCCTTTGGCACAACTGTCATCGATTTTTCATATGCTGTTCATGATTGGTGTCCTTGCCCCACACTGGACCCCACATTAGACTGTCAGCTCTGTGGGGTGAGGACCATGCTGGTTGATGAGCCGAGAAGTAGACGACATCTGAGATCTGCCTGACCAGACCCCATTCACTTGAGGAACTAGCCTTCCCTCTCTCATTCTCAAGCCAGGTGATTCACAAGGAACCAACCCATCTCCCACTCCAGGGAGAGGCATATGGCCCAGGCCTCAGTCCATTAGTTTAACCCATCCCACTGTCCTCAGTGGCTGGAATGGGCACGTGATCCTACTTGGGCCAATGAGGATCAGGCCCAGGGACTATTGATGAAATGATTGAGGGAGTCCAACTCCAAGGCCATGGCCATAACCCTGGCCCTTCTGGCAGCAGCACTGCTACCACTAAGGGAGTGAGCCAACACCTAAGTAAATAGAACCAAGAAATGAAGAGGCTGAGGCCTTCTCAGTGACATTGCTCAAGGCTCTGAATCCAACTAGGCCTGAAGGCTACCCTCCCTAACCCAGTAAATTCCATTTACTCCTGGAAGCTGGGTATTTGTCACTTGCAATTGGTAGATTGCTGACTAATGCATACTGCATCAACAGTACTTAGCACAGTGTTTGACACACATTAGGCACTGTAAACTTCTTTGCTCACTCATACAGTCATTCAACAAACACTCAGCAGTGTGAAGGTGACTGCGTGTGTTCTATAAGAAGAGTCATCGCAGCTGCTGTTGACAGAGGTGACTACATGGACAGGAGTAGGAAGAGGGAGACCCACAAGAAGCAATGCAGCAGTCCCAGGGACAAAGAGGAGGCCTGAAGCAGGTGGCTGAGACCAAGGGAAGAGGAGGGAGGGAAGAGTCCCAACTCTAAATTCACTGGAGAACCTCTGACAATCCCTGCCCCTCTCTGGCCTCAGTAGCCCAGTCTGTTTCAGATCCATCATCCTAGCATCCCCAAGCTTTCCCCCACTGATTACAGAGTCCCTGCCTGTCGACACTCAACATTGTCACTACAGAGTGCTGGGGGGAAGGGCAGGGTGGGCTCTGGGGTTGGGACCCGACAGGCAGGGAGTATAGTTTAGCAGCTAAGGACACGGGCTCTGGAGCCAGGTGCTTGGGATTAGAACCTGGCCTGCACCTCCTAATTATGCGACCTTGTATAATCTGCTCAATCTCTCTTTTCCTTTGTTTTCTCATCTATGAAATGAGGATAATAACAATAGTGCTGGGAAGATTATATATTATCACAGAAAGAAAGCACGCTTTAATGTTAGGCACCATTATTATTATTATTATTATTTGTAGTAGGAAGTCCAGAAAGAGGAGATTGAACACACAGAATAGAAACCATTCCTAAATTAATAGAAAATTTCCCTGAACGAAAGGAAGACTTGGGTCTTCAGACTGAAAGGACTTACCTAGTTAGGACCAGGAAAAATTACCAAAAGAAAACAAACAACTAGAAATCATCTGGGGAAATTTCTGAATTCCAAAGATTGGAAAGAGGAATCCTGGTTGTTTCCATAAATAAATTTTAGAGAATCAAGGAAAAACTGCTCTTAAAACACTAAATACTGGGGAAACCACAGAACACTGCTCTCAGGCTTCTGGGAGAGAAGGACGATTCACTTAGAATTTTCTACTCAAGCAAACTATGACTCAAACATGAGGGCAAATGTTTTCAGGCTTACAAGGATAAGAAAGGATACCACCCACAGACCCTTTCTGGAAAAATTACTCAAGAAAGCTCTACAGACAAAAGTGAATTAAAATCGAGAAGTCAAGAATGAGATGACGTGGTATGTGAGAGACAGAGGCAAGCCATGAAAACGGAAACATTTAGAGCCTTAACTACTGATAACTGAAAGTTAAGTGCAATTTTAAGTAAATAATTCTTAAAACAGAATAGTGCTAATGTTTAAAAATAGTCACAACCGGCCAGGGTGGCTCACGCCTGTAATCCCAGCACTTTGGGAGGCCAAGGCAGGCAGACCACGAGGTCAGGAGTTCGAGACCACCCTGACCAACAGGGTGAAACTCTGTCTCTACTAAAAATACAAAAATTAGCTGGGCGTGGTGGCGGGCGCCTGTAATCCCAACTACTCAGAAGGCTGAGGTAGGAGAATCGCTTGAACCTGGGAGATGGAGGTTGCAGGAGCCGAGATTGCACCACTACACTCCAGCCTGGGCGACAGAGCGAGACTCTGTCTTTAAAAAAAAAAAATAGTCACAACCGGAAACCGAAATTCCAGACAATTATAACAATACCTAGGAGGTATGGAGGAAAGCAGAGAAGTATGGTCCAGCCGACATGATCATTATGGGTTAGAGGCCACGAGGACAGGCTACTATGGATCTGGTGTCATTCCTGATGTTGAAATATGTTTGTGACAAAGGTAAGGGTAAAGCCACTAGCAGACTAGAATTAGGGTGTATAACTCCAAAGGAAATTTTGCAGAATAATAGGGGTTGGCCTTGGGATGTTTACTACTAAACCATATTCTGAAGCTAAAGTCATTAAGTCTAACCTGATGTAGGAATAGACAGATCAAAGAGGGAGATGAGAGAGCTTAGAAACCAAACCATCCATATGTGGAAATTTGGTCTATGATAAGTGAAGAAAGGAAAGACAATTCAAAAAAATCGGGTTGGAAAAACTGGTCAAACCATTTGGGGGAAAAAATTAATAAGAGTTCCATCTGACACCAGGCATTAAATTAATTGCAGATGAATTTAAAATGTAAATGCAAAAAATAAAAGAATAAAAGTAGCTGAATAAAATTTAGATGAATATTTCTCATAATCTAGGGGTAGGAAAGACCTTAGAAAATATAGGTGCTCTCAACCCCCCAAAAAAACTTGATTATAAAAAAAGTTAACTTCTAAATGATAAAAGATACTATAAAGTTAGAAGGCAAATGACAAACTAGAAAAATAATTATAACCCATATAATAAGCAAATGGTTAATAGTCTAACCACATAAAGAGCTCTTACAAATGAGATAACGCCTCAGTAAAAAACTGGGCAAATGACATGAATGAACTGACAAGCCAAAGCAGAAATATAGGTGACTGATCAACATAAAATGAGGCTGGACGCAGTGGCTCACGCCTGTAATCCCAGCACTTTGGGAGGCTGAGGTGAGTGGATCACTTGAGGTCAGAAGTTCAAGACCAGCCTGGCCAACATGGTGAAACCCCATCTCTACTAAAAATACAAAAATGTAGCTGGGTATGATGGCGTGTGCCTGTAGTCCCAGTTACTCAGGAGGCTGAGGCAGGAGAATAGCTTGAACTCAGAAGGTGGAGGTTGCAGTGAGCCAAGATGGCGCCACCGCACTCCAGCCTTGTGACAGAGCAAGACTCCATCTCCAAAAATAAAACAAAATGAATCTCAACCTCACTAATAATGAAATAAATGTCAATTAAGATTAAATATAATTTTTCACTTCTTGTACCAACAAAGAATTAAAAGCAATAACATTCCATTTTATGCAGGGTGTAGGGAAGCAGGCACTCTCATTCACTGTGAGTAGGAATGCAAATTGTACATGTACTTAACCTCTGTTCCTTTGGTTTCTCAACTATAAAATAGGATAAGAACAATAGTGTTGGGGAGATGACATGTGTAAACAGAAGGAAAGCTTTTTTAGAGCACTTCGGTAGTGTGTGCCACACTCTCTCCTAACAGAAAAGTGCGGCAAGATGTTTATTGCAACATTGTTCAGAATATCAAAACATTAGAAACAATCTAATCATGCATCAATAAATTAAATACATTATGGTCCACTGGCTATTCAAAATAGAGGGAGAAGTTTAGGTGCTGATGGAAAATATTTCTTTCTTTTTTTTGGAGACGGAGTTTCTCTCTTGTCGCCCAGGCTGGAGTGCAACGGCACAATCTCGGCTCATTGCAACCTCCGTCTCCAGGGTTCAAGTGATTCTCCTGCCTCAGGCTCCCCAGTAGCTGGGATTACAGGCACCCAGCACCACACCTGGCTAATTTTTGTATTTTTTAGTAGAGATGGGCTTTCGCCATGTTGGCCAGGCTGGTCTCGAACTCCTGACCTCAGGTGATCTGCCCACCTCGGCCTCCCAAAGTGCTGGGATTACAGGTGGGAGCCATAGCGCCCAGCCACGAAAATATTTCTATAATTATATAATATATATTTCTATAATATATTTATATATAATATTATATATACATATATATATATATATATATATATATATATATTTTTTTTTTTTTTTTTTTAAACAGAGTTTCCCTCTGTTGCCCAGGCTGGAGTGCAGTGGTGTGATCACAGCTCACTGCAGCCTTGGCCTCTCAGGCTCAAGCGATCCTCCCACCTCAGCTTCCCAAGTAGCTGGGACTCCAGGCACATGCCACCATGCCTGGATAATTTTTTTTATTTTTTGTAGCGATGGGGTCTCACTATATTGCCTAGGCTTGTCTTCAACTCCTGGACTCAAGTGATCATCCCACCTCAGCCTCCCAAAGTGCTGTGATTACAGGTGTGAGCCACCATTCCTGGCCTATATCTTTATAGATGAGTTACAAAAATGTATGTATAATATGATATTATTTAGTAAAACAAAACATAGCATATGTCTACATATGTGCATGGGGGAAAATTTGGAGGAACCACATCAAACATATATTAGTAATTATTGATTGGAAATGGGCTTGGGGAATGGGGGTTTTATTTTATTCAGTTTAGTAATGTTTAGAATTTTTTGGTACAAGTTTTGTGCATGTATATTACCAGTTAAAAAACCAAATATAATGCCAAATAAATATTTTCATTTGTAATATAAATTAAAACTTTAAATTCCCTCAAATAAATTTAACAAAAAATGTGCAAGACCTATATGAAATTCTTTCTAAAACTTTGGGAAATCTTAAAATTTGCATAAATGAGGAGACACATCCTGTTCTCAAATGAGAAGACCGTATTGTATAGATTTTAATACTCCCCTTTTAAATGTATAGTTTGAAATATAATTACAATAAAAGTCTCAACGATATTTTTGGGAGGGGCAGGGAGAAGATAAGGACTGAATTATAAAGCTACAATTAAAAAGTACACTGAATTTCATTTAAAAGAATAAATACTTTGGGAGGCCGAGTCGGACGGATTACGAGGTCAGGAGATGGAGACCATCCTGGCTAACACATTGAAACCCCGTCTCTACTAAAAAAATACAAAAAATTAGCCGGGCGTGGTGGTGGGCACCTGTAGTCCCAGCTACTCTGGAGGCTGAGGCAGGAGAATGGCGTGAACCCGGGAGGCGGGTCTTGCAATGAGCCGAGATCACTCCACTGCACTCCAGCCTGGGCGACAGAGTGAGACTCCGTCTCAAAAAAATAAATAAATAAATAAATGTATGAGAAGAGGGGGGAAATAATTTTTAAAGAAAACTAATAAGAGGGTACTTGTCCTAATATAATGCATAAGAATTGGAGCAAATAACTATTTGGGAAAAATGAAAAGTAATCTGCCTCATACTATATGCAAAAGTAAATTCCCAATTGATTAAAATATTAAGAGTTAAAAAATAAACCATAAAATTAAAAGGGAAAAAAGTGAATATTATATAATCCTAGAGTGAATATCATACGCCAAAGGCAATAATATTTTTCAAGATTTATAGTCATTAAGAAAATGCAATAAAAACCATAATGAGATACTACTTCACTCCCACTAGAATGGCTATAATTTTTTAAAATGAAAAAATAGAGTTAGTGAGGATTTAAAGAAATTGGAACCCTCATATACTGATGGTAGGAAAGTAGAATGCTACAGCCACTTTGTTTATTTATTTATTTTATTTTTTGAGACAGAGTCTCACTCTGTTGCCCAGACTGGAGTGCAGTGGCATGATCTTAGCTCCGTGCAACCTCCACCTCCCAGGTTCAAGCAATTCTCCTGCCTCAGCCTCCTGAGTAACTGGTACTACAAGTGCCTGCCACCACACCCAGCTAATTTTTGTTGTTGTTGTTGTTGTTAGTAGAGACAGGTTTTCACCATGTTGCCCAGGCTGGTCTTGAACTCTGGACTCAAGCAATCGGCCCACCTCAGCCTCCCAAAGTTCTGGGATTACAGACATGAGCCACCACGCCCAGCAGTACATCCACTTTGGACAACAGTCTGGTAGTTTCTCAAAAAGTTAAACATGAGTTACCATTTGGCCCAGCTATTCCACTCCTAGGTGTACACCTAAGAGAAAAATATATGTCCATACAAAAAACTTGCACACATATATGTATAGCAGCATTACACAGAATAGCCAAAAGGTGTAAACAACCCAAATGTCCATTAACTGATGAACGGTTAAACAAAATGTGATATTCCATACAACAGAATATTATTCAGCCATGAAAAGGAATTAGTTGCTGATACATGCTACAACATGGATGATCCTGAAAACATTAGACTAAATGAAAGAAGCCAGTCACAAAAGTCCAAATATTATATAATTCCCTTTATATGAAATGTCCAATATAGGCAAATCTACAGAGATGAAAAGTATGAACTAGTGGTCGCTTAGGGTTGGAGGAGATGGGGGAAATAATGGATGATAGCTAAGTAGTATGATTTCTTTTTGAGATAATGAAAATATTCTAAAATTGATTGTGGTGATGGTTACACAAGTGTGTGAATACACTAAAAATTACTGAATTGTGTACTTTAAATGGGTGAATTGTATGATATTTGAATTAAATCTCAATAAAACTACTCTAAAACAAATGATAGATATGACTAATAAGTCAGAAACATCTGTAGTTTAAAGAAATAATAAAAATAAAAGGCTAACACACAAATATCCTTATTATATAAAGAGCTCTTTGTGAATTAATAATTAAACTATAAAAATCCCAATAGAAAAATGAGCAAAAGACTTGAACAGGCTATTCCCAAAAGAGGCAACACAAGTGACCAGAAGGCATATAAATAAATATTCAACATCTCTAATAACGAAAAAAAGAACCTATTTAAAAATGTAACAATATACCATGTTGGTAATGATGAGGAGGAATAAACATTTTCTTATCCAGACTATCTCGGTTTACTTGATTTGATTGAGGAGTTTCCTGGCAAGCAAGATTTTCAATGCTAAAAAGGGAAAAGTCCCAGGCAAAGTAGGATGAGCTAGTCAATTCAGATGAGATTAGAAATCAGTACAACCATTCTGCAGGGTAATTTGGCAATAGGATCAATAATCCATTTTATAAATATATAACCTTTGACCCAGAAACTCTACTAACAGGCATTTATTCTAACAAAACATTCATTCATTCAACAAATATTTGTTTATTTAGTTCCTTTTTGAGATGAAGTTTCACTCTGTTGCCCAGGCTGGAATGCAGTTGACACAATCTCAGCTCACTGCAACCTCCACGTCCCAAGTTCAAGCGATTCTCCCACCTCAGCCTCCCCAGTAGCTGGGACTACAGGCATGCGCCACCATGCCTGGCTAATTTTGTATTTTTTGGTAGAGACAGGGTTTCACCATGTTGGCTAGACTGGTCTCGAACTCCTGACCTCAGCGATCCACCCACCTTGGCCTCCCAAAGTGGTGGGATTACAGGCATGAGCCACCGCGCCCAACAAATATTTATTTAGAGTCGAATGCGTACTAGGTGTTGAACTGGATGCTGGGCATGCCAAGATACACCTAAGAGGATTTTTTTTTCATTCAGAGACAGGGTCTCACTGCTGGAGTGCAGTGGTGCAATCATAGCTCACTGTAACCTCAAACTCAGGCTCAAGCCATCTCCCATCTCAGCCTCCTGTACAAGGATTTTTATCTGAAATTTTTGTAACAAAGAAAAATTGCAAGCAACCTGAATGATAAACAACTGAAGATTACTTAAATAAAGCACGTTTCATCTACACAATGAAATACTCCACAGGCACTGAAAATGATGTTGTAGAAGAATATTTATTGAAATGGAAACATGGATACACTACGCTGTTAAATGGGGGAGAAAAAGCAGGTTAGAAAAATTGCACCAGTAACCCCAATTTGCAAATAAGATATATGTGTGTATAAACGAATGCCTGACAGGACACATTCCAAAATGTTAACAGTGGTTTATCTCTGGGTGCTGGGATTAAGGATGAACTTCATTTTCTTCTCCTGGTTCATCTGTATTAAATGTTTTCTTCATAATAAACATCAATCACATGGATTACTTTTGCAACAATACAACAAAAAAAAAGTCAACTGCATTCAAACAAACAAACAAACAAAGAAAAAAAACACCTTCCCATGCCTCATGAGTGGAGGCCCCAAGGAAGGGGGTTATAGAAAGTCAGATACATGTTCACTGCTTGGTTTTGCAACAAGAGCTACTATTAAGTACCTACTGCATGCCAGGCATTACAACAGATCCCCTTTGATCTTCACAAGACCCCAGTGAAATCAGCGTTCTTGTCTCATTTTACAGATGCTCTGTGACCCATCAGTAATCCCATGGCTAGTGAGAGGAAGAGCTAGGATTTGAACCCTGGCCTGTCTGTCTCTAAACCTGCAGGAGGCTGCTACTACCTCAGCTGCCTCTGCTTGTTCCTGGGGAGGGGCAGGGAAAGGTCCTGAGCCACTGAGGCCTCTGTCCTGCAGGCCAGATCTAGGCTGGCCCTTGTCCTCCCTCCCTGCAGACAGTCCAAAGAAAGGAGGACAAGTCAGCAAGGGAGGGGACACCAGCAAGAGGAGGTGTGGCACTGGACAGCCGGCTGGCTGAGGTCAGGGCTCAGGGTGGGCCAGCTGGGGACTCCTCGCCTGCCAGGCGACTCTCAGGAAGCCTGACCACATCCGGTCCCAGGAGTTCCCAGTCTCTGTGCGCCCAAAGGCAGTGACAGCAAACCTCAGCACAAGGCCTGCAGCCACTGTGCTGAAACAGCCAGGGAAAAACAGCCTGCCAACTGGGCCCTTCTCTCTGGGCTTGCTTGACACCAGCCAGTGCTTTCTGCTCTCCGGGCCTCCAGGGCCTCCTCGCCTGTATGAGGAGGGGGTGTGAGGGCTGATGGCTCCAGGACTCTCCCAGATGGAATTATGTGACTCCATGGGACTTCCTCACATCGGGCCTGGCAGGAAGAGGAAGGGGGTGAGGCCTCCCCACCCAGCTCCCGAAGGAGCCCCCTCCTCTTCCCCTCAGCTCTGTTCCCACTGCTATTTTTAGAACAGACCACAGGGAGTGTCTCCACCACTCCAGCCATGCTCCTAGCTGCAGGTAAAACACAGCAGCCCCATTCATTCTGCTCCAACAAGCACATGCCAGGAATTTACAGATAAGCCAGAGGACTAGACAACCTCTCCCCACGCCACTAGCTGAGCTGCTTTCTCAATATTTCCATTACAGCCCAACACAGTGACTTACATTTCCCAAGGCCAACACAGTGAGTTGCTGAGTGAGACAACCCTAAGACCGTCTGTGACCCCTTTCCTGCCCCCAGCCCAGCAGAATCTTCAGAAGTCCCCGACTACATGCCCTTGGCCAAGTTTTTGCCTCTTTCACTTGGTTTCTACAACCTAGCTTGTTAATCAATTGATCTCAGTGGGGGAAGGAGGAGGCTTTCCAGCTCCACATTCAAAGTTTCTATGGTTCTACCAATATTCTAGTCACTCATAAAATAAATACTATATTCCCAAAGTCCACCTAAGTATTGATTACAGGCCTCTGAATGCATTTTCCCACTCAAAAGTATGTTATAAATGGTGGTCAGCTTCCTAGGCCAGCCTACTTAACCCTTAATAGTCTTCCATCAAGTAGAAACAGTAGAAAACCATATAGCAATAATAGACTTCAACCAAAACAGAAACACACTAACACTTAGGACAATTTTTTTGAATTTATCTTGGGTAGTGTTATCCCAGCAAAAGTGGGTAGGTACTAAAGGTGATGAAAAAGCCAATGGCAACTTATCGGGAAGAGTCTGAAGGAGACTTCTGACCACACCAGAAATGAAAGGACTGCAAACCAGTGACCACAAATTCCACGCGGAAATTAGCCTGATGGCTTGGACTGGGAGTTGGAAAGGTTAAAGAATGTACTTGCATACATATTAGGTTGGTGCCAAAGTAATTGCGGTTCTTGACATTGCTTTTAATGGAAAACACCACAGTTACTTTTGCACCAACCTATATACACGTGAAGTTGAAACAAAAGAGTTCAATGTGTATACTCAGCCACCTGAGCAGAAAGGAAGGAGGGAAGGGGAAGATATTGGGTTGGAGAGCCCGTCTTGTGCTGGCCTCCAATGGGGGAGGCTGGAAGAAGCACCTCTAGGGGAGAGGAGGCAGTAATGTGCTCATAATTTGGGTGTCTGTGATGAGGACCCCTTTCTGTCTAAATATACCTATGTGTGATGAGTACATTGATGAATATTCACCAGGAACAACATTTGCATAGGGCCATACACATACACTCTGTTTCAATGTGAAAACTAAAATGCCTGTTCCCTTTCTTCTTTTTGCCTGGTATTAGAGTACCGAGGCTTTGCAGTCTGCCCATTCTCCCCTCTGAAATCCCTCATGGAAATGTTTCCATGGACCACCTATGTGTCTCAAGACAGTGACTGTGATGAAGAACCTAGCCAATTCTCCCCCTAGATCTGGATCTCCACCTTTTCTGAGGGGAGTAGCTACTTTATCCTCATCTTTATTGTTATATCCTGATATTCTGGAATCAGATGACTCCTGGAGACCATCTGAATTCAACTCCCTCATTTTTCTTGGTAAAGGAACAGAAGATCAGAGATGTGAAGCAATTTGCTCAAGGTCACACGGTGAATACCAGCAAAATGAGGACTCGAGGCAAGATTTTCAGAATCACTCGCTGGTTTTCTCTGTAAGCAAGGGGCTCGGTGAGAGGTGAGCCCCGCAACCTACAGCAGCAGCTCCAGCTGGGCTTCCTTTCCCTCTGGGAATTCCCCAGTGTCAGCATGGGAACACAGTGGTATCCATGACCCTGAAGTGAACCTGGTCAGACCTTCATAAACCAAGTGCAGATCCATGCTCTGGTCTCCACAAAGCTGAGGTGCAACAGAAAAAGCTCTGAATCCAAAGAATCAGGAGACCTGAGCTCTAGTCCTGGCTCTGACACTAACTTTTCCCATGACCCTGGCCAGGTCACTTCTCTTTTTGCACCTGTTTCCTTGTCTAAATTCTAGAATATAGGAGAGTTGAACTGGACAGCCTAATTCAATCCTACAACCTCTACTGAGCACCTACTACGGACCGGACAACAATAGAATCAAAGACAAATAAAATATAACATCTACTTGCTCCGAAGAAGCTCACAGTCATCCAGATGCTAAGGATGAATTGTGCTAAGGGGGAAAAAGTACTCTGGGAACCACGAAGGGGGAAGTCAGGACTCCTGATGCATGCCTGAGAAAGGTGTTCTCAGAGGAGCCACTAAGCCTTGAAGGTTGAGGATTGCATCCAGCAGGGACAGCCAAGGAGGGCAGTCAACGTCAGGCAGATCAAACACCCTAACTGTGAATGTGCACAGTGAGTTTAGAGAAGGGGAAAATTTATGGTGTGGCCGGGCTCCAGGTGCAAAGCAGGAGTGTAGTGCTACCAAGGAGAGCCTGGAAAGCCAAGCTTTACTCTGAAGACAGTGGCCTCCCACAATGGTCTTTAAGCAGGAGTGTGACAGTCCAGTCTCCCTGGCCCTTCCAGCTTGGATGGTCTGCAGTTACAGGAAAGCCATATAGCAAAATAATCAAAAGCAGGTACCCTGGAGCTGGGCTGTCCAAGTTTCAATCCTAGCTACCCACTAGCTGTGTGACCTTGGGCACGTTTCTTAACTTCTCTGAGACTCAGCGTCTTCATATCTAAATTGGGCATAATGAGAGTAAATGTATAACAGGGGTAACACACCTTGTAAGTCTGCATGAGGATTAGATGAGACAGGGTAGGTAAAAAGCTTGACCCTGTGCCTGGCTCATCTTGTAAGTGCCCACCAGGTTACCTTATGTTATCATTCTACCTTTAAAACCAAGGATCTGGGAACAGTTTGGAGGATGGATGGCCCTATTCAGAGAAAGTCTTCGAGGAAGAGAAGGCGAAGACAGGATAGAGGGTAAGGTTGCACTGTCTTCTTCAGGGGCTAAAAAAAACAATAGCAAGATGGCTGAGACCAAGAGCAAGACAGCGAAGAAGGCAGTCTGTCCACTGATAGGACAGCAGCAAGGAATGGGGAGGAGAGCTGGTGGCTGCCTGGAAACAGTTTTTAGGGAGAAGAGTCTGCATCTCTTAGGGGAGATGGCTGAAATCAGATCCATTTGATTCCCCTTTATTCAGGGCTGAGATACTAAATCAGTCAATTAGCAAAATCTGCGCACAAAACCTGGCAGGTTCCACATGGGCAGGCCCTCTCTGTGCCCTCAGCTGGTCTCAGGTCAAAGGCCTCCTTCCAGTACTTACGCTGGGCACAAGCCAGCCTGAGCCTGAAGCTATACCTCTCTGCCTTTGGCTAATATTCCATCACTGCCAAGCACTCCATGACTCTGTCTGCTGATCCTTTTGATGCCAAATTCAAAAGGGGAAGGGGTGTAACCTAACCATTCCAGAGCTCCCTGAGAACCTGTCTTAAGGAGCTCAAACTGATCTCTCATTTTAGGCTTTTTTCAAATCTTGTGGGAAGCTATTGATCTTTTCAGCCTGTGCCACCCTCAGGAAAATGCATTCTGGAAGTTTATTCTCCACTGGGTGGAAAATAAGGCATCTCATTTTATTTATCCTAAAAGCATTCCCTCTACAGCTTGATGGGCCACAGCTTCTGACATGCCGGATATCCCTCTCTTGCCTCTTCCTGGAGATTATTGATTTCTCTTACTTCTATCCCTAAAAGACAAACCTTTTTATCAGAAATGAGTGGTAGATTAGGTTCAAAGGCCTTGGCTTGAGGGCAAGCTTGGCCCTTACCAGCTGTGTGACCTAGGATAAAACACTTAACTTCTCAGAGCCTTGGTGTCTTTCATCCATAAAACAAGGCTGCTGGGAGGCTGGGGGGAGATCATGCCTGGGGACCCCAGTTGCCATCTCCAAAGTTTAGGCTCTCACTGTGGGACTTTCGCTGTGGGGAGCCCTTCCACGTTGCAAAATTGCCTGCATTTTCACTTTGCAAAAACCCTCTTGGTGCCTTGGTGCCATGTGTGACAAATGAGGACTTTGGTAATAGAATTTATGGGGAAAAATAAAGAATAAAAATATAAGACATATATAAATAAATGTCATTATTTCCAAAAGGTCTGCAATGTCCCAACCCCCAAATAGCCAAAAGACCCAGGCCAGCAGAGATCCAGGCCTGATGGCTTACAGGATAGATGAAGAGTTTTAAAAGAACCAGAGCCTGAGACATAAAAAGAAAAAAAAAAAAAAAACATGAAAATGGGATCAGAGGGTCGGGGGTGTGTGGGGAACTAAAAGAATCACTTTGTATTCAAGTTGCACAGATGGTCTTTCCAACAATAAATGGTTGTGCTCCCATCTTCCCAGCTCCTGGGCCTGAGACACCAAACCAAGACAATTAGCCCATCAGGAAAGAGGCCATTGTGTGCTTCTTAGCATGATTTATGTAGCAGGGAGGGGCTCGGCAATGCTTCCCGTGATTATAGCTCTCAAGTGCAATTTCCATAGCTTGTTCATCATCCTGGACAGCTAGGATGGACTGGGATGCTGGACAGCAGTGGCCATCAGGTCATGTTTCATCTTCTCGAGCCTGTGGAGCCAAATTAATTGTTCGATCGATTTGAGAGGCAGAGCAGCAATGGTGCTGTGGCTCACCACAGTCACTGCCCAGGGCCCACCAGGAACTGATGTCCACTTCCCTAACAGCCGGACCTGGGACCCTGATGTGAGCATCTGCTCGACTCAGCAGCTTGTCAGGACAGGCTGGGTGAAAAGTCCTGTCCCCAGGGCTGTGTGCTGCATTCAGACTGTCCATTTCTTTGTGGCCAGAGCTCCTGTCCTCTGCACCTGTCTGGTAGACAGAGGTAGGTCACCAGGTCCAGGAGAGATGAGCTTGCTGCCTTCCCAGACAGGCGAGTCTCCTGTGCCTCACATTCCCCTTAATGTCATTTTGTAAGGGAATCAAATGAAATCAAAGTGCAGCTTGCTGTCTGTGCAGACCCAGCTGCTCAGCCTCTCACAAATCCCCCCCGCGGGCTGAGCCCTGGCAGACAGAGATGCTGTGTATCACTGGTCCCACTTCAGGCAGCGTTTACTCCCTTGCTGGGTGGGGGGCATTGGTCTGGTCACGGGCAGATCCAGCCCATCCCCTGTTAGACTGTTGAGTCAATATGTCTGATCTTTCCTAGGTTGAGAGGAGGATAAGTGGGAAGTAAGGGGTGTATTCTCTTCTAGGCCACCATTTTTGGGGTTCAAGTGGCCATAGCAGCTGAGCAAGCTCACAGGGGCACAAGAACCTTTCTCTAAAGATGCCGAGGTCTTACACAACACAAAGAATGTCCAAGGTCAGGGAACCTCTCTGGCCTCAGCCAGCCCTCAGCCTCTCTGACCCTCTTTTCCTATGCAAGTGACTCTAATCCTCTTGATACCCTTTTGCCCATGAGCCGTGTCCCTCAGACCTGCAGCCTTGGGCTTCCCTCCCTCTAGGTCTGGCAGTTAGATAAGAGTATGAGAGCTGCCCAACCCTGGGCTCCAGCTGGAGGTGCAGCAGGCAGTGAGTGGGCTGGGCTCAAACGGCTGTCCCCTTGGTTGGTCTTCCTTCAGCCCTGCGGCAGCACAGTCTCCACTAGAGCTGCTAGGCCACCCCCAGCCCAGTCCCTGGCCCTCGGAAGCCCCATGGAAAGCATGCGAAGTCAGTTTCCAGGGCACTGTGTGGCAGCTTCCTATCACAATGCTCAGCATGGGACAGAAAGACAGCACAGCAGCCCCTGCTAAGGCCTGGGCAGCAGTGAACTCTCCCACCTGGGCCAGGCTGAGCACTCACTGCCCCCAACTTCCAGGAACACTCCTAGAACTCAGCACTGCCCCCACTATCCCCCACGAGGCCTGGCCAAAAGGTGGCTCTGTGGGGAAGGTCCTAATCCTCACTCACATCCACTGAGAGAGGGGCCATTGAGGAGGAGGGTAGGCAGGGGGATGGGGCAGGGAGTCATCTCTTCTCCAGAGCCTGGCATTCAGGCATCCACTTCCCCAGCCACCATCCAGGACAAGCCACCAGGACAGTCCTCACCTAGAGAACTGAACGAGCCCCCTAACTGATCTCACACCCACTTGGGCCCCTCCTATGTGTAAACGGATCTTGTAAAAATGTACTTGCAACTCCCTTCCTCAAAAGCCTTCAATGGCTCTCCAGTGTATCTAGAATGAAATCAACAAGACATCAACTACCTCACCCACTGTGTCTTGCACCTCACTAAGCTCCAGCCACACTGGCCTGCTCGCCATTCCTCCAGCCCACTGAGCTCCTTCCCATCTCAGGGACTCTCCACGTGCTATTCCATCCACCGCGAACACTCTTCCCCAAGTCCAGGACTGGCTCCTTCCTCTCCAGCCCACAAGTCTCGGTTTAAAAGTTATGTCCTTCCCCATCCCCACCCCCACACACAGCACTCTAAGTACAATTCCCTCTTAAAGAAATCTGTGTTTTTTCTTTCATAGATGATCACAGCTTGCCATCACGTGTGTGCACGTGTGTGTGTTGGTATTGACTTATTTAACGCTCACTCCCAGCTAGACTGAAATCTTGATGAGAGCGAGACCATATCCGACTTTTTCTCCACAGTATCCCCAGCTCCTAGCATAGAGCCTGGCATAAAGTAGATGCACCCGAAATATCCATCGAATGAATGAGCCAATGTGTACAGGTGGAAAATGAGTGGATGGGCGGAGATGTCCTCTGGCAGCAGCAGATCATGGCATTGTTCTTCATCAGGGTGACCTCTCCCAACCTCTCCTGCTGCCCCCAAGGCAGGTCCGGGAGCCACCACTGGAAGCCCAGATGTGGAATGTCCTCCTCCTCCTCCTCCTTGGAAGGAAGAAGCCTCTGAGTCCTCTCCTCTTGGGACTTTCTGCTGCCAGTCTCTGCATGCCCACAAGGCCTCTCACACCATTGTGGTCCTTCTGTTGACATCCACATGCACCCTTGGGACCACTCCCTTCAGATGACCCTAGACCCACCATCTTGGTCCTCTGTTTCAGGTCCAGTTGAGGTGAGGTTACTGTGTGGTAGGGGATGCCCAAGAAAGGGTTAAGTTGCCAGAAGCAGAGTCCCGCCCTTGGGTTTGCTCAGCCAATCAGAGTCTGTCCTGGTGAGGTAAAGCTTCTATCCTGGGTGGCATTGGTTGAGTTGACCGGCCCCATCTCCTGCTGGAGAGAGCCGAAAGGGTGGAGTTTCTGTGGAACCAGACAGAACTGGAATTAGCTCGCTGTCTACTCAGGCCGGGCTGCCTGACTGCAGGACCTGCCTCTGTTCCTTTCTAAGGCACTCACACACCCTGGCATCTCCAGGGCTGTCTCTAGTGGCCCCAGTGGAGATGACAAGGTGGCACGCACCTCACCGTCACATCTGGGAGAAGTCTTAGAGCCAGAGCAGACAAGGAGGCCTCAGTTTCCCTGCCTGGGCCCCTGGAATATGGCAGATGTCTACCAGGAAGTGACATGGAGCAGTTGTCATATGTGCTCCGAGCACCAGCAGCAGCTTCAATGAACAAGGCCCCCGATGAATCTTCCCATATGGACAGCACTTTAAAACCATGACAGTGAGAACGATAGCGGCTAGTTCAGAGCTCCTCTTGCATGCCACTTTGCAAAGCACATCCTGAGTTCAATCCTCACAAGAAGCCTCTTAATCCATCCACTTTACTGATGCAAAAACTGAGTCTCAGAGAGGCTAACTGGCTCACCTGAGGTCACATTGCTTACTGTGTTACTTTGAACTATCTGTCATGTCTGTCTCTGCCACCAGACTGTGATCTCCCGAGGAAAGGGGGTGATGGATTGCTCTGTGCGTCCCTCCCCGTGGAGCACAGGACCTGCCCTGAGAATGGGGCCAGGCCCCACTGCACTGTGTCTGCCCTTCTCATCCTAAAGGCTTGGTTTCCATGCTTCTCAGAAGGCTTCCTGGAGCCCAGCCCAGCACCAGGCACATGAAGGGTACTGAGCAGGAGGCTCACGGCACGGATGATGCTTGGATAGCCAGGACCCCACTGGATCCTTCTTAGGACCCGCAAGCATGGCTTTCATGCTTAGATCACCACTCCAGTGCCCTCCTCATCTCTCTCCTATTAGGAGAATTCCATAGCGACAGGGACCAGGTCTCATTCATCTCTGTGATCCCAAAGGATCTAAACCAGTATCTGGCACTGAGAAGGCATTTATTATGTATATTTGCTTGAATAATCAAAAGAATATATAATTGTCTCTCCCTTCTAGCTTAGAACCTGAATGGCCACAGGTGGGCCCAGCTCTGAGTTATTCTAGATTAGAAGCCTCGCAGCAGTCCCCATGCAGGGAGTTTAGTACAAGGATTCCCAGGCAGAAGAAGAAAGGTAGGCGCCCCCCAGCTACAGATAATGAAGCAACAGAGGGGCAGAGCTCTGAAAAGGAAGGAGCGGGTGATGAACAGGAGTAGGAAGTTGAGACAAGAGAGAAAGTAGTTCATTTATTTCTACAAAAAATGGATACTAGATGGCCCCCGGCCCTCAGCTTTCACGAAAATCACAAAGCTTGGAGAGATAGAAAGAGCCACGGGCCCAGTGCCCAGATGGGACTACTGACACCACAGCAGCCAGCGGCTGCTGAAGGTCCCACAGCAAGGGAGTGACCTCCCAACTGTTCTTTAAGTCCATCTTCCCCTGACTCCCTCTACCTTCCCAACAAGCATATATTTCATCTTCAAGGTAAATTGCACTTATTACGTTTTGTGAATTTGGGAAGAGCTTTACATTCCTTAAGACATTTAAAGAATCCCCCACATCTGGGTGTCAGCAGACACTCTTGAAAAGAGCATGGGAGTTTGGGGAGTTGCCTTACAAACCCCCTTTTCCCAGAGAGGCATTTGGGTGGTGCAGGGGTGGGGTGGGGGTCTAGGCAGTGTTTTCCTTTGTTCAGCAGAAGGTGGAGCATCCACAGAAAGAACACAGAAAAGGCATTCAAAGGTGTGCTACTCTTGAGGTCAGGAGTTCGAGACCAGCCTGGCCAACATGGTGAAACCCCATCTCTACTAAAAATAAAAAAATTAGCCAGGCATGGTGGCATGTGCCTGTGGTACCAGCTACTCGGGAGGCTGAGCCATGAGAATCGCTTGAACCCAGGAGGCAGAGGCTGCAGCGAGCTGAGATCGCACCACTGCACCCCAGCCTGGGTGACAGAGCGACACTCCATCTCAGAGCAAATCGGTCCAGCAGGACCCTTATACCTGAAGAGCAAGCAGCCAGCCTCCGGGCTCCGTTTGGCCCTTCCTCTTCTGCCCTAGAGATGGAGACCTTAGTGGCCAGCCCTTGGTAAAGAGGTTCCTGGTCACCCCGAGGCTGCCAGGAACTGACGGAACTGAGCGCAAGTGGACAATGCTGTGGACCAGCTGGAAAGCCAGGCGGGCCCTGTCAGTGAGGTTGCTAAAGCATTGCTAGAACTACCTAGGGCTGGAGAGAATCTATTTACTGGAATTCCTCTCAGGGAGCATTCCATAAGTGTCTAGAAGGAGTAAGTTGCTAAGACTCTTTGCATGTGCATGGTGGTGATAGGGATGGGGAATTTTGAGCAGTGAGACCTCTAGGGCCAGCCTGACAAAAGACAGCTACATCATGGCCTTCTTAGGAGGGTGGCCCAAGTGGGGTATGCCAGTGTGGCTCCAGGCCCAGTTCTTAGGCCCGGGAGGTAATTCTGAGGCTGTCCCAGCACTTGGGCCCCCTCCTTCATCCTTCTCCTGTCCAGCACACAGCTTCTCCATGGAACACGCGTTTGAAGAGTTTGGATTTGAAGAGGTGTCCAAACTGCTCTGCTCAGGATTCCCATACATTCTAGTGTGGCCCTGAAGCCAGGCCTCAAACCCTTGGGCCGTTCCAGGGTCAGCCAGCCAAGCCCAAAGCCCTACAGGGACCACAACCTGCCTCAGAAACAGCCTGCCTTCAGTCACCCTCTGGCCTCCCAAACCTGAAGATGGAGAGATTCTCCAAGGTATTGAGAAGGCTGCTGCTAACACACTCCAGAGTCAGCAAACTCTGAGAGCGAGGCACAAAGAGCTCTTTCCCCCAGAAAAGGAGGCACAAGCCCAAAGGAAAAAAAACTGGGGCATAGGTTCAGCCATTCGACGTCCCAGAGGCCACCCCAATGAAGAGGAAGCGGCCTGGATTCTGACTGTGACCAACCCAGGATCAGTGGGGCAGGGCAGCCTATAGGCATGGGGACAGGTCTCTGCTCAGTAGAAGAACCTGACAGTGGCAACCAGCCAGTGCTGCAACAAACCACCTGGGGCTGGGCAGGGGGCAATGCATTCCCCACAGCTATGGTTGAGTGAGTGCCTACTGCATACCAGGCACTGTGCTATAGCCCGTATATGCACCCTCTCATTTCATTCTCACAACAACCCTTTGAGGGAAGGACTATTGTCCCAGGTTACTGATGGGGACATCAAAGTACAGAGCAGCAAAGTGACTTGCCCAAGTTCCCACTGCCAGTTGGTGGTAGAGGGTGGCTCAGAAGTCCGTGCTTTTCCTACTGTCTTCCCTCATCCAAGTTATTCTTGCCACTAGCTAGTGTAAAACAAGAGAACGTTCACAGCTAAGATGATGTAATTCTCAGATCCTCACTCCTTTCGGGAATAGCTGGGGAGCTGCTGTCCACCTCTGGCCCTCAGAAGAGGCTGCCAACTGCCTCTTCCCTACCTCCTGCTTCAGCAGGCCTGCCCCCCAACTGCCCCCTGCATAGGCCTGCTGCCCATGGCATAGGGGACTGACTGCACCAGGGAGAAGTGAAAAGGCCAGCAAGTTACAGGCTGCAGCTTTCTTTCATCTCTCCTCTTCGCCCAGATCCAGCAGAGCAACCACCTCAGCAACTTTTGCAGCCAACCAGACCCAATTCCCAAATGGCCAGCACTTTTAGCAAAAGAAGGGACCTGAATGACTCACAAATGGGGTAATATAACTGTACTTTGTGGCTGGCATCGGAGTGTCAAAGGGGAAGGCTGTGTGGTCCAGCTCCTATCCCATCCCCTCTCCCCAGGCACTGGATGGGCTGAGCAGTGCCCAGCCCAGAACAGCCTCCCCTGGGAGTCTCTAATCTTCCCCGGTGCTCCTGCCAGCCAGTCCCCAGACCCCAGCAGTCCACACTCAGCTCTACTTGGCTCTGGCCCACATGGAACTATACAGCATACAACAGCTTCTGCCGCAAACATCCCCTCTATCGCATCCGCCTGGGGCCAATGTTAAACACCAGTGTGCTGCCCCCAGGCACAGGCTACCCAATGGCAGAGGTGAACGCATGCCAGGCAGCATCAGGGAGGCCAGCCCGAATTAAACCTTGCCATAGGCAAACCGAAGAACAGAGTGCAGAACTGATGGGCCACGCTTAATTTGGCTCTGTCGCTCTACACGAGCACTGTCAGACCCACTCAGCAGACCCAATGACATGCCAAGGGGGAGAGACATTCGGGCACAGGTCCCCGCTTGCCAAGAGCTCATTGCCCAGAGCCAAGTTGGAAGCTCAGGCTGGCCCCCAGCTCAATGCAGAGGCTCAAGGGTCTAGGCTGGCTGAGGGGAAACGAGGCAGCCAGGCCACAGCCACTGTCAAGGCCCTTACCTTGCTGTCCGGGGGTGATGCTGCCAGCTGTTGCTGCTTGGCGATGTTCTCCGACAGGCACCAGCACACTCTCTTCTTCTGCTCCTGCGAGTGCGCTTCCAAAGTGAATAAGCACTCTGCCTTCTGACGTCAGGGAAAATAGAGAAACGGACGGTCAGGGCTGCTCCCTGGTTCAGGGGGCTCCCAGGCCCAAGCCCATCCCTGGGCTCCAGAGGGTGAGGCTGCAGCCAGGAGGGGAGTGTCCGCCAAAAGCCGCAAATGCACACTAATCCCCAGTGACATTGAGGCAGCCAGAGGCGCAGGGAAGTGGGTTCAAGGGCCAGCTGGCGAGCTGTGGGCCCACAGGTTGGGGGAGGGGAGGAAGGCAGTGGCTCCCAACACAGCAGAGGCCTGTGGAGAGCAGGACAGAGCCGATGAGGTCACCCCCAGGGGCAGGCAGCACAAAGCAGCAGCTGAGGGAGCACGTGGGAAGCCCAGAGGGCCAGGGCCTCAGGCTGATTCTCTGTGGAGCCAGGAACCCTCCCCACCTCCCCTGGCTCACAGAACCCATCTTCCTCACAGCGCTCTTCTCTGATCCCAAGGCCAAGGCTGAACGGGTGGTTGGACGGGCATACCAACAGAACCCAAACAGCAACTCAGGGTCCTTTGGAAAGTCTTTGACGGGCAGAGTCATGTGGCCCTCTGCAGCCCCACTGCCCAGCACATGATCTTGGTCTAATCTGTGACTGTTCAGCTCACTCGAGGGCAGCAACATCCCAGGCACTGCTGACATTTAGGTCCCGCTTCGCTATTCAACCTTGTTAAGTACTACAGTCTCGTCTCCCCAACTAAACTACAAACCCCTCCTAGAAAGGCCTTTTTCATCTAGGCCTCATATAGTGCTTAGCAAGCAATGGCCTTGGTAAGCTCTGGTTGCCAGGAAGGACTTCTGGGATAAGGTCAAATCCAGGTCAGCTTTGGCACAAGCACCAGGGAGCTTCAAGGACCCAGAGAGCCACCCCTAAAGCAGAGTGTGCTAGGGGCGGGGTAGGGATGGTGGTACATGCCCAGGGTTGCCACCCACAACCGGGTACTCTCATCAGGGGAGTACAAGCTCTGTCTGCCTCCACTAGAATTTGATTATAACCCCAAAGGGCTGCGATTAGATGAACTCAGCCAGGGAGCTAAGAGCATCAGCTGATCCCTTGGAACAGAAAAAAAAAAGACAGTGTTTCTATCCAGCCCTTTCTCATTTTGCAGTTGGACAGGCCTGGTTTGAATCCCAGCTGTGCCACTTCCCAGCTGTCAACCTCAGGAAAGTACCAAGCTGCCTGTGAAATGGGGATATAATGGCATCACCTGGCTTTCAGAGCTACTAGGAGGGCAAGCAAGGAGGACAACAATCAGGCCTCAACAAACAGTCACTAGTATTACTATTCAGTAATTCATTTGTTTAATAACTATTTATTGACTGGGCGCAGTGGCTTATGCCTATAATCCCAGCACTTTGGGAGGCCGAGGCGGGTGGATCATGAGGTCAGGTGTTCGAGAACAGCCTGGCCAACATGCTGAAACCCCATCTCTACTAAAAATACAAAAATTAGCCAGCGTGGTGGCATGTGCCTGTAATCCCAGCTGCTCAGGAGGCCGAGGCAGGAGAATCACTTGAACCTGGCAGGCAGAGGTTGCAGTGAGCCAGGATCGCACCACTGTACCCCAGCCTGGGTGACAAAGCCAGACTCAGCCTGGGTGACAAAGCAAGACTCAGCCTCGAAAAAAAAACAAAATAAAATAACTATTTATTGAGCACCTGCTCTGTGTCAGAGACAGTCCTAGGCATTGGAAATAAAGAGGTAAATGAGACAGACTAAGCCCATGCTCTCAGGTTAGGGGCAAAGACAATAATATTTGTTATTTATACAAATAAACAATTAAAGAAATAATATACAGCCCTCCCTATCCATGGTTTCTACAACCATGGAGTCCACCAACAGAGGATGGAAAATATTTGAAAAAATATTTTAGGCTGGTCACAGTGGCTCCCATCTGTAAACCAGCATTTTGGGAGGCCAAGGCAGGAGGATCATTTGCGCCCAGGAGTTCCAGACAAGCCTGGGAAACACAGTGAGACCCAGTCTCTACCAAAAGTTTTAAAAAAAAATTAATTGGGTGTGGTGGTGTGCGCTTGTAGTCCCAGCTACTTGGGAGGATAAGGTGGGAGGATTGCTGAAGCCCAGGAGCTTGAGGCTACAGTAAGCAATGATTGTGCCACTGCACTCCAGCCTGGGCGACAGGGCAGACCTTGTCTCAAAAAAAAAAAAAAAAAAAATTCATCTGTACTACATATGTACAGATTTCTTTTCCTGCCATTATTCCCTAAACAATACAGTTTAACAACTATTTATACAGAACTTACATTGTATTAGATATTATAAGTAATCTAAAGATGATTTAAAGTACATGGAAGGATGTGTATAGGTTATATTAAATACTACCCCATTTTGTGTCAAGGACTTGAGCATCTTTGGACTTTGGTATCTGTGGGGTCCTGGAACAAATCCTTGGTGGATACTGAGGGACAACTGTAATTACAACTTGTGAAAATGTCACCAAGGTCATAAAGGGAGAGGTCATACTTGAGGTGATCAGAAAAGGCCTCTTAGAAAGGGCAACACACAAGCTAAGGCATGAACGGTAAGAAGGGGCCAGCAAAAACAATGTTTGGGAGAAGCTGTTCCAGAAGCAGCGAAAGCAGGCCTTGAGCTGGGGTGGACTATCACATCAGCTGATAATATCTAGGGACTTCTTCTACCCTGCATCCAACCCAACCCTCAGGAATGCCACCCTTCAGAGTGGGGGCACTTCCCATGCTGAGTGCCAGCCATTCCTCTCAGGCCCAAAAGTGCTCAGAAGTTGATCTTCCTAAGAGCATCTGGGGAAAGAGGAAAGAAAGCCCTGCCTGCTGGTTTCAGGGAACTGGGTGGTGCGCTGAGGCACTCCTGGAGCTTCTACTTAACAACAGCTTCCCTCCGCTGCCCAGAGTCCTCTAGCCCATGGCAGGGGAAGGATATGGCCAGCAAAAGACCCCAAGATTTCCCAGGGAGAAGCCGGGTGAGGCAGATGCTGACCAGAAGGCCCTCTGCTCCCTGTCTCCAGTGTTCCCATGTAAAGGTGGGGGGTGAGGCAGGAACTGTGGTCCCTTCCAGCTTGGAAAGGCCATCACTCCATGAAGCTGGCCCTGGCCCTGGCCCGAGCCTCCCAGCCCTGCTTCTACCCAGTTGGGTGGGCTTCAGCAGATTCCTTAATCTCCCTGGGCCTCCATGTCCTCTTTTCTTTCTGTTCTGAAGCAGGAATTCTGCCTTACTAATAATTCCTTTTGTCTGATTATCAATTTTAAAAAGAACTTTCCAGCTGGGCACGGTGGCTCATGCCTGCAATCCCAGCACTCTGAAAGGCTGAGGCAGGCAGATCACCTGAGGTCAGAAGTTTGAGACCATCCTGGCCAAAACGATGAAACCCCGTCTCTACTAAAAACACAAAAATTAGCCAGGCATGGTGGTGTGCACCTGTAATCCCAGCTACTTGGGAGGCTGGGGCAGGAGAATCGCTTGAACCCAGGAGGCGGATGTTGCAGTGAGCTGAGATCGCACCATTGCACTTCAGCCTGCGTAACAGAGTGAGACTCTGTCTCAAAAAAAAAAAAAAACAGAATTTTCCCACCCACGATCTCATGCTGATCTTGGCAATGCAGTGAAGAGGCAGGAAGGGCATGGATTGTTGTCCCCATTTTATGGAAGGGAATGGCCAAGGTTCAGAGCAGCTAAGGACCTCCCTGAGTCTCATCGCCAATGAGGAGCAGAGCTCCAGCTCAAAGCCTTGGAGAACCACATGCTGGGATCTCATCTCCAACACCTGGGGAGGTCTCATCACCTGGTCAGGCTGCCACACCTGTGGCTGGCAGGAATGCTCCCTCTTGCAGACTGGACCAAGAGGCGACCAGAATGCAAAGCCTCCAGGAGAAATTCTGTAGGTAGCTGGGTCTCAGAGCAGCTGCAGAGTTCGCTGGCAGCTTTTTGTATAACTGTCCACTGCTCTAAGCTCCAGGATGGTGTCCCCCTCCCTACAAAAGTATGAAAGAGCTCCCCCCATCCTGGGAGGGCCTCTCACAGTGAGAGAGCCACCTACCCTCAATACTGAGGCAGCCCCCTCAAATCCCATGCCCTGCACAGTGCTAAGCCCCTTACCAGTGATACCTCGACATTTCTTCCAACGACACTGCAAGGTAATAGCCATGATTATGCCTGTTTTGCTGACACCACAAGAACCACCCTCTGCTGCCCTGCCCCATGGGAATCTCCTTTGGAAAGCCATTATTTCTTCACCTGAGATGGTGACCGTATTGCCTGTCTCAACAGCAGAGTGTAGGGCTGGGTCTCTGGCTCTCAGAGCTTGAAGCTGTAATACTAGAGGACCCAGAAGGCTTCCAAGGCAGGGGGCAGAGCTGGCTGGCTTAGATGGGCAAACATTTTCGGGAGACCTAAGCTTTGGTCTCTCTCTCTCTTGGCCAAGCCAAGAGAGAGAGCACTAAGCCAGCTCCCTCCAGGGAGGCTGAATTCCCATCTGCCTAAATCTGTCTAAATTGGGGACACTCATTACCTTCCTGGCTTCCCTCACAGGTAAACCATCTCTTTTAATCCAGGGTGTGATCCAACTCGTCAGTCCCAACACTGATGCCCACTGTGCCCTCAATAGCAGGCTCTGTGGTCAAGGCCATAAGCCACCCTGAAGGCTTCCTCACATAACTCACTCAGACGGTGCCTCCTGACTATGGGGTGGTCAGCCAAGCACAGACCTTTCAGATGCACTGGCCCTGGCCCAGAAGCACTGGGCACAGACCTGTGCATTTAAACATGGGCATCCTGAAATCCAACCAGACACCCAGCTCCTCTTGGCCTCTTTAAAATCCCGCTCTTGCCTTACCTCCTTGCTCCTGAATTAACTGTATCTTTGTAAAAAACAAAACCTCTTCAGCCATAAATTAAGTTGGTTCATTTGCTTTGATAAAAATTCTGTCATTTAATTCAGTTCTCCTAATGACCCTATGACATAGGTAGGAAGGAAAGCAGCTGCTACCATTTTTCAGATGAGAAAACTAAGGCTCAGAGAGGTTATGTCACTGGCCCCAGGAGGTCTCGGGAGAGGAGAGATTCACTGTTTGTCTTCTGCCTCCTCCAGAGTCTGTGATCTTACCATATTTGTATAACTGTATATGCACATTACAAAGAATATGAGCTATTCCTCTTAGCTTTCTTCTTAAAAGACCAATAAATCATTTGTGATTTCTCTAATGGAGAGTAAATGAATATGAAGAGCCCTTCCCCTTGTTTTGAAACTGACAATAACAATAGCTACCATTTATTGAGCGCTCACTGTGTGCCAGGCTCTGTGCTAAGTGCTTTGGATGCAAGTCTTATTGAATCTCATTTAATCATTACCACAACCCTGCAGGGTAGAACCAGCCCCATTTCAGAGATGAGTTTGTAACTGGCCCCAGATCACTCAGAAAATGGCAGAGCCAAGATTCAAATCTAGGTTTTCCTAACTCCAAGACTCTTAAATTAATGGAGCCAACATCAGATTCTAGGTTAGAGAATAGTCCCTGACCAATGTGCCCATGGACCCAACTGACTTCAGAGCCTTCTGTGTTCTGAAGCCAATTGTGGGCTGCATCTGTCCAGTGTATTTGCAGGAACTGAGAAACACACCTGTCCAGGCAATAGAGACCCAGAGCCCAGGACTACTTTCGGATAACACCACCCAGGATCTTGCAGCTAGAGAACAATCAGAGCTGCCATCACCCAGGCAATTGGGCCTTTCTCAATACAGAGTCAAAAAACTTCTCCAAATCCTGACTCTCTTTTTCTTCTCTGGATGCCACCTGCATGTCAGGCAATGAAGAGAAATCACTTGTCAGAAGTTCCAACTAAGATGTGAGTTTCAGGCTCTTGATAGGATCCAAAACCACCCATGTTAAGAGTGGTCCAGGCTACAGAGCAAGAAGGCATCTTGTCTTCCCTGAATTATAGTACTTCTTCTAAATAGCAACCCATTAAGAGAAGAGAGAGGCTTCTAGCTGCCTGTAAGCTCAATCCCACAGCCCCTGGAGATCAGATCACCTGGCACTTTACTGAAACAAAAAGCCGCAAATCAATATCCCTTCACAATCTCTGGAAGCCAGCACGTCACAGATCCCAGGAAACTAATGGAGCAGAAGTCCTTTTCTCTGGGAAAAAACTAACCCAACCTGGAAGGAAGCTCTATTGGCATTAAAGAACCTGGAGCCTCCTTTCAGGAACTGCCCCAGAGAATCAGAACCCAGTGTGGTGAGGCTGGAGGAAGAGCCTAGCCTGGTCATGGCTTCTCCTCTCTGCTTGCTTGGCTCTGTGGAACTAAACACCCTCCAGCACTGAAGTGATTCCATCAGCCACTTCCTGTGCTCCGGGGGAATGTGCCTGACACAGGGGAGGACATCCAATGCCCTCTTGGCCCTCAGGTCTGTATTTCAGGCAGCCCAGTTCCCCAGCTGAGCCCCAGCAATGTCCACTGCCTCTTTGGAACTCTCTGCCCTCCGCTAAAGCTAACTTCTCATCAACTGTCTTCTCCTCCAGGGGGCTGTTCAAAAACTCTCTCTAGGCCTTGCACTTCTTAGCCAGGAACTGAAAGAATGATTTTCAATCACAAACTGTGTACAGTTCCTTCTCAAAGGGGTGTGTTCCTCTTGGCCAGCCAATATAGACCATGTCCCACCTCCCACAAAACAGGTTCCCTGGACTGTTGCATGAGACAAACTTAAGCGAAGGCAGAGGCAGGAATGTGTCTAATGCATCCTTGCTTGAACAGACACCGCCCTGCAGTGAATAGAAAATTCACCGAAAATTGAAAAGTATTTGTATAGCTCAGTGGCTCTCAACTTTTTCATCTTCAAGGATCTCTTGGGTTAAACCCCAGCCTTAATGATATTTTATCTACCAAACCAAATCAAGTAATAAGTTACTTGCCAGATGTTGCTCAGCAAAGGCACAGCACTGCCTATCTAAGCTTCTGATCAGACTGAGATAACCAGGAATCTCAACCACACTGAGTGGGTATCATTCCAGCCTGAAACCCAGACACTGGATGTTTGTTTTAGCCTGTATTATCTGGCCCAGGTAAAGGTACAAATACCTTCAGGCCTTTTGAAACACTGACAAGACCCTGTACAAGGGGTCGTTGGTGGTACTTCCTGGAAAACGTGGAAGCAAGAGGCAGGTACAGGAATCAGGGCGATCTCTAGAGGAAGGGCTATTAACCAGTAAACAGGGTGATGCACAGTTGCCCGGCCACACCCCCACTGAGATTCCTGCAGTTCAGGAGGTCCTGCACAGAAAATCTCAAGGGTCTGTTCTAAGCACTTTCCTGTCCACTGCTCTTTAACACAGAGGTGAGAGAGGCAGGGGCAGGAATGGCTAGTCCCATTCTACCTAGCAAAAAACCGCTACTCTGGCCTTGCCCAGGACTTCGGCATGAGTGGGTATGGAGGCTGGCATCAGAACACTGGTCTAGATCCCAGCCCAGTGTCTCCCCTCAAGCACCAGGTCGAAGATCTCTCTCCTCAAATCCAGAGGAAAGGACTCACCTCTGCTAGATAGAGCACGCAGAATTTCAGGTCTTCTGAAGAACCTTTGAGGGAACAAAAAGTAAGATTTGCATTAGAACTGGATAAAGAGCCTCAGCAGTTTGCTCCAGCACAGTCAGCTGTCTTGCCCAGAAGGCTGTGTGTGGCACCTCCTGGGAAAAGAGAGAGGCAGGCATGGGAGGCAGGGAAGTCTCTGGAGGAAAATTGGCTACGTAACTAACCAGGGTAATGTACAGCTCTAAGGCATTTGCCTGCGGGTCAGCCTGGCCCAAGGAATGCTGAAACCTCATCCCCAGGAGAGGTAGCCAGCAGCACCCTCTGGGCATCAGGTACTGGGGGGAGCCCTCATCCATCCCAGGAGGCCTCCTCCCTTCCATGATTTCTGCAGTGAGAGACCTGGAGGCAGCACACATCTGGATTTTCCTTTAAATGCTCCAACTGCCTTTGCCATTTTGAAATTCAATAGGGAGGCTTGTTTTCCGCCAAGGAATGGTGGGCTGTGCAGGTGGATACCCTGTCATAGACTGGGTGGAGCCCAGAGACAGCTTCCAGGCCCAGGCTTCACCTCTCTGTATGTTTTCCTATAGCCTCCTAACCCCTAGTCCAGGATCCCAGTTGCAACCATTCACTAACTCCCCTCCACCTGGGAGGCATCTGGGAGGGCTGTCAGCAACTGCCTCCTTCAGCAGAGGAGCTAAGGTCCAATGTCAACGCCGAGGGAAGGTGATTGCTCAGAGCGCTTCAGAAGCAGGAGGACCAGGAGATGACACCCAGCTTCTGGGAAAAGCTTCCTGAAGGAGGGCCCTGTTGAGTTTGGACTCAAGGTGGGAAGAAAGGACATTCCAAGAGAAGCACAAATTGTGTTCAAGGAAGAGCAAGTGCAGAGAAGCAGCCTGGTCCCTCCCTCCAGGACACCTGCCCTGCCCACTGCAGCCACTCCTCAGGGCCTGGCAGCACTCCCGCTTAGGTCACTTGTCTGGGCACGGTCCTGGGATGGTTACTCCCTGTGACCGTGCAATGGGTCTCACTAGGCAAACTGTCATTGTTGAGGGAAGCAACCACGCAGCACGTAAAACAGTAAATGCTTAAAGGGCCACAGGACCTTAGCGCACCACAGTGCTCCATGCCAACCACTGTTCCTTATGCTTCCCATGGATATGCTTGACCCTCACAACAACCCCTGGAAGACAGGGCTCTTTTCACCCAAGACTCTTGAGAAAACTGAGGCACAGATGAATTGAGTAACTTGCCCAGGAGTAAGGAAGAGAATCAAGATTTAGACCCAGGTAGCCTGGATCCAGAGCCCACACTCCTACCACTACACAGCCCACCTCTCAAATGCCCACCACATATGCCCTATCCAGCTCCTCTGTCCTCTCAAAGCACCAGGCCAGTGCTGGGCTCAAGGTAGAACCCTTAACACATACTTGAAGTAAAGAAATTGTCAAAGACAGCAAAATTAGTTGCAAAGAGAAGACAGCAAGATAAAAATAGAGACTGTGGGTCAAGTCAATTCCTAAGAAAAGCAGTGAATGAGGGCCCTGGTGTGGGTGAAGGCCAGGCCCCCTCGAAGCAAGGTATATGGGCAGTTCTGAGACAAAGCTATCCCTAGGGCCAAGGGCTGCCAGGCACAGCCAGATTAAAAAATCTCCCTTATGTAAATGAGGGTTCACTTCGGACTTAGGGAGAATAAATCTTTCTACTTCTTCCCACCTAGCGATGGACTGGGGAGGGAGGGAGTCCTGCCTAAGAAGTCCATCATGTTTAAGAAAACTGTAATTTCAAAGCTTCTGCTGGTTCCTTGTGTTGCTGAGGGTGGAGACAAGAGGAGGTGGTTTCTTTTGTTTAAGAGAACACACTGGGACATTTCTTTGGCCTTCCAGAAGCAGATCCTAGTGCCAAGTAAGAGTCAAAAGGATCTATGTAAGAAAATAACAGAAACTTGGGGGTTAGAAGCTGGCGGCAAGAAAAGAGAAGGTTCTAGAAGGGAGAGGAAAGTCCAGGAGATGAGAGCTGCAGGGAAATAGGAGGCTGAGGTTGGGGGAACACTCCCTGAGACATATTTCCTATGGCAGGGAATGGTGGATGGATTGCCTTGACAACTTTTCTGTGCTGTGACACCCTTGCCTCCTTCCCCAACCTCCCTGCATTACTGCAAACTTTCTCTGAAATCTGTTCCACGTCACAGCCTTGTGCTGGCAGTACTTTGAGAGGAGGACGGAATGGGGGCAGCACTCAGCATGGTTCAGAGCCTCATAAAAGAACAACAAACTGAGGAAGCCAAGGGTGCCGGAGAGGAGCTGCAGCTGTAGAAAACAGGCTGCAAGGGGCTGACCCAGGAGAGAAATTCTGCCCCTTCTAGAACATTAGAACTGGGGGCTAGGAGGGAGGAGAAGGGCAGCACGCATCTGGGTTTTCCTTTAAACATTCCAACTGCCTTGGCATTTTGAAATGCAACAAGGAGCCATTGGGTTCCAGAGTGGACCTCGCTTCCCGCAAGGAATACATGGACCATGCAGGAGGGATCCCCAATCACGGGCTGGGTGGGCCCCAGAGATAGCTTCCTGGCCCAGGTCTGACCCCTCCGTCACTTTCCCAGAGCCCTCTCTCACCTGATCTGAGATCCAAAACTCAACCATTAAGCAAACCCCCTTCGCTGTCTGAGGCAAGCAGAAGGGGTATTGTCCCCATTCTCCAGATATAGAGACTGAGGCCCAGGGAGGGAGAACAACATGAATAGGGCATACATTGAGTAAGTGGCAAAGCCGAGCTTTGAAGTGAGGACTGCCTGCCTCCAGAGCCTACGTCCTGACCACCATGTCACACTTCTACCCCTCCACGGTTACTCGTCTGCATTCCACCAGGCTATGAGCCCCAGAGGTGGCAACGTGTCCCTTCCACTGCTACCACCCCAGCACTGCTATCACTGATGTGGGTTCTGAGGACATGCTCAGAAAATGAGGACTAACCAAGAGTTAACTCCAAACATTCCAGCAGCTGAGACCAAAGCAACTGACTTTCTGCAACTGCCTACCTGGCTCTAAGGTGACTGGAGAGCCTAATAATCAGCAAAACATTTCCAGGCCACTTCTGAGACACCAGAGCAGGCCAGAAAGACACACTATGGGCATGACGCTGGCCACCTGGGAGGCAGCAACACAAAGAGTAGCAAAGCTAGCGGGCAGCAGAGGCAGGAAGAGACCACAATGGGCCCCGGCTGACCGGAGATGTTCCAATTGTTAGCGCCAGCTCTCCGCCTGTTCCCATTACACTGCCATTCAGCCCTGCTGAAGCCTAGGGGAGGCTGGGCAGGACGGGGCCAGACAAGATTTAAGTGACTACCACCCAGGAGCCCTGGGGGAGAGGTGCACCCCCAGCTCCCGAACTGAGGCAACACTTCTGCTCTCCTTTTAGTCATTCATTCACACAACAAACATTGATTAGGCACCCACAGTGTTCCATGCCCCAGGCTAGGCCCTGGGAGTATGCTTGGCCAATGGAGCTAAGGACTCTTCAGACAAGTTACACAGGGATACCTTGGTCCCTAGCATGGGGCTGATTCTCCCCTGCCAGGGAGCAGCCCCTGCCAGCCCCAACCAGCCAGAAAGGTTGGGTGCATTCCTTGTTTGCCATCTTCTTTGCCCCAAATTGAATTCTGCATACATGGTGGTTTGAAAGAGACAAATAAGAAACCTAGGAGTCATGAGCAATATTAATCAGAGACCATTCTGCCAACAGAGGCTCCAGCTGAGGTCCCAAATGCATCCCTTAAAAGCCTCAGGCCCTTGCTGCTGCAGCAGGTCTCTTGGGGCACAGGGGAAGCAGGCAGGAAATTGGACGCCAGGACTCAGAACACTGGGTCCTGCGGCTCCAATTTAGACTGCAGGAGAAGGGGTCACTAAACTTCCATGAGCCTCTGGGCCCACAAGCCTGTCTCAGGGGAGTGGGGGCAGCTGGGGGAAGGCAAGGGCTCTATCGGTGCCTGGAAAGAAATCTAAGCGTTGGATTGTGCACCTAGAAATGGAGCCATTTCCATCCCTCTCAGCAGCTCTCAGGCTCCCTGGAGTTTGGCCCCAAACCATCTATCCAAAAAAATCCAGGGCAGGCAGACACATGCACACACACACACACAGGCCCCTCTCCCACACCAACCCAAGGGGCTCTTCCGTCCATGGTGGTCTCTCCTGAGAAGTACTGCCTTGGCCATCCTCAGCCCTTGTGCAGCTCGCCCTCCATCTGCAGGGAGAGGAAGCCACAGTGCCAAGCTTACACAAGGCTGCAGCTCAAAAGCAGCTCAGCACCTGGAGAGTCTCTGTGACACCCCAAGGCCCCACACCACCCACCTTGACCATCACAACCCAGTGGAGGATGGAGCACACCCCACCCCTAGCTTCAAGTCTGGGGCCTGGGGCCTCCAGAAGGGGAGATCCCAACCAATTCCCCAACCAGGCCCCCAGAGGGGTAGAGGCAGGATAATATAGGCATGGTCCAGCAGCTGCTCACAGCAAGCTCTGGGGTTCTGTGTGAGGGCATCAGAGCTGGGAGGGACACAAAGCGCTGGCCCCACCCTTAGTTCCCAGTCAGAGAAACTGAAGGCAAAGGGAAAGGGCCAGCTGAAGCCACACAGCACAGCACAGCAGTACCACGCCCAGATCCCAGACTCCCAGCCACTGCCCTCAGCTCCTCTACTACCTTCTCCCCGCAACCTCCACCTCCACCCAAATTGTAGCCAGTGTGAGCCTTGCTTCTCTTCCCTCCCTCCTTCTCGCAGGAAGCTGAGCAAACCAGGGTCCTGGGTTATAGCTTCAGCCTTGTAATGTGCACAACAGAGAGAGGGTTCCATTCATGTACCAACCAGGGCATATTACTGAGCCCTGGCCCATCCAGTGCTCCTCCCTCAAATGTGATGGGGTCCTAGACTGTCTGGGCTGGGGGCAGGGAGGGGGAAGCAGAGAAGAAGGGACTCGGTGTGAGTGCATGTGTGAATATGCACACTGCAGGCTGGAGAATGGGCATATGGGAAGCTGGGTGTGAGGGAGCCAGGGAGGGGCTGGGGGTATGGAGAGGATGGCAGGAAAGCCCAGGAACAGAGGCCACTGGAACTCCAACCTAATGCCCTCCAGCAGGCATGGGGAACTCTGGGAATGCCAGTGCCGGAACTGGAGTTGCTCAGGCGGCTTCTTCCCACCGCCCTGTGGTCAGGCTGAGCCCGCCTGGAGGGAGGAGCTGACCCAGTGAGGTGACTTGCTTTTCCCTTCCATGGACAGGGGAAAGGCCAGAGCCCGAGATGGAGAAGTTGTCAGTGGCTTCCTGTGGGGAAGTGAGAGTGGCGGTTCTCATACTGAATGGGTTTCCGAGGAGGAGGAACACTCAGGCACTAAGCAGGCAGGACAGTTTGCAAACAGCCAGGAAGCTTTCCCGAGCAAACCCCACCAAAACAGAATTCTTTCACTGGGTAATATTTTCCTCTCTGCCCCTGTCACCCATCCTCAAACGGGTCTGTTGTTTTCATGATCTGGGAGAGGAAACCGAGCCCCTCTCAGCAGAGACCTCAGGCGCCAAACCAAACCACTGACAGATACTCCCAGCTGGCTTCCCCTCCCACGAGTGGAGGGCGTGGTGGAAAGTTTGGGTTAGAAATTCCCTCCACGCTCCCACATGTGCCTGAGCCCCAGCGGCTTGGGCTCCGCAGGGCCATGCAGCTGAGTAGAGCCGAGTTGCGGTCTCTGTCCACAGATCTGTGGGGTGAGTGGGTGGCAACAAGTATTTATTGGGCACCTGTTATGGGCCAGGCACTTTGCATTTATGACCTAGCTTAATCTTCACAGCAACCTTCTCGGTTACTATTTTTATCCCTATTTACACGGGAGGAAACAGTCTCAGAGAGGCTGAGTACAGTGCCCACAGTCATCCCAGTATGGAGGGACAGGGCCAAGATTTGAGCACAGGTCTGTCTGAATCCAAAGCTCTTCCTACCCGACTCCACAGCCTCTCTGGAAAGTCTCTAGAATAGAAACTTCCCTGAAAACCTCAGGTATATCAGAAGGCTTACCAGCCTAGAAAGAATGCCAGTGTCTGAGACCTACTAGCCCATGGACAGAGCCCAGCAGCACACACTCCAGTGCCCTACGGATGACTGGCAGCCAGATCCCAGAGGGCTGCCCAGAGCAGTGGGACTGGGGCAAGTTGAGAGGGGCTCTGGGCACCTACGGCATCTGCTTACCTTCCTGCAGCTTCACACTCTGGAGGTAGAGGGGGTTCCTCAGGACGTCGCAGCGGCCAGGCTCGTCCTCCTTGGTGAAGAGCAGCAGGTCCGAATAGGCAAACAGTGTCACCTGGGTTGACAGAGAGCAAACAGAACTGGCTACTTTGCTGTCCTCTGGAGGCTGAGAGCCACAACCTCCCCGAGAAGGTGGGGAGCCACAGCCTCCCCAGATAATGCATCCTCATCATCTCACACAAAACCAGGAGCAGTGCTCAGTACAGCCTCAGCCAAGGGCAGTCCTGACCTGCAGTCAAGATGGCCCCATCACCCTCCAGCTTCCTATACTTCCACTCCTCAAAGTAGGAAAAAAGCAAACAGAAGGGGAAAAGTGGCCCTCACCCTCCATGGCAGCTGGTCTCTGCAAGCCTCTCCACAGCCTGATCCCCGAAGCCTACATCTCTGACCAAATGCTCCTGGAGCCTCCAGCCCAGCACCTGGGGCTTGGAGCAATCCTTAAGCTGTAAGATTTTCCATATTTGCTTTTATTCTGCTCTAAGTGTCTGGCTGAAAGAGCACTGGACTTGAAAGTCAGAAGTCAGGAGGCTCCTATCCCAGCTCTGCCACCAACTAGCCACAAAAATATTGGCTTAAACCCCTTAACCCCTTCAGTTTTCTCAACAGCCCAAACAGGGAGAAGAGTCCCTGCTTGGCATTCTTACAGGATCCTTCCAAGAGCTTTTTGCAGACCTAGTAAAGCGCCACACAATGTGAGCTAATATTATCAAATTCCTTGTGGATAAGTTTAATTGCATTAATGAGAAATCAGTTTAAGAAACAGCCAGTTACTCACACTCTAGTACAGACATGGACATCACTTTTATCTTTTTCATGCATTAGCTGCTCCAAAAATAAAGGCAGAGGCTATTCTTAGACATTATAGGTAAACCAACAGGCACGCTCAGCATATTTTTATGCTAAGAAAATCCACTTGATCCTTTAATGCCACTAAAGATTACACTGTTCTTTGTTTTGCAAATCCTGCAGTGGCCTTTAGTCAAAAGCAATAAAATCCAATTTTAGATTCTCCAAAGAAAACAAAGTGTTATTAAGTATGTGAACTTCCCTTTGAGATATCAAACACCTGACACCTTGTCTCTTCTGAAGAAGAACCAGCCAGAAGGGCTTGGCATGCACTGAAGGGTACCGTGAGTGTGTGTTGGACTGTTGGTGACATTTAAAAAGCCAACAGGTTGACATTCAGCTATCAACCTGTTAAAGATGACCCCACAGCCTCACTTCTGAGACTCTATCCTACAGAAATACTTACAAGGAGGTATAAATATGAACATATGAGGATGTTCTCAGCAGCATTTTTGTAATTTAAGAAAATAACAAACATTCATCAAGAGAAGATGAATAAAATGAATTGTGCTAACTTCATACGGCAGAATTTTATGCAACTATTAAAAAATAAAGTAGAGCTATGTGGGCAGAAATAGAAATCTGTCTATCGTAAATCAAAATAGTACAATGTGCAAAAATATCTAGCATAGAATCCAATTTTGTAAAACAAAACAACACATTTCTCTATAGTTATACATTTTTAAAATAGTTAAGATGCCACACTCCTCACTCCAGGGAGTGGGATTTTAATTGATACATTTTGATTTAATGTGTATTATATTTGCAATCACTGTTACTTTTGTAATTTAAAAATATAGAATATATATCAAAATATGGCTTGGCTTCTTGAGTGTAGCACAAATACAGAGGCTTGAGGAAATCTGGGCTGCAGAGACAACAGGGAGACGTCCTTGAAGGAGCTCTCAGGGGCTTTGGCTTCTCCAATGGGGCCCAAACATGAGGACTCCAGAACCCTGGGCTATAAGGCATCTTGGTAGTGACCCTAACCCTTCCCACCACAGCCCTGTCTCAGTGCAGCCCAAGAGAAGTCTTCAAGTGTTGAACGCTTCCTTTCTGCTCAGTGGATCCTCACTTATAAATAACACCACTGCCCTCATTTACAGATGAGGACCCTAGAGCTCAGACAGGTTAAGTGACCTGTCCATGGCCACACAGCCAGGGACCATTACCCAGGTATAGCTGACCTAAAGCTATCACTATACAGAGAGATACCAATGTGCTTACAGCTGTGCAGTTCCTGAATGTGAAAGAATCCAGAGACCAAAGAGGTGGAGCAAATGAGGCAAAAATAATAATTAATAATAATAATGATAATAATAATGTTAAGAGATGAGGTGAAGAAAATGACTCAAGAGCTCAGAAGGAGTCAAGGAATTGGTTGTCTGAGAAGACTTCAAAGTCCGAGCAATGGAAAGAAGGCTCTAAACTAGCCAGAAACACAAAGCAAACCCTCAGGGTCCCACAAAACGTGTCGCTGACTCAAGGGAAATCTGGTAGTCACCTCCAGACCCAGAGGGAGGCTGGCAGGGGAAGGGCTGGAGCCGACAATCTGTCAGGAGCCTAGAAAGTTTAAAAAAAAAAAAAAAAAAAAAACAGCCCAGGCCCAGAGAGGGGTGGAAGTAGGGCAAGTAGGAGGAGCCACCAGCAACTGGGGAAGAACCATGAGCAAGGTGAGAAAAGGCCCAGGCCACCACTCTGGCTCAGATTCCCAGGGCTGAGAATATGGTCTAGACAGGAAGTGATTAAGGCATAAATGAAAAATTTCCCAAAGGTTGGGTCAGGGAAAGGCCAGAGCTGGCACACAGCTGGAGGCAGAGCAGAGGGGCAAGCGTGCCGGGGAGGGCATGTGGACTCCCCCATCTCACCAGCACCAGCAGGGGCCACGGCAGCCCATGGGAGAGTGATGCCCATCTCCATGGCCCAATCACCTGTCGCCTTCCACAGGCCACGGGGGTCACCCAGTGTCTTCCCCACACTTGCTCCAAGGACACATCTGATTTTCCAAAGGGTCAGAGTTGAGGGATCACTTGGTAAGGGGGTCCTTACCACTTGGAGGGTGGCTTCTCCCAAGTGGCCCTAACTAAGCTTCTTCTTGGGAATCTGACCTAAGAGCAGAGTTTACCAAAAAGACTTTGGTGCCTTAGTTAATGGTAAACTCCATGAGTCAGTGTGTAAAGGGAGGGTGTGTCTGTCTTGTGCTTCATGGTATTCCCAGAACCTCGCACAGGGCCATAGACCTCAGGGCACATTAATCAAGTCTATTACTTCTGGAAGGGGCTGTGATGAGGGTAGTTCACGGTGCGGGACTGGATCAGCTCACAGATGTTAGCAAACTTGAGCATGCCCAGAGAAGTGATGGGACAAAGAACCAAGGAGGAACATTCCACAAATAAAGATTTCTGTTGAGTGTAAGGGAGAATGCTCTACAATTTAGCCCTTCCCAGTAAAAAAAAAAACCACTGCTCTAATGGGCTGCCCTAGAAGATTCAAGCACCAATCAGAAAACCATTTAACTGGAAAGTTACAAGGAAGCAATTAGCATGGATGACTCCTGAAAGCCTAACCAATGCTGAGATTTCATGAATTTATCCAAATCCCTTTGAATTTTTTTTTTTTTTTTTTTTTGGTGTGAGTAATATGACAGGATGCCCAGATCTACATGTTTGGTTGCCATCATACTTCAACAAAAAGGAATACATTAATATTTATTTTACTTGTCTTCAAATTGTTTCCTTCAATCTTCAAGGCTAAGGGAGAGGGGTCTCTTGGTTCTAAGTCTCCAGAGATCTATAAGGCAGGGTTTTCTGGACGAATTGCAACTGTCACAAGGCTCTGGCTTCAGCTTGTGTTCCTTAGTTTGTCTTTATGCAGACATGCCAGAAGCAGTGTGGGGTCATGGAAAGCATCACTGAGCCAGAAATGACCCGGCTCCATTCCTTACCAGCCTGGAGACTCTTGGGTCCCAGTGAATCTCACTGGAGCCTCAGTTGCCTTAACTACAGAGTGGGGACAATCGTGCCTTTCATGGGGGTGCTGCAAGAGCTAATTGGGGTCAAGTATGTAAAATGCATACACAATGAGGATACACAATAAGTGCTCAATGTTTGCAGATTCAAGGGTAAGTGGACAAACAGAAGAGTGAATTTAGACTTATGTATATGTTTCAGGGTGGCTGCCATCTCTAACTGGCTTCTTATGAGTCTGTGAATTTATGGCCACACCTCAATTTCTGACCCTTGGATGCCAGACTTAGGTCCACCACACTCTCATTCACCAAACATAGCTCTAAGTGACTTCTCATCCCTAAAACTTAAATCCCTCCCAACAGATGAAGTTTTACTCCCACTGAGACAATTCAGAAGATATGCAAAGATTGTTAAGTTCCCAAAGTTTGCAAAGTTCCCAAGAGGAGGTTCGGAAAAGAGGAGGTCCAGAAATACAGTAGGCAACAGCGAGCGGTGGAAGGGAGCATGCAGTCCCCCAGGGCACTCCCTTGAAAAAGATAATGTACATTTGGAATAGATGAGTTCCAGTCCAGTCTGCTTACTTAAAAAACAAACCAACCTCCTGCTTCAGCCACAGTCACACATAGTGTCCCAGAAGGCTGAGGTTTAAAGCGTCCTTACAGACCAACCTCTGACCCTGCCCTTACTGCCTCAAATACACACATACCTACTGCTCAGATGGAAAGACTGAGGAAGAAGGAAGAAATCACATGTGAGCCAGCAGCAGACCTGGGTCTCGATACAAACTTCCTGTCTCCAAGTTTCCTGATCTTTCCACTACCCCAAGCTGCCACTCGACTCAGCCAAGGCAGCTCTACATTGGGGCCTGATCTGCAAAGAGCCTGCTACCCTCACCCCATGGCCCCAGGTAGCCAGGGCAGAGCCCAGGGCTCCAACTTCTGTACCCAAGTAGTTTAAGCTCAGAGACTGAACTGACCAGCTCTGGGGTTGTGTAGATGAATGAAGTTCTCCCAATTAGAGAAAAGCATCCCAGGCCAGCTCCCAGGAAGGGTGACACAGGTCCCATGTCAGCACCCCACAGGCAGAGCTACAACCCAGGCGAAATCATAGACTCGTCTCTCAGAAGAGGACATGGGATTTGGGTTAAAACAGGCCCAGAAAACTCAGGTAAACTGATGCTGGTCTAAAAATTCACTTTGGCTAATAGCTTTACTCTTCCTGCCACCAAAGTCACTCCCCACAGCCAGGGTAAATTGCCATCTCTTCTGCTCCTGAGAGGAAGGTGGGATAAACAATGGGGTGTCTTTAGGGGCTGGGGAAACTTTCTAACCATCAAAGAAGGATTCGACAGCTTTTGAAAGGAGATGTACAAGAAAAAGCTGGGTAGCCTTTGCTAGGGAGAGTGGCGGGGTCCTTCTCAGGTCTCCCCTACCCTGAGAATGTACAATTCTAAGATACTCAGGAAGAGACCAAAGTGAGGGGCCTGGAGAATGCCAATGAAGCCCACCCAGAAAGCCCCCTAAAAAATGCAGGTGAAAGTCTTACCTCGGCAGCCTTGTTCCTCCCTTCATACAGCAGCAGCTCCTCTGACAGCAGGAGGGTCCGGGCAGGATTACAGAGATCTAGAGGCTGGAAATAAAGCAGGCTGAGTGGGCAGTTCAAAAAGAGGCTGGGTGAGGACCCGGGGGGAGGAAGCAGCAGCTTGTCAAAGCCAGCCACAGAGAACCCTCTGACCCAGAGAAGACTGTCAGCCCGCCACCGACCCGAGAACCCACACACCCCCTCATACATAAGATGGAAACAGAAAGAGAGACGCTGCTGTCCTGTGGAACTGTTGCTGCCACCTTCCCCATCAACCCTCACCGTGAGAGCTACACTCATTGACAGGAAGTCTAACCACAGGCTTAGGCCCTCTGCAGTCCTCAGCCCCAGCTCTCACCCCCCACTGCACTGGGCTCCTGGGCCCTCCCAGCCCCCGCCATCCCCCATCTATCCTGTTCATGCCTCACAGGACCAAGAGGCATCCTGAGAGCCACATGCCAAGAGATTTGGTCACTTGAGTCCCTTCAAAGCCAGGCCAGTCCCTGCTCTGCACTCATAGCACACTTGAACTGTCTCCTTCTCAGGCAATCCCCCAAGGGTCAATTATCACCCAAACCTCTCACCCTACTCCCTCACCTTGCCCAGCCCAGCCCAGAGGAAGCTCCCTAAGCTCTGGATTACCCAGCAGGACTTGTCCTTATGACTGTATATTTCTAATATGGCTTCTAAGTACATGACATCAAGCAAGGTGCTTAAAGAAAGATCATGAAACAAATAGCAAGCTGGACCTGAAATCCCAGCTACTTGGGAGGCTGAGGTGGAAGGATCATTTGAGGCCAGGAGCTTGAGGTTACAGTGAGCTGTGATCATACCACTGCACTCCAGCCTGGGGGACACAGCGAGAGACTGTCTCTTAAATAGAAGTAGTTTCTTATACAAATATTAAAATGAACATGAAAATTAGACACAGGCCGCATGTGGTGGCTCATGCCTGTAATCCCAGCACTTTGGAAGGCCGAGGCGGGTGGATCACCTGAGGTCAGGAGTTCGAGACCAGCCTGGCCAACATGGTAAAACCCCGTCTCTACTAAAAATACAAAAAACTAGCCAGGCATGGTCGTGGGCACCTGTAATCCCAGCTACTTGGGAGGCTAAGGCAGGAGAATTGCTTGAACCTGGGAGGTGGAGGTTGCAGTGAGCCGAGATCGCACCCTTGCACTCCGGCCTGGGCAAAAAGAGTGAAACTCCATCTCAAAAAAAAAAAAAGAAAAAGAAAGAAAATTAGACATTGTAGATGCCAAGAACTTTGTGTCACATGCTAAGAAAGAGAAGAGACCCACAGAAAGGCTAAGGCCAGGCCCTGCTGACAGAGCTGTCTAAGGGGAGGCGTGTGAGCTCCCAGAGATGTGTTGCATCCTAACAAAGTGTGCCTACTGGACAGTGACAGGCTCAGACTGGGATGCCAGGGAGACCAGAGAGGCACAGGCAGAAATGAAGCCCGTGGGGCCAAGTCATGTCTATGCTGCTGATAAGACGATAAACCATTAGAATCTTCCTGCAAAGCAATTTGTCAATATGTGTAAAGAGCCTTTAAAATGTTTATGACCCATGACCCAGTCATTTCCCTTTCAGCAATCTCTCCCAAGGAAAATAATCAGAGAGGCAATCCATGCGCAAGGATTTTCATCACAGGGTTATTTACAATAGCAAAAGAGTAGACAGAAGTATCTGAATACAGAACTGGTTAAATAAATACAGTATACCCATATAAAAGAAGAGTGGGCAACCACCGTAAAACACAGAGCATTTAGTGGTGTGGGAAAGGTTCATGCTACAATTTTCCTTTTAAAAAGGCAACATGATATAAAATATAGAATAAGGTCTGTTTTTTAATGTGCATATGCACACAGAAAAGATGCTGAAATGTTCACACTATCATATCTGGGTGATGGAATAAATAAAGATTTTTAGGTTTTTGTTTTGTTTCTTTTTTTTTTGAGACAGAGTCTCACTCTGTCTCCCAGGCTGGAGTGCAGTGGTGTGATCTCGGCTCACTGCAACCTCCACCCCCCAGGTTCAAGCGATTCTCCTGCCTCAGCCTCCCGAATAGCTGGGATTACAGGCGCCTGCCACCGCACCCAGCTAATTTTTTTGTATTTTTAGTAGAGATGGGGTTTTTATCTTGACCAGGCTGGTCTTGAACTCCTGACCTCAAGTGATCCACCACCTAGGCCTCCCAAAGTGCTGGGATTACAGGCGTGAGCCACCACACCTGGCCCAATAAAGGTTATTTTTAAAGAGAAGGAGAGATAAATGGGGAGGAAAAGGGGGAAGAAGAAGAGGCTGGAGTGCAGGGTTATGATCACAGCTCATTGTAACCTCGAACTCCTGGCCTCAAACGATCCTTCCATCTCAGCCTCCCAAGTAGCTGGGATTTCAGGCCCAGCTTGCTGTTTGTTTCATTATCTTTCTTCAAGCACTTTGTTTGACGTTGGAGAATAAGAGCGATCTAGTGAATCGCAGGCCACCAGTGAATACAGGCCAAACTTGTTTGCAGAGACCAGGGAGAGCAGATAAGGCACAGACCCCAAGGGTCTCCCTCAGTTATTTTCAAATAAAAAACCACTGGGTGAGCCAGGGAGCGGGAGCTTTGGCAAACAGTCCCTGTGACATGGCAACAAGCAGCTGGGGTGCACCTGCCCTTTCCCCAGAGAAAGGGGAGGCGAGGTGGGGGAAGGAGAGGACCCTTTCCTTACTGGGCTATCCCGGCCTCACTTTTTCCTGTGTATCTCCCTGGAAATCTCTGCTCCCTCAGTATAAGCCCCTAGAATCCTATGCATCTAAAGCTACTTATCTTTCCCAAAACAGGGCCCTCAGTCCTGGGATAAGTCATCATCCCTGAGTCCTGGGGCAAGGGCCCTCCTCTTTCTCCGTTCCTCCTGAGGGAACCTTTAAGACCAGCCACGGGCTCACCTGAACAAAGACAGGGAACACCAGGACTTTGGGGGCCAGGGTGACGTAGGTGCCATAGCTTGAGTGCGTGGCATGCGGCCTCACAACCGGGCAGTTTTGGTAGTTCCCGTGGCCCTTCATGGTCTGCACTGTCTTCATCAGCCGGGACTTCTTCCCCAGGCCTGTGTAGGACTTCCCTTTACTGGGACTCCCTGATTCTGTGAAACAGAGATGGGGGACTATGAGACATTTCCGTCACTCCTGCAAAGGTGTCCCCTCTGTAGAAACAGGGGACACGGACTCATTCCGTCAACAACCACTTTCTGAGCAGCTACTTTGTGCCAGGCCCTGCGCACGATGCTGAAACACAGGGAGGCTTCACATGGGCTCGGGCTTCAAGGAATTCCCTCGCACTCTAGTGAGAGACGTTGACACGTGAGCAAGCAAGTCCAGGGCTAGCACAGCGCTGGGCACCACCAGCTATGATGGAGGCAGCACACTCCACCTGCTGACCCAGGCCCCGGATCAGAATTTCCATTTTGGCCTCAGTCTTTTAAAAATCAAGAAATCGCTCATATTTGAAAAATCAGAAGATCTGTCCTCACTGAGCCCACAGTCCCACGTGGAACAATCAGTTGGAGCAGAGTGGTGACCAGCCTGTGTGGCAGGGTACGCGCTCTCCTTAACAGACCCCCACACCATTCCCACTACTCCCTGCACAAGCTCAGCCCAGCCCAATCTGTTTCCTCCCTCCCTGCCCCACAGACAAAAATCCACTCTCTGCAGCAGTGGCAGCGGAGACCAAAGGCTTTCCCAGGATGTACTGGAGTCCTCCCTCTGTAGCCAAGGGAGCTAGAGCAGCCTGGCCCACTCCAGTCAGTCTAGAATAAGGAGTGGCACTTGCTGCCCCAGGTCACAGGAAAGCGCACAAGCTTCAAAGCCAGGTGGCTGTGCTCAAATCCTGCTCCCCTGCTTACCAGCTCAGTGAGCTTGGGCAACTTATTTCACCCTCAGAGTCTTGATTTCCTCAACTGTAACAATAGTGCCAAGCTCACTGGGTTACAGTGAAGATTAAATGAAATACTCTAAGTTCACTTAGAGTCTTTAGAACAGTGCCTGGGACCTAGTAAGTGTGTGATAAAAGTTAGCTGCAAACTCAGTGTTGTTTCGTTGTTGTGATTTCTCCACTTGGAAAAGCAAGTTTGGGAGTCAGGTGCCCCATAGGACTCTGGGAATCCCAGGCTTCACTGTACCCAGGAGGTACTCCGGCTTGGCCACCAACTCACAAATCATTCTAATCATAAGGAGAGAGAGAGAGAAACAGAGAAACAAGACCACCCCCAGGAAGGACAGCAGAGGCTGCAACGGCGGTGTGGGGGGAGGGGTCCCTCTTTAAGGGGACACTGATGGACACACACCCCTCACCCTGAACAAGGGGTGGTGCACACGTTTTTGTTGTTGTTTTTTTGTTTGTTTGTTTGAGACGGAGTTTCCCTCTTATTGCTCAGGCTGGAGTGCAGTGGCCGATCTCGGCTCACCACAACCCCCACCTCCCAGGTTCAAGTGATTCTCCTGCCTCAGTCCCCCAAGTAGCTGGGATTACAGGCATGCACCACCACGCCCGGCTAATTTTGTATTTTTAGTAGAGACACAGTTTCTCCATGTTGGTCAGGCTGGTCTCGAACTCCCAACCTCAGGTGATCCGCCCGCCTCAGCCTCCCAAAGTGCTGGGATTACAGGCATGAGCCACCATGCCCAGCCTGTGCACAGGTTTTTGTTACATTCCGTCTAGTAGGCAGAGGGACAAAACACAAAGTCGCTAAAAAGTCAGGGGTTCCTGGACCAAGCAGGTGGGAGGGAAACTCCAAAGCAGTCAGGCTCCACACACTCCTGGGCCCCTTCTAAGGCATTCCTGCTACTGTATGGGCAACTACCAGGTCCTCACTGACCTGGGTGCCCAGCCTGGGTCCTGGGTGCAGGCTGTCTTCTGCTGCCAGCAGCCCTGGCAGCGAGGGGGGAACAGGTGGCCTGACCCCAGCTATACCTCAGGGAAGCTCCCCACCAACGCGCACCCACAGCCTCGGAGATAAAACTCACCTCAGAAGGTTTCACACTTGCTTCCTCCTCCCACCCCCAGCCCCTTCTCACCAAGCAAGGTAAGAAAAACAAGTTGACTCCCCCCGTGCCCCTGACAAGTGACCACTGATCATAGACAAATCTGGGGGCAGCGCTCAAACCATGATAACTCAAACCACTTCCTGCCTCTTCTGTGAGTCACGGAGAGAGGAGTAGAATGAGCATGAGCCCTGGATGGGCACAGGAGGAACAGATACAAGGAAGATGTCACATAGCTCCTTGTCTGATCTGGCCCTACATATCAGTCCCAGAGGGATGTGTGCTGCCAGGCCCTGGACCCTTTGTTTAAAGCACCATCCTCAGTCTCAAGATCATCACTGAATTTGAGTTGGATAAGACACCCGAGCTTGATCACTGACTTCCCAAGTCAGAGACAGTCTGTGTAACCCTGAACAGCTTCCTTCCTTCTCTGAATCAAAGTTTTCTCCACTTTGAAGTGGAGATAATACTGATTGCTGCCTCGCTTGCCCCAGGGCCAGTGGGAGGTTCACACAAGAGACCTGATGGAAAAGAGCTTGGTGGATTGTACCACAGTGTGAGTAGTCAGGGGATTATCACAAATCCTAAGCCTCCAAGTAATCCACCTACCAGGGTTAGTAGAAGGATAGGCAGGGCTGCTCGGTCTCAAACCATGCTGTGAATGAAACCCCATGGCCAGCCTGGATCTAGACAGTCTAATTTAACATGGTTAAGCCTACAGCAGAGAAGGCAAAACCATGCAGGACTGACAAGCAGATGACTGGAACAAAATAGACCAAAAGTAAAGATGGGTACCAACTGTAAATGCCAAAATCTGGGTCCTGGGCCCCCAGTCTCGGACTTCTTAAAAAATTGATTTCTTCCCTTCTCTAGCCCAGGGGCCCAGGGCTGTCACAGAATCCTCACCAAGGGCCTCACCTGAAGTACCCAACACATAATTCTGCCTTCAGAGAGGAAAAGTCGGCTCAGCCCCATTTTGTAGACAAGGAAACTGAGGTCTGGAATGGTAGGGTGACTGGTCATTTGGCTAGTAAATTATACAAGGCAGGATTAACCCAACCTATGCAGCAGTCATGCCCTTGTGCCCAATCTCCACCCACCCCTGGATAATATGTGGCTAGTGGGAGTGGCTCTGTAAAACTGATTTTTTTTTTTTTTTAGAACAGTACAGCTTGCAACCCAGTTACTGAGCTCTGTGAAGGCAAACTCATTTACTTCCCACCTGCTACCGATGTCTGGTCCAAACCCCCATATCACCCTTTTCTCCTCCAACACCTGCTTCACCGACCAAATACAGTAATTACAGGGCTTTGCTCCCAGATTCTGAGGCGAGCCCTGGCAGCCACCCTGCCCTGGCAGTGGCGAATCTGAGGCCAGGTCACCTTTACAGGGCAGGGACAATGCCAAGGGCACCAGCAGCCCTGGGAAACATGCCAACCACAGCCGGGCAGGCACTCTGGGCTCCGGAAGGGCACCAGACCCTATTCAACTCAGGATGGCTTAACTCTCCCTCCTATTCAACTCAGGATGACCCAACACTCCTGAAGGGCTATCTCTTGGCAGCCCAGCCAGAGGAGGGGGACTAAGAAGCCAGCACCCTGGTGACAGCCTTAACCTCTGGACAATCCCAAGTGTGTTTAAGGGAAATTGTGTGCCCTGAATTTCACCCTTTCCTCTGAATCCTAAAATTGTGAGCTACAAAGACTTGATCCCTGGTAAAGAGTGAAGATTTATTATTATGAAGAATACATAAAGTAAGGTCAGGATCTTAATACAATGCATTCAAAGAGCTAGCATGGTTATTAATATCATCATCATTTCCTCACTTGTCCCTTTCCCCATGGCTTAGATAACTGTGCTCTTGCTGACTTACTATGTATTATACTCTCAGAGGGGAATGAAACATGGATACAGGCTGGGAGCACAGAAGGGAGACACAGAAGTACCTCTCAACTGAGAAGGAATCAACCCCAGACACCAGCCTGTGTGCATGGGCCCACTCCAGGCAGCACACTTCTCCAGCCCCCCTCCTCCACGACCAGACTCCAAAGCCTCAGAGGCAACCCAAGTCGTTCTCCTTCAGTCAGTCACACAACCAAAATTCTACTGAGTATCTGCCATCCGCCAGGCCCTGGGTCCTGCACTGGACCTACAGAAATAAGCCAGGCCCAGGCCTTGACCCTAATGAAGTCCCTACTTAGCTGCAGCATCTCCACTCTAACCTAATGTGCCAACCAAAAGCTTTTTAAAAACTCATCATTGATGGAATACTACTCAGCCATAAAAGGGAATGAATTAACGGCATTTGCAGCGACCTGGATGAGATTGGAGACTATTTTTCTAAGTGAAGTAACTCAGGAATGGAAAACCAAACATTGTATGTTCTCAACGATACATGGGAGCTAAGCTATGAGGACGCAAAGGCATAAGAATGATACCATGGACTTTGCAGACTTCGGGGGAAGGATGGGAGGGGGGTGAGAGATAAAAGACTACGAATGGGGTGCAGTATATTCTGCTCGGGTTATGGGTGCACCAAAATCTCACAAATCACCACTAAAAATCTTACGTAACCAAATACCACTTGTACCCCAATAATCTATGGAAAAATAAAAAATAAAAATAAAACTCATCATTGAATTGCTGTCGGACTTCTCCCCAGAAGGAACACAGATTTATTTCCAACTGACCAGGCTCAACTGCCCAAATGCCCCAGACCGGAGAGAAAGAAGATGTCTTCCATCAGCATCCCTGAGCCTGATGGGAGCGCTTCACACCCGCAAAAGGCACAAGCACTTTTCCAACTACCCCCTAGAAGCATCGCCTTCACACCACTGAGAGGGGAACAGCAAGGAAGCAAGTCTGTGAGTGGCTAAGCAAAAGCCACTGTCAAGGAAGGCGGTCCAGACACCAGATGGACTTCTGAGTCAAAGCTTTCTGGCAGGCACGCGAAGGATCTCAAGGAATGCCCAGCCAGCTTCAGCCTCAAGACCAATATCTCAGCCTTCCTGGGAGAAGAAAGTGGTTTTGAGCTCAGCTTCCACCCCTGATCAGGATTTTAAAAGCCAAAGAAGAAGAATCCATCCAGCAGCAGAGACATCTGTGCACTTCAAAGACAGCTACCCTCTGTATAGCCTCTCTCAGTATACAGGCAACTACTCATAACCATTCTCTCATGGGATCCCCCCAACAACCCTCTGAGGTAGGAATTATTGACCCCATTTTATAAATGAAGAAACTGAGGCTCAGCGAGGGGACAGGATTTTTTTTTTTTTTTAGACAGAGTCTCGCTCTGTCACCCAGGCTAGAGTGCAGTGGCATGATCTCGGCTCATTGCAACCTCTGCCTCCCAGGTTCAAGTGATTCTCCTGCCTCAGCCTCCTGAGTAGCTGGGACTATTGGCGCACACCACCACGCCCAGTAGTGATTTTGTATTTTTAGTAGAGACGGGGTTTCACTGTGTTAGCCAGGATGGTCTCAATCTCCTGACCTCGTGATCCACCCACCTCAGCCTGCCAAAGTGCTGGGATTACAGGAATGAGCCACCACGCCCGACCAAGGAGACATGATTTGCTCAAAGTCATATAGCTAGAACTCCAACTCAAGACCTCCCACCTCCACGCTCCCTGACTCCCTTCCATGCAAGCCCAACCACATTGCCTCTGGCACCTAATATATATCGGTTGCTCTGTAAAATTGGATGAATCTCAATTGAATGCCTGAGGCCTGGACACACGGTCTCTCAAAATGCCCTGGTAAGATCCCCTCTCCTCCTTCTCAGTTCTGGCTTCAAGGAAGAAAGACATTGGTTCCGTGAGGGAGAAAAGGTACCACGTGGAAAGAGAGTCTGTGTCGATAGGCTAAGTGACCTGACTCCATTGGAAAGGCCTCAGAACTCAGGGGCGGAGGCTGGGCCAGGCCTCAGCTGACCCCTGCTGCCTCTCTGAGCTAGGAGGGCACAGCAGCAGCAGGAGACTCACCTTCGGGGATGGTATCCTCCTGGTACACAGGCCGGAGCAGCTGCAAGGGAAAGACAGGAAAACCACCTCAGCCCCAGGAACAGGGCAGGACAGCCCAGGAGGCTGCTGGACACGGGGGCCCCAGGGGAGAGGAAGTGGAGCACCTCAGGGCACAAGAGAAAAACAGCAGTTCTGGTAACCAGCTGAGGGAGGAGGCTGGGAGAGAACACAAAATCCCAGAATATTCAAGTTGAAAGAGGCTTTATGGGTCATGAAGCCTAACCCCTTGGCAAGTCCCCAACTTCCTTTACAGCAGCTGGTTCCAAAGTGCATTCTAGGGAACACTGGAATGGTAAGACGGTACCAACCACGCCCTAAAGTGTGCCCCCATTAGGCAAGTTTGGGAAATGCGGTGTTATTTGGTTGACACCTGCTGTAGTACAGGATGCCAGCAGAGCCTCTACTAGGCTCCTTTGCATTGAGAATCTCCTAGATGAGGAAGAGGGTATGGGATATGTCGCAAGCTTATTTGACCTCAGAACACCTTTTTCCCAGAGCATCTCATGGGACTAATGTTTTGGGGAGCGCACTCCATCATCCCACCATGCAATCATGCAGTGTCTGCTTTCATACCTCCTATGATGGGGGCTCACCACCTACCAAGGCAGCCCATTCCACTGGGGAAAAGCACAGGCTAGTAGAAAGCTCTTCCTTCTGTGAGTTGAAATCTTCCAGCCTGTGCATGCCCTGGTCTTGAATCTGTGCCCTGAGGCCACATAGACCCATCTGTCCTCCCTACCAAGAACAGCCTTGCAGAAGGCAGAGCTAGCACATACCCCATCTCCTTGCCCAACATCGCAGCCCCTCACAGGCTGCTCATCACACAACTTTGGGTCTTCAAGTCTTCCTGGCCTCCCACAGGGACCCAGTACCCTTCACCTTCCCCACACCAGCTGTCCGTACCTGGCTCCCAGGATTCAGCGGGGCCAGGATGATGTAGTTGGGGTCGGTGGGGGCAGTGGCACGGGACAGTGCAGGCAGGGTGTGCTGGCCCCCGCGCTTGGCCACCTCGGTGTAGCGCTCCCAGCCGCCGAGCAGCAGCCCATCAGAGCTGTCACATACCAGGTGGCAGCTGTGGCGCTGCTCAGGCCGTGCCTGGACCCCATGGGTGCAGTTCTTCTCCCGTTTGTTGGGGGGTGACTGGAGGTCATGTGTCGACTTGCAGGAGGCCCGCCGCAGGACCCCGCCATCTGGTCCTGGCTTGACCTGGGGGACCATGCGCCACACGAGTAGGATGATCTCACTGGGGCAGCTCCTGGAAGGTGGGGGATCACACAGACAGGTTGAGCCTGGGGAAAGCCAGTATCAGCCAGAGTGAGGGCCCACAGGGCAGAGAGGATAATGGGGGAAGAGGAGGCAGACACCAGAGGGGAAGCCCCCAGTGTCAGGGCAGGAAGGGATGCAAGAAGCCATTTAAAGAAGAGACAGCAAATGGGTCACCTAGGTCAATTCCTATTGACGGGCAGTGGTTGAGAAGGACCCTGAGGCCAGGCCAGTTTCAACAGGAAAGAGTTCCATACTCAATCCATGATGCTTATCAAAAGCAAGATATAAGCAAGTAAAGCTAGCAGGTCACCTAAGTGCAAGCCCTCATCTGGTTATTCCAGAAGCAGACCTAAAATGGGGCCATCGGGGTTTTACCCTAGAGGATCAAAATTTGGGAGACTCCAATGTTTTCAAGAATATTTTTTTAATTGTGCAATTGAAACATTTGCAACATCTTCATGCCCTTAAATAACAAATGGGCTTAGCTCTTAGGTAACAAAAATTAGCTAAAGCAGAAAGCAACCTCCTGGTGCCCCGTCCTGAACCACAGAGTCTGAGAGCATCTTCCCTGCTGTTTGCTCTGGAATCCAAAAGTGCTCTGAGCCTGAACCTTCCATTCTCAGGCCAAGAAACAGATTCCTTGAAGAGCAAAAGGAATTGCCTGCTCACAGCTAGGCAAAAGAGGGAGCAGCAAGAGCTGGGCCAGGCAAGGCAGTGTGCCCAGGGGTGGGGAGGGTGTGCCATCAGCCTGAGGCCCCAGGCCACCCGCTGTCCCCTGTCACCGGATCTCGTGGGCCAGCTCCACACATTTCCAGTGCTCCACAGGCCTCTCATTCAGCTGCAGCACCGTGTCCAGCTGCTGCAGCCCTGCCCGTTCCGCCGGACCCCCTGCAGGGACAAAGAAAAGCCATTCAGGGGCCCCTGAAGCCTAAGACCCCTTCAAAGGATCTGGAGTCCTTTGCTGCCATGGTGACCTCAGACAAGGACCTCCCTTTTTCTCTAAGTTTCTTCATCCGTGAAATGAGGGACTGAACTTGGTGCCTCTCAAGAGCCTTGAAAGAAGGCATCCCTTTGCCTTCCCTTCTCCCTGCTTGCCTCCCCTACTGCTGGCTTACCTCCCCTACTGCTGGCTTACCTCTCTGCAGTCCACCCTTCTACCCGGGCCCTTACCCCTCCCCAGGGCCTCCTACCCCATTGAGAACCTTCCCTGGGGCCAGGCTCCCACACTACATTTATTCCTTCTCTGCCAATCATTGTGCACGAACCTCATGCCCACCCTTGTGTAGGCACTGGAAACACCCTGACCACTGAGCCCTGGCTTCTGTCTTTGAGATGCTCACTCTGTGATTAAGAGAAATCTTCATTTGTGAAAAGTAGGGAAGGATGGCTCTTTTTAAGTGCTGATCAGGCTCTGGATAGGATACAAAACAGCTTCAAATAGAGTTCACAAATGACTCTCATTTTCCCTTGCAGCCATTGCTGAAAATATAGGTTTAGTTCCTGTTCAAACTGATTGGGAAACAAAATATAAAAACCTATTTTCATTTTGATAAAAACAACAAAAAAAAAGTGGGCATATTTTCATAAATGGCAGTTTCATCTACGGTCACTTAAAAATATTATTCTTTTCATTTTGAAAAGCCAGGACACTTTGCTCCAGTTTGGGGCTCCCCTTTTAGTTCCAGACTATGTTTGCAAAGCCCACATGTGTGGTGGGCAAGTGGGGTTGGCATCCCCCTGTCAATAACTTACCGGAATCCACGGCCTGGACTCGAACTGGAGAGTCGCAGCAGATGGTGAAGCCAAAGCCGTCCTTTCCCCTCGGGATGGTGATCTAGGACACAGCCCTGCCCGGTCACTGCCAGAAGCTGGAGGCTCTTGCCTCTACCCCAAGGTCAGGAAGCCCACAGCCCACCCCTGCCAAGAGCCACCCTCCTCTCCAAGGGAACTGGAGGCACAAAGGAGCTAGCCAGCCCCTCAGTGTCCCTATCTCAGCCCAGACAACTTGAGCACTGGGTTGTGGGCCAAGCAGGAAGGCCCAAAGCTCAGCAAGTAAACCCAGGCTGATGTGGGGAGGGCCTGGGATGGACAAGGTCTTGGAAAAGCAAACTTTGCCATCCTGAGCCCCAGCAGCCCCAGCCCTTGATCCAAGGGCCCACCAGCACTGCATGACTCAGCCTCACCTTTGATCCACTGTTTTCCTGGCTCCCTTCTTCCTTTCTCACAGAGGTTCACAGAGCGTTAGCCTGGGGCGGGCCCTGTGCTAAGGGCCCAAAGTCAAGGCCAGCCTGGTCACTGCCCTCCCAGAGCACAGGGGAGGAAACACTGGGACACACTCACTCCATCTCAGGCCAAGGGTCAGAGGAAGAGAGCTGAGGTTCTGGGGGCCAATCTGTGGCCAGGGCCCCAAGGCATCCCATGAGGACTCCCAGGTAAGGTCACAGATAGGCTTCCTGGCTGAACCTGAACTAGCCACTGACTCATGTGCCTGCTGAGGCCCATGTGCTTGACAGGTCCACAACTCCTACTTTCAGAAGTCCATGAGAGGGCCTTGCCATCTGGATGCTCTTTTCAAACTGGCACACAATTATTGAGCTCCTACAGCATGCCAGGCTCTGTGGACATACAGAGGCATGCAGCCTTGGTCTCTGGTTCCCAGAGGAGCACGAGGGTACACAAACCTCTCCAGAGTGAAGCAGGGCACAGCGGGCACTAAAGAAAAGCAGGAGGACTGGGCCATTCTCAGTCCTTTATGCTCCGACTATGGACGCCATGCTTGGCACATGGTAGGAACTCAGCAGAGGCTAATGCAGGGAGGACAGCCTGGCAGTGTCCCACACACAGGAGGATGTAGGGTGGTCTGCCAGCCCATTCCGGCTGCTAAAGGCAGCACAAATCAGAAAAGGGATTCAAGGGGTCCCGAGAGACCCCCTAGAGAAACTGGGACTTGGGGTGGGCCCTGGTGAGGCACAGGGAAGGGTGTCCCAAGTGAGTTGAGACAAAGGCCAGCTCAGCAAGCTTGGAAAAGGTCAAGGGCACAAGCCTTGTCAGGAGACTTCTGTCTCCTTCCTTTGAGGGTTGTCCCTGCAAGACTAGGCACCTGCACTCATTCACCTACCCACCATCCCAGGGCCAGGCATAAGGAAGGTGAGTGGGAGGGGGCTCAGAGTGACCAAGGGCCTTGGAAGCTGCAGGGACCTCTGAGGCTCTGCTTCCCACCAGCCCCGGGCCTGGATTCAAAGCAAGTTTGTAAAACAGGAAACCTGACAGACAAGGGGAAGGGGGAGGAGGCAGGAAAATACCCCGTTCCCATAAGAATTCTGGGAAAACACGCAGCTAAGACAGGAAGAGAAAAAAATGGAAAGAAAGAAAGAAAAACAAACGCGGGTACGAGTGTGGAAAGCTGGGGGAAAGGAGCAGCCACTAGTTGCCGGGCCCGCCTGAGGCCAGGGAAGACGCCAGGAGCCTGGCCCCCTCCATGGAACCAGCGGGGATTTTTTAGGGGCCTCACAAGCCAACCCTCAACCCAAGCACAAGCTGGGGTCCCAAAGCCTATCCAGCACTTCCCCACCCCTACCCCATCCAGGGCCAAAGCCCCCTGCATAGAAAACCCATCCCAGCACCCTGGGCTCTGGATGGCCAGTTATGGGGCAGTAACTGGAGAGTGGGGTCTGGGGAGGAGTGTGCTCCAAGAAAACAGCCTCCTCCTCCCACACCCAGACCCCACATCCAAGCAGGACTGTGGGCTGGGGGCCCCTCACCCTCCTGGGCACCAGCTTAAGAAGTGCCAGCCCAGACCACAGTCCAAGCCAGATGGGAGTGTGAAGGAGGGGAAGAGGAGAGGGTGCCGGGAGGCAAGCTCACCTCCTAGCTCGGAGGAAGCAGAATTACACTCTGTCCACCATGATCACTGACCACATTGAGAGGGTAGTGTCCAAAGAACCTGACCATCCCTGCAGCCCCTAGGGGAATGAGTATGCCCATTTTACAGACAAGGAGATAAGACTCGAAGTGCCACCCCCTCCACCCTCCGGCTCTCAGCCCTGCTCTGACCTGGAGGTGAAAGGAGCAGCCCTGCCCCGAGGCCTTGGCGGCTTCTGACAGAGCCTGTCCTTCCTGCGGGTGGTTCTCGCTCTTTCCTGTCCAGGGCAGGAACAGCCACTGCTCCCAGGTCTCACCCATGCCAGCCCCTTACCTCTGCTCTCCTGTCTAGTTTCTGTTCCTCTGTCCTGCCTAGACTGTAATCCCCAAATTCTGCCATGTATTAAACACCTCCTAGATAAATATGCACAGCAGACACTGAGCCAGGCTCTTCACACACATCATCCTATTCACTCCCATGGCACCATCGCTGGATTTCATTATCCTATTTTACTGACTAGGAGATAAAGGCTCAGAGAGGAACAGTGACTTGCTCAAAAGCCACAGCTAAAGAGGAACAGAGCTAGATTTGAGCTCAGACCTGACAAAAAGCTTGCTGCTCTCAATTCTGCACTGGTTTCTAACACAGAAACCATCTTGAACTCTGAGTCCCTGAGCCCTAGGTCCAGCCCACAATTGCTCCTGGCCCCACTCTGACAGCCAGCATGCCCAGTCTTCTAGCCCATAGCCCCAGGGTGACCAAGGACTACTAGATGTCCCAACCAGTGCTCTCTCTGTCTCACCACTCTGCCATCCAGACGCTAGTGTCGCAGGGGCTGCTTTTCCCAGCCCCATGAGGGCAGGAAACACAGAGTGGGGCCTGAAGGGCAGAACCTGAGAGCGGGGGAGGGCTAGAGAGAAAACACTGGATCCCCTAGCAGGCAGGTGGGGGGGCAGGGACCCCTCTGGGCATCTCCCTGGGACCTAAGCACTGCCAGTCAGAGGAGTCAAGACCCACAGTCCAATCTGGTCATTAAAACAAATAGAGGGGCTTCTCTATGTGATTTTTTAAAATCAGGACAATTTCAGAACTCCCTTCCAGATTAGATATCACTTGCCTTCACCATCCCTAACCCCATTCCTATTTTATGAGAAAAAATGGCCCATCACAGTTCTAGAAGAGGCTCAGGGGAGCTAATGGGATCATAATGGCCCAGTCTTCCCCCTTTCTAAGACCGGAGGCTAAGAGGCCAAACCCTCACTGTAAAGTTGGATTCCAAAGCCAAAGGAATCCTGAGCCATAGTGAGGCATCAGCAGTAGGGGAGAGGAAAGTTATACATATGTACATATACACGAAAACACCCGATCTCACATATGAGCACGTGCCAACATACACGCACAGGGGGCAGAATGGGCACTGCTGTCCTGTCAGAAGCAGGAAAAGTTAGCAAAAATACAAACTCTGCTCCCAGCTGCTCAGCAACCATGGCATTTTCAATCTCACACCCACAGCCCCTCCCCAGATAAAAAGAACAGAAAGCTAGCTGGATTATCTCACCAAAAACACCACCCAGCCAGTGGTTAGGACTCCATACAGAGCTGGGCCCTAAAGGGGCCTTGGGTCCAGCTCCTGTCTCTATCCTCCTCCCCATATCCAAGTGAGCCTGCAGGGAGCAGGAAAGGTCAAAGAAGACCTTGTGAGGAGCGAGATCCTTCTCAGATGGTCCCTCTACCCCTATCCCTGAACACCCCACAGGCTCCCCACAAGAGGCCAAGCACCCACCTGGCGGTAGCGGCGCTCCGAGCACACCTTGCAGAGCCCATTGAAGCGGTTCATGGCTGCGGGTCCTGCCTCGGCTGCCGCCCCATGAAAACCCAGCTCTCCCCCAGCAGCGGGAGCCCGCACTGGACCCGTCAGCCTGGCATGAGCACCCTGGGAAGCCCGCCCCACAGAAGAATGGCAGGAAATCACCTCTCACCTCCCCAAGCCCTGTCTGTGCTGTGTGCCTCTGCACGATAAGCCCGAAGGCTTCCTGAAACCTCAGAATGACAAGGAAGAGGGAGAGTTTTATATTAAAATTCCTGTCAACTAGTTAGTATTCCCCGGGCCCGGCGGGGAGAGGGCGCCTTTGTTCTGGCTGCATTCTCCGCCATGGGCCACTTTGTGATTCCAATGTTCTCACAAACACCCCTCACTGGAGGAGAACCCAGGCAGAAAACGTGGCTGCTCTATAACAACACCTCCTCCCCCTGCAAGTCCCAGGGACCCTGCTAGAAATCCAGGAGACTGCCCCAGCCTAAAGAATCCAAGGATACCTTGGGGGGGTTTGCACTCACAGACATCCCATCTCATGACAGGGAACATAAAACATTTGGAGTCTGAAGACCTGCCTGCCACTTGGAAACTACTTAAAAGTCAGTTTCGGCCAGGCGTGGTGGCTCATGCCTATAATCTCAACACTTTGGGAGGCCAAGGCAGATGGATCACTTGGGGTCAGGAGTTCAAGACCAGCCTGGTCAACATGGTAAAACCTTGTCTCTACTTAAAAAATACAAAAATTAGCTGGGCGTGGTGGCAGGCGCCTGTAGTCCTAGCTACTTGGGAGGCTAAGGCAGGAGAATCACTTGAACCCAGGAGGCAGAGGTTGCAGTGAGCTGAGATCATGCCACGGTACTCCAGCCTGGGTGACAGAGAAAGAGTCTGTCTCAAAAAAAAAAAAAAAAAAGTCAATTTATTTGTCCTTTGTCCATGGAAGTGGTTTGCTGTCAGGATCTGGTGATACACATGGACCATAAAGTCAAATGTGGAAGGGATTTCCAGGTCATCAGACAACCCAGCGTCCTCATCTTACTGACAAACAAACTGAGGCCTGGAGAGGTTATGGTCAAACAGCAGGGCAGTGTGGGGCTAGGACCAGAACCTGGGTCCTATTTCTTGCCTGGCAGTCCCAGGATAGCATCCTGCAGAGCAGCGCATGGTGAGCCCAGCTGCTTTTGCCCATCTCAGAGCCCCTGGGGAAGCCCAGCCACACACTCAAGTCCTTGATGACAGAGGGTTCCTTGGTTCAACCCAGCTTTGGTTGCTGTGTGACTGTGGGCAGGTCACCCAGGTTTCTGGGCCTCCATCTCCCCACCTGCACAGCACAGGAGCTGAAGAGATGGCCTCTGGGGGCTCTCCCCCGGCCCCAACCAAGCCTCTGAGAAGCACACCCTCTTTGCTGAGTCCCACAGACATCTCTGAGCACATAAGTTCAGGAAAATCCAGTGCACCTCAGAACAAGGGGCTCAGGGCCTGTGTGCAGAATCCAGCACGCAGGAGGACTTTACAAGCCACCAAGAAACCTGTGATGTTGGAGGAAGCAAACTTACGGTGTTGATGCCCATGTAATTTCCATGAATCACGAGGGAGGCCCCCTGATCACCATCCTCTCTGTGCTTGGCAAGTAGAAAGAGAGGAGGAAAGGTCTTTGCAGTTCCCCACAGAAGCCAGAGGAAAGCTTTTCAACTAATGAAACCACAGAAAACAAACCTGACAAGTTACTCCTGGCAAGTTTCTCTGTCTAACCCAGTCGCAGCTAGACACATGTGCCAGGTAAACTGAAATTACTTAAAACTAAAGTTGACACTCAGTTCCCCAGTCACACTAGCCACTAAGTGCTCAATAGCCACAGGTAGCAGGTGGTCACCACACTGGCCAGCACAGCTCTAGACTGCTCCATGGGGCAGGGCCTTAGACAGGTCCAGAGCTGCATCCCAGCACCCAGCACAGGGCCCAGCCTACATAGGTGGAAATATTTAATGAATGATGAATGAGTGAATGACTTGAGTCAGTGAACGTGAAAATGTTTGGTAGATTGTAATACGCCGATATTGTGTAATACGTAAAATACTATTAGGAACTACAGCAATGTCTTATATTCCCAGCTAGGCCATGCACAGGAGGCAGTGTGCCACAGCACACTGAAAAGGTGGCCAGCCCTCACTCAGAGCCTGCCTTCACCACCTGCCAGCTGTGTGGCCACAGAGAGGGCCTAATGCTCTGAACCATGTATGTCCCTCTCATCTGTGAGATGCGGAAGTAACAGCTGCCTTAGAGCGGGCAGTGAAGATTAGGTAACAGCACCTGGTATACAGGGGCTAATGAATTGCTGGGAGTTTGTTTCTCCTTTTTTTTTTTTTTTTTTTTTGAGATGGAATCTCGTTCTCTTGCCTAGGCTGGAATGCAGCGGTACAATCTCCGCTCACTGCAACCTCCACCTCCCAGGTTCAAGCGATTCTTCTGCCTCAGCCTCCCAAGTAGCTGGGACTACAGGTGCACACCACCATGCCTGGCTAATTTTTGTATTTTTAGTAGAGACATGGTTTCACCATATTAGCCAGGCTGGTCTCGAACTCTTGACCTCAAGTGATCTGCCCACCTCAGCCTTTCAAAGTGCTGGTATTACAGGCATCAGCCACCGTGCCCGGTCCTTTTTTTTTTTTTTTTTTTTTTCAATTGAGACAGAGTCTTGCTCTGTCACCCAGGCTGGAGTGCAGTGGCATGATCTCAGCTCACTGCAACCTCCGCTGCCTGGGTTCAAGTGATTCTCCTGCCTCAGCCTCCCAAGTAGCTGGGACTACAGACGCCCAGCACCATGTCTAGTTAATTTTTTTGTATTTTTAGTAGAGACAAGGTTTCACCGTGTTGGCCAGGCTGGTCTTGAACTCCTTACCTCAGGTGATCCGCCCACCTCGGCCTCCCAAAGTGCTGGGATCACAAGCGTGGGCCACCACACCTGGCCAAGTAATTCCCTCTCTTACTTGTTAAAGAAAACCGTAGATCCCCTGCCATGCCCTGCAAAGAGATGGAATGACTTTTGGAGAATTCTCCCAACTCCTTATATGAAAAAGGCTCCTTTCCAGACTTGAAGCCCTAATAGAGTTAGAACACCTTGGTCTCAGGTTCAGAATCGCAGCTGCCCCCTGACATCAAGCAGGCCTAACCTGGGAGGGTGATTCGGCCTCAGTCCCAGGGGAAGCAGGGGGCCGAGAAGTCTGTGGGAAGGGGAGGACTCGGTTTCTAGAGGCCCAAAGTTAGTAAGATCCAGATGCTTCCATTTCCAGAGGTGGGGGCCTGGCCATTTCCCCACCCCTGCCACGATCATGGATACCCTGAGAAGAGCATTTATTTCCTGTAATACACCTCAGGAAAATCAAGAAATTATTCCTTCTGAGTACATGACTTGCTGAGTTTCAAGCACCAAATGCTGCCCCTTTAGGGGTTTCCCGGGCCCAGGGGCTGTCAAGGAGCAGATCCAGCTCCTGGAGCAATGCCCTAGCTTGTCCCCACCTACCTTTAGTTTCTTCCCATTCTCAGTGTCCCCACCTCCTGGCATTCTCAGCAGCGGGTCTGGAAGGTGACAGAGCAGAATCAGAAAACTTCTGGTGGCAGAGAAGTCTCCCCTCCTCGGACCACCCAGAGGACAGCACTGGGAAACAGGCCCATGGGGCTGCCCAGGGCCACTCCTGGCCTCAGGATGTGGGGACACCTGAGGCTCAATCCAGACAGGGACTCAGGAGCCAGGGCTGCATGTGGGAAAGGCAGAACATGGAAAAGGGTCATGAAATCCACATTCTGAGCCTTAGGGATCATGGCAGGACCTAAACGCCCTGTCTGTAGAGGTGGGTATCCCAAGATGAGCAAGGCAGCCTGGGGGATCCCTGAGACATGGAGCTGGGAAGGGGCCACTGGGGAAGCATAAAGTACCCCACAAGGGAGGGAGCTAAACCACATGGGGTCAGACCATAGCCTCTACAGTAAAAGTCCAACCAGATAAACAGTGGAGGCATGGGCAAGAGGCTTCCTGCAGCCTGCACTCTAGCAAGTGCTCCTGAGAAGTCCCTGCACCCAGCAGGCTGATAGCATTCTCAGTAGCAGGGGCCACCAAATACCAGTACTGATGCCGCTATGCAGGAAAGGAGGGAGGGGGCAGGTCCTGGGAAGGGAAGCTGAAGGGGGTGTGCAGGTACCTCTCAGCGGCCGCAGTCGCCGCCTGGCCACCTTCAAGTGCTTGGTCCGGCCCAGGTGCTCCCCTAGGAGGTAGTACCAACCACTGATCTCCTGTCACGAGAGAAGGAATGGCACGCTCAGACACAGGAGGCAGAAGCACAGGTCAGGCAGCCACCAATCCCCCTCCAAAAGTAGCCACTGGACACCCACCCACAGGAGAGACAGACTCTCCAGCCTTCCTGGCCCCGAGCTGCCATGCCTGCACCTCCAGGAAGCCTTCCGTGATGCTCAGGGCAGATCTGGCTCTCCCCTCTGCCAAATTCCCACAGCCTCTTATCCCTGGAGGACAACCATCTACTTGCCTGTCTCCCCCACTAAGTTGTGCACAGGCTCTTTGATGTGCCTCACACTATGCCTGGTATACAGTAGGAGCCATATTTGTTGACAGAACAGAAGTGAAGGAGTGAAAGAGGGATGGAGAGACCAAAAGGCATCCTGTGGCTCCTGAGCAGTCTCCAGGGGGAACATCTTTTCTAGGAGAATGAAGCCAAGGCTGCAGTCAAGAGAAGCTCTAGACCGGGCGCGGTGGCTCACACCTGTAATCCCAGCACTTTGGGAGGCCGAGACGGGTGGATCACCTGAGGTCAGGAGTTTGAGACCAGCCTGGCCAACATGGTGAAACCCCATCTCTACTAAAAATACAAAAATTAGCCAGGCGTGGTGGCAGATGCCTATAATCCCAGCTACTCAGGAGGCTGAGGCAGGAGAATTGCTTGAACCTGGGAGGCGGAGGTTGCAGCGAGCCAAGATCACAACACTGCATTCCAGCCTGGGCAACAGAGTGAGACTCCGTCTCAAAAGAAAAAAAAAAGAGAGAGAGAGAGAGAAGCTCTTTAGGACTCACATGCAGGATAAAGGGTCCTCAGCCACCCACCCCAGGACAAAAATCTGCGTGGCAGGCCATGCCACAAGCCACCAGGACATTTCCAGGGATGTGCAAAAGGAGTGCTCCCCACCCTCCACCTTCCAGTTTGGGGAGTCCAGTGCAGCGTAGAAATTGATAAGGGACCAGTGACCCAGAGCTAGGAGTCTTGGGTCCCAAAGAGTCCTCCTCCAGCCTGAAGGAAAGCTCCACAGAGGATGGTGCTGCTCACTCCATCCTTGAGCACCTGTTAGGCCCAGAAATATCAGGCCTGGTAGACACATGAAGAGGACCCCTGGAACGGACCACGGGTGCACCTGGCCCTCATCTTCTGGGGCAGGCCCAGGAGTGCTCTGGGCCCCAAGGGATCTGCCAATGTCTTCAACAGCAGACACCAGACTCAGAGCCTCCTGGGAAGACTTGGGGCTGCCTAACAAACTGCTCTCTGGCAAGACAAACCAAGAAGGGGACCCAAACTCTCAGCTAGGCAGGTAATAAACACAGTGCTGCTATGCAGGCCACCCCACAGGGCACCTGTCTCAGTGGGGCACCATCTCACAGAGAGAAGCCCTGCCCAAGAGCTGACAGAGAAACTCTGCCTGTACCAGCCCCGGCCCAGTTGGGATGATCCTGACAGAAGCATCCCTAGGACCCACCTTGTCTGGAGTCAGGAGAGACTTCACCCCAAAGCTCATGCAGCCAATGAGTCCACTCTGTCTGGGAGAACAAGTGAGACTTGAGTCAGCATTTTTTTTCTGGGCTCTATCGGGAGGTCCATTATCAAGTATAGCATGGGTTTGCCTGATGCACTGTGGTTTACAAAGCTTTTTACCCACATCATCTCGTTTGATCCTTCTGACTCTGTGAGGCAGGATAGAGAGGAGCTATTATCTCCATTTTACAGAGGGAAAAATGGAGACTCAGAGTTGGTCCCTTTCCCAAGGTCACAGGACAAGTTCAGCACTGCCTCTACCAAACACAGAAGCTCAGCGGTACTTCATGAGTTTTAACCGTTCTGGTGCTAGGTAGATCTGAAGAGCTGGTCCCCACAGGGAACCTCCTTGCCCACATCATTGGTGATGCTCAGTGGAGGAGAACAGTTATGGGACCTCAAGCTCAAGAAGTTCTATCTCAGGTCCAGGAAGGAGCTGAGCAGTTCTTAGATGGCTACAGATCAAGGTCCAAACCAACCTGACACAAAAGCTGCTGAGACCAATCTGACCTGGCCACCAGCAGGGCAGGTAGGCATGGGCCAGGGTCAGGCCTCATGGGGATGTCAGACTATGGCGAGGGGCTAAATTCAATCTTCTTGGTTAAAAAGAATTCACAGCTGGGCACGGTGGCTCACGCCTGTAATGCCAGCACTTTGGGAGGCACAGGCAGGCAGATCACTTGAGGTCAGGAGTTTGAGAACAGCCTGGCCAACATGGTGAAACCCTGTCTCTACTAAAAATACAAAAATTAGCCCTACGTGGTGGTGCATGCTTATAATCCTAGCTACTCAGGAGGCTGAGGCAGGAGAGTCACTTGAAACCAGGAGGTGGAGTTGCAGTGAGCCAAGATCGCACCACTGCACTGCAGCCTGGGTGACAGAGCCAAGACTCCATCTCAAAAAAAAAGAAGAAGAAGAAGAAGAAGAATTCAGAGTTCCTGAAGAATGTCCACCATTGAGGCTCAATGTCCAATAATCAGGGACTAAGAGTTGGCAGCTTTTAATAATGATGGCATGGGCCAGGTGCAGTGGCTCACACCTGTAATCCAGCACTTTGGAAGGCATCACTTGAGCCCAGGAGTTTGAGACCAGCCTGGACAACAAAGGGAGACACCATCTCTACAAAAAATTTTTAAAATAGCAGGGCATGGTGGCATGAGCCTGTAGCCCCAGCTACTGAGGAGGCTGAGGTAGGAGGATCACTTGAGCCTGGGAGGTCAAAGCTGCAGTGAACTGTGATTGTGTGTTACTGTTCCTCCCTCTTGGGAAGTGGCCAAGTCAGCACTAACAGGAGGCAGTTGCAGCAACAGAGCAAGACACTGTCTCAAAAAAATAATAATGATAACATCAGTTAATATTAATAAAGTCCAAAAATATCTTGATATTGTTAGAGAAAAAGAAGTTTACAAAGCTGTAAATTTAATGAGTAATGTGAGTTTAATGAGAAAGACACCCACAAAAATACTAACAATGGTCATATCTGGTAGGTGGGATTACTAGGGGTTTAATTTTCCTTTATGGGTTTTCACTGTTTGCATAGGGAACAAGTATCGTTTTTATAATCAGGAGAAAAAAAAAGACAGTATCAATATACTTTTAAGGACTTTTATTGTGCCACATCCTGTTCTATCCTGACAGTAAGAGTTTTTTTTTAATGTCATCTTTCTGTTCTCCTCTCTCTTACCCCATCCTCAACTTGGACTAATTCATAGGTTGGTTTAATAACTATTAATCAAGAAACATCGTGGATATTTAGGCTGGAGCATAACCCTGGAGGCTGGCTTCAATAGCTGAAGGACCCACATAGCTGAGAGATTTGGCATGTCCTATGGAAGGCACAATATCAAAACCAAAGATGGAACAGGCTTCTGGATAGGTAGTAAACTCCCTAGAGATGTGTTTTCCAAAACCTGGTCTAAGGGGGCCTGAGCTAGAGCAGTGGTTCTATCCAGAAGTGTACCACAAAACCACCTGAACAGCCTGTCTGAGGTATATGCTCCAGGACTTCTTCCTGAGAACCCAAAATTAGTTGGTCCAAGGTGGGGTTCGAGCATGGGAGCCTGGAGAAAGCTCTCCAGGGTATCCTGCCAAGCACCCACTTATGCCTGCCCCAGTCAAAGACCAGTGATCTAGAAGGTCTCAAAAAAGACATATTGTTCAGATTCTCCAGAAAGCGTGGCAGCTTACCACCGGACAGTCCTAAGCAAAACAAAACTAGCTTCTCACAGGCAGCCAAGTCAAGCGAGGGGTGGGGAGGCAGGATGCTGGGGGATTGCTCCTCAAAACTGGTCCACCTGCCTGCAAACCCATGCTCTGCCCCATGGCCCAGAGCTGAGGCCCCTGCTTCTGGCTGTCTCTCAACAGCTGCTCTCAGTTCATCACTCCTGCTCCCAGCTCCTTCAGCCTTGGCTCCATCTGCTGCCTTCTTCCTTGCCTCTCTCATCATCCAAGGCTCTATTAATAATCTATTCAAAAAGGACAATGCTCTCACCCCAATAAAGTGCCCTTCCACATCCACCTCCCCAGCCCACCACCAAAAACAAATACTCCTCCCCCTTGGGAAGTAGCCAAGTCAGCACTAATAGGAGGCAGTTGCAGTGACTATCATAAACAGCCAAAACTAATCTGAGCTGCCATTCCAGAAAAGCCTTGGCAAGACTTTGCCAAAGTCCTCATACCAATTTCATTTTATTTGTCACACATTCAAGAGAACTCCAGCTGCTATCCAGGTGCCCATACTACTCTGTTGTACACTTCTTTCCTACTGGGTAGGGCTGAAACTTTCAAAGTCTCCAGGCCAATGCATTAGCTCAGCAACCTCTCTCTGCTCTTCACTAAGCGAAATCTTCATTCCCTGGTGTTTAGAGAATGTTAAATGGTTAATAGCCTCCCTCGAGTTTTACTTCCTGCTAAGGGGCCTCCCATGCTTTCATGGTAACTCAGGCAGCGTAAATTGCCACAATTAATGTCCATAAGCAGGAACCTCTCTCTAAGTGTTCTTCAATTAGCTATTTCTTATGCCTGCTTTTGAAAAATCTTTGGAGGAAGAAAGACTTCTTTTAAAGCAACCTGAGTATATGACAATACAGCAGTCAGTTTATAAACTTGGGAACTAGCGCTCACCCTCGGGAGTGCCTGAACTCTCACTAGATGCAAAGTCTCCGGAACCAAGCCTTGGTTAATTCTGACTACCAGTCCCTGAGCTCCAGGCTTGGTGCACTTAGTGAAGGCTTGACAAATGGATGAATCCATCACGTCCACGGTTGGCAGGCACTGGGCAAGGAGCCACAGCGTTAAGGAAACAACACAAACATCCAGGAATTTAAATAGCAGTTCAAGACAGCAATACAGGGGATGTCACAAGACAGGGTGCGATTGACAGATGAACAGTGCAGGCAACAAATTCTGAAGGCTCGGGGACACAAGAGGTAGTTTAGGGCTCACAGGCTGGAAGAAGACCTATGAACTGAGCCAGAGAGAATGAAGAGCATTTTGGGCAGAGGGAACAGCCGTTACAAAGGCTTTGAAGTAACTTCATGCAGCACATATGGGGAATAGTATTCAGTTTACTTTTGAGCATAGGGTTGCAGACTCATTACAAGATGAAAAAATAGATTATTTTTTGAGGAAATGCACTTTAGTTCTCCCTCTCAGGTAAATTATTTCTGTTACAGGGTTATACCATTTAATCCTAATTTATATTTAATTTGATGACTTAAATTGAACTTAGATTTTTCCATTCACTTTTTCCTTAAGCTCAGTACCCATCACTGGTCACAAGCTTTCTGACGTTAGGCCACTGTACTTGGCACTGAGATCTCATTTATAAAACAGATTAAAGGAGAGCATACACTTACAGTGCCTGGGACAGTGCAGGGCAAATCACAAGTAGAATCTCCCTAAATGTACCTACTATTAGTATAAAAGATTATGCCCTGGCTGGGCGCAGTGGCTCACGCCTGTAATCCCAGCACTTTGGGAGGCCAAGGCAGGCAGATCACTTGAGGTCAGGAGTTTGAGATCAGTCTGGCCAACATGGTGAAACCCTGTCTCTACTAAAAATACAAAATTAGCCAAGCGTGGTGGCATGCGCCTGTAATCCCAGCTACTTGGAAGGCTGAGGCAGAAGAATCACTTGAATCCAGGAGGTGGAGGTTTCAGTGAGGTGAGATCGCGCCATTCCACTCCAGCCTGGGTAACAGAGAGAGACTTCATCTCAAAAAAAAAAGATTATGTCCTTGCCTGGGCACGGTGGCTCATGGCTGTAATGTCAGCACTTTGGGAGGCCAAGGCGGGTGGATCACCTGAGGTCAGGAGATGGAGACCAGCCTGGCCAACATGGTGAAACCCCATCTCTACTAAAAATACAAAAATCAGCTGGGCATGGTGGCATGCGCCTGCAGAGTGCCAGCTACTTGGGAGGCTGAGGCCAGAGAATCGCTACCTGGGAGACAGAGTTTGCAGTGAGCTGAGATTATGCACAAGAGTGAAACTCCATCTCAAAAAAAAAGAAAAAAAAATTACTTTAAAAAAAGATTATGCCCTTTAATTACATATATATAACATTCTTTAATTACATATATAAATAATGTTTACATATAATTAATATATAATAATATATAAAGAATATATATAATATATAAATAATTATATATTAGTATATATAATTTCTATATGCTCATATATAATTATAATTAAGTTATGTATAATTATATATACCAATATATAATTATAATTAAGTTATATATAATTATATATACCAATATATAATAATTACGTTACATATAATTATATATACCAATATATAATAATTAAGTTATATATAATTATATATACCGATATATAATTATAATTAGGTTATATATAATTATATATACTGATATATAATTATAATTAGGTTATATATAATTATATATACTGATATATAATTATAATTAGGTTATATATAATTATATATACTGATATAATTATAATTGTTATATATAATTATATATAACGATATATAATTATATTTAAGTTATATATATAATTATATATACCAATATAATTATAATTAAGTTATATATAATTATATATACCAATATAAAATATAATATAATATATTATATTTTATATATTATATAATTTATAATAATATATTATATATTGAACATAATCTTTGGAGGTATAAATATAATACATATATGCATTTTTTACCTTAGTACATAACATTATAATTCTCTCCAAGTCTGTTCCCTGGCCACAAGTTCTGATTAATACTGGAAGCTTCAATTTGTCTTTTGCCATATTATCAAACAGAATTTTTAAAGCTGAGTTCCATATTCAATGGCATATTGAGGAATTACTATTAATTTTTAAGTGTGATAATGTCATCATGATTTTTTTTAAAGCCATCTTTTAGAAATATATACCGATGAGATGAGATGTCTGGGATTTGCTTTAAAATAATTCACTGGAGAAGGGGAAAGTGGATGGGGTGTAAATGAAATAAGATTGGCCATATATTGATAATTGATGAAACTCCGCTATGAGTATATGAGGGTTTATTATATGATACTTTCTACCTCTGCACACATTTGAAAGTGCCTATAAAAAACTCCCAGAAACTTGAAGCTGAAAGAAACATTAGTGATCACTGCATTTTACAGACAAGGAAATTGAGGCTCAGCGCAGGGAAGGGACTGACCCATGGTCATACAGCTAGTCAAAGCTAAGCCAAAATCTACTGTGCTGAGGCCTGGTTCTCCTCAGTTCCCACTGTGATCACCATGATGAACTGAAATCATCTGGCCCTTCCCCAGAACTTCTTTGTAGATCATCTTGTTTCTCTAACACAAGTTCACAGCCATCCCTGGAAGGATCGTGAGAATTAGTGAAACAGATGCTTTCCTGTTATCTCCTATCAGTTTCAAAATGTGACCACCACACATTTGGCTGAATAATTTACATAAAACTCCATTATAAATTCTGCGGTAGCTCATGTCTGTAATCCTAGCACTTTAGGAGGCTGAGGCAGAAGGAGCACTTGCAGCCAGGAGTTGGAGACCAGCCTGGGCAACATAGCAAGGCATCGTCTCTACAAAAAAAAAAAAAAAATTAAGTAGCTGGGTGTGGTGGCATGTACCTGTAGTCCCAGCTACTCAGGAGGCTGAGGCTGGAGGGTCATTAGAGCCCAGGAGTTCAAGGCTGCAGTAAGCTCTAATCACACCACTGCACTCTAGCCTGGGTGACAGAGTGAGATCCTGTCTCAATCAATCAATGAAACTACACTATAAATGCAAAGAGAAGCACCCTGAGTCCTGAGGAGCAAGCATACTGACACAGAAAGAGTATGCTTTGGAGTCATTTATCATCCATGTGAGATGGTCAAGTGTACCGTAATGTAGCTGCGAGAACCTGGACTTGGCGTCAGCTTGCCTGCATTTACATCTTGTTTTCACGGCACCCTATCTGTGTTACCTTAGGCAAGTTATGTAACGCCTCTGTGCCTGTTTCCTCACCTATAAAAGAGCAAAAATAATAATACCTACCTCTTATGTTGTTGTGAGGGTTAAATTGGAGAACGAGTGCCATGTGCTTAATGTCCACACACAGTAAGTGCTTGGTAAATATGAGCTGTTACATAACCTCAAGCAAGTGCCTCGGCTTTCATAAGCCTCAGTTTCCTCTTCTCTGAAGAGAGGGGCAATAATAAGTCCTACCTCTTAGGATCATGATGAGGATAAAATGAGATAATGTATGTAAAGTGCTTGGCACAGAGAAGAATTCCATAAATGTTTGTTTCCTTCCTTCCACAATTGTCTTTCATGTTGATAAGTTGAATGTCCATCCTTCAGAGAGGCACAATTTGATTTGAGAGCATTCAGCAGAGCCGAAGTTTCCTGCAATCACTCTGTCTGCCTCCTCCAGCTCAGAGGCCTTCTCGCTCCGAAATGGATCGATAAAGGAGAGAGGAAAAGGAGAGCGCAAGGAGGCCAGGCCGGCCTGCGTGCTGCTCACAGCTTCACAGGGCCCTCTGCTCCCAAGGCCCTGATCCTCCTGAGCTTCGGGCTGGGACTGTGACCGTGAGTTTGGCTGTAGTTTGTTTAATAAGGCATCTCACTTTCCCAAAATAGGCAACACGTGGAGACACTGCCCCATGACGCTGACTCACTTTCCCTGGCCTCATTTTCTTTTCCAAAAGCCATGAAGGGCATGACCGGCTCCTTCTCCAGCAGTTTGGTGTCTGCCTCCACCCAAAGGGCTTTCTGGGCGTCCATATGCCTCTCTGACACTCTGCTGTCTCCTTCAGGACCTTCCCTTCATTGGCCTGTCCCTTCAAAGACAGGGAGCGGACCCTTGGTCCTTAGCATTCGATGACCTTCCTTGACAATCTCACTTGCTCAGAATTTCACCCACTGCCTTCCTGCTCATGGCTCCCATATCTCTGTCTTCCAAGTTCCAGGTAGGCAAAGGTGAGCCCTACTTCACAGCTCTGACCTGGCTCCCCTCCAAGCACCTGCATCTCACCGTATCCCAAGCTGACTCACCTCCACCTCCAGTAACTCTGTCTTAGGTGGAGACACCACCAGCCGCCCAGGAGTTACCCTTGACTTCTCACACTGCTCTCACAGCCAAATCACCACTAAGCACTACTGATTTAATCTCCTAAATATGGCCTGAGTCTGTTTTCCCCTCCCTAGCCCCAAAGCCTCTCTCTCACCTCAACCTTCCAAAGACCTACCAAAGTGATAGATCTAGAATGTGCATCCATCATTCCCTGGCTTGACACACTTCAGTATCTCCCAATGGCCAGACATTCCCAAACACCAAAGTGACTGCAGGAGGTTCACCCTGCAAACATGTTTAAATGCAGATTTCTCAGCCCTGCCCATGAAGAGTTGGATGTAATTAATCTGACGCGGCACCTAAGAATCTAGGTTCCTGACAAGCATCCCAAGGAATTCTGATGTATATCCAGGATCGAGAACCACCGGCCCTTAGGAGAAACCCCATACTCCAAAGAGAATCTACAGAATCATCTGACTTGGCTTATACCAACCTCTTCAGCTAATCTTTAGCCAGTCCCTACTTTGTACTTAACCTTCCAGCAACGTCAATGAGTTTGCAGATCCCTCCTCACTCCACTCTTGCCCTGCCCTTCCCTCTCTACTTTACTGGCTCTTTCTTCTGTCCTTTCACCTGTCCACCCATGAGTCAGTACAGTGTTGAGAGGAAAGACCCTGGGGTCCAACCACCTGGATTCCATCCCGGCTCTATTGTTAACTGGCTGTATGACCTTAGGCAAATTCCTAACCTCTCTAAACTTTAGTTTCCTCTTCTGAAAACTTAGGACAAAACCACACTCTTCTTAGAGCTGTTGTAAGAATTAAATGAGACAGGCCGGGCGCGGTGGCTCACGCCTGTAATCCCAGCACTTTGGGAGGCCGAGGCGGGTGGATCATGAGGTCAGGAGATCGAGACCATCCTGGCTAACAAGGTGAAACCCCGTCTCTACTAAAAATACAAAAAATTAGCCGGGCGCGGTGGCGGGCGCCTGTAGTCCCAGCTACTCGGGAGGCTGAGGCAGGAGAATGGCGTGAACCCGGGAAGCGGAGCTTGCAGTGAGCCGAGATTGCGCCACTGCAGTCCGCAGTCCGGCCTGGGCGACAGAGCGAGACTCCGTCTCAAAAAAAAAAAAAAAAAAAAAAGAATTAAATGAGACAATGCACTGTTAACCCCTGGCTCCAGGTCAGCACCCAGTCAGCAATTGCTATTGTTATTAACATGACGTCCCCCTCCTCACTCTCAGCTCCAAGTCTCTATCGGTGATCCGATAGGAAAGTCTTTGACCCTATGCATGCATCCCCAGCATGTTGTTGCCACAGTGATACCCAGGAAATGGCAGCTGGATGAATGAATGAATGAGGTTTATTGTACTATACTACCCTAGGATGAAAAGTGGATACTTTATTAAAAGAGAAATCCTTCGTTTTGTATGTTAAATACACCCCGATTTTAAAAAACATATTAGCTAATAACATTTAGAGTACTAAAGAGCATTGAACCCAAAAATGTTTTCCAGGTCTCAGCTGGTGACTTGAGCTGATTTTCATTCACGGAAGCCCCTTTTCAGTCACCATTCAGTGATGTGATTGCTCCGCAAATGATACTGACCATGGGGTATCCCAGATTCCTTAGGCTGCACCAGCCAAATGAGCCACTGCCGCTAACAGTGGGCCATGGCAGTGCATTGCTGTCACTCAACAGCCAATTCTCATGCTCACCTGCCCGGCACTCCTCCCCTGCTCCGCTCTAACTGCCGTCACTAATGGCCACTTCAGCCCTCCTGTGTCCTGCACTGCCTGCAAGATCAGCCTGTTTGGATTCTCCTACACAAAACTTCTATACTCCCTTACCTGGCCTCATCATGGCAGCCTTAGCTTACAGTGAGTATTTCTGCCTCCTTGCCTTTGCTCATGCTTTGCCCTGCCTGGAATGCCATTTCCAACCTTCTTCTTTAGTTGTCTTATTCTTCATCTGTGCCCAAGTTCAAAATTCCACTTTTTCCATGAAGCCTTCCTTGATCATCTCAGACCACAGTGAACTCTCCCTCTTCCCATACTGATGGCCTTTATTACTCATGTCATTCTTTTCTTCATGCAGCCAATATCTAATAAACATCTATATGCCAGGCACTAGGTACTGTGATGACTAAAAAAGAAATAGTCCTGTTTTTCAAGGTGCTTAGAGTCCTGTAGAACTGAGCACGTACATGTTGTTATTGTAATTTCTCTCCATGCAGTGCCTGGTGTCCCCACGTGAACAGTGGACACCTTGAGAATAAATTTCCATGTGTAGGCTGGTCGGCTTCCCCAGTGACCAGCACAGTGCCTTGTTTGATACCGAGTGCTCAGCAAATGCTCATTGATAACACAGTCCTTGGTAACACCTGGAATGATGGAGACTCAAGGAGGGGCAGCCTCTGCAATTTAGTATTGCCACTATCACTCATTTATCCAGAAAGCACTAATCGAACCCCTGGTGTATGCTGGCCACCTGGCTGTCACCCACTAGCCCAGAGCAGAGTCCCCCTCCAGCTCAGCAGCTCTCCTCACCTGGACTGGCTGGCCCTGTTCCACACAGTAACCAAGAGACGCTTCTGATCATCCTCCTCTTGGACAGGACTGCGAAATCAATCAGACCATCGGAGTGTTAGTAAGGGCTGAGCTCCAGGCCATAGCTGACTCATAGAGTCAGTCATAATTCCAAAAATGTGGAAGTAACGTCAACAGCTGGTTAAATAAACTATATTACAAATAAAGTAAGAGATGACTACCTCCATGCATAAAACAGTTTATATTATGTTGTTAAGGACAAAAAGGAGGTTACAACATGCTATTATAAAATAATTCCATTTTCGGGCCGGGCACAGTGGCTCATGCCTGTAATCCCAGCACTTTGGGAGACAGAGGTGGGCGGATCATGAGGTCAGGAGATCGAGACCATCCTGGCTAACACGGTGAAACCCCGTCTCTACTAAAAATACAAAAAAAATTAGCCAGGCATGGCGGCAGGCGCCTGTAGTCCCAGCTACTCCAGAGGCTGAGGCAGGAGAATGGCGTGAACCCAGGAGGCGGAGCTTACAGTGAGCCGAGATTGTGCCACTGCACTCCAGCCTGGGTGACAGAGCAAGACTCCATCTCAAAAAAAAAAATTCCATTTTTGTAAACATACACACACAGACATATACACACACACATGCAAACATACACACCCACACGCAAACATACACATTAAAAGGTCTGAAAAGGTCTGAAAAGGACCTTAAAAGGTCTGAAAAGAAATACAGTAGGGCGTATCTGTGAGTAGGAGGGCTATAGGTGTTTTCTATTTTCTTCTTTTTACTCATCTATATTTTCTATTTTCCTATCATAACCAAAACTACTTTATGTAGTAAGAGAAAAACCAAAATATTAATTTTCACTAATAGGAAAATACAAAATGTACATTACCTTCCCATTGGCCCCAGAGTTCAGAGATTGGGGAAAGAAATAATAACAATAATAGCTGGTACCCTGTGTTATGTTATACTGTCCCATTTATACCCCACAGCTCTCTGAGGTTGCTACTATTATTAGCCCCATTTTACAAATAAGGAAGCCAAGGCTCAGAGAGGTTAGAAAGTTGAAGTAAAAAGGGGGGCAGGGAGGCAAAACATCCTTCAGCTTGGAAAATTCCTTCGGCTAAAGGAGAAAGCTTGGCCCAAGGCACAGTGGGAAATTGCCTACACTTTTTATGGGCTGCCAGCCCCAGGCTGGGCATTTTAGTTATGAGAGCTAGCCAAGTGATACCTTATCACTGTGGACCTCGCTGCTGGGCCTGGTGCCAGGGATGCAAGGACACAAGTGAGTGAGAAAACAAAGACATCCTTTAGAAGGCACTGGTTTTTTTTGTTTTGGTTTTTTTTTTTTTTTTTTTTTTGCATAGATCTAGTTCTAGATTTGGCAAACAGAGCTGTTTCCAGATAAACACTCCTTCCCTCTCCTTTCTAGGGCCCAGCTGCACCAGACTCTTACAAGAAGAAGTGCTCGTGGAAAGCCGGGTCTCTGCAGTCTGGAACGGTCTGCGTCTTCTGGTGGCGTAGTCTACTATCTTCAGGGATCAAAGAAATCTTGAATTGGAAAAAAGGAAGCATGATTAGCGGATCTCATGGCCCACCTAAGCCCAGCAGCTGACTCTGCACATCTCCAAGTTAAAGGCTTCCCAGGGTCCTTCAAGTCAGCCTCTGCAGAGGACAGAATAGAGTCCCCTGTCAGATGCTGCAAGGGAACAAGGAGCCCAGGGCAAGAGACATTGGAGGCAGATGCCAGGACAGGGCCTCATGGTGGGTGGTACCAAAAAGGCAGCCACGGCCCAGCCAGAGCTGGGGTACAACTTTATCATCTCTGCTCTTCCCCCAAGCAGAGTGGTTTCCCCAGAAGCGAAAGGACTCCTCTCTTCTAAGGTCCCAGCAGCTGCTGAGTGCTCCCTTCACGAAGGCTCCAGGTCAGCCTCTGCCAAGGCCCCAAATCCATGTTCTCAACCCAGGGCTGTTCTAGCCCTGCTCCTGATAAATTCCTTGCCAGCAGGGGCTTCTGATCAGCCTGAAGGCTTCAGGAAGAATGCTGAGGGCCAGCACCTGGAACCCCAGCTGCCACACTTTAGGAAGCTCCTGGCCTTTGGCTCTCACTGAAAGTAGAGCCCCACCCCTATAAGGACCCTGTCTTTACAGCAAAAGCCCAACCCAGAAGGATCTTCCAGCCCTCAGAGACACTCCCTCCACTCTACTGCCCAAATCTGGCCATCCTGCCCCTAGTTTGGGGGGAAAGTGGGTGAAAACGGTGCTTTTCACAAGAGGTCTTGGGATTACCTGTGGATTTCAGCCATCCACATACTCACTGCCCACCTATATAGATGACCAAGATCGCCCTTAAGATTTTGGCTGTTGCAGGAAGCCCCAGGGACCCAGCCGAGCTAAGGGAATGGGTTTGTCCCAGCACTGGGCCCAATAAATGCCTATTGAGAAGATGAGTGAGATGGCAACTGCCTCCTCAAAGGTCACCAGCCCCACAGGTGTGCTGGGACCTTGGGACTGAGCCCAGTAACATGGCCCCTCAATATCCCACTCTCCATCTCCGGCCCCACCACATACCTTCACATACGGATCACAGGTGCCAGGCTGTTTGCTGATCAGGCCTTTACCTTCTATAACTAAAAGAGAATTCAGACATTGGGGTGGATGAATGGAAACATACACACACACACAGCGAGAAAGAGAGACACACATAGACATATCCATCCACACGAATAAAGAGACCTGAAAAGAAAAGCGTATCTGTGAGTAGCAGGGCTATGGCCCCTGCTACTAGGCCCTTAATCTGCATAACCACCATTGGCTATGAACCTGCTCTGGTCTAGGCCATTCCCACCATCTTCCACTCTCTGGCAGCACCCTCACCAATGCATTACGAGGTACATTCAATTCCCTGAATCTTACAGCTGGAAGAGAACTACAGTTTATAGAATCTAACCCTTCATGTAATGGGGAAAATGAGGCTTCGAGGGGAACCCAAGATAGTAAGAAACTTGCCCACAATCACAGAACAATGGGAATGACCGCTGGATTTGGAACCCATGTCTCTTGACTCCCGGCTCAGTGCTCTACCACACAAGACTGCCTTCTAGGAATGAAGGGGCCACTCACCATGTGCCATGAGCCATGCCGTGGCACTCACGGTGTGCCGTGAGCCGTGCTGTGGCTGGCGGACAGCACAGCACAGGAGTCACAAGCTGGGGCCTCAGGGGTGGACGGACCCAGGCATGAATCCCAGCTGCACCGCTTACTCACCATATAAGCTAGAGTGAGTTGCTTTGCATGGGACAGAATTTGCCATTTTTAATGGTTTAGTGATAATAACATGCACTTCACATGGTAGTTGTTCCAATTAAATGAGGTAATGTGCCTGAAGTGCTCAGAGGAGTGCCTGGCAAATAAGTAATTGCTCAAAAAATGTTTGCTAAAGAAAAATAATAATAAATAAAGGCAAGGGGAGAGGTGTGGGGTGGGTGCAGGTGTGGTCACAAGAGTAGGCAGCACCATTTGCCTGAGGTCTATAGAAAGAAGACAATAGACCTGATAGAACCTGAGCCTCAGTTCTATTTTCTTTTACGTCTGGATTTTTTTGTTTGTTTGTTTCTTGTTTTTTTTGTTTTTTTTTTTTTTGAGATGGAGTTTCGCACTTGTTGCCTAGGCTGGAGTGCAATGGCACGATCTCGGCTCACTGCAACCTCCACCTCCCGGGTTCAAGTGATTCTCCTGCCTCAGCCTGCCAAGTAGCGGGGATTACAGGCTTGTGCCACCACACCCGGCTAATTTTGTATTTTTCGTGGAGAGAAGGTTTCTCCATGTTAGTCAGGCTGGTCTCGAACTCCCGACCTCAGGTGATTGGCCCGCCTCAGCCTCCCAAAGTGCTGGGATTACAGGCGTGAGCCAATGCACCCAGCCTTACGTCTGGTTTTCATTGAGCCCTAGGGTTTGGCTCAGACAGTGCTCCCAGTAGTCTGAGGTGCAAGGCCTGGGAAACCAATGGAAGGAGTGGGGACCGGTGGGAAGGGATGAAGGGCCTGAGACTGGGGTGAAGCCAAAGCAAACTGTGCAGGACAAATGGAGTGGTGGAGGCCAAGATGCATTTTGCAAAAACTGTTTGCACAGCTGGAGTCAGGCCCTGGCAGGCAGAGAACACCCCTCTGCTGCTCCTTGGGAACTTCACGTTGGGCCCCCCATGGCCATGACCAGAGGACCCAGGCGCCTACTAGTCTACTCTGCCCAGTATCCTGGTTACTGTTCCTGTGTGCATCATTTCCCTCGAGGGCGTGGTTCTTGAGGGCAGGACCCAGGTCTGGTGACCTCCTGGGTCTCTCTGGCCAGCAGTGACAATGAACCACACCCAGTCCCTGTCCTCATTGCATTCTCAGTCTGGCAGAGAGGCCAGACACAGGTGGCACAGTATAGTCAGGGCTGTGACAAAGACACAAAGGAGAAAGCAATAAACCCAGCCCAGACAGGTGGGTCAGGGGGATGATTCCTGGAGGGGGAAATAATAAGGCAAAATGACCCTTCCTTCCTGAGTCTTAATGATGATGAAGGCAGGCATATTTCTTGCAAAATCAGAGCAGGTGGAGAGTTATTTTTCAAAAGGGGTTCAAAACAAAAGAAAGGTTATTCCAGGCACAGTGAACAGCAGGTGCAAAGGCACAGAGGCAGGAGCAAGCAAGATGTATTCAAGGGAGTGCATGTAACTGGATAGAGCTGGAGGTGGAGGGTACCGTCAGCGGCAAGAGCCAGGGAGGCTGGAGAGATAGACAGGGCCTTCTGGGCTAAACAGAAGAGTCCTGGCAGTGGGGGCCATGACAGCAACTCATGTAACTATTCATGTGCCGGATGGAAGGATGGACACATGGACAGACAAACAGGTGGAGTATGAACTCTTCCTGTGCTGTGCTCCAGCCATGCTAGACAGCTCTTCAAATGCATCCTGCTCTCTCTGACCCCCAGGCCTTTGCACTTGCTAGCCCTGTGCATGAAGTGCTAGCCACACCCTCCCTGCTCCTCTTTGCCTGGCTCAGGCCCATTCCTCCTTCAGGATACCGTGTGGGCATCACCCCCTCCGCCAAGTCTTCCCTGGCATCCCATCAACACCATCTAGACAGGGGTGGGTGCTTCTCCTTGGTGTTCCCAGCCCCTAGCACAGAGCTAATGCTCAATCGCTATTTTTGGAATGTATGGTTTTCTTTTTTTTTTTTTTTTTTTTGAGACGGAGTCTCGTACTGTCGCCTGGGCTGGAGTGCAATGGCATGATCTTGGCTCACTGCAACCTCCACCTCCTGGGTTCTAGCAATTCTCCTACCCCAGCCTCCCAAGTAGCTGGGATTATAGGCATCTGCCACCACACCCGGCTAATTTTTTTGTATTTTTGGTAGAGACGGGGTTTCAGTATGTTGGCCAGGCCGGTCTTGAACTCCTGACCGCGTGATCTGCCCGCCTCGGCCTCCCAAAGTGCTGGGTTTACAGGCATGAGTCACCGTGCCCAGCCAGTTTTCTATTTTATCTAACAAAAACTTACACAGGATTGACTACAAGTTCAGCACTGTTCTAAGCACTTTACTAACAGTAACTCACTTAATCTTTGTAGCAACCTGTAAGATACATAGTATTACCACCACTACTTGACAGATGAGAAAACGGAGCTTGTTCAAGGCCACTCAACAAGTATCAGAGCCAGGGTTCAAATTATAGTGGTCTGGCTCCAAAGACTATGATCTTAACCATGATACTATGCTGCCTGTCAACCAATGAATAAATGAATGAGTGAGAAAAATAGAGAAAAGAAGAAAGGATGGAATAAAGAAGGGAGGGAAGATAGGAAAACTCTTCTGTGGCCCTGCTCTGCTGGGGCCAAGAAGGAAGTTGAGGTACCCAGGGGCAGCTGTAGCCTGTCAATGAGAAAGGTCTACCATGTGGACTCCAGACACATCCAAGGCAGGACCAGGGCTGCTCTATAGAAAGAGCCCCAGGTGAATACTGGCTTTTATCAATGGACACATCCTTTATACAAGGATGAGAAAAGAAGCCTTGGCCCATGGTGCCACCATCCCCCAACCCCAGCCCCAGGCAGCAAGCTGAGTGGCCCGCCCCTTCCTTGGTGAGCCTGCACAAAGCCGTACTCACTGTGAAGCAGCAGAACCCGGTCCTGGGCATCAATGGACAGCCTCAGCTGACCTAAGGAAACAGCAACAGAAACAACCTTGCCTCAGCTCCCTGGTGGGTGTGGTGGAAAAAACTAGAGGAAAGGTGACAGAAATGCTCTTTTGTTCATGTGAAGCCATTCAAAGACTCACACAAGTCTCTGGCTGGCAGGGACCTCAGAAGCCACAGGGTTCAGCCCCGCCCACCACATCGGGAGTCCCTTTCGAATGCCTCCAGCAGTGGTTCTCTAGCCTTGCTTGTGCCCCTCTGGTGATGGGGAGCTCACTACTGTACAGGCAGCCAGGTGGATGCTGGGAAATCTCACTGCTGGGTCGTTGTCAAATGTTGGTAAAGGTGTAGGAGAACAAGTACTGTCATTCTCTGTTGGAAGGAGTGAAAATGGAGGGTAATTTCTGCCAAGATCTACTGAAATTTAAATGTGCATATTCTTCCACCTAAAAGTCTTCATTCCAGGTCACTGTCGTAGACAAACACAAGCACGTGCACACAAAGGCTGGCACTACAGCATTGTTTAAGGAAAAACTGGAAACACCTGAAATGTTCATCAATATAGAAATAGTGAAGTAAACCATCTATAGCTGTATATGGAATAGTATGAGCTGTTATAAAGAATGGAGGAGCACCATACAACCTGGCAGAGGAATATTATTGAGAAAAGTTTTAGGTTTTTGTTTTGTTTTGTTTTGTTTTTGAGACAGGGTCTGGCTCTATCATCCAGGCTGGAGTGCAGTCGTGCAATCATAGCTCACTACAGCTTCAACCTCCTGGGCTCAAGCAATCCTTCTGCCTCAACCTCCCAAGCAGCTGAGACTACAGGCATGAACCACGGTGCCCAGCTATTTTTTAATTAATTTTTTGTACAGAAGGGGTCTTGCTGTGTTATCCAGCTTGGTCTCAAACTCCTGGGCTCAAGTGATCCTCCCACCTCAGCCTCCCAAAGTTCTGGGATTACAGGTATGAGCCACCACGCCCCACAAAGACGAGTTTTTAAAGGAACAAGCAAATTTCAGAACAATACATAGGGTATGTATCTGGCGGGGGAGGGAGGGTTCTGAAAGGATGCCAAATTAAAAACAGTGATCCCTGCTAGAGAACAGACTAGGAATTGGAGGAGGGTAGTCAAGAGGAATTTCAATCTATCACAATTGTTGTTTTAATAATTCAAATATATCCACGAACTATAGCACTTCTATAATTAAAAAGAAAGGAAAGAGGAAACAAAGGAAGAAGGAAAGAGGCAGGAGAAAGGAGGGGAGGAAGAGAAAGAGCAGGGAGGAAGGGAGGAGAACAGGGAGGGAGGGGACATGTAAAGAGAACAGAAGGACGGGGCTGGAAGGCAGGGCAAGAATGAGTGGCCGGGTGAGGTTTATCCCCTGGCTTTTCCCATTTTTGTTTAAATTTTTTAAAAAAAGAAAAAACAGGACAAAACTTCAGGTCATCCTCACAGATACCCAATGGCCTCCAGCCAAGACAGAGAAGAGAGAGAGGGTCACACTCCTCTTCCTCGGTGACATCGAAAATGTTTCTCTCAGTCCAGTAGACTTTCCCTGGGACCTCAAAAAGCTGCTGAACTCAGTCCACCCCATGGACAGGCACTGGAGACATCAGAAAGCAGGGCAGGGCCGTCTACCAGAAAGCCCAGGCATGGCTCCATCTGTGACAACCCTGGCTAGCTGTGCCCTCCCTCTGCCCAGTCACCTGTAGCAATGGGGAGCTTGCTTCCTGTGGTGGGAGCCCTTTCCCTTTTGAAAGAGCTCTGATTGTTCAATGCTGCATCTTATATTAAGCCAACAGTGGCCTCTCGGTAACTTTCATTGCCCGGATCTAGTTCTGCATTCTCTGGGCTCTTTCCTCTAGACCTGAACTCCAAAGTCCTTCCACAATCCCTCACAGCACAGTGAGACATCCCCTCATCATCCCATCTGGCCAGCTCTGGACATGCCTCTTGAAACTAGGCTGGCAGCTGGGGCTTTGCTTTGTTTCTGGTTAGAGAACAGGTTTGGAGAACCCTTCATGTCTCCTAACTCTGCATAAGTCCACCAATCACTGTGACCCAGACATCACTTGACCCTCATACTTCTGGTGGTTAAGCTTCAGTCCCAAGCAATTCAGGCTCCTGCAAACCCTGGTCCAGCCCGTCATCCATCAGAAATATCTGCTGTTCTCCTGTCCAGGACCCAGATCTCAGAAGCCCAGGAATCCTGTTTCAGTTCCAGCCCTAACTGCCCTCTTCTTTCAGGACCACAGTGGCCATGGATGTGAGGTAGAGCTAATAACAGGGGTTATGGCACTCTCCAAGCTGTGATCAGATAATGCTGGCAGGTGAGGAGGACTCCTTGGATGAAAGGCGCCGGGAGAACTGACGGTATCATTATCTCAAAGTCTGAGCAATTACTTCATTGTGGCTTCCTAGAGCTGAGAAACCTATGAAAACTGTGCCCAATCTAGTGTGGGGTGGGAGAGAGAGAGGTTTGGAAACAGGCAAACGAAGCCCGCAGTCATGGGTTGAATTTCACCAACTCAAAGACACCTATGTTTAACATGAAACATTTTTTCTGAAACTACTACCTGTGCAAAGCCAGCTCTGGCACAAACATGCTTGGATCCGAAAGCCACAGGAACCCCTGTGCTCCACAACACCTATCACCTAACTAACAGTGGCCCTTTGCCCAGAAGTCAGGATCAGGAAATCTCCAGACACAAATGGTCACTAATTCCATTTAGCAAATATTTGCTGGGCATCTGCACGAGGCTGGGCAGGTGCCTGCCCTCACAGGGCTCACAGCCCAGTGGCTAGGACAGGGACTTGGGCAAGGCCAAGTGAGAAGCTGGAGGCTGACAAAGGCCCAGGGGCAAAGGCTGACTCGGGATTGAGATGAGTTTGCACCACACTGCACTGCTCCCGTTCCAGGCCCTGCCAGCCAGGGGCTTCTCAGGAAGGCCAGGGTGCCCTGTACCCTGTTACAGCAGAGAAACCAAACCCAGCAGACCAGACTCCAGGCTCCCCAGGCCAGGACACACCTGCCCCAGTTCACAAGATCCCTCCCTCGGCCATGCCTGTCCCCTCCTTCCCCCCATCATGCTACTCCACCAAATGTCTGACACACAGGCCCCTGAAGTCATCTTGTCCAGTCTCCTCATTTTGTAGCCAGAACGGTCATGCCTGAGATGGAAGGTGATTTGCTCTGGGCCCAGAGAATCCAGAGCTGGAGATTAGAACTCTACCCCCACTCCAGCACTCTTTCCTGTGCACAGTCTTCTGGAACACCCACAGCCCTCTAGCACGCACCTCCTCTGCTGTGCCCACTGCGTTTGCCAACACAACCTTCAGATTCAGAGGTAGAGAGAACCATCGGGGACAGCACCAGGTGCCACAGCTTTTCTCAAGAAACCAAGAGGTTAGCTGAGCATAGTGGCACATCCTATAGTCCCAGCTGCTTGGGAGGCTGAGGTGGGAGGACCACTTGAATCCAGGAGGTTGAGCCCACAGTGAACCATGATCACACCACTGCAACTCCAGCCTGGACCTTGGGGAACAGCGTGAGACCTGTCTCAAAGGAAAAAAAAGAAAAAGAAAAAAAATAGAGGGCAGCCTCCTAGAAATGTCTCCAATCTAGAGAAAGAAACCTCCAGGTGAAGGGGAAGTAGGGCTGAATCCCTGGAGTCTTCAGCTCACCGAAGCACCAGCTAATTTGGCATCCTTTCAGAACACCCCCCCCACCCAACCTCCCTCCACAGATACATACCCTATGTATTGTTCTGAAATTTGCTTGTTCCTTTAAAAACTTGTCTTTGTGGGGTGTGGTCGCTCATGCCTGTAATCCCAGCACTTTGGGAGGCTGAGGTGGGAGGATTGCTTGAGTCCAGGAGTTTGACACCAACCTGGACAATACAGCAAGAGCCCTTCTCTACAAAAAATTAATTAAAAAAATAGCCGGGCACCGTGGTGCGTGCCTGTAGTCTCAGCTACTTGGGAGGTTGAGGCAGGAGGATTCCTTGAGCCCAAGAGGTTGAAGTTGTAGTGAGCTATGATTGCACGACTGTACTCCAGCCTGGATGATAGAGCCAGACCCTGTCTCAAAAAACAAAAACCTAAAACTTTTCCCAATAATATTCTTGCTCCTACACCTCTGTTTTTTTCAACACTCCCCATTCCTCCCTAGACTCAGGGAGCAGTCAGGCTAAAGGGCTTGAAGTCATCCTCATCGAGGTTGGGCAGGGCCTTTGGACAGGGCATGTCCCCTGTTCCCATGAGATCGCAGTTGGGCACCAACACTATGTGCAAAAGGTGGTGGTGATGGATGCCCAGAGAGGCTGCAAGTGTGTACCAGGGCCCAGAGCCAAAGGGAGAATAGACAGGGCCCCATATGGCAGGAAAAATACTGGATGGGAATGAGCTTCAGAAAGCCTGGAAAAGGCAACAAACCCAAATTCTGCTGGGCACAGGACTTGAAGGGCTCAGACTTACTGGGCACTTTTAAATGGATGTGGACACCAGCTAAAGAAATTCAGTCTGGCAGACAATACTCAGTAGAGAACCACAGATGAACTCTAACCCACAGGCCACAGTCAGAAAGAGACATACTCAGAAAATAAAGGAAGTAGATGGGGACTGCACACCTTTGCTAGACTCAGGGATCAGCCGGAATGTGTCCCAGTGGGAGCCCATGCCACCCTGAGATGTGCAGAGAATACATCTATGATGGACTTGCCTGGCTAGCATGAAGCAGCAGGCATCCTAAAATCCAATTCACCCCAGAAGCCGCTGCCCATTTAAGAACTGTCACATGTTAAAAGCTACAGGAAGGGTGATGATATCCAGACAAACATATGAAGGCAGTTGGGTCTACATGGAGCCTAGCCAGCCGCTAACATCCACAGATTTCCCCTCCGTTTATGAGGACACGTCTGTACTCAAGTCTTCCTCGCAGGAGGGAGGGTGCCCAGCCAGATGCCAGGCACGCCCTCTCTCTGTGGTCTTCAGCTGCCTCATCCACACCCCAGCCCTGATCCAGGCTCAGAAATGGTTAAGCATGTGTTTACCAATTTCACTGCCTGCTTGATCTAAGGGAGAAATGGTAGGCTGCAGTGGCGCTGGGAAACAGGCAGCCACACAGCTCTATGGACATAACCCAGGAGAATTTCCCATGGCTACTGTGTTAAAAGAAGGAGAACCCTGAGTTCCATTCAAAAAAGTGGCCCTGGTTTGCGAAGGTGAGGACATAGGACACACAGCACTGGCATAAAAATTGTGATGGGTCAGTTCAATCCCCTGGCCTCTCTGCTTCCTGTGAAAGCTGATATTAATGTAGTTTCCCAAGCTCTTTTTCCTTACAGAAAGAGATTGCTCCGGCCAGCATAAGTCTTCTAGTCTACTCAGAAATTCTATTTTTCAGCATAAACTAATAAATTAGCATTCAGTCTCTTGATAATTTAGATTCCCATGGATCACTCACAAGGGATTCTAGGTCCGTCCTGGGCAAGCTGGTAAAATAAAACTCCTGAATCTACTGCAGTCAGCATCTAATCTTGGCTGGATCATAACACCACTAGCAGTCCTGTGGGGCTCAGATCCAAACATCCTACAGGATTCACACACATCTCAACCCAGAGTTCAGGGCCATAGTGAACTACCAGGCTAGGCACACACATGGAGAGAACAAAGTCAATGTTTCTTAGATGTTTACTAGGTACTCAGCACTTTACTATAAGCTTTTTATTTCTTTTACTCCTCACAATAACTCCGTGAAATGGTTACTACTTTTATCCCAATTTACAGGCAAGGAAGCTGAAGATTATTAAGAGGTAAACAGGTTGGCTGGGCATGGTGGCTCACACCTGTAATCCCAACACTTTGGGAGGCTGAGGCAGGATGATCACTTGAGGCCAGGAGTTTGAGACCAGTCTAGGCAACATAGCAAGACTCTGTCTCTCCAAAAACGTTTTTTTAAAATTAGCCGGACGTGGTGGTGTGTACCTGTAGTCCCAGCTACTCAGGAGGCTGAGGTGGGAGGATCACTGGAGCCCAGGAGGTTGAGGCTGTAGTGAGCCATGATCACACCACTGCACTCCAGCCTGGGCAACAGAGTGAGACCCCAACTCAAAAAAAAGAAAATAGCTAAAACAGGTTGTCCAAATCACACAGCCAGTAAGTGGCAGAGCTGGGGTTTGCATTTAGGCAGTCCAGGGCCCCCACTGTTAGCCTCTCTATACCTATCATGGGTTTAAAATTTGTCCACAAAGTCTTTGATACTCTTCCTTTCAAGAGGTGAAGCCTAGTTCCTCCCTTCAGACATGGGCTGGACTTAGTGACTTGCTTCTAACAAATAGAATGTGGTAGAAATGACAGTGGATGACTTTCAACATTAGGATATTAAAGGTATTATTAGTTCCTTCTTTTTTTAACAGCTGTATTGGGATATAATTAACATATCATACATTTCATCAGTTTTGTTTATTATTGAGATGGAGTCTCACTCTGTCGCCCAGGCTGGAGTGCAATGACATGATCTCAGCTCACTGTAACCTCTGCCTCCCAGGTTCAAATTATTCTCCTGTCTCAGCCTCCTGAGTAGCTGGGATTACAGGCATGCACCACCCACACCTGGCCAATTTTTTGTATTTTTTGTAGAGACAGAGTTTCACCATGTTGGCCAGGCTGCTCTCGAACTCCTGACCTTAGATGATCCACCCGCCTCAGCCTCCCAAAGTGCTGGGATTGAGCCACCGTGCACGGCCACACTTCACCAATTTAAAGCATGTAATTTTCTTTTAGTATATTCACAGGATTCTGTAATCAATCACCTCTATCTAATTTTAGAACATTTTCATCCTCCCCTAAAAGAAATCCCATACTCTTTCGCAGTCACACCCTATTCCCTTCTCCCCTCAGCCCTTGTCAACCACTAATCTGCTTTCTGTCTCTAAGGACTTGCCTATTCTGGATACTTATGTAAACAGAATCACACAACGCATGGTCTTTTGTGATTGACTTCTTTCACTTAGCATAATGTTTTCAAGGTTCACCCATATTGTAGCACGTATCAGTATTTTAGTCCCTTTGTGGCCAAATAATATTCCATTGTATGGATATACCACATTTTGTTTATCCACTCATCTGGTGATGGATATTTCAGGTTATTTCGACTTTTTGGCTACTATGAATAATGCCGTTATGAACATGTGTGTGTGTACACATGTTTGTGTGAGCATGTGTTTTCATTCCTCTTGGATTTATACCTAAGAGTGGAATTGCTGGGTCAAATGGAAACTCTACATTTAATTGTTTGAGGAACCGCCAAACTTTTCCAAAGTGGTTGCACCATTTGACATTCCGGCCGGCAGTGTACAAGGGTTCCAATTTCCCCTCAACTTCTTCAACGCCTGTTATTGGCTCTTTTTTTATTATAGTCATTCTAGTATGATAGTATCTCATTGTGGTTTTGATTTGCATTTCCCTGATAACTAATGACATTGAGCATTTTTTCACATGCTGTTAGCCATTTTTCTTTGGAAAAAAATGTCTATTCAAATCCTTTACCCATTTTTGAGCTGGGTTACTCATCTTTTTATGGGAGTTCTTTCTTGCTTTCATTTTTGTATCACTTGCCTAGAAGGAAGCCAGCTGCCACATAATAAGGAAGCTCAAGCAATCCTACGAAGAGGTCCATGCGATGAGAAACAGAAGCCTCCTAATTACAGGTAGCAAGGAACTGAGGCCTCCTGCTGAGAGCCATGTGAATGAGCCATCTTGGAAAGGGACCCTCCAGCCCCAGTAATGCCTGCTCGGACAACTGCAGGTAGGCAGGCAGGCAGGGAGAAAGAAAGGAGGGACGGAGAGAGAGAGCGGGGAGGGGAGGAAGGGACGGAAGAGGCAGGGAGGGAGGAGAAAAGGAGGGAGAGAGGCAGAAAGGGAGGGAAAAAAAAACAAAAACCAACTCAAAAAAGCTTAGAAAATATATGTAGGGGACTTCCATTTCTGGGATGACAGATCCACTGAGGAAAACTAGAAATGCTAAACAAAATATGTTAAAGCATCTTCTTAGATAAACAACAAGAGAGAGAGGAGCTACCAGGCAGGATCTAGGGGAATGGAGGACTGTAGAAGGAAACCTAGTGTTTTTCTGGGCTAATTTCCTCCTGGGGTGTTTTCAAATTCCAGAGGGCTGATTGAGAGATCAAGAGACTGAGTGAGTTTCTGCCTGCTTCTCAGGGCTAGAGGAATAGGAACTAGGGACCAGGGCCCACCAAGAAGCAGGGTTCTTCTGAGCCCCACCTTTTGCATAGGGACCCTGAAGGGTTGCTCCATAGGAATAGAGTGAACTGTAATCAGACACAGCTACTCCAGGGACTACAGCTCGATTTCAAGTACTCTCAGTCCCAACACTGAATTAAGACTAACCCAGTGACCCTAGGCACCTGACAAACGAACAAAGATTTTTTGAAGGAAAATATCATCCTAGGTCTGCATTGAGAAGAAAATAATAATAATAACAACAACTCTCTGCCTATACTGTTTGTTTGTTGTTTGTTTGTTTTGAGTCAGGGTCTCACTCTGACACCCAGGCTAGGGTACAGTATCACAATCACAGCTCACTGTAGTCTTGACCTCCTAGGCTCAAGTGATCCTCCTTCCTCAGCCTCCCAAGTAGCTAGGACCACAGGTGCACACCATCATGCCCAGCTAATTTTTTTATTTTTTGTAGAGATGAGCTCTCACTATGTTGCCCACACTGGTCTCGAACTTCTGGGCTTGAGTGATCCTCCTGCCTTGGCCTCCCAAAGTGCTGGGATTATAAGCATGGGCCACTCACCACTCCCAGCCATGTGCCTGTTCTTTGCAGCAGACACAGCACACCTACAATGTAGATCCAAAAAGGTTGAAAGAAAAAGGATGGAAAAAGATATGTCAGGCAAATATTAAATGAAAGAAGCATGGTTAGCTATGTTAATATCAGGAAAATTAGACTTTATACCTACTAGAAATAAAGAAGACTTCATAACAATAATAGATTTCATAATAAAAATTTCAGCTCACCAGAAAGATAATAATTCTAAATCTGTATGTTGTTAACATAGCTTCAACATATGTAAAGGAAAAACTGACAGAACTGCAATGGGAAATAGACAAATTTACAATCACAGTGGGAATTCTAATACACCTCTCTTAGGAACTGACAGAGAAAACAGGAAAAATCAACAAGGATACGGAATATTTGAACAATATAAAGAGCAAACTTGACCTAAACTTGACATACACAAAGAACACTGCACCCAACTGCTGCAGAATCCTTTTCAAATACACAAAGAACATTTATAAAAATTGACTCTTTGGGAGGCCAAGGCAGGTGGATCACCTGAGGTCAGGAGTTCGAGACCAGTGTGGCCAACATGGTAAAACCCCATCTCTACTAAAAATACAAAAATTAGCCAGGCATGGTAGTGGGTGCCTGTAATCCCAGCTACATGGGAGACTGAGCCAGGAGAATTGCTTGAATCCAGGAAGGGGAGGCTGCAGTGAGTTTACATTGCGCCACTGCACTCCAGCCTGGTGACAGAGTAAGACTCAGTCTCAAAACAACAACGACAAAAAAAAAAAAAAACAACTATATGCTGAGGCATCAAGTAAATTTTGATTAATTTCAAGGAATTAAAAGGATGGAGAGTATATTCTCTGACTAAAATGCAAAGTAAATATAAAAATATTACCAGAAAATCCCCAATATTTAGAAATTTAGAAATATACTTCTAACTAACCCAAGGATTGAAAAAGAAATGACAATGAAAATTAGAAAATATTTTGAAGTAAATGATAAAGAAAAAAACTGCATTATCAACATGCGTCTTCTAAATACTAGAAATGTTCAATTTTTGACTCTGGTGAAAGTTACAAAGGTTTTTTTTTTGTGAGAAGTCACTGGATTGCACATTATTGGGGGGACACTTTTCTGTCTGTCTGTATAATATTTCAAACTTTTTTAAATGTTTAAGAAGAACACACAAAGCAGAATGGGAAAAGAGGACAAAGGGCTATCTATGGGCCAGAAACTTTGAGGAATTTCTGAAAGCTCCTGAGCAGTTGGACTCTGAATGACAGAAAAGCCAATAAATGCTGAGGAGTATGACCAGCAAATGATGAGCTCCTGAGAAACAGTTGGATAGGTTTCCCCAACCATGCCAGGGAATCTCCCAGGCTCAGAGCAGTGGGACTGGAAACACGTGCCAGCCAGGGGCAGCTGGCAGGGACACATTGAAGGCCTCCAGTTCAGGGCCTGACCGTGCACTGCCCAACACACCACGCAGCTGGCTGACATCTGTTCCCAAGCTTCACTCTCACTACAGAAAATGAATTATTTATCTCCACGGCTTCTAAAGAGAGGCAGAGAAAGGAGTGAAACAGGCCCCAGCTAACATTGTACCAACACAACAAACATGAGGCAAAAAAAAAAAAAAAAAAAAAATGCTGAGCAAATCAATGACACTCCTAAGTCTACTCTGCCTCCAGAACCACATCTTCCCAACTTCCCTATGGCAAATCAGTGACTCCAGGCAGTCCTCTCGAGCCTACATTTAGAGCTGCTCCCGACAGCTTTCATTTTGTAGGTTCATAGGGGGCTGGCATTTCTAAAGAGAGGTGCATTTTGTCACCCAATGTCCACAGCCACCTGCAGACCTCAGAACATGTCCAGCTTGCCCACCATCTCCAGACCCAGATACCCTGCAGAAAAGGCAACCTGTTCTCTCTCCTGACCACTCACCATATCCAGGTGACTAGAGATCCCAAGCAAGTTAAAATTTGGTTCAGAGACCCCAGGTAAATTAATAATTTGCTTCATCAGTCAAACTAATAAGTTGGTATCCCTTCAAGATGATATTTTAAAACTATCTATCCAACATTTTTGTGAACTTGAGTTTTTTTATTTTCTATATAAAATATTATGCCTAAAATTCATATGGAAATTCAAGGGACCCAGGACAGCCAAAATGATCTTGAAAGAGAAGAACAAAATTGGAGGATTTACACAACCTGATTTCAAAATGTACTACAAAGCAACAGTAATCAAGACAGTATGATACTGGAATGATAATAGGCAGATAGATCAATGGAATAGAATTGAAAGCCTAGAAATAAGCCGTGGGTTTATGGGCAATTGATTTTCAGTAAAGGTACCAAGATCATCCAATAGAGAAATAATGGTATTTTCAACAAATGGTACTGGGACAACTGGATAGCCACAAAAAACAATGAAGTTGAACTCTTACCTCATACCATACACAAAAATTAACTCAAAGTGGATCAAAGACCTAAATATAAGAGCCAAAACTATAAAACTCTTAGAAGAAAACATACAGGTAAATCTCTTGGTAACTGACAGAACCTTAGATTTGGCAGTGAATTCTGAGATATAACACAAAGTACAAGTAACAAAAGATAAAGTAAATTGAACTTCATCAAAATTAAAAATGTTTGGGGTTCTGGCTGGACACAGTGGTTCATGCCTATAATCCCAGCACTTTGGGAGGCCAAGGCAGGAGATCGCTTGAGTCCCTGAGTTCAAGACTAGCTTGGGCAACATAGGGAAACCTCATCTCTACAAAAAGTTTTTTTTACATAAGAAAAATTAGCCAGGCATGGTGGTGCACATCTGTAGTACCAGCTACTCAGGAGGCTGAAGTGGGAGGATCGCTTAAGCACAGGAGGTTGAGGCTGCATGGTCAAAGAGGAGCCATGATCATGCCACTGAACTCCAGCCTGGGCAACAAAACAAGACCCCATCCCCAAAAAAAGTTTGGGATTCAATGAACACTATCAAGAAAGTGAAAAAAACCCACAGATAGAGAGAAAATATTTGCAAATCATATATCGGTTAAGGAGCTTGCATCTAGAATATATAAAGAAATCTTACAACTCAATAATAACAAGACAAAAAGCCCAATTTTAAAATGAACAAAAGATCTGAATACATTCTTCTCCAAAGAAGATATATAAATAATGAGCACATGAAAAAATGTTCAACATCACGGGTCATCAGGAAAATGCAAATCGAAACTATAGTGAATATCAATTCACACCCACTAGGATAGCTAGAATTAAAAAGTCAGATAATAACAAGTGTTGGTAAGGAATGTGGAAAAACCAAAACCCATATACACAGCTGATGGGAACATAAAATGATACACCTACTTTGGAAAAGAGTTTGGTAGTTCCCTAAATAGTTAAACACAGAGTTACCATAGGACTCAGCAAATCTACTCCTAGGTATATACTGTGTGTATATGAAGAGAAATGAAAACATTTGTCCACACAAAAACTTGTTCACAAATGTTCATGGCAGTATTATTCATAATAGTCAAAAGGGAGAAACAGCCAAAATATTCATCACCAGATGAATAAATTTTTAAAATGTGGTATAGCCATACAATGAATACTACTCAGCCATAAAAATGAATGGAGTATGATATCTGCTACAACATGGATTAAACTTGAAAACATTATGCTAAGTGAAAGAAGTCAGTCATAAAAAAAAAAATACGATTCCATTTATATGAAATGTCCAGAACAGGCAAATCTACAGAGGGAGAGAATAGATTAGCAATTGCTTTGGGCTCGGGACAAGGGAGGACGGTACAAGCTAAAGAGCATAATGTCTCTTTTTGAGGGAATGAAAATGTTCTGAAATTGTGATAATAGTTACACATCTCTGTGAATATACTAAAAACCATTGAATTGTATGGTTTAAATGAGTGAATTGTATATATCTGAATTATATTTCAATAAAGCTGTTACAAGAAAAATCAGCAAATATCCTAATCAAAATAAAATATACAATCCTGGAGAAAAATATTATGTATACCTACAATGACTTCAAATTACATCATTTTTCACAATAAAGAAAAAAAAATCCCTCTAGAGTAGTTGGGTCCTAGCCTCAGCTTGCCTACTCCCTTCCCCTGAAGTAAGGCCACCTCCTCAGAACGCAGTGTCCTTCAATTAATGTCACTTGAACATACTCCTTTTGGGGGACAAGGGGTTGTGTTCATGTGTACACACAAATACATATATCATGCAGTACTCTCCCCGAAGGGAATTCTCATCAAAACAGTTTTGTCTCTTTATATTTCCATAGATGATTATGCTCCCTTTACATGTCTGTGCTCAGGAAACTACCAGCTAAGCAACATCTTCATCTGGTTCTACCAAGGCAAAGCTCACAGTAGAAGGCCAGGGGCTACCTACTTTGCTAAGGAAAGGCCAGTGAACTGAGAAAAACTTAGCCAAAACCTTCACAGTAAAAGTGGTCCCAATTGCTACCAAAACTGACTCTGAATCCATAGCTTCCAAACCTGGATGACAGTCTGAACGCTCTATGGCTTCTTAAGTGTTCATATTCTCAGGCTCCACCCCAGACCTATTAAACTAGAGTCTCCAGAAGAAGATTCTAGGAATCTGTGTATTTTTAACAGGCTCCCCACATGCTTCTGATATTTGGCTGGGTTTGGAAACCACTGATAGGAATCTTTGCTCATAAGCAGATCAGTGAAGATCACAGTGGATAAAGAAAATCAGCAGCCTGAAAGAGGGGCACCACGACAAATGGCACCCAGGGAAACAGAGCCAGTGCAGGAAACAGGAGAGAATTTCTCAAATGCTCTCATAAGCATCCTTAGAGAGATGTGAGAGGAGCCTGCACGAATAAGAGCAGGTGGCTTCCCACCCCACCCAGGCTCCTGTCTGCCTCCTGCACACTCAGGTCACAGTCACTTGTTCAAGCAGCAGCCTTCCCTGATACCCATCAGACTCAGCCCTGAGGCCATGGCTGGGCAGGAAGATCCACTCCCTGCTGGGCCTGAACCCTCCTCAGCTTCCCAGATCTGGCAGGCAGATTAATCTAATAGAAGAACATGGACCAATGCAAGGAAATATTCACATCAGGCCACTAAGGAAAACATATGGGTTACAAAATTGTCCATACAAACTTGATCTCAATTGTGTTGAAATTTGACCCCTAAATACACACAGGCACACACACACACACACACACACACACACACACACACACACAGAAATAGGTGTGGAAATAAGCCTGGGAGGATATAAATCAGAAAGTTAACAGTGGTCTCCCTGGGAAGTCAGATTACAAGTGATTTTCACTTTCTTCTTTTCACTAAGTTTTCAGCAGTAAACACATGTAACCATGATAATAAGGAGGAAAAAAGCAAACATATTTTTACTTTTTAATCAGGACACAGCTAAGGTAAGAGGGCCTCACAGCTCCCTGACACCCTTTCCTGATCACTCCTACCCCAGCCAATACAGATCATCCTGGAAACCACCCTTGTCTCACAGAGCCCTGCATCCCAATGGGGTTAGCAGGAATTGCCTCCTACGCTGGGGCATTAAGTGAGATAATGCAGGTAAAACACTTGGCATAAGGAATGGCAATGGTAAGTTCTCAACAAATGATGGCTAGTTAATTGCCCTTTATCGTCCACCAACTAGACCAGTGAATTCCTGCTGCCAGACGTCAGGCAATTTCAGAGGCCAAGCCACTGCTCTTCCATCATTCCCTCTACCCCTAAGGAAAAAAAGCAGGTTGTGGAAAACCAAATATGTTGAGCAGGAGTAAGCCTGAAAACAGAAGAGCCAGGAACCCCAGGGAGGGACCAAACTCCTTGGGCACTCTGTCTTTGAAAGCTGGGCAATGTCCAGTAATGTTTCAGTAACAGCCCCAACCTTTAGAAGGAAATTGTATGCAAGTTCAAACAAAAATGCGCTGGACAGGTCATCTCTGGAAAGCTTGAGCTCAGCTACGAACTCTGCCACTGGCTCATGGAAGATCTCTTGGTTTCAAGTCTTCACAGAGGAAAAATAACCCCTCTCCACAGAGAGTTGCAGGACCAGTGAGGAAATGAAGGGTTACCCTCAAGGGTAGGGTTGTTACCTTTACTATGGCTACCAGGAAGGCCAGGTTTGCCCAGACCTTTGGGCAGCTGCCGCCCAGCTGTTATTTGGGGGAACTCAGTCTGCTACTTAGGGGCTTGGGAGTGAAGCCTACTGTTCACTTCTTTCCACCTCAAACCCTGAGGCAGCCCTGGGACCCTCCTAAGGGATTGTTCTTTCTTGGAGGAGAGAATTCTCCCATCTCCACTGTGGCTCAGATACCCAACAAAGTCAAATTGCAGCCTCCCCACAAGGCAGCAGGGCCAAAGGGCCCAGCACCTGTCCGCTCCCTGAGCCAAAGGAAAGTGGGTGAATGAGATCTCCAGTTGCTATAACAAGACCTTGATTTAACCTGAGCTGCTTGCTAATGAGAAACTCCGTGGTGACAACCCAGGTCTCTGAAAGATTAACCAGAGCGTGATTATTCCAGCCAAGTGAGGCAGAACCAACCGCAGTTGGCACTCATGGCCGGGCAGCAGGTGGTGTCCAGCAGCTTGCTTGGACTGAGCCTGTGCCCTGAGCCCCTCCTGGGCAGTCACAGGAGAAAGGGGCCAGAGAAGGTGCCCCTAGATAGAAAGAGCACCTGCTCCCAGCCTCCCCTGTCACCACGAGGGGCTGCGTTTCTGGGCGCTGGGAGCAGGGTGAAGCAGCCCCTGCCGCCAGCCCCAGCGGGCACTTACCAAAGGTGGTGAGGTAGAAGGACAAGTCCGGGTGGGCACGCCGGCTCCCGAGGGAGACGCGGTGCAGGGAGCGCTCCATGGCGTCCCACTGCGACCCGGACAGGAGCGTCTGCAACCCGAGGCGGCTGTGTTGCTCCCCAGTAACCGGAGTCTCCAGGGCGGGAGGAGCGCGAGCGGGAGGTAGGGCTGCCCCAAGCGTTGGAACGGCCAGGGCGCGCCCGGCCCTGATTGGCCCGCGCGGGTTTGAATGGGGAGAGTTCCACCTGCCGGAGCAGAGCTGGGCCGGGGTGGGGGAGGCGGCGCCGCCGACCCGCGCTGAGCAGCGACGGCAGCCACCCAAGGAGCCAGCAGGACGGTGCGGCCACCCCGGGTATCCCGGCCCCAGCACCGCGCTCCCGGTTGGAAATGCCAGTCCCACGAGAAGGCCCAGTCCGGGGTGCCCACTCTGGGCAGGCTTGGCCTCCTCGTCCAGCTCTCCTAGACCAGCAATTAGTCGGGTTTATAACCTGCTTTGAAGCTCAGGCCTATAATCATTAGATCCAAGCAAAGGCAAAGGAGCACCCGATGGCCCAGGGCAGTGAGGTTTGGAAAAGTGTTCTCTGCGCTTGGACAGGTCGCCCCCCACCATGCTGCATCCTCTTCCCAAACCCTGCATCCTGGATCACTCTCTTGAGCCTCCTCTTGAACAAGTGCTGCCTGACACAGGTCCGGATGGGAGCAGCTTGCTCCAACCAACCTGATGGCCCCCCGTCCCACAGCCTGATGCCATCGGACAGCAGGACAGGCCCACAGCCTCTGAGAAAGAGGAACGCACAGGAAACGGAGTGGGGTGGGTGAATCCCCCAGCCTGGTGCGGGGAGGCAGAGCTGGAAGGTCAAACCCTGCTTTGCTGCTTTGTCAGCAAACATTTACAGGACACCTCCTCGTAGCAGTTTCACACCAAGACATCTGCTCTGCAAATCTCTGTTGCCACTGTGGGAAGGAAAGCTGTTAGTCTCGTGTAAATCTAAAAATGGGAAGTGTTGGTATTTGTCCCTGTTCCCCAGACTTCATCGCCAAGTGGATATTTGTGGTTCAGTGATCCACTCAAAAACAAGATGGGGAGATGCAAGACAGAAAGTGGAGAGAAGAGTTATGTGTTGAGTACCAGATGCCAGAGGCTGAGCTGAGCTGGGCAATTTACACACATCATCTCAGTTAATCTTCACGGTAAGTCTAATAAGTATTAGCCCCAATTTACCAGGAAGAAATCTGAACCTCAGGCAGAGAAGACAGGTGACATGCCCAAGGTTTGCAGAGCTAGGAATAGGCAGAGCTGAAATTTGAACCCAGGCCTGTCTGCCCCAAACGCCATTGTCCTATTCTTCCTTGGCCTCCACATCTGCCCCATGGCCAACAGCAGGTGGAAGGAGCAAACGCCACAGGGTCAGGTGGCCACCAGCGAGGAGCAGAAACTGCAGAAGGAGCCCTGAATCAGCAAACTGGTGATAAATCACATAAATGCCGTAGGATTGTTTGAATCCTGGCACTTCGTGAAGTCCTGCCCTGCTCTTTACTGCACCCCCCCACCCCACCCCACTCTCCCCCTCCAACCCCGGTTACACACACACATGGTGAACACTGCCTTTAACAAGAGCAGGTCCACTCTCCTAGCCTCAAGCCAGTGACAGATGGACTTACCTGCACCCTGGACTTTGGCATGCGTGATCCTCTTCCTGGCTGGAGAAGTTTGAGTCCACTCATCTCTTCTGGGCAGAGCGATATCAGGGCTTAGCCACTCCATCCAGCCAGGGAATATGGGCAAGCTCAGGCTCAAGCCACAGGATGTAGAGAGGACACTGAGCACAGAGACGTGGCAGACCTGCAGGAGCAAGATGGGAGCATGAGTTAGCCATGGCCTGAAGATGCTCCATGCAAGGTGTGTTCACTCCCAGTAGGAACTAGAAAGCATGGTGTTCAGGAAACAGCAAAGGAAGGCCCACAGGGAAAAGGGAAGGTGATGTGCCTGAGATGATAGTCACCTCTTCACAACTTCGCCAGGGACCACTGTAGAGCCTCCTCCCAAAGGGGAGACTATCTTGGGCTCCAGAGGCTGTGAGCAACCTGCAGGTACAACACTCAGGACGGTGAGATCCAGAAAGAAAATTGGGCAAAGGTGTGCTGTCTGAATGTGACCTAGGAGAGAAAAGACCGAGGCCCACACTGGGCACTTACACCCGGTAATGGGAACAAAGATTCTACTGCTTTGTAGGTCCCCTCCTGACTCCTGCCCCACTCTGCAGCTAACATATTCAGTTGGAAGATTGCAAGGCCAGCCTGATCCTGAGCTGGCCCCTCTGATGGTATCACCTTCACCACCACCAGTAAGGCTCCTTTACTCAGTAGCGTGCTGGAAGCTTCCTTTTCCTAAAAGGACAGGTCGGTCACCCTTTCCTCAAGAGATGGAGGAGAGAGGTGAGTGGGAGCTTGGGCAGGGCACTTCAGGAGAGACTGGCCCTATTAACCCACACTGCTGTCCAAAAGCAACATCCAGAAAGGCTCATGATCATGGCCCTGCTTTCCCCAAGAAGGCAGGAGAGTTGGACCAAGCCTGGCTTTCTCACATGTCCTGAGCATTCTAGCACCCCCTGGGGTTCTTCCACCTCACACATGTGCACACACACTCCACACATACATTATCATACCACACACGATAACAATCATACACTCTGCACACATACATACACATACCTCAACATATCCCATGTACACACACAGTCACATCATATGCACATATACACATACATAAACACACTACATACACACCTCACATACATATACAAACACACCCCACACATTATATATGCATCCTATGCATATATATAAGCACACATCACACTGACACATGCACACAAAACACATACACTACATATATACCATATGCATATATACAGATTGATTTGAAGCACTTAATAAAGTATCGAGCAATGATTTTAGGCATTTTTTTAAAGACTGACTATATCTGGAATAATAAGGAATACTTGAGTTTGAAAAGAAGGGACTAAATGGATTTATTTGGGTGCATTTTCACAATAACTCTCAAAGAATCTTAGTGACTTTAAGATATCATCTAGCCCAATAATAACCAAGAAAACTTAGAAAAATAATAACAAAGGGAACTTGTACTACCAGATGTTAAATGGTGTTAAATAATATAAAACTAAAAAGAAAAGACAGATCGATGGAATTAGAGTAGAAAGTTCAAGGGGATAATTTATTTAGAAAATAACAAAGATTTAAAGTGTTTTAACTAAAAATTCATTTCAAAAAGTTAGAAGAGGAATAAGCTAATTCAGAAGAAAAAAAAATTTTTTTTTTTTTGGAGACGGAGTCTCACTCTGTCACTCAGGCTGGAGTGCAGTGGCGCAATCTCGGCTCACTGAAAGCTCCACCTCCTGGGTTCACGCCATTCTCCTGCCTCAGCACCCCCCGAGTAGCTGGGACTACAGGCACCCGCCAACACGCCCGGCTAATTTTTTGTATTTTTAGTAGAGACGGGGTTTTACCTGTTAGCCAGGATGGTCTCGATCTCCTGACCTTGCGATCTGCCCATCTCAACCTCCCAAAGTGCTGGGATTACAGGCATGAGCCACTGCGCCTGGCCAGGAGAAAATTTTAAAAGGAAATAAGGTTAAAGGTGAAATTTATCCTCAAAAAAATAAACTTCAACAATAAGACCAAAGCCTTGTCTCTGAAAAGTTCAGTAAAATAGACCTCTGGCAAAATGTATACAGAAAACCAGAAATAAGCAAGTTTAGGGAAGAGAAAGCCAAGATATACAGGTGATTTTTTTTTTTTTTTTTGAGAGAGTTTCTCTCTTGTTGCCCAGGCTGGAGTGCAGTGGTGCGATCTCTGCTCACTGCAACCTCCGCCTCCCAAGGTTCAAGCAATTCTCCTGCCTCAGCCTTCCGAGTAGCTGAGATTACAGGTGTACACTACCATGCCCGGCTAATTTTTTGTATTTTTAGTAGAAAGGTGGTTTCACCATGTTAGCCAGGCTGGTCTCAAACTCCTGACCTCAGGTGATCTGCCCACCTCAGCCTCCCAAAGTGCTGGGACTACAGGTGTGAGCCACTGAGCCCGGCCTCTTTTTTTTTATTTTTTTTGAAACAGAATCTCGCTCTGTCACCCAGGCTGCAGTGCAATGGCACAATCTCAGCTCACTCCCAGGTTCAAGCGATTCTCATACCTCAGCCTCCCAAGTAGCTGAGACTACAGGCACGCGCCACCACACCTAGCTAATTTTTGTATTTTTAGTAGAGACAGGTTTTCACCATGTTGGCCAGGATGGTTTCGAACTCCTGACCTCAAGTGAACCGTACACCTTGGCCTCCCACAGCGCTGGGATTATAGGCGTGAACCACCGTGCTGGCTAATATTTTAAATTATAAGAGAAAACCACTGCAACCTTATTGTATAAATTTGAAAATCTGAAAGGAACTGGATGATTTTCTAGAAAGTATTAATTAGTAAAATTGATAAAAAGTTTGAAATTTTTAATAGATCACTAACTATAGATAAAATAGAAAAGGAAACCAAAACTCTATTCGACAAAATTATAGAAAATCCAGATAGTTTTAAGAGGCTAATTCTATAAGATCTTCAAGAAACAGATGATGCTAATGTAGTTTTAACTATTTCAGAACATAGGAAAAAACAAAGATGTGTCAGCGCTAGGTAGAAAGCTAGACAAAGACAAAAACCAAGTAAGGTTAGAAACAGAAAACTATAGACCAAAGGTAAAAGATAAAAGTAAGAATAGAAGTTAATTAAATAGAAAATATACAATAGAGGCTGGATGCAGTGGCTCATGCCTGTCATCCCAACACTTTGGGAGACCAAGATGGATGGATCACCTGAGGTCAGGAGTTCAAGACCAGCCTGATCAATATGGTGAAACCCATGTTTGCTAAAAATACAAAAGATAGTCAGGTGTGGTGGCATGCGCCTGTAGTCCTAGCTACTCGGGAGACTGAGGCATGAGAATCACTTGAACCCGGGAGGCAGAGGTTGCAGTGGGCCAAGATAATGCCACTGTGCTCCAGCCTGGACAACAGAGCAAGACTCTGTCTCAAAAAAAGAAAAAAGAAAGAAAATATACAATAGAGCAGATCTATTAAAATGTGGCGAAACTAGGCCAACATTCTCCCAGTTTTGTCACTTTTTTTTAAAGAAAAGCCAGCAATCTTAAATAATCCATGTAATATTTCCCAATTTGTTAATATTAATAACTCATTCAAAATGTTTTAAAATGTTATGAAGGCTAAATAGAATACATCTATACCCCACAGCTAGTTTGAAATTTCTACATAGCCCAATCTGACTTATGAATATAAATGTAAAAATACTAATAAAATACAAGCAAATCAAATCCAACAGTATATTCATGATCAAGTTGGTATTTATCCTAGAGATGCAAAAATGGTTCAAATTTAGTGAACATATTAGTGCAGGGGTTGGCAAACTATGGCCTACCAACCAAATCTGGCTGGCTGCCTGTTTTTGTACAACAGGTGAGCTAAGGATGCATTTTACATTTTCAAATGGTTGGGTGAAAATTTTTAAAGTTAAAGACTTTTCTATGGCCAGAAAAATGTAAAATGTTTTTAACTAAAAAAATGAATTTGGCCAGGCACAGTGGCTCACGCCTGTAATCCCAGGACTTTGGGAGGCCAAGGCAGGCGGATCGCTTGAGGTCAGGAGTTTGAGACCAGCCTGAGCAACATGGTGAAACCCCGTCTCTACTGACTCGATCATGCATACACTGTGGGATTTGATTTGCTAATATTTTATTAGTATTTTTACATCTATAGGCATCAGTCAAATTGGTCTATGAAGAGATTTTTACCTTTGACCTTTTGTCTATAGTTTCCTGTTTCTAACCTTATTTGGTTTTTGTCTCTGTCTAGCTTCCTACCTAGCACTGACAAATCTTCATTTTTTTCCTGGGTTCTGAAATAGCCAAAATTGCATTGGCATCATCTGTTTCTTGAAGGTCTTATAGAAATTGCCTCAAAAGCTACCTGGGTTTTCTAGTAACCAAGGAAATGAAAAAGAAAAAAAAATCTGGCCCACCATTTGCTTTCAGAAAGTTCAAGCATTTGTATTTATATATGAAGCAACTAAGATGCAGAGTTGTTAACTGAATCAGGTTGCTAAACTAGTAAATAAACAGTGGGGAAATAAAAATCCAGCTCCCAGCAAGAGAACCATTATAGAATACCATCTCTCCCAGCAGTCCTCTTGCTCAAAGTGGCAAGGCTACGGTCTAGCAGGACTGAGACTTCTGTGGCTACTGACACATTAAAGTTCAATTCAACAAGTGTTTGCTAAGCACCTATGGAGCTGAGCCTTATAACTGGGCACTGGGGATACATATAGCAGTGAAAAAGATGGAGTTTATAGTCAAGTGGGAGATTGGGTAAGCATTACAATAGAGGAAACACAGCAACCTCTGGAAGCATAGAATAACATTTCACTTAATCTGGGGAGCTAGGCAAACCAAGATGATAAAGGGGGTCAAGGAAGACTGCCCAAAGAAAATCACCTGCAGTATGATTTAGCCAAGTATAGGAGAGGAAGGAAGGGTTACAGGCAGAAAGAACAAAACATGTAAAGGCCAGAAAGTGAGAGGGGGCGTTGTACGTTTGAGGAACTGAACAATGGGAAATGTGGCAGGGAACTTAGAACGTGAGGGAATCAGTAATATGCAAGAAAGTAAACAGGGGCCAAATCATACAGGGCCTCGGCCAGGCGCGGTGACTCACGCCTGTAATCCCAGCACTTTGGGAGGCTGAGGTAGGTGGATCACCTGAGTTCAGGAGTTTGAGACCAGCCTGGCCAACATGGTGAAACCCATCTCTACTAAAATACAAAATTAGCCAGTGTGGTGGCGCATGCCTGTAATCCCAGCTACTCGGGAGGCTGAGGCAGGAGAATGGCTTGAACCCGGAGGCAGAGGTTGCAGTGAGCTGAGATCATCGCATTGTACTCCAGTCTGGAAGACAAAAGCGAAACTCTGTCTCAAAAAAAAAATAAATAAATCATATAGGGCTGCATATTTTATTATAAGGAGATTGGGCTTTATTTTAAGAGCATAGAGCAGTTGTCAAATATTTTAAGCAAGATCCCAACAGCCTTTAATTCACATTTTAGAAAGATTGCTCTGGCTAGAATACGAAAAAAAAAAAAACAAATTGGTTAGGGGTGGAGGCGTTTGCATGACATGAGGGTCGGAAGCAAAAATTGCTCTTAGAAGTCTTTTCTGGTCATCCAGGTAAAAGATGACAATGACCAAACTAGGGAAGTGGCAATAGGGATGGAAAGAGATAGAATCAACAGGCCATGGTGATTGAGTAGAAGATGGAATGCAAGGAATTCTGGCTTGAGAAATTGTTTAGAAGTGCCCTTTGCAGAAATGAAGAACATGAGAGGCAGGGCTGAACTGAGGGGAGAATGGATGAGTTCAACTGTGAGCCTGCTAAGGTTGGGTGACCCATGTGCCATCCAAGTGAAGATGTCAAGTGAACAGTTGAACATAATGGTCTGAAGCTCAGCAAAAAATACTTAGGCTAGAAATATAGATTTAGGAATTCCCTGTGAGGCCATGAGCATGCATAAGACAGCCCACAGGGAATGTTTAATGTGAGAAAGCTCAGGACAGAACCAAGAGTAGTACCAACTGAAAAAACAGGCAGAGGAAGAAAGGCCTGAAAGGGGAAGGAAAAGTCAGGGGATGTATTAAGAAGGAAATAATAGTCAACAGTGTCAAATATTGTTAAGAGGTCCAGTAGGTTTAATAACTGAGAAGTGTCCATTAGATTTAGCAACAAGACAGTCCCTGTTGACCTTTCATCCCAGAATAAAATGCTGGGGGGCAACAACTTCACATGAATGAAAAGGTACCAAATTTACTCTAAAAGGAAAAACACCCTGGACTCAAAGCCAGACGATATTCTTGGGTCAGGTTTTTTTCATGTCCTAAATTTAACCAGCTGGAATGCTTTGTTAAGTGGTATTTTATTCACCCTTGAAATGAAGGATTTGCCTTTTAAAAGTGTCTCTGTAATTCATCTTCAAGGTAGAACAAGGTGGTATCTTTGGGTTAATTGTTCTCTACAGAAACAGATGCTGGTTGCTGTAAATACCACTGAGGAACTTTAATGTGCCCCAGATGTAGAAGCCTCTAGTGACCTAAATACACAAACAGGGACTAAAGAGAACCAAGTAAAAGATTCAAGATTTCAAGTGTAAGCGGAGAGATACTGCTTCAAAGTGGAAGAGACCAAACCTTCACCACCAAAGGAATGTGAACTAGTAAGTTGAGTCCAAAGATAAAAGCTAAAGACTTGATAAGAGCCAGAAAAGCAGAGTGCCTGGTCTCTGCTAGAATGACTCAGCACCCTCGCAGTTAGGCTGGAAGCCCTTTCAGCCTCTTCAAGAGCTGCTTTTCCTGGCCTGATAATGAGCAACTTGGCCTGGCATAATCCTACATTCCAGAGGCCCTCAGTTTTTCAAAATTAAAAAACAATATAGACTTCTGTTTCCAGCCAAGATGGAATAACAGGAACTGGATTTTCCCTTCACCTGAAACAACTAAAAGACTGGACAAAATATATGAAACAATGGTTTTTAAGATATTGTACATCAGGCAACGAAGGACAGTGATCCCTGAGAAACAGAAAAGAGACAAGCTGTGCCCTGTGATCAGCCCAGCTTATTCCCGGGAGAGACTTTCCAAAAGGGAGAGGGAACTCAGGCCAACTCCAAATCCCTGAACTGAGAAGTTCGGGAGGCCAAGGCAGCTAGAGTTCCAAGGCAGAGTACCAGAGAGGAGACAGTCACACAAAGAGAGGGCCCCAGAGGTCTCCAGAGAGTCCCCACTCACAACTTCAGCTAAGTGCTAATGAGCTCATGGGTTTGAGGAAAGTATCCCAAGGCTGGGGAAAGAACCACCAAAGAATTACAGGGAACAATCTTTAAAGCTCACACAGGGCCAGGAATAGTTCTTAAGCTCATCAACCAGAGTGGAAAGACCTTCTAATTCCTTAGGAGGTATTAGATAGAATACTCAGAAGGGTCTTCCCTCAGTTGTGGGGAATAATCAACCCTAGATTAAATGCTGTACTTGTCCATCTAAAAAAAAAAAAAAAAAAAAAAGTTTAAAAGCAAGACCCAAAAGGATCAAACTGTTTTTGATTTTGGTTTTTGTTTTGTTTTGTTTTGTTTTGTTTTTTTGATACTGTCTCGCTCTGTCGCCCAGGATGGAGTGCAGTAGCAAGATCTCAGCTCACTGCAACCTCCACCTCCCAGGTTCAAGTGATTCTTATGCCTCAGCCTGCTAAGTAGCTGGGACTACAGGTGTGCACCACCCCACCTGGCTAAGTTTTGTATTTTTAGTAGAGACAGGGTTTCACCATGTTGGCCAGGCTGGTCTCAAACTCCTGACCTCAAGTGATCCACCCACCTCAGCCTCCCAAAGTGCTGGGATTACAGGCATGCACCGCACCCAGCTAGGATCAAACTGTTTCTAAGTAACTTAACTGCATCCCAGAACAAGCTAAAGAATACTTGTAAGAATATAAAAATATCTAGAACCCAAAAAGGCAAAATTTGTTAAATCTGGTATCTAATAAAAAGTGAACAGGTATGGCAAAGAAGCAGAAAAAAATATGAACCATAATAAGGAGAAAATCAATAGAAACCAACCGAGAAATGACATGTTAAGTACGCCAGGTATGGTGGCTCACACCTGTAATCCTAGCACATTGAGCAGCTGAGGCAGGAGGATGGCTTGAGGCCAGGAGTCTGAGACTAGCCTGAGCAACTTAGACCCCATCTTTACAAAAACTTTTAAAATTAGCTGGGCATGGTGGCACATGACTGTGGTCCTAGCTACATGAGAGGATGGCTTGAACTCAGGAGTTCGAGGTTGCAGTGAGCTATGATCACAGCCTGGGTGACAGAGCAAGACCCTGTTTAAAAATAAAAATAAAAAAAGAGTATGTGAAGTAAAGACATGGAAGATATATATATTTATTATATTATATAATCATATAATGAGTATATTATATAATCATATAATGAGTATATTATATAATCATATAATGAGTATATTATATAATCATATAATGAGTATATTATATAATCATATAATGAGTATATTATATAATCATATAATGAGTATATTATATAATCATATAATGAGTATATTATATAATCATATAATGAGTATATTATATAATCATATAATGAGTATATTATATAATCATATAATGAGTATATTATATAATCATATAATGAGTATATTATATAATCATATAATGAGTATATTATATAATCATATAATGAGTATATTATATAATCATATAATGAGTATATTATATAATCATATAATGAGTATATTATATAATCATATAATGAGTATATTATATAATCATATAATGAGTATATTATATAATCATATAATGAGTATATTATATAATCATATAATGAGTATATTATGTAATCATATAATGAGTATATTATGTAATCATATAATGAGTATATTATGTAATCATATAATGAGTATATTATGTAATCATATAATGAGTATATTATGTAATCATATAATGAGTATATTATGTAATCATATAATGAGTATATTATGTAATCATATAATGAGTATATTATATAATCATATGAGTATATTATATAATCATATGAGTATATTATATAATCATATAATGAGTATGTAAATTTATATAAAATATATTTCTATATTATATAAATATATATAATGTATACTTATATATTATATATTATATATATTATATATTATATATAAAATATAATATATATTTATATTTATATATTATATATTATGTATAAATATATTTTATTTATATATCATATATAAATATATTTTATTTATATATTATATATAAATATATAATATATATTTATATATATAAAAAGACCCAATTGAACAACTAGAGGTGAAAAATATAATGCCTGAGATAAAAAACACAAAAGGTGGGATTAACAATGGGTTAGACATTGCACAAAAAAAGATCGGTGAACTCGAAGACACAGCAGTAGAAACCACCCAAAATTAAACACAAAGAAGACCAAAATAAATGAATAAATGGATCATCAGTGAGCTATGGAACAACTTCAAGCAGCCTAATAGACACATATTATTAACTGGAATAGATATGTATAATAACTGGAATCCCAGAAGAAAGTAGGGGACAGAAAATATATTTAAAGAAATAGTGGTTGGGCTTTTTCCAAGTTTGATGAAAACTGTAAACCCCACAAATCCAAGAAGGTCAATGAACTCTGAGCAGAAGAAACGTGAAGAAACCTAAAAGTACATCATGATCAAATTGCTTAAAACTAGTGAAAAGATAAAATCTTAAAAGCAGCCAGAAAAAAAAAAAAAACTACACATTACATACACAGGAGCAAAAATAAGAATGACATCAGACGTCTCATCAGAAACTATGTGACAGAAGACAGGGAAGCAATATCTTTAATGTATTGAAAGAAAAAAAACAGGCTGAGTGCAGTGGTTCATGCCTGTAATCCCAGCATGTTGGGAGGCCGAGGTGAAGGGATGGTTTGAGGATGGCTTGAGGCCAGCCTGTGTATATAAATAATAGCAAGACCCATCTCCACAAAAAAAATTTAAAAAGTAACCAGATATGGTGGTGCATGCCTGTAGTCCTAGCTACTCGGGAGGCTGAGGTGGGAGGATTGCTTGAGCCCAGGAATTTGAGGCTGCAGTGAGCTATGATCACACTATTGGACTCCAGCCTGGGCAACAGAGTGACCCCCTGACTCTTAAGAAAAATAAAACAAAAAGAAGAAAAAGAAAAACAGAATTCTTTACCCAGCAAAAAATATCTTCCAAAAATGAAGGTAAAATAAAGATTTTTTTCAGACTTACAAAAGCTGACTGAATTCATCATCTGCAAACATGCGCTACAAGAAATGTTAGTCTTTCAAGTTGTGGGAAAATGGTACCATATGGAAGTCTGGATCTACACAAAGGAATAAAGAGAACACTGGAAATGCTAACCACATGGGTATATATGAAATAGCTTTTCTTATTATTTAAATCTGTTTAAAAGAACAGTATAACTAGGATAGGAACCATTGACTTAAAAAAAAAAAACACCCAGAGCTCCCTGCATCCTGTAATAAATTGCATATGTTGCCTTCTGATTAGATAATTGCAAGAAGCAAACTCAAGGGAAGCTATTAGCAAGTTAGCAATTGCAATCATGTGGGAATATGGATGCTACTTATGGAAGAAAATAATATAGATATGTGTAGTCTAAAATGCAACAACCACAGTTGAGATCAGCTGGATTGCACTCAGGTTTGAATATAAGGCTTATGTAGAGTAAAGTCTGTTTCTGGATCCATGTACTGTGATGGTGAAGTGCCCTTCCAGTGGACATAGCAGACCATACTGTAAAGAAACAGGGGCAAAGGTCATGGCATCCAGGGATCCCAAACCTTCTCCAGGGAAATCTGATTGGAAACTAGAGGACATATCTAAGTTAGTTGTTCTGGAGCTGGAACTTAGAGAAGTGGCATGTATTGCCTTTGCTTCCAGATTCTTTCCAATCACTGAAGGCCTGCCCCCACCTTTTTTTTTTTTTTCTTTTTTTTTGAGACGGAGTCTTGCACTGTTGCCCAGGCTGGAGGTGCAGTGGTGTGATCTCGGCTCACTGCAAGCTCCGCCTCCCAGGTTCAAGCAATTCTTCTGCCTCAGCCTCCTGAGTAGCTGGGATTACAGGCACACGCCACCACGCCAGGCTAATTTTTGTATTTTTAGTAGAGATGGGGTTTCACCATATTGGCCAGGCTGGTCTTGAACTCCTGACCTCGTGATCCGCCCGCCTCAGCCTCCCAAAGTGCTGGGATTACAGGCATGAGCCACTGTGCCCGGCCTGGGGACCCCTTATTTTGCCCTCACCACACTGCTGAAACTTCATTCACTCCGCAGTCACCATTGTCTTCCTCATTATGCAGACCACTTGCCTATTCACAGTCCTCATCCCCCTTGCCTGAGTTTTCCTGCTGCTTCTCTGACAACTCTTCTGTTTTCTGACTCTGCTTACCTTCTTGTGTGTTCCTGGCTGTGGCCTTTAGTCCTCTTCCCTCCTCAATATTCTTTCCCTCTGAGAGCTCATGCACGCCTATTGCTGCGCTCACCTGTTCTAACGACTCCTAGATCTCTCTCCATTCCCAGGGCCCAGCACCACCTCTGCCTTGACACACCAGCCACCAGTCTCCTTTCCCTCTGCCTCCACCCTTCTCTCTGACTGCTCACCTAGACTGTAGTGCTCACTGTCTGCTTCCATATCTTTCTACCCAACTAGACTGTGAGCAGCTCCAATGCAGTGACTGACGTGTTTTCTTAGTATCTGCCTACTGCCAAGCCTGGGGCCTGGCACATGCTTTAAAAAGCAAAATCTGGCCAGGCACGGTGGCTCATGCCTGTAATCCCAGCACTTTGGGAGGCCAAGGCGGGTGGATCACGAGGTCAGGAGATCGAGACCATTCTGGCTAATACGGTGAAACCCCGTCTCTACTAAAAATACAAAAAAAAATTTAGCTGGCATGGTGGCATGTGCCTGTAGTCCCAAATACTCAGGAGGCTGAGGCAGGAAAATCACTTGAACCCGGGAGGCGAGGTTGCAGTGAGCCGAGATCACGGCACTGCACTCCAGCCTGGGCAACAGAGCGAGACTCTGTCTCAAAAAAGTAAAAATAAATAAAATAAAAATAAAAAGCAAAATCTGGCCAGGCATGGTGGCTCATGCCTATAATCCCAGCACTTTGGGAGGCCGAGGTGGGCAGATCACCTGAGGTCAGGAGTTCAAGACCAGCCTGGCCAACATGGTGAAACCCCATCTCTACTAAAAATACAAAAAAATTAGCCAAGAGTGGGGGCGGGCACCTGTAGTCCCAGCTACTCAGGAGGCTGAGGCAGGAGAATCACTTGAACCTGGGAGGCAGAGGTTGCAGTGAGCCAAGACTGAGCCACTGCACTCCAGCCTGGGCAACAGAGTGAGACTCTGTCTCAAAAAATAAAATTAAAAATAAATAAATAAAAAGCAAAATCTGGCTTGGGAATTTGGTTCTAAAATCAGTGTATAAGACATAAATCATGAATAACCACAGTTATCCTTAAATAATCCCTATGTCAACCATAAAATACACATGGTTGACATAAAATGAGGAACAGCAACTTGACCTTCCCCATCTCACACTCCCTCTGGGACGTATTTTCAGAGTGGAAGAACTGGAACAGCTCCCATTAGTTGCAGTGCATCTTCTTTGTCACTCCCTCCCACTTGGGCTTTCATTTTAACCCCACACATTGACGGAATTCTCATAAGTAAAATGTATATATAACCACAATTTCATTGTAAAGGTTTGATTAATGATCTCTATCTTTCCTTAAATTGGTTCTTCCTCTTGACTTCACATTTCCGATAATAAAGCACCTCACTCCTCCCTTTCCCTCACTCTTCCTTTCTGGTTTCCGGGTTCTGGTTCATTCTTCCTTTGCATAGTATCCTTTTGTCTCCATTCTTATTGACATCTACATAATTCAGGCCCTGATCACCTCCCATCTTGATTTCTATGATAGCCTCCTAACTGGTCTTGCTGTTCTCTCTCCAATTCATGTTTCACTCTGCCATTAGATTAGCATTTTCTAAGGCATTGATTTAGTGCTATCACTCCCTGATTCAGAAGCCATCAATGTCTTCCCATTGGCTATCAGAGTCGAGGCCCTGCACAATCTAGTCACAAGCTGTCTTCAGTCCCACTCCTACTCTTCTGAGATAGGAACACTATGCTCCTTGCCTGCTCCCCAAACTTTTCCCACCTATGTCACTTCCCTCCACTTCAAACGCCACCTCCACAAACATCTTCACTTGCCAAAACCCAACCCAGCCTTAAATGGTAATATCCAAAGTGACCTCTCCTTCTTCTCATCACTGTAGTTCTTTCTTTGTACCACTTACCTCACACTGCTGGATTATAAGTACACTGAAGAAAGAAGACACATCATATATATTTTTTCATTTATTCACTCATTCAACATATATTATTAAGCACTTACAGTGGGCCAGGCACTCAGTGAGGTGCCGGATATTTATATAGTGAAGACAGAGAGAGCTCTGCCACTCGCAGAAGTCAGTCTGGCAGTAGAGGGTGGCAACAGACAAGCTGTGAACCCCAATAGTGGCTATGAGAGAAAAAGTGAAAGAGGAGAACTTCATCTTGACAGTGGTCAGAAAAAGCTTATTCCCAAATAAGTCATATGTAAGCTGAGACCTAAAGAATGAGTAGAAAATAGCCAGGCAGAAGGGGGAAGAAGAAGTCGAAGAAAAAGTACCAAAAAAAAAGTCAGAAGGTAAGAGAGGACATGGTTCATTAGAAGAACCTAAAGAAAAAAGTCTTGGCTAGAGCACATAGAACAAGGTGAGAGTGAGTGGCAATGGGGCTGGGGGGAGAGAAGCCAGGTCATAGCCCTGCCTTGTGAGGCTTGTAAACCAAGTGAAAGAGGTTAGGCTTGATCCTAAGGGGAAAGGAGAGTTTTAAGGAAAGATGTATCATGATATTCACATGGTGGAAAGATGGAAGAATGGATGGTCGGGGTAAAGATCAGGGGTTAGGCTTGGCATGGTGGCTCATCCCTATAATCACAGTACTTTGGAAGGTTGAGGCAGGAGGATGGCTTGAGCCCAGGAGTTTGAGATCAGCCTGGGCAACATGACAAAACCCCATGTCTACAAAAAATATAAAAAATAGCTGGGCATGGTGGCACACACATGTAATCCCAGCTACTCATGAGGCTGAGATGGGGGAATAGCTTGAACCCAGGAGGTCGAGGCTGCAGTGATCTGTGATGGTGCCACTGCACTCCAACCTGGCAGCCTGGGCAACAGAGCGGGACCCTGTCTCAAAAAAAAAAAAAAAAAAAGACTAGGGGTAATGCAATAATCCAGATGCAAGAAGACAGAGACCTGGACTAGGGTAATAGCAGAAAAAGCAGAGAGAAGTGGATAGATTTGGATGCTGCACCTAATATGACTTGCTAATTAACCGAATTCAGATGGACCATAAAAAGAAAAGGTCAAAGATGATCACACAAACTTGACCACTGCTTTGTACATAATAGGTGCTCAATAAATATTTGAGGAATGAATGAATTTATAGCAAATAAATGAATGAGCAAATAAAACAATGAATGAGAGGCAGAGAAGAGTTTTTTAAAAATGATTTTTGAAGATTCCTTCTAAGGCAAAGCCATCCCAAGAAGTAATATAGACCCCCAAAAAATTTTATACATATATATTCAATAAGTAAAAGGAACCATTTTAAATATAGGGAATTCTAATTACACTGGCATAGTTAAGGCCAAAAATATAAAGTAGACATTTCTACCTTATTTATCTTCAACCCTTGCCTATATATATATATATATATATATATATATATACATATACATACATCAGAATTTATTGGTTTACACCCTCCCTGTATTTTTCTTTTTTTTTTTTTTTCTTTGAGACAGAGTCTTGCTCTGTTGCCCAGGCTGGAGTGCAGTGGTGCAATCTTGGCTCACTGCAACCTCTACCTCCCGGGTTCAATCAATTCTTCTGCCTCAGCCTCCCAAGTAGCTGGGACTACAGGCACGTGCCACCACACCCAGCTAATTTTTCTGTATTTTTAGTAGAGACAGGGTTTCACTGTGTTAGCCAGGATGGTCTCGATCTCCTGACCTCGTGATCCACCCACCTCGGCTTTCCAAAGTGCTGGGATTACAGGCGTGAGCCACCGCATCCGGCCCCTCCCTGTATTTTTTAAAGGATGAAATCTGGCCAAGGTAAGCTTAGGGGATACAAAGAATTATAAGTGCCTCAGATCACTTTTGATATTTCTGCCCTTCCAAATACTGCCTTCCTGAGTCTCTGCCCAACTGATAATCTGTCAGGATCATCAACAGCTCCTAATTCCCAAAATCCTAGGCCTTTTGGACATGTGCCACCTTTTTTGCCACACTCTTGGAATGGTCCTTTCAATGGTCATCAAAATTGTTCAGAGTTGGATTCATTCATCAAGCATTGATCAAGGGCTTCCTACACGCCACCTGAGGTTGTAACCATGAAAACAATAGGCACAGACCCTTCTCTCGAGGAACTACCAGTCCCCTGGAGCATTTAAATTTACATATGTAAATTTATATATGTAAATGATGGAATGTGTTTTTCTTCATTTACTCATTAAGACGTTTCTTTGGTTGTGGGGACACTGGCCTCAGAAATTACCAGAGGCCTGCAGTTATTTGAAAGGTGTCAAGGAAAGCATGTCATTTTCATAATGTAATATCACCACCTAGTGGTTCCAGAAAACTTTACCAATTGATCCAGGAAAATTTTCTTACAAAGCTATATTCCTGGGAATGACTCTCCACCATTTCTCCAGAACTTTTCTTTTCTCTATCAAGATAATCTAAGGGATGATTCTCTAATATGTATTAGATACCCAATATCTGTTAAATAAATGCATATATACAAGGACAAATGAATTTCATACCCTGGTACCTTATGTCAATGGAAAGAGAAAATTTAGAAATTCCTTCCCAGATTCCTCTGGACTTCTAATCATTTCTATCTAAGAAGGACCTTCTAATCATTTCTATCTAAGGCCAGAGGTATTACTGTCCTTAATTTATCAAGCAATTCCTTTAGTGCATTTGAATAAACTGATTTTTTAAGTGTCACTGTGTCATGGATGAAACCCTCACTCCCTCCCACCAAACCCAAGGGGTTTTCTATAATTCAAAAACATTCTGGGCACGGTGGGTCACGCCTGTAATCCCGGCATTTTGGGAGCTCAAGGTGGGCGGATTACTTGAGGCCAGGAGTTTGAGTCCAACCTGCCCAACATGGAGAAACCCTGTCTCTACTAAAAATACAAAAATTAGCTGGGCTTGGTGGCACATGACTGTAAACCCAGCTACTCAGGAGGCTGAGGCACAAGAATCGCTTGAACCCAGGCGGCGGAGGTTGCAATGAGCAGAGATTGCGCCACCGCCCTCCAGCCTGGGCAACAGGGGGAGAGTCTGTCTCAAAACATACAAAAACAAAATCAATGAAGAACAGCATATGTCACCCCAGAGGTTGGGACCAATACCAAATCAAAGTCCAGCTGGCTCTGAGTATGGGCCTAGAATATCTGAAGATGCTTTCATTGATTATTGCTTCTACACAGGTGTCAAACTGGGCCAGGTGTCACTAGGAAGTGTGCTTAGAAAATTATGGTAACCCAGGCCAGGCACAGTGGCTCACACCTGTAATCCCAGCACTTTGGGAGGCCGAGGTGGGCAGATCACCTGAGGGCAGAGTTCGAGACAAGCCTGACCAACATGGAGAAACCCCGTCTCTACTAAAAATACAAAAATTAGCCAGGCATGGTGGTGGGCACCTGTAATTCCCAGCTACATGGGAGGCTGAGGCAGGAGAATCGCTTGAACCCGGGAGGCGGAGGTTTCGGTGAGCCGAGATCACGCCATTGCACTCCAGCCTAGGCAACAAGAGCAAAACTCTGTCTCAAAAAACAAAAAACAAAAAAAAAAAAGAAAAAGAAAATTATGGTAACCCAAAGCAAGTGGCCTGTCTCTAGCAGGGATCACAAAGTAGCAAAGAACAAAAGAAACTAAGGACTAGTTTCTTGGAAATATAAGCCTCTTAGAACCATATTCCAACAGGCTAAATCTTAAGTCTTTTTGTTGGTTTAAATAAGTAAAGTGAATCTCCAAGCAATACTGGCTATTAATTAAGCCTTACTTCTGCTTCCTTAGGCCCAGATGGTGGGGAAATGGCAGTTAGCAGCAGTTACCTGGCTCCTCCTCTCTCAGAACATTGGGAGGCTGAAGCAAGGGGTTCACGAGTACTCCTCCCCTTCAGTCAATTCTTTTCTACATAGCCGTGTCCTTCCTTTCAGTCTAAGGGTATCCCAGTCTCAGCTGTACATTAAAGAGAAGGAGTAGGAGAGGTGTCAGGATACAGTGGATGAAGACAGGCTGAGCCAAAGTTCTAAGCCCAGGCCCCTTTACTTGCTCACCTTTGACTTTTGGCCTCTCCAGCAGGGCCACTAGGTCTGTTGTGAAGGTCGTGGACCAACTCTAGGGATGCTGCTCATATTATAACCATCTTAGATTTGTACAGTCATTGAGTTAATTTTCAACAGATGATAGTAAAGTGTTTTAAAGGGTGTCTTTTTCTAATTCACTCAAAGGCCCCAAATGGGCTCTCATCAGCCCTGTATTCTGAGCCTAATTTATCAACTGGATACAGTCCACATCTATCTATGTAGTTGGCCAGAGAACCAACTGAAATAGTGAGTGTAAAGCACCTTGAAAACTAACATGGTTTGGAGATTATATTTCCCAGGGTTCTGTTTGTGATTGTCTAAATTTGAGGGATTGCTATGTGAAAGGTAAAACAAGTTTCAGTCTGCAAGTGTTTTATCTCCCTTTGAAAATAGACACAAAAGCTAGCATTCAGATAGTGCATATCTTCTCACTCAAAATCCACCAGGATTCAAAAAGTAACTGTGTACTCATCAACAGGACTTAAAAGAATGTTCCAATTTCTGAGAGTTGCTTCACCAATAAAGTAGTTGAATTTGTTATAAAATAGTTATACCTTCTCTTCTCTGCCTAAGTCTTTAGATAAAATAAGCAAATGGAAGGCAAACCCTGCCTTGTCCTCATCCCTACCACTGACCATTAGGAATTGGGTTTGCTCCAGTGGACAGGTCTGAGGGTAGGCTAATAAGAAGTGAAGAAAATTGTAGGCCAGGCACGGTGGCTCATGCCTGTAATCCCAGCACTTTGGGAGGCCGAGGCAAGCAAATCACCTGAGGTCAGGCGTTCGAGACCAGACTGGCCAACATGGCGAAACCCTGTCTCTACTAAAAATACAAAAATTAGCCAGGTGTGGTGGCAAGCACCCTGTAATCCCAGCTACTCGGGAGGCTGAGACAGGAGAATCACTTGAACCCAGGAGGCGGAGGTTGCGGTGAGCCAAGATGGTGCCACTACACTCAAGCCTAGGCAACAGAGTGAGACTCCGCCTCAAAAAAAAAAAGAAAGAAAGAAAATTGTAAATTTTTTAAACCCAGCCCACATAAGTCATTCTGCAATGCAACGCACATTCAAGAAATAATTATGAGAGGAGGAGCCAAGATGGCCGAATAGGAACAGCTCCGGTCTACAGCTCCCAGCGTGAGCGACGCAGAAGACGGGTGATTTCTGCATTTCCATCTGAGGTACCGGGTTCATCTCACTAGGGAGTGCCAGACAGTGGGCGCAGGCCAGTGTGTGCGCGCACTGTGCGCGAGCCGAAGCAGGGCGAGGCATTGCCTCACCTGGGAAGCACAAGGGGTCAGGGAGTTCCCTTTCCGAGTCAAAGAAAGGGGTGACGGATGCACCTGGAAAATCGGGTCACTCCCACCCGAATATTGCGCTTTTCAGACCGGCTTAAGAAACGGCGCACCACGAGACTATATCCCACACCTGGCTCAGAGGGTCCTACGCCCACGGAATCTCGCTGATTGCTAGCACAGCAGTCTGAGATCAAACTGCAAGGCGGCAACGAGGCTGGGGGAGGGGCGCCCGCCATTGCCCAGGCTTGCTTAGGTAAACAAAGCAGCCGGGAAGCTCGAACTGGGTGGAGCCCACCACAGCTCAAGGAGGCCTGCCTGCCTCTGTAGGCTCCACCTCTGGGGGCAGGGCACAGACAAACAAAAAGACAGCAGTAACCTCTGCAGACTTAAGTGTCCCTGTCTGACAGCTTTGAAGAGAGCAGTGGTTCTCCCAGCACGCAGCTGGAGATCTGAGAACGGGCAGACTGCCTCCTCAAGTGGGTCCCTGACCCCTGACCCCCGAGCAGCCTAACTGGGAGGCACCCCCCAGCAGGGGCACACTGACACCTCACACGGCAGGGTATTCCAACAGACCTGCAGCTGAGGGTCCTGTCTGTTAGAAGGAAAACTAACAACCAGAAAGGACATCTACACCGAAAACCCATCTGTACATCACCATCATCAAAGACCAAAAGTAGATAAAACCACAAAGATGGGGAAAAAACAGAACAGAAAAACTGGAAACTCTAAAACACAGAGCGCCTCTCCTCCTCCAAAGGAACGCAGTTCCTCACCAGCAACAGAACAAAGCTGGATGGAGAATGATTTTGACGAGCTGAGAGAAGAAGGCTTCAGACGATCAAATTACTCTGAGCTACGGGAGGACATTCAAACCAAAGGCAAAGAAGTTGAAAACTTTGAAAAAAATTTAGAATGTATAACTAGAATAACCAATACAGAGAAGTGCTTAAAGGAGCTGATGGAGCTGAAAACCAAGGCTCGAGAACTACGTGAAGAATGCAGAAGCCTCAGGAGCCGATGCGATCAACTGGAAGAAAGGGTATCAGCAATGGAAGATGAAATGAATGAAATGAAGCGAGAAGGGAAGTTTAGAGAAAAAAAAATAAAAAGAAATGAGCAAAGCCTCCAAGAAATATGGGACTATGTGAAAAGACCAAATCTACGTCTGATTGGTGTACCTGAAAGTGATGTGGAGAATGGAACCAAGTTGGAAAACACTCTGCAGGATATTATCCAGGAGAACTTCCCCAATCTAGCAAGGCAGGCCAACGTTCAGATTCAGGAAATACAGAGAACGCCACAAAGATACTCCTCGAGAAGAGCAACTCCAAGACACATAATTGTCAGATTCACCAAAGTTGAAATGAAGGAAAAAATGTTAAGGGCAGCCAGAGAGAAAGGTCGGGTTACCCTCAAAGGAAAGCCCATCAGACTAACAGCGGATCTCTCGGCAGAAACCCTACAAGCCAGAAGAGAGTGGGGGCCAATATTCAACATTCTTAAAGAAAAGAATTTTCAACCCAGAATTTCATATCCAGCCAAACTAAGCTTCATAAGTGAAGAAGAAATAAAATACTTTATAGACAAGCAAATGCTGAGAGATTTTGTCACCACCAGGCCTGCCCTAAAAGAGCTCCTGAAGGAAGCGCTAAACATGGAAAGGAACAACCGGTACCAGCCGCTGCAAAATCATGCCAAAATGTAAAGACCATCGAGACTAAGAAGAAACTGCATCAACTAATGAGCAAAATCACCAGCTAACATCATAATGACAGGATCAAATTCACACATAACAATATTAACTTTAAATATAAATGGACTAAATTCTGCAATTAAAAGACACAGACTGGCAAGTTGGATAAAGAGTCAAGACCCATCAGTGTGCTGTATTCAGGAAACCCATCTCACGTGCAGAGACACACATACGCTCAAAATAAAAGGATGGAGGAAGATCTACCAAGCCAATGGAAAACAAAAAAAGGCAGGGGTTGCAATCCTAGTCTCTGATAAAACAGACTTTAAACCAACAAAGATCAAAAGAGACAAAGAAGGCCATTACATAATGGTAAAGGGATCAATTCAACAAGAGGAGCTAACTATCCTAAATATTTATGCACCCAATACAGGAGCACCCAGATTCATAAAGCAAGTCCTCAGTGACCTACAAAGAGACTTAGACTCCCACACATTAATAATGGGAGACTTTAACACCCCACTGTCAACATTAGACAGATCAACGAGACAGAAAGTCAACAAGGATACCCAGGAATTGAACTCAGCTCTGCACCAAGCAGACCTAATAGACATCTACAGAACTCTCCACCCCAAATCAACAGAATATACATTTTTTTCAGCACCACACCACACCTATTCCAAAATTGACCACATAGTTGGAAGTAAAGCTCTCCTCAGCAAATGTAAAAGAACAGAAAGTATAACAAACTATCTCTCAGACCACAGTGCAATCAAACTAGAACTCAGGATTAAGAATCTCAATCAAAGCCGCTCAACTACATGGAAACTGAACAACCTGCTCCTGAATGACTACTGGGTACATAACGAAATGAAGGCAGAAATAAAGATGCTCTTTGAAACCAACGAGAACAAAGACACCACATACCAGAATCTCTGGGACGCATTCAAAGCAGTGTGTAGAGGGAAATTTATAGCACTAAATGCCTACAAGAGAAAGCAGGAAAGATCCAAAATTGACACCCTAACATCACAATTAAAAGAACTAGAAAAGCAAGAGCAAACACATTCAAAAGCTAGCAGAAGGCAAGAAATAACTAAAATCAGAGCAGAACTGAAGGAAATAGAGACACAAAAAACCCTTCAAAAAATCAATGAATCCAGGAGCTGGTTTTTTGAAAGGATCAACAAAATTGATAGACCGCTAGCAAGACTAACAAAGAAAAAAAGAAAGAAGAATCAAATAGACACAATAAAAAATGATAAAGGGGATATCACCACCGATCCCACAGAAATACAAACTACCATCAGAGAATACTACAAACACCTCTACGCAAATAAACTAGAAAATCTAGAAGAAATGGATACATTCCTCGACACATACACTCTCCCAAGACTAAACCAGGAAGAAGTTGAATCTCTGAATAGACCAATAACAGGCTCTGAAATTGTGGCAATAATCAATAGTTTACCAACCAAAAAGAGTTCAGGACCAGATGGATTCACAGCCGAATTCTACCAGAGGTACAAGGAGGAACTGGTACCATTCCTTCTGAAACTATTCCAATAAATAGAAAAAGAGGGAATCCTCCCTAACTCATTTTATGAGGCCAGCATCATTCTGATACCAAAGCCGGGCAGAGACACAACCAAAAAAGAGAATTTTAGACCAATATCCTTGATGAACATTGATGCAAAAATCCTCAATAAAATACTGGCAAACCGAATCCAGCAGCACATCAAAAAGCTTATCCACCATGATCAAGTGGGCTTCATCCCTGGGATGCAAGGCTGGTTCAATATACGCAAATCAATAAATGTAATCCAGCATATAAACAGAGCCAAAGACAAAAACCACATGATTATCTCAATAGATGCAGAAAAAGCCTTTGACAAAATTCAACAACCCTTCATGCTAAAAACTCTCAATAAATTAGGTATTGATGGGACGTATTTCAAAATAATAAGAGCTATCTATGACAAACCTACAGCCAATATCATACTGAATGGGCAAAAACTGGAAGCATTCCCTTTGAAAACTGGCACAAGACAGGGATGCCCTCTCTCACCGCTCCTATTCAACATAGTGTTGGAAGTTCTGGCCAGGGCAATCAGGCAGGAGAAGGAAATAAAGGGTATTCAATTAGGAAAAGAGGAAGTCAAATTGTCCCTGTTTGCAGACGACATGATTGTTTATCTAGAAAACCCCATCGTCTCAGCCCAAAATCTCCTTAAGCTGATAAGCAACTTCAGCAAAGTCTCAGGATACAAAATCAATGTACAAAAGTCACAAGCATTCTTATACACCAACAACAGACAAACAGAGAGCCAAATCATGGGTGAACTCCCATTCACAATTGCTTCAAAGAGAATAAAATACCTAGGAATCCAACTTACAAGGGATGTGAAGGACCTCTTCAAGGAGAACTACAAACCACTGCTCAAGGAAATAAAAGAGGACACAAACAAATGGAAGAACATTCCATGCTCATGGGTAGGAAGAATCAATATCGTGAAAATGGCCATACTGCCCAAGGTAATTTACAGATTCAATGCCATCCCCATCAAGCTACCAATGACTTTCTTCACAGAATTGGAAAAAACTACTTTAAAGTTCATATGGAACCAAAAAAGAGCCCGCATCGCCAAGTCAATCCTAAGCCAAAAGAACAAAGCTGGAGGCATCACACTACCTGACTTCAAACTATACTATAAGGCTACAGTAACCAAAACAGCATGATACTGGTACCAAAACAGATATATAGACCAATGGAACAGAACAGAGGTCTCAGAAATAACACCACACATCTACAACCATCTGATCTTTGACAAACCTGACAAAAACAAGCAATGGCGAAAGGATTCCCTATTTAATAAATAGTGTTGAGAAAACTGGCTAGCCATATGCAGAAAACTGAAACTGGACCCCTTTCTTACACCTTATACAAAAATTAACTCAAGATGGATTAAAGACTTAAACATAAGACCTAACACCATAAAAACCCTAGAAGAAAACCTAGGCAATATCATTCAGGACATAGACATGGGCAAAGACTTCATGACTAAAACACCAAAAGCAATGGCAACGGAAGCCAAAATTGACAAATGGGATCTAATTAAACTAAAGAGCTTCTGCACAGCAAAAGAAACTATCATCAGAGTGAACAGACAATCTACAGAATGGGAGAAAAGTTTTGCAATCTATCCATCTGACAAAGGGCTAATATCCAGAATCTACAAAGAACTGAAACAAATTTACAAGAAAAAAACAAACAATCCCATCAAAAAGTGGGGCGAAGGATATGAACAGCCACTTCTCAAAAGAAGACATTTATGCAGGCAACAAACATATAAAAAAAAGCTCATCATAACTGGTCACTAGAGAAATGCAAATCAAAACCACAATGAGATACCATCTCAGGCCAGTTAGAATGGTGATCATTAAAAAGTCAGGAAACAACAGATGCTGGAGAGGATGTGGAGAAATAGGAATGCTTTTGCACTGTTGGTGGGACTGTAAATTAGTTCAACCATTGTGGAAGACAGTATGGCGATTCCTCAAGGATCTAGAACCAGAAATACCATTTGACCCAGCAATTCCATTACTGGGTATATACCCAAAGGATTATAAATCATTCTACTATAAAGACACATGTGCACGTATGTTTATTGCAGCACTGTTCACAATAGCAAAGACTTGGAACCAACCCAAATGCCCATTGATGATAGACTGGATAAAGAAAATATGGCACATATACACCATGGAATACTATGCAGCCATAAAAAAGGATGAGTTCATGTCCTTTGCAGGGACATGGATGAAGCTGGAAACCATCATTCTCAGCAAACTAACACAAGAACAGAAAACCAAACACCACATGTTCTCACTCATAAGTGGGAGTTGAACAGTGAGAACACATGGACACAGGGTGGGGAACATCACACACTGGGGCCTGTCAGGGGTTGGGGGGCTAGGGGAAGGATAGCATTAGAAGAAATACCTAATGTAATTGACGGGTTGATGAGTGCAGCAAACCACCATGGCACATGTATACCTACGTAAAAAACCTGCACATTCTGCACATGTACCCCAGAACTTAAAGTATAATTAAATAAATAAATAAACAGAGGCTTGGGCCTGGGTCACTCTCAGGCCCAAGCCAGAGTTCTGCTTTCAGTGTGACACTGAGGACCTCCAAGGTCTGCTCTCCAGTAAAACTAGTGAGAATTGTTTAAAAAACAAAACAAAACAAAAACAAACATTTAAAAACTCTGGAAATGGCCTTAAGGGCATACCACAAATGAAGAAATATTTGTTCAAGAAAAATCTACAAAAACTCAGAATTACAAGAATCTGAGGTATGTGAACCAAGACGCATGCCCTCTCTGTCCTCCCACCCTCAATTCAGTGAGGCAAAAACTATACTTCAGGCTGTTTCAGCCTAGAACACAGGGCTGCCTCTCCCCTCAGCTATCTTCCCAGGAGGGACGGGATGTCAGCATTTCTCATCCTTCCCCACTACTTGTTGCTGCAGGCAAAGTTCCAGGTGAGTACAGCTGATATAAATGCAACCTCCACTGGTGGAAATAGGCTCTACCTTGGGCAAGGTACCATTGAAAATACTAGGGCTCTGATTGAGTTTGCCCCAGTTTATGGGCGGAGTTCCATGCTGAGAGGCAAGCCAAGAAGACCTGTGACTGCTACCTCTCCCATCTACCAAGCACTCAGAATCTAACATGGGGGTGTCACTCAGGAAGAAGCACATCATTGTTCCCACGCCCACCACCAGGGCTTTGGCTCAGAGATTTCCTCAGATACAGATGTAAGTCATAGAACAGAGAAATTTGGGAAACTCTTAAGTATATGGAAATTAAACAACACACTCTTAAACAACCAATGGATTTTTAAAAAATCATCAAAAGGGAAAAGAGAAAATACTTTGAGGTAAATGAAAATGAAGATATATCAAAACTTACAGGATACAGCTAAAACAGTACATAGAGGGATATTTATAGCTGTAGATGACTATCTTACAAAAGAAGAAAAGACCTCAAATCAGCAACCTTATACCACCATAAGACATTGGAAAAGAAGAGCAAACTACACCTAAAGCAAGCAGAAGGAAGGTAATAAAGATTAGAGTGAAAATTAATAAAATCAAGACTTTTTTAAATAACAGAAAATCAATGAAAACAAAACTGTTTCTTTGAAAAGATAAACAAAATTAACAAACTACCTAATTGACCAAGAAAAAAAGAAAGATGACTCACATTACTAGAACCAGATATAAAAGAGGGGACATGACTACCAACATTTAAAGGATTAAAAGAAATACTACAAGTCGGCTGGGCGCGGTGGCTCACGCCTGTAATCTCAGCACTTTGGGAGGCCAAGGCGGGTAGATCACCTGAGGTCAGGAGTTCGAGGCCAGCCTGGCCAACATGGTAAAACCCTGTCTCTACTAAAAATACAAAAATCAGCCAAGCGTGGTGGCAGGTGCCTGTAATCCCAGCTACTCGGGAGGCTGGGGCAGGAGAATCACTTAAACCAGGGAGGTGGAGGTTGCAGTGAGCCAAGATCATGCCACTGCACTCCAGTCTGGGCAACAAGAGCAAAATTCCATCTGAAAGAAAAAGAAAAAGAAAAAGAATTACTACAAGTAAATACTAATAAATTCTAATAAAATGCTAATAACTTCAACAAGTTAGATGAAATGGACAAATTCCCAGAAACACACAAACTACAGAAACTGATTCAAGAAGAAATAGGGCCAGGTGTGATGGTTCACGCCTGTAATCCAGTACTTTGGGAGGCTGAAGCAGGTGGCTCATCTGGGCTCAGGAGTTCAAGACCAGCCTGGGCAATATGAAACCCTGTCTCTACCAAAAATACAAAAAATTAGCCAGGCATGGTGGCTCATGCCTGTAGTCCCAGCTACTCAGGAGGCTGAGGTGGGAGGATCACTTTAGCCTTGGAGGTGAAAGTTGCAGTGAGCCAAGATCGTGCCACTACAGTCCAGCCTGGGTGACAGAGTGAGACCCCATCTCCAAAGGAAAAAAAAAAAAGAAGAAGAAGAAGAAGAAGAAATAGGCAATCTGAATAGGCTTATATCAATAAAGAGATTGAACGAATAATCAAAAACACTACCAACAAAGAAAAGCCCAGCCCCAGATTGCCTTACTGGTAACTTCCACCAAACATTTAAAGAATTAATATAAGGCCGGGCATGGTGGCTCACGCCTGTAATCCCAAAACTTTCGGAGGCCGAGGCAGGCAGTCACTTGAGGAGTTCAAGGCCAGCCTTGCCAACATGGGGAAACTCCATCTCTACTAAAAACTGTAAAAATAAGCCAGGTGTGCTGGTAGACACCTGTAATCCCAGCTACTCAGGAGGCTGAGGCAGGAGAATCACTTGAACCCAGGAGGCAGAGGTTGCAGTGAGCCGAGACCACACCACTGCACTCCAGTTTGGGCAACCAAGCAAGACTCTGTCTCAAAAAAGAAAAGAAAAGGACTAATAACGCTACCACTCCTCACAAACTCCTCCAAAAAACTAAGAGAAAAAAATACTTCTCAACTCCTTCTATGAGGCCCTCATACCAAAACTAAAGACATCACAAGAAGACTACAGACCAATTTCTCTTACGATATGGATGCAAAAATATCCTAGCAAATTGAATCTAACAACATATAAAAATAACTAGACAACATGATCAAGTAGGATTTATCCCAGGAACACAGATTGGCTTAACATCCAAAATTCAATTAATGTAATATACCATATCAATAGAAGAAAAACCAGCCGGGCACGGTGGCTCACGCCTGTAATCCCAGCACTTTGGGAGGCCAAGGTGGGTGGATCATGAAGTCAAGAGATCAAGACCATCTTGGTCAACCTGGTGAAACCCCATCTCTACTAAAAATACAAAAATTAGCTGGGCGTAGTGGCACGTGCCTGTAGTCCCAGCTGCTTGGGAGGCTGACGCAGGAGGATCACTTGAACCCAGGAGGCGGAGGTTGCAGTGAGCCAAGATCGCACCATTGCACTCCAGCCTGGGTGACAGAGCAATACTCCGTCTCAAAAAAAAAAGAAAAGAAAAACCAAAAATACATGATCATCACAATATCACAATAGATGCAGAAAAAGCATTTACAAAATCCTATGCCTTTTCATGATTACAAACAAACAAACAAACAAAACACACACACGCACTCAACAAACTAGGCATAAAAGGGAACTCAAGATTGGGTATACCGTGGCTCACACCTATAATCCCACCAGTCTGGGAGGCTGAGACAGGAGGAACACTTCAGCCCAGGACTTTGGCAACATCGCAGGACTTTGGCAACATCGCAAGACCTTGTCTCTACTAAAAATAAAAACAAAAAAATTAACCAGGCATGGTGGTGCACTTGTGGTCCCAGCTGAGGTGGGAGGATCACCTCAGCCCAGGAGGTCGAGGTTGCAAGCAATGAGCTATAATTGTGCCACTGCACTGCAGCCTGGGCAACAGAGTGAGACCCTGTCTCAAAAACAAAAAAAAAAAAAGAAAAAGGAAAAAGGTAGTGCCAAGCATGGTGGCTCACGCTTGTAATCCCAACACTTTGGGAGGCCAAGGCAATAGGAGCACTTGAGCCCAGGAGTTCAAGACCAGCCTGGGCAACAAAGTGAGACCCCATCTCTACAAAAAATACAACAAAGTAGCCAGGCATGGTGGCACACACCTGTAGTCCCAGCTACTCAGGAGGCTGAGCTGGGAGGATGGCCTGAGCTCTGGGAGGTCAAGATTGCAGTGAGCCATGATGGTGCCACTGCACTCCTGCCTAGGCAACACAGTCTGTCAAAAAAAGAAAAGAAAAGAAGGAAGGAAGGAAAAGAAAAGAAAGAAACCGAGAGATTAAAAGAGAGAGGAAGGAAGGAAGGAAGGGAGGAAAGAAGGAAGGAAGGAAGGAAAGAAAAGAAAAAAAAGAAAAGAAGAAAACAGGGAACTCAGTATAATAAAGTGCTTCTATGAAAAACTCAAAGTGAACATCATACTTAATGGTGAAAGACTGAATGCTTTGCCCTAAGATCAAAAATAAAACAAGGATGTCTACTCTCTTCATTTCTATTCAACATTGTACTAGAGGTTCTAGCCAGGACAATTAAGCAAGAAAAAGAAATTAGAAGCATGAAGATTAAAAGGAAAGAAACAAAAACATCTCTATTTGCAGATGATATAATCTTGTATATAGAAAATCCTAAGAAGAGCTTCCAGATAGCTGAACACATGGAGATTCCTGGAGGGTGGCGTGCCCAGGGAAATCATGGAAGCCCCTTCCCCCATACCTCGACCTACACATTTCTTCATCTGTATCCTTTGTAGTATAATAAACCAGCAAGTGGGCAGGTGCAATCTTAGTTCCTGCTGGATGAAAGGAATGATAAGCCAAAAACAAGTTGGGCTGCATGTCAGAAGGCATCTTTCCCCACTTTGCCTGCAGGAGCATCACATTAGAAAAACACACTTCACTCATGAAGGGGAAGCCTCAGGACCATGTGACCACCCTGAAGTCACCTTGACATGTTAGGGATGAATTTAGAAGAGGACAATGATGGGGTTCAGGACATGCAACCCCAAAATATGGCACCTTGGCATTTGAAAACATGGCAGAACCAGGAAGGTCACTCTCATCATTCCCTCTTCTCCCCAAAACAAGTTTCTCATTTTGAGAGGGACCCTCCCTATACCTAAAGGGAAGGAATATCCTTAGCTCTGAAGACACAAGGGACACAAAGAAGAATCTACACAAACACGCCTTGCTAAGTTCCCCCAGTTTATTACCATTAGATCATACTCTTTTGTCCTCCAATCATATTTCTCCACAACTGTCTACTCTCCATCAAACAGCATAAAAATACCCAGGTTTCCCTGTGTTTTTGTCTTCACCTCCATAGGAAGGCTCCCATGTCATGTAAAACTTATATTAAATAAACGTGTGTGCTTTTCTCTTGCTAATCTGTCCTTTGCTATATATGTCTCTGTCATTAACCTAGCAACATGTGAGAAAAGAAATCTTTCCTCTGTCCCCAACAACACTATCAATAAAGGCGAAACACTCCAAAAAAGAAAAAGAAAATAATAAGAAATCCACTAAAAAACTACCAAAACTAAGTAACAAGGTAAGTAATGTTGCGGGATACACGATCAATATACAAAAATCAGGCAAAGATCATTATTGGCCACTAAGACCAGAGAAGAGACACCCAGACATTAAGGGCCTCCTGATGGAAGAACATAATGCCATCTATGAAATTTTCTTGCAAAAAAAAAAAAATACCATGAAGCAGCTCAAGCCTCTGGATCTAACAGTTTGCAGGAAATAAAGAGAATGAAGAAATGTGTTAAACAACACCATGAGGATACAACTGGAAAAATCAAGAATGTAGGAATCTACAGACCAAACAACCCAGTTTCTTCAGCAAATAAATTGCAAGAAAAGAAAAATGAAAAAGGAGAAAGTGGGACCTATAGATTAAAGAATTTTAGGGGCCAGGTGGCTCCCTCCTGTAATCCCAGCACTTTGGGAGGCCAAGATGGGAGGATTACTGGAGCCCAGGAGTTTGAGACTAGCCTGGGCAACATAGCAAGACACCATCTCTACAAATAATAAAAAAAAAAAAATTAGCCAGGCATGGTGGCGCATGGCTGTGGTCCCAACAATTTGAGGCAGGAGGATCATCTTAGCCCACGAGGTCGAGGCTTCAGTGAGCCGTGATCGTGCCACTGCACCCCAACCTGGGTAACAGAGTGAGACCCTATGTCAAAAAAAAAAAAGAAAGAAAGAAATTTTTGAGTGTATCAACCAAATACAATTTATGGGCCTTATTTGGATTCTAGTTTGAAGGTATCAACTGTGAAAAGAAATTAATAATAGAGGGAAATTTGAATTTGCCTGGATATTTGATATTAAGCAGCTATGATTAATTTTCGTAGTTATTTTTAACACTTTTCTTTTAGAAGTGTATGCTGAAATATTTATGGATAAAAATGACCTTTGCTTCAGATAACCTTGTTCAGGATGGGGGTGTGTGTATATGAAACAAGATTGGTCACAAATTGATAATTCTTAGGTAATGGACACATGGGATCTCATTAACTTTTATATGTTTCCAACTTTCCTGATTATAAAAAACATGGAGCCAGCATCCCTGGGACCCACATTAATCAATTACAGAGGAAGACAGACAGCACACCAGGAAGGAGAGGAAGTCAGACTCTGGTTAAATATGATGATGAATAACCTACCATTGTTTCTGGAGAATGAGGTGAGAGAACAGCAGACTGGAATAATGAAAAGAGCTCTGACCTAGCACTAGGAGACCCAGATTCCAGCTTAGCCCCACTTCCCAGCTCATGAGCTCAGTCAAGACAAATCCCCTCTCTGAGCCTTGCTATCCTTACCTTTAAAATGGGACTGCAAATTAATGATCTCTACATTGTGGGGTTAAATTCTTCCTCCTTAAAATTTGTCCCAAATGATGGCTCTGGACAGTCCTAATGTTTTGCAGGACTCAGGATAAGTGTACAAAAACAGGTCTACTAACCATGTCTGAACATTTAAAAACTATAAATTAAGCTAACAAATTGTTAAATAAAACATGTTCTAACTTGCTACCTTGACCAGTATACCTTCATGATCTAGAAAGCCAGGTTCATTCAAAATCCACAGATTCCTTGAGGTTCCACACTAACATGCAGCACTAGAAGAACCAGCCCTCACTTCTCATCCCCATGATCCCATCCTTACTGGGAAAGGCAACAAATGCTGATACCCCAGTCTATCTGTCCAAGCTCTGGGCACATCCCTCTCCAAATACCCTCCTCTTACCCCCTTGAACCCAGCAGCACACACACTGGTGGGATAGTCCACTCTTGGGAGATGGACCCACAAAAGAGGCCTGCAGAAGCCATGGAAGTAGGCAAGAGGCCACTGGGCAGGGAATTCCAGGGTTCCAAATACCAGGAACAAAGTCTAAAAGGGGAGTCACAGACTCCAGCTAGGTGTACGTCCACTTGGCTCTGCAGATTTCTCTGCCGTGAGGGGCAGCACAGCCAGAACACCAGAGGACTTTCTAAAGCACGGGGCCAAGGGCCTTCCTTGCCCAGATCTAAGATACTGAATACATCAAAGTTTCATTATATTATTCTCTTTCCTTTTACGTAATTTTGAAATTTTTACATTATATCTTTTTAAGGACTAAAACATGAAAAAAAAAAAACCTCCAAAACCAAGTTAGAAGTTCTCTCAGACTCTGAAATTCTGAGCCTTTATGAGCATCACTGAAACTTTCCTGTGCAGACTCAGTTCCTTAGAAACTAGAGCTTTTTGCCGGGTGCGGTGGCTCACACCTGCAATCACGGCACTTTGGGAGGCTGAAGTGGGTGGCTCACCTGAGGTCAGGAGTTCGAGACCAGCCTGACCAACATGGAGAAACCCCCATCTCTACTAAAAATACAAAATTAGCCAGGCATGGTGGCGTATGCCTGTAATCCCAGCTACTCGGGAGGCTGAGGCAGGAGAATCGCTTGAACCCAGGAGGCGGAGGTTGCGGTGAGCCGAGATCATGCCATTGCACTCCAGCCTGGGCAACAAGAACAAAACTCCATCTCAAAAAAAAAAAGAAAGAAACTAGAGCTTTTGGCTGGGCACAGTGGTTCATGCCTGTAATCCCAGCACTTTGGGAGGCTGAGGAGGGAGGACTGCTTGAGCCTAGGAGCTTAAGACCAGCGACACAATGAACATTATTTGATAACAATGTAGATCCCATCTCCAAAAGAAACCATTTCTAGGGAATGAGAGGAAAATCTAGGGAGCATCATGGCAGCTCCCATGAGCCAAATTCAGCCTCCTACAACTGGAAACCTTTCAGAACTTCAGAGATAAGAGTGACCCAGAAAACAGATACCAAGAAACATCTTTCCCTTCCTCCTAGAAACAGAAAATAAGTCTTTTGATTGAAAAGCAGTTGTGTTTAATCACCAAAATTATTCTGACCCTAATGGAAAGGAAATAATCTAAATTTAAAAAGGCTGGGGATTTTTCTCCTACATTTATTTTAGAGGCAAGTAGAGGTGAACAAAGAAAATGGAATCCCTAAGCTCAGAGCTCAGGCCCTGGTAAAGGCTCCAGAGAGCAGAAGCCCCTCTCCTCTTGCCCTTATGTGAAACGTTGCTGCCCTCAGGATACCAGCCATCCCGCTTTGGAACACGGCTGCCCCAGGGGATGCCTTCAGTCTATTCCTCCAGAGGCTTCTCACTCTGCCCCAGAGGACTGGTCCTCCTCATCCTCATCATCAGTGTCCTGAAGAATCCTAAGTAGTTTGAGCTCAGAGTTCCAGCCTGTGCTAGCCATAATTTCTGAAAAGTTAAAGGAGATCTTCTTTTGCCTGGCAGCCTGGGCTTCTGGCACAGCGTCCACTGGAGCACTAATGTCCTTGTTAGTGGGTTCTGTTTCATACAATTCAGGACCTAAAAGAAGATGCAGTCATTAATTGCACCTGTAAACTCCTCTCAACTACAACAAATGGAGGACAGAAAAGGAAAAATGGGGTGTTTTTAGGACTTCTCTGAGATAGAGGAACTGTGCCTTCAGGGAGGTAAACTATCCTGGTCAACACAGGTTCAACTCTCCCTATCCTCAGTCACTTACTAAGGTTCCTCTACTCTAGTAACTTACTTTTTACACTGTGGTGGAAATCCGCATGGTCATAGTAGTTCATCTTTGGTCTCTCCGTGGAATCCTGAAATTCATTGGGGTATAAGGAAATTTGAATCAAGACTTTAGGAAACTAAAAGGATTTTTCTAAAAGATGCTTCTCTTGGAGAAATTAACATCTAAGATGAGCCAGAGACCCACCTCTTGGGACTGAAGAGAAGCTTTTACCACACGTTCTTTGCCCTCCATGCTGTCCAAATGAACCTAGAACCACTCCTTCCCATTCCCTGCAGTCAACTAAGGGCAGACGGCCTCCAAAGATGGCTTCCAACAATTCCTCCCATTCTGGTATGCACATGCTGTTCCTCCCATCAGGAGATAGGGCCTATTTCTTCTCTTATTTACTCTCTGGGATGGACTTGTGGCTTCTTTGGCCAAGAAAATGTGGCACAAGTAACACTGTTTTAGTTCCAGGCCCATCCCTTAAGAAACTGCTTTCATGAAACTGCTTTCATGAGACTACTATGCTATCAAAAAGCCCAAATAAGCCACATGCAGAGGCCTCAGGAAGGAAAACCAGCAACTTGGCCAACAGCCTCAGCCCAGCTGCATTAAGTGACCTCAAGCAGGAGAAGAACAACTGTCCAGTCAACCCACAGAATCATTAGCAATAGCAAATCATTATGGTTAAGCTTTGGGGTTGTTACATAGTAATAGATAACTGAAACTGGGTCCTAGCAGAGGCCTTGGTACACTCTCACCTGTTTCGAAGTGGTTCCTTTTTCCATCTGCTGCTGCTGCTTCATGTCACTGTTCTGACCTGGCAGAGTTCTGTAACCTAGTAACCAAAGAGTCCATTCAATCTTCCTCTTATTACCATATCATACCCTATTTGGGGGCTTCTAGGTGACCCCTAGTCTACAAGTGACTCTGCATCCAGGAAAAGACAAGACCTTGATGGCAGGTAAAAGGTAGTTAGACCTTCTGAGTTCTACTTGAGATTCTGCTCACCTGGGACTGTAACTTCATCTATTACAGAATTAGAGATTACGCTCAAGTGTGTGTTAAAAGACCCAGGATTCCTCCAAGAAACCCTAATCTACTTTTTCACAGCATATGAATACTCCTCTTACCAGAATGTGACTCATCTTCTTGCGCCATCCCTCATGTACCCATAAACAAAGCAAAAACAAAAACCTCTAGTTTTATGTTTCTTTTGCATCAGCTGCTTCCCCAACTAGTCCCTAGGTAGATTCATTCATTCTTTTCTCAATCTCCCTTTCCCTAAACAAACATCTTCCAAGCTGCCACCAGAGGTATTATGCTAAATTATAGCATTTCCATGGACTCCCTACCAGCACTGGTTCTCACCTTAGCTGTACACTGGGAGAAATGAAGAGCTTTAAAAAACAAACAAACAAAAAACACTGAGGCCTAGTTCCTACCATCAGAAATTCTGACTTAATAGCTGGGACACAGTCTGAGTATTAGAGTTTTAAAAGCTTCTTGGCTGGGCGCAGTGGCTCACGCCTGTAATCCCAACATTTTGGGAGGCCGAGGCGGGCAGATCACCTGAGGTTGGGAGTTCGAGACCAGCCTGACCAACATGGAGAAACCCCGTTTCTACTAAAAATACAAAATCTTAGCCAGGCGTGGTGGTGCATGCCTATAATCCCAGCTACCGGGGAGGCTAAGGCAGGAGAATTGCTTGAACCTGGACCCAGAAGGCAGAGGTTGTGGTGAGCCGAGATCACACCATGGCACTCCAGCCTGGGCAACAAGAGCGAAACTCCGTCTCAAATAAATAAATAAATAAAAGCTTCACAATTGGTCTTAGTGTACAGTCAAGGCGGAGCACCACTGGCCTGGATGATAAAGGTCAAAAGACTTAGCAGTCCATACAAGCCCCTGCCTACCTCTTTGGTGTGATAGACCACTCTCCCTTAAATACCCAACCCCACAACCACACTCAACTGCTCAGTGTTTCCTGAGCAGCTGTGATCCTCCTAGATGCCTTTGCACAGGCTATTCCCTCTCAAGAGTTCTTTCCCATATCAGGAAAACTCCCACACATACTCAAGATTCAATGCAAAAATCATCTCTTCCATAAAGCCTTTCTCAACTCAGTGAGGACAGGCCACTGCTCTATGAACATGACTCACAGAGGCACCCCAGTCACCCAAGCAAAATTGCTCCTATTGGAGGCATTGGGAAGGGGTACAAAAGGCACCAGAACGGAATTCAGGGGAGTGGTAGTGGTCACCCTAGATGGAGTGTTAACCTTGGATACATCACCTCCTGCCCGGGGCCAAGCCCTGATTCTGTCCACCTCCCATAAGAAGGGCAGGAACCTTCCAACCTTCAGGTTAGAGCAGATCATTGGCATCAGACAACTAAGTGAGATGGGAAGGAAAGCAAGAGGGCAACATCCTTCTCAGGAAACCTCATCTCAGCCCTCCCAGTGCCCCAGGATTGGAGAGCTCTTTCTGATGATTAAACAGTTGTTTTCATATTAAAGTCAGCAATGTCCAGTCTGAGACGGGCACAACGATCCTCCAAAGTTTGGGGGGATTCTTTCTCCCTCCTCCCATTCTCCACTCAAGTTGAAAAATTTTGGAGGGATAGGGGTAAGTATATGCCTGAGCTCAGACATAATAACGACTCCAAAAAGGGGAGATGTCCATTCTTGTGTCCAGCATGAGCACTGGAGCAAAAGAACTGCCTGACAAGAGTTGGCTCCCTGACTCCTGGATGGGGCTAGACAATGTGTTGATTTTAACGTGAGGCTCCAGAGACTCTCTACCTTGTGGCAGGAAGGTTAGGGGGCCCCAGAGCTCTGCTTCCTTAGAACTCTTTTGGGGTTCTAGTGAGGGGCCCCAGCTCTCCCTGCCTCATTGGAAAATGGGCCCTCAGGGTTTTCTCTTCAGTAACCTGGGCTTGTTCCTCTCCTGATCCTCAAAGTGCTCTGCCTTTTCTAAGGTAGAACCTGAGGAAAAGATGACTGGGATTCATGTTCATGGTCATCTTTCAAGCCCTCATGTGAAGCAGACATCTGGCTCAGCTTGTTTGTTTAGCAAATTTATGAGGGAAGGATGGTGCATGAGAGACCAGACAGACTGAAGCATTCCAAGAAACTCTGAGTGCCTGACAAAGGCAGGTCTCAAAATGACAAGAGCATGTTTAGCTTTTCCTGCCCTCAGATACCTACCCCTCAGGGATCCTATCACCCCCAACCAAGCATATATTCCCCTTACCATAGAGACGGTCATGAACGGTGGTAACTGGATGTTTATGTGAAGTGCTCTGGATCCCTGGATCACTCTTGGCTTTCTTTTTAGCCTCCTGAAACCCACATCAGGAGGAACAAATTAGGATTTTTGGAAGTAAAGAAAACTTTTTTCAAAAGGAATATCAAAAAGAAGGAATTTAACATCTACAACCAGACAAGAACTTTTTATCTATAACCAGATAGAAAACAAGGAGACCCCCACCTTTCATACATCCCTTCCCATTCCAGGCTGTAGACCTCTCCCAGTCCCAGCAAGCCCCTCACTGCCACTCTACCTGTTTCTTAATAGGTGTTTTCACCTTCTTCTGTTGCTGCTGCTGCTGCTGCTGCCGCTGCTGCTGTTTCCTGTAACCTGGTGACCAGAGAGCCAGCTTGATCCTCTTCTAACAGCCCCCTCTCTCCCACTGGAATGCCTGCTGTGCCTTCCTTCACAATGGTGACTCCCTGGTAAGGACCAAGCCAGAGGGGCTGCTTCCTGAAACTATTGTTTCCTGAGTTCTACATGTGACCCTGTATGACTGTGGCCACAAATATAACTGAATTGGACCACGTTAAAGTATGAGAAATGTGGGCTAACAGAAAATGGTGCTTAGAGATCCAGCAGCAACAGCAAATCTACCTTCTGTCTTCAGGTTATGTAATTTCTTCAAACGTTCAGGATATCGCAGTGCTGGTCTCTGGAGAAAGAAAAAAGAAAAAGAAAAGCTCTACTGCAGGTCTTTCCCTTTCTCCAAATGTATCCCCCAAATGCGTTTATTCATCCAGTCAACAAGCACATTTTAAGAACCCAGTGTTTTGCAGCATTGTACCAGGGGCTACGGAGGAAGGGAAAAGGTGTGGGGAACAAAGTGCAGAAGAAATAGAGAACATGGCCAGGCATGGTGGCTCATGCCTGTAATCCCAGCACTTTGGGAGGCTGAGGTGGGCAGATCACCTGAGCTCAGGAGTTCGAAACCAGCCTAGGCAACATAGTGAGACCCTGTCTCTACAAAAAATTAAAAATTAGCCAGCCATGGTGGCGCACACCTGTAGTCCCAGCTACTCTGGAGGCTGAGGTAGGAGGATGACTTCATCCCAGCAGGTCAAGGCTGCAGTGAGCCATGATCAACCACTGCACTACACCCTGGGTGACAGAGTGAGACCCAGTCTCTCAAAAAAGAAAAAAAAAAAAAAAAGAAAGAAATAGAGAACATTGCTCTCTCAACACTTCCCCATCGACTGGCTTTTACATACATAGAGCCCAGCCTTCTCTGGGGCATGGGTTCAGAGTGGAAAGGCAGAAGGGAGATAAGGAATAGAATGTCAACTCTTCCAGATTTGAGGAGAGATGGGTTTGAATTTTCACATAGGCTTCTTCCCTGCTGTTTCCTAGCTCTTACTTCCAGGGTGAGGCGGTGTATAGATAGAAACATCTTAGAAGAAATCACACTGTCAGGTCGGTTCTTTTCCAAGGGAAGATTCTTTTTCATCATGGCCAATTTTATCTTCATCTCTGGACAGAGCATGGTTTGCTTTCCACCTGGCAAAAGTCTGAAGGGGACAGAGGACAGCCAGACAGTCAGCAACAGCTCTTCCCGGAAAGCATGGCTGAGGAGAAAGAGATGTAAAGGGCTCCAAGAAATTTCCACTTTGGGTCTGAAAAGGCCTGTACCAACAAGTGTTCATTTGGTAACACTTTTCTGATGCAACTACGATCATCATAGCTGCATATACTCAGTGCTGATTCTATGTCAGGCTCATGTGCTTTTACAACACCTGAGAACAGATATTACTCCCACTTTGCAAATGAGGAAAATGAAGCTTTAAGAGGCTAAATACATTACCAAAATTCATATAGCCAGTTAAGTTTCAATGTAAAATTCAAAGGTCATCTCACTGCAGACCACATATTCTGCCTACCACTTATTCATAATTCACCTATAAAAAGAAGACAGTGATAGTGCCTACCTCCTAGTGCAAATTTAAATGAAAGTACATGTGATATGCCTAGCACAGGGCCAGGCAAATGGTAAGTGTGACAAATGGTGGTGGTTATGATGGTCATCCCTGCCTGTTGGTAAGTCCAAGAGTTCAGTAAACAAATCGGGGTGATAGTTTTCTCCCAGTCCTACTCAGAAAAAGCACACTGTTTAGACCCATCCCAGCTTCAGTAAAAAGCAGGTGCTCTGGCTCTCCCACAGACCTACATGATACTTACTCCTTCAGTAGATCCTGAGGTAACGCTTCGGATTGAGCCCAGAGAGGTAGGAAATCTGAACTGAATTGTTCAGACAATTGCACTGGGGTTGGGGGAGGCACGATCATCCCTGGTGTTCCTACTCGTGTTCCTGCGGACTGATTTCCAGAGAGACCCAGAAATGACTTGCTTTTCTGGAAGAGAAACAATGGAAAGAATTCTCCAAAGCATTCTTTTTAGCCTAGTCCTTTCCATCAACATTCTAGCCTCTCAACACTACCCTGGCATGTACTCCAGCCATGGTTGCCTCCTCTGAACGATGAGGGCCGCCACATGTTTCCCTCTCAAGCTCCCAACTCTGTTGTTGTATTCAGATCATACAGGGATTCGTTGTTTTGTTTCATTTTCCAGAAAGGTCATTCGTTTACTCACTCAACAAACTGAACAAAAATTTATTGTCTAATTATGTGTCAGGCACAGGGCTAGGGATGGGGATTCAGCAATGAACAAAATGAACCAAGACACTACTCTCATGGACATAGCAGTCTTACAGTGACTTATCCAAGGTCACATTTACTCATAAATGGTACAATTAGAGTTAGAAGCCCAGGTCTTATAACCCCTAGTCCATTGAAATTCTATATGATCACGTTGGGGATTCGTTTTTAATTGACCAAAAACTCCCCCCCTGAACACGCAACAGTTCCTCCTATTATCTCAAGGTGCTCTTCATCTCCCTATAGGAAGGAGACAGAAAAAAGGAGTCTCTGAATAGAGAATGGTTTGGTTAATTATTCCTAAAGAAGGGTTTTCTTTAGCAGATTTGGATCATTTCAGGAAAGAACGGGGGTAAGGTGGAGGAGACCTGAAAGGAAAACAAAATAAACTCTACATAGCAATATTATAAAGGTTTGCACAAAAACATCAAACTCACCACTGCCGAGTTCTTTCTTTTCTTCTTCCCATGCTGGCTGGAGAAAAACAAAACAAAACAAAACAAAACATGCTTCTCAGCTGGACTTGAAATAAGAGTAAGCACAACTTATTCCCAGATATCTTAAACAGAAGCTCCAAGGATATTTGTGAATGATGACCACAAAGATTCCTATCTTTGATCAGTACTCAAAGATAGCTGGTTGGGAACCCAGCAGTAACTGCTGCCCAAGTACCTTCTGCTAAAAAGACCCCCCATCCTCATATCTAAATTAGGTTTCCCATTATTCTCTCAGGCAATCCGGTTACCTACTTTCATAGCATGAATCCAAATTAGAAATGATATATGTAGGTGTGGTTATGTCTGTAATGGCTGACTCCCCCTGACAAGGCTCCAACAGGACAGGGACCAAATCTATTTGGTTCACTAAATCCTCACTGCTTGACACAGAGATGTTTGGTAAGAAGTATTTTTTGCTCTGACCTCTTCCTCCTTGCCTGGGACGTGGATATGATAGCTGGATCTCTAGTAGCCAACTTATACCTTAAAAGCAGCCATGAAACTCCTTAGAAGTTGGAATCCATGGGCTAAGGATGACGGCCCAAAAAGCTAGAAGGAGCCCTGGTTTCTAATTATCTCATGGAGCTCACATGACCTAGCCTGCCTACTTCTGAGCTTCTTTCACACGAAAGGAAATAAACCCTTAGGGTTGTTTTTCATTTGTTTATACCATATATACACACACACAAATGCATATATATAGAGAGAAGCACTCACAGGATTATTTTTTAAAAAGAAAAACAAAAGAAATAAAAAGAAATTCTTAAGTTTCATCATCTCTAAATGTCACTTAAGAACCTGAAAGCCTCAAGGATCAGGAAAGAAGAACCAAACACTTTCCCCATGGTTGTCAATATTAGCAAGCCTTTGGGCCTTCACCAAATGGTCTTTGTCACACTCTTTTGTACACAAGTCCTATATGCTATTGCTTTTGTACACTGTACTAGGCCCTGGGGTTGAGAACAGAGATTCACATGCTTCACTGAGAACTTTTTCACTTGTTGCAAGTGGCTAATAAGAAAAACTAAGAGAGAGCATTTATTTCTTAGTCAAGCCTTATAAGTAAGTTGAGCCCTATCTTGTATGCTATTTACTGCCGTGTAAAATTTGATATGGAGAAGTCCCACAGCATGAATCTCAAAATGCATTACATTAAAATTCCAGTGTAGCAAAAGGCAGATGCAACAGACCACGACCTTCTCTGCTTGGCCTCCTGCTACTTGCAATGAGCTGGCTAAATGGGAGATCACAAAAAGGACGCTGCAGAAGACATCAGGGATTTATAGAGTCAAAGTCCTCTGAGTTCCAGATATGATACTCACCTCACATGTATCTCTGTTTCTTCTGGGATCCACAATACAACCATATTTCTAACATCTTCAGGGCAGGGAAGTTGCGTCTCATTCAAATTCAACACTGGAAACTAAGAGAAAGATATAAAGCCTATGTATGGCTTGAGGTGCTAAGCTCCTATATCAGATTAAGGATATGCTAAGCAAAGAGTCTGGTGGCACAGAAGATGATTTTAAGTTTCCCATCTTCAAGATATCTTCATAATATTCTCCCAAAAAAAACAGACTACTCCATCAAATATCAGTATAGGTATCTGCAAGAGTGAGTATTAATAAGCAGATAATCTCCCCTGCTTCCCTGTGCCATTAGGGTAGCATTTAGCAACTCCCAATCCAATCCCATATGAGGGTGCCCTGGGGCTTACCTACAGGAACATTACTTATCCTGCCCACTCCACTCCAAAGACTTAGATCCCACAGACATTACAATCTGCAGTTTGGGAGCAGGAAGAGAACTGATAGAAACAGAAGCAAGGTGTTTTCTTTTACAGTCTGACTACAATTATAGGCATTTATATAAAAGTCAAAGGCTAACTCTTCTCACATTTAGCTATTTAGGATCCTAGAACATAGTGCTCAAGGAAATCTTATAAATCACCTAGTCCATATTCCTGGTAAGATACACACACGAAAAAACTATTCAAAATAAGGTTGTCCCTGTGAAGACAAACTGATGGACTTGGAGGTAATAGGAGAGATTCCTTTTTATTATAAATCCTTTAATGCTTTTTGAATTTAAAAATCATGTTCATACATTATCTCTTCAAATAATTAACTTAAAATAATTTAATCTCGGCCAGGCATGACAACTCATGCACTTTGGTAGACAGAGGTAGGAGGATTGCTTGAGGCTGGGAGTTTGAGACCAGCCTGGGCAACATAGTGAGACCCTGTTTCTACAAAAAGTTTTTAATTAGCCAAGTGTGGTGGTGTGTGCCTGTAGTCTCAGTTACTCAGGGGTCTGAGACAGGAGGATGGTTTGAACCCAGGAGTTTGAGGCTACAATGAGCCATGATCATACCACTGCACTCCAGCCTGGGTGACAGAGAAAGACCCTGTCTCTTAAAATAATAATTATTATTGTTGTTATTATTATTTAATCTAATCCTCTTGTTCTAAAGAAGTCAAAGAGGTAAAGTGATTAGTCAATTCATCCATTCAAAACCATCTACCATCTCAGTTCCTTATACGCTCCACTACACATGATATTGAAAAGTGAAGCATCTCAAGAAAAAAATAAAAGGCATCCAGTAGTACTGCAAAGAATAGTAAATCTCTCTTTACCATAGTTAAGTAGGAGGGTTTTTTCTTCCTAAATTTCTAATTTAGCTCTACCCCTAACTAGCTGTGTGCTTTAGCTAATCACTACCCATCTCAGTTTCCTCACCTGCAAGATATATAAGATAGGCTGTGGTCTATCAAACCATTATAGTGTTCTTCAAACTGCAATTGCAACTTATTCATAGGTCATAAAATCAAATTTTTTGAATCACAGACCACATTGTTTAAAAATGAAATAGAATAAAACAGAATAGGGCAGAAAATATTAGAGTGCATAGTTAGGGTAAGGATTGTTCCATGGTATTTTTGTTGTAAAATCTATTTCTTACTGTAGATCATAGCTAAACACTTTGTAAGTTATCAGATGAGATGATCTTAAGGCCTACCTGGGTCTGCCATTCCAGCATTCCAGTTTCCCTGATTATGAGACGACAGTATTTACTGAGTAGCTGAACATGTTCTATGCAGGATAGAGACAGAAAATTCTCACCTACGCCAAACCCATACAAATAGATCCCACTGGCTTCTAGGATTTCTGAAAACAATATGGCATGTAGATAGCACAGAGTCTAGCATACAGGAAGGGCCCAATATTAGATGGTTACTATCAACATTACTATTCAGATTTTAGTCCTCCTGAGGAATAATTTCAAATAAAGGCAGAATAGTTTATTTCCACTAGTAAAGAAAAAATGTTGAAGAAGTACTTTTAAAATCTATGACTTACTTTGGGAAGTCTGTTAGTACAGTTGATCAAACTTTTGTCAGGTAAACCCTTCGGAGGCCTAAAAAATGAGTTCCACACATAAAACAGAAATACAAAAGACTTATTGGAATGATAACGTTAGTGCTATGAGGAAATCCTTCTACTTATCTACAGAAAACCTTGGGCTTAATGCTTACCAAATGAATGTAGGATCTCACCATATCCTTAAGTTTTGTTTGTTTTTCCCGGAACAGCTCCTTAACAGACATTGCACACTGCAAATACTTCACAACTATTTGTTCCATCAAACAGAATTCATAGCCTACTCTTCTCTCCAGCTAGAGACAGTTATATCACCATCAATGAAAGTTAATATTAAGTACTTTGATGTAGATGTTCAAAATACGTTACATAAATAAAATGCGGTATATACATACAATAGAATATCATTCAGCTTTTAAAAGTCATGAAATTCTGATACAGTAGTCCTTTATCCATGGTTTCACTTACCCACAGTCAACTATGGTCTGAAAATAGGTGAGCACCTATAACTAAGGTATTTTGAGAGAGAGAGAGAGACCACAAGGACGATATTCACACCATGAGTTTTCATCACAGTATATTTTAATTGTTCTATCTTATTGTTGTTAATCTCTTACTGTGCCTAACTTATAAATTAAACTTTACCATTGGTATGTATGTATACGTAACAACATAGTAAATATAGGGTTTGGTACTTTCACAGTTTCAGGCATCCACTGGGGGTCTGAGAATATATTTCCTGAAAATAAGGGGGGACTACAGTATATACTACAACACTGGAAACATTATACTATGTGAAATAAGCCAGACACAAAAGGACAAATGTTGTGTAATTCCACTTACATGAGGTATTTAGAACAGGCAAGTTCATAAAGACAGAAAATAGAATAGATATTACCAGGGACTGGGAAGAGGAGGGAATGGGGAGTTGCTGTTAATGGATACAGTTTTTGTTTGACATGATGAAAACATTCTGGAAATGGATAGTGCTGATGGATGTACAACACTGTGAATGTACTTAATGCCAATGAATTGTATGCTTAAAAATGGCTAAAATGGTCAATTTTTATTATGTATATATTTACCACAGTAAAAAACTCATATCCTTATGTTTTCATATCACTTGCTATTTTTCTTATTTTTTAAAAGACATGTTACATGCATGAATGAATGAATAATGTAAAGGGGTAAATGATAAAGATCTTTAGGAATGATAGTGGAATTTAAAAACAAAAAAAAGATAAAGACCTAACACTCAGCCTGCTTTATGAAGTCCTACATGACACAGACTCCTGCTTCCTGTTTCTACTGCAGCTCCCCAGCCTCATCTCTGACCACTCTTCCATTCCTGCTCTATGTTCTAGGCACAATGAACTATTTTCCTGATACAGACACAATTTCCTCTTGCCTCCAAGCCTTTGCATATGCTATTCCTATGGTTTAGAACTCGCTTCCTGCCAACCTCCCACCTACAACCCCCATTTCACTAGACTGCTCAGACTTCCAGTCTAGGCACAGATGCCACTTACACAGAAGACAGTGCCCTGACTTGGGAACCCTTTCTGGTGTTTCCACACACCAGGGGGCGGTCCTCTCATGACACTCATCATACGGACTGCTTATTTCTTTGCCTCCCCAACTAGGCTGAAAGTCCCTTGAGGATAAAGACTGTATGTTGTTTACTATTGTATCCCAGCATTCATCACAGTGGCCCGCACTAAAATACAGTTGTGAATTGAATGACTAAACAAATGTCATGGTCCCTGCTTTCAAAGGGCCTAAAATCCAGTTGGACAAACAGGAGATAAACATAAAAATATCAATAAGCATGTCAGGGACTGAAGTACTGGGGGTAGTTTGGAAGAGAGAGTATCAGAGGCTAGTGGGAAATGAGGAAACTCAACCTTGACAGAAGAAAAGGACCATATTCTCTCAATCAACAAATACTTATTATGTTTCCACTACTTGCCATGCATTGTTGAAGACATAGGAGACAGAGCAGCCAACAAAAGAAACATATGGTCCCTGCTCTTGTAGGGACTGACATTCTCATGAGAGGCGGCAAACAAATCAAAAAAATCATTTCAGGTCAGAAGAACTGAAGAAAAATGATGCTTGGTTAAATGACAATGAGGGTGTAAGGAAATTTTAAATAGACTGGTTGAGGAAGACTTCTGTGAAAAAGCAACATTTAAGCTTAAACTCAAATGACCAAAAGGAATTAGATGGAAGGATCTAGGGCAGTATTTCTCAACAAGGGGGCAATTTTGCCCCGAGGGGACATCTGGTAATGTCTGGAGGCATTTCTGGTTGTCATAACTGGAGGTAGGGTACTATTAGTATTCAATGGGTACAGGCCAGGGAAGTAGCTAAAATAAGACAGCCCCAAAGGACAAAGAATTATCTGGTCCAAAATGTCAATAGTGTTTTAAAAACAAAAAACAAAAGAACAAAAAAAAAAACCTAGTTAAGAGAAAAAGTGTTCTACTCAGAAGAAACAGTAGGGCCATTAGCCCTGGGGTGGGAGGTGTGGCATAGATGAGGAATTGAAAGAGCAGTGCAGCTGCAGCCTACTCAACAAGGAAGGGAGAAATGCGAGATGAGGTCCAGTAGGAAGGCCAGATCTCGTAGGGCCTTACAGGCCAGGAAAGGGACTTAATGAAGTGACAGGAAGGAAGAGGGCCTTTAAGGTTTAGGAAACTGCATGACAGAAAAGCACAATCAGAAAACCAGTCTCACACAGAGGAAAAGTTGGTGTTCAAGAAGAGAAGACTCTGATTAGAGGAGCCAGACAGTAAAGAGAGAGGCCACCAGTCTAGAGTTGGGAGGTTTGAGTCTGTTCTCTAGTAAACAAAGTTCTGATAAAGGGGCTTTTCAAGCAAGGAAATGAACAAAGCAATATTTTTGGAAGATTAATCTGTTGGCCATATGTAAAATAGCTTCGAGGAGAAAAGGCAGGGAAACCAGTTCAGAAGCCACTGCAAAAACCCACCATGTCATGAAGGACTGGTCTCCGACAGAGAGTGTGAAGCAGAAAGCAAGACACACTGAAGGAAGAAGGCGTGTAAACAGGGAAATGACTAGAGGAGGCAGCTCTCTCACAGCTCTGCGCTATACATGGCGGGCATGGCAGGGGCGGAGTGTGTCCCTGGGTATGAATATGAAGCATATCATAGGTCCTGACTGAGAAACACCGCTGTCTAACCAGAGTTAAAGTCCTAGAGAACATGAAAATAGTCACACCTCTTCCTATACTATTGTTAGCCAAAGAGAAATCATTAAGGGCTACTTAAATGGAACAGGAGAAAAGAAAATACTATGAGAGCCACCACTGGTGCTTTATTCCAGGTAACAAAGTCTTCGAATTTTTTAAGTCTAAGTTTTCCACAGATACCTGTCCCTTTGTTTCATGTACCAGCAAGCACTCATTGGGTACACAGACATTGTAGGAGACTCAAGAAAAGAAAAAAAAAAGGCACTGCTTTTTCCTTTAGGAGCTTACAAATAGTTTCATACCTAAAAATAAAATATTATTATAGAAAGACAGGGGCCGGGCATGGTGGCTCACGCCTGTAATCCTAACACTCTGGGATTACAGGATAACCCCTTTACATTATTCATTCATCCATGCATGTAACACGTCTTTTTAAAAATAAGACAAACAGCAAGTGATATGAAAATACAAGGATATGAGTTTTTTACTGTGGTAAATATATACATAACAAAAATTGACCATTTTAGCCATTTTTAAGCACACAATTCATTTCAGCTCACGAGTTCAAGACCAGCCTGGGCAAACATGGCGAAAACCTGTCTATACAAAAAATCCAAAAATTAGCCGGGAGTGGTGGCGCGTGCCTGTGGTCCCAGCTATTTGAGAGGCTGAGGCTAGAGAATCACTCGAACCCAGGAGGTGGAGGTTGCAGTGAGCCGAGATCACGACACTGTACTCCAGGCTAGGCAACAAAGTAAGACCCTATCCCCCACCAAAAAAAAAGGAAATAGAAAGACAGGGTTGGGCATGGTGGCTCACACCTGTAATTCTAGCACTTTGGGAGGCTGAGGCGGGTGGATCACTTGAGGTCACGAGTTTGAGACCAGCCTGGCCAACATGGTGAAACTCTGTCTCTACTAAAAATATAAAAATCAGCCACGCATGGTGGTGCACGCCTGTAATTCCAGATACTCGGGAGGCTGAGGCATGAGAATTGCTTGAACCTGGGAGACAGAGGTCGTGCCATTGCACTCCAACCTGGGTGACAGAGTGAGACTCTGTCTCAAAAAAGAAAAAAGAAAGATGGCATATATGGATGGTTTTCTGTCCGTACATACAGATGCTGATAAGATGGGCTGAATTGTGTCCTCCCAAAATTCATCGTTAAAGTCCCAACTAGTACTTCAGAATTTGACTGTATTTGGAGATATGGTTTTTTAAAAAGTTATTAAGGTAAAAATGAAGTCACATGAGGGGGCCCTAACCCAGTAAGACTGGTGTCCTTGTAAGAAGAAATTAAGACACAGACGCACAGAGGGAAGACCATGTTAACACATAGGGAGAGGGGCTCAGTATGGTGTCTCATGCCTGTAATCCCAACAATTTGGGAGGCCAAGGCAGGAGGATCACTTGAGGCCAGGAGTTCAAGACCGGCCCAGGCAACAAAGCAAGACCTCGTCTCTAATAAAAGTAAAAAAAAAAAAAAAAATTAACCAGGCGTGGTGGTGCACACTTGTAGTCCTAGCTACTTGGGAGGCTGAGGTGGGAGGATCGCTTGAGCCCAGAAAGTTGAGGCTGCAGTGAGCTATGATCGCACCATTGCACTCTAGTCCAGCCTGGGTGACAGGGTGAGACCCTGTCTCAAAAAAAATAAATAAAAAGGACACAGGGTATAAAAAATTACCATCTACAAACCAAGAGTGGTCTCAAAAGCAAACAGTCTTGGCAACACCTTGATATTGGACTTCTAGCCTCAAGAATTACAAGAAAATAAATTTTGTTGTTTAAGGCACCCAGTCTATGGTATTTTGTTATAACAGCCCTACCGAACCAATATACCTCCCAAATTAACCAATTCCTAGGGCACAAGCAGGAAGGGTTTCTTTCTGTTTCCCACTGCCTATTCACCACTTCTTTAACCCAATTGGTATTTTCTTTTTAATCTAGCTTTCTCAAAGTATACTAATGGATAAGGAAAATCATAATCCAGAATTTTGAGACAATAGGCTGTAAAGGAAGATTCCATGATAATTTACCTGCCATGAAATTTGGAGTAAAACTTTGAACTCTGAGACAATAAAGAATGGGCCTTAGTAAAGGTACATTCTGGTAAATGATGAGCTGCAAAGCCGGAATCTAAGATGTCTACCACGGTGAGCACTGGGAGTTTATCTAAGAAGGCAGACCAGAAGAAAACATGTTAACCTGCTGCCTGGAGAAAGGGAGCCACATACATAAATACGTTAAGGACCTCGTGAGGGAGAGGACAGAAGCTGGCTAATTCACCTTCAGCATCCAGGGGAGTTTTGCAGGATGAGCCGAGGATTCGAGGATGGCCCCTCTCAATGCGGCGGATAGTTGCCCAGCATTGTGGGTGCTGACAAACAGCCAAGCCACAGGTGGTTTCGTCCCACTGGCTCTCATCTGGCAAGTCCATAGCTAGAAATGGTTTAGGCCAAAGGCCAACCCTGCAGCATTCTAGTGCTCTGGAAAATCAACAGCTACATAATTAGGGAGTATTATACATTAGCCATACAGTCCAGATGTTAATTTGAACTCACAGTATAAAATATTTCTATTGAACCTATATAGGTAAATGATGGCCACAAAATAATTAAAGATTGGATAACAAGCAAGTATGAAAATAGCTCAGCATAAAGTAGAATGGCAAGAGTTTGAGAGCAGGACTTCAGGTCTCCTAATTGGCTATTTAATAGCTGAGTGACCTGGGACTTAACCAGTCTGAGCCTGTTGCCTCCACTGTAAAATGAGGATAAGCTTATTTCACAGGGTCATTATAAAAATTAGTTAATGGATATTAAAAGCCTGGCATATTGTTCCAAATAAATATTTGCATCCTTTCCTTTTCCCCTTCGTTAGTCATCAGGGAGAAGATGCCACCATCTCCAAAAAGCATTATCAAATTATGACCAAAGTAGTCACAGAAGTGTCTTAGAAGGCCCAAACTTCTGGAAGACATGTTTCATTTTTCAATGTGCTTCAGTTCCCATGCAGGCAGATAAAATACCCACCAGCAATGAATGTGTTTGCTCAAATAGCAAATCACTAGACACTGCTAGTTGCATCAGAGGCCATTAGCTTTTCATTCATTGGCCATATGGCCTTTGACAAGGGTCTTCACACCTCTCTCTCAAGTAGGGGGAGGGGTCCTGACTTGGTGTCTCAGGTCTGTAACCACAGCACTTTGGTAGGCCAAGATGAGTTACCCCCTCTCCACAAAAAATAATAAATAACATAAGCAGAAGGCAGGGAATCCCTAAGTAGGACTGCAGAAGCATTAAATGAGATAATGTACTTTTATTCATGGGAGGTGTTCAATAAATATTATCATCTTTTCCTTTCTAGAGGTGTTTTAGGCAATCACTAACTACCACCTTATTCCTAAGAACTTTTTAAGGACAGTGTCCATTTCTTTCTTTTATTCAACACATTTATTGATTACTAAATATGTGAGGGGACCTGCTTTGGACATGAACAGTAATAAACAAACTCCCTGTTCTAAACAGTTTCATAATTTAGATCAAAGATAAACTATCAGCCTGGGATTGCACCTGGCCTATTACTTGTTTTGTTTGGCTAGCACTTTGAATCAATTTTAAATTTGAATCAATTTTAAAATTGAAATAGCCCACAATGTCCTTTTAGGGACCAAAATACTTGACAACACTGAGCCCAATTCCAGTTGAAGAGCAACTGACTAGCGCTGAGCAGCCCTGATGGTTTCAGCCAGGTCTGTTCTATCCAAGCGGAGTTCCCCCACCAGACCTTATGGTCTCTAATTGAAACACTTTCAGTTGCCATTTATCATAGCATTTGCTCTTTTGTTTTAAAATATTTCTCTATAATCAGGCTTCTATCGAAAGCAGGAAAACTACAGGGCGACTTGGGACTGCATGCTTGACGGGAAAAAAAAGCAGCATTAATTCTCAGTGGGAGGCTGGGCGCCGTGGCTCATGCCTGTAATCTCAGCACTTTGCAAGGCCGAGGGAGAATCACTTGAGCCCTGGAGTTCGAGACCAGCCTGGGCAACATGGTGAAACCCTGTCTCTACGAAAAATACAAAAAATTAGCTGGGTGTGATGGAACGCACCTGTAGCCCCAGCTATTTGGGGCTGAGGTGGGAGGACCACCTGAGCCAGGGAGGTCGAGGCTACAGTGAGCCGAGACCGTGCCGCTGCACTCCAGCCTGGGGGACGGAGTGAGACCCTGTCAAGAAATTTTAAAAATTAAAAAATAAATAAAATCAGTGGGAGTGAGAATTTCTACGAACTTAATATAAAAATAACTTAAAAACAACTTAAAACACCATTGCGCCGGGCGCGGTGACTGGCGCCTGTAATCCCTGCACTTTGGGAGACCGAGGCGGGCGGATCACGAGGTCAGGAGATCGAGACCATCTTGGCTAACACGGTGAAACCCTGTCTCTACTAAAAATACAAAAAAATTAGCCGGGCGTGGTGGCGGGCGTCTGTAGTCCCAGCTACTAAGGAGGCTGAGGTAGGAGAATGGCGTGAACCCGGGAGGCGGAGCTTGCAGTGAGCCGAAATCGGCGCCACTGCACTCCAACCTGGGCGACAGAGTGAGACTGTCTCAAAAAAAAAAAAAAAGAAACGCCATTGCAAAACCTTGAGAATGGTTTTAACTGGAAAAAATGTATGATGAACAATTTAACTGAAAAATAAATACAATTTTAACACGGTTTGTTTTTGAAAGCGAATGTGACGTTGCATTCTTCATACAGTGAAAAGGCTGCTTCTCGCCCTTTCGTTACCTGCCCAGTCCGAATTGACTCCTGAGACCTAATCAGGCGCATCTCTATATGGCCAGCATTATCCCTGGGCTGCCTAAATAGTTCGCGTTAAACACAAACAACAACAATAAAATCTAAATAACACTCAGTCTTAGTACCATTATTACAAAAGCGTGAGGGGCGAAAAGATTAAAAATGAACATCAACTTCGGTAGAGATGGAAAAAGACTGCCCACTCCATTCCAGGAAAGAAAAAAGAAAGTGGGAGAATCTGATCACGACGGGCTGAGGTCCTGTGAGAGCAAAGCAGATTCCAAACCGCTTAGGGTTGCTAAATCAAGTGGTAAAACGTGGCCCCTTGCGGCGCGGTGAGATTAACGGACCCGGCGGGCCCAGAGCCTGCCTCGGGTCCTAAAGGGATCCGCCCCGCCGAGTCAGCCACGCCTTCGTCTCCCACGCGCTGCGCCCGGCCGCGCCGTCACCCAGCAGCGGCGCAGGGCACCATGGGAAACGGACGGAAGCTCCATTGAGCCAAATAAGTTGGTGAGAAGGTTCCCGACGCGGCGATGGCGAGAAGCAGAGAAATGGACCTGGGGAGGGGCGTGCGGGGTGCGGTAGGGTTGGATGGAAGCCTTGGCGGGCCAAAACCACTGCGGCTTCAAAATCCGGATGCGCCGGTATTTGAGGCGGAGGCGGGGCTGTGGGGGGAGGAGGGAGGCTATGGCGCTCAGAGCACTGTGGGACACTGTAGGCCACGTGGGGCGGAACGGAAACCTCGCAGGGTCAGACCGTAGCGACGCGGGAAGTCCGGACGCAGTAGCTCCCTGAAGCGGAGGCGAAGGGGAGTTTAAGCCCCAGCGGCGGCAATGGCGGAGAGGCCCGAGGACCTAAACCTGCCCAATGCCGTGATCACCAGGATCATCAAGGAGGCGGTGAGCAGCTCGGGGGGGGCGGACGAACGGGCAGGAGGGAAGCAGGTGCTGGAACGGCAGCTTTGCTCACCCCCGGTCTCCTCGCAGCTCCCGGACGGTGTCAACATCTCCAAGGAGGCCCGGAGCGCCATCTCCCGCGCCGCCAGCGTCTTCGTGCTGTACGCCACATCCTGGTGAGCGGGACAGAGGCATAAGGGAGGCGCGGGGATACCTGGCTGGGAGTTGCTGGCTGGGAGCCTACAAACCCCAACGATTGTGTTCTCCCTCGGTGGGGACATGTTCACAGTCCTCTGCCAGTTTTTACAAGTTCTGAAGCAAAATAACACAACAAAATCACTTTGCTTTAGCTTTTTTGTGCAGAGAAGGGAAGGACTTATCCCTGTCACACCAAAATCCATACATGTAAGAGGCAGGCTTTCCCGTTCCACCTCTGGGTGCTCCTTTTCCCACTCACGCCTTACAAACAAGAGGGAGTCTGACAGCCTTTCTCTTCTCTCAGTGCTAACAACTTTGCAATGAAAGGAAAGCGGAAGACGCTGAATGCCAGTGATGTGCTCTCAGCCATGGAAGAGATGGAGTTCCAGCGGTTCGTTACCCCATTGAAAGAAGCTCTGGAAGGTAACGAGCCTCTTGTCTTCTAAACCACATAGAAGATGGTCATCCTGTGTGACCTGTTCACCAGGCCCTGAGCCTTCTCAGCGCGGGTCCCTTTAAGTCCAGTAAGCCAGCACTTGATGTGACTCGACCCAGTTCGGTGGGCACCACCTCAGATCTGTTTTGTAATGCTGAGCAAGTTATTTTTCCTTCTCTGCCTCCGTTTTTGTTTTTGTCTTGCTTTTCTTGTTTTTGTTTTTTTTTTTTTTTTTTTGAGACGGAGTCTTGCTCTGTCACCCAAGCTGGAGTGCAGTGATGGGATCTCAGCTCACCGCAGTCTCCTCCTCCTGGGTTCAAGCAATTCTCCTGCCTCAGCCTCCCGAGTAGCTGGGACTACAGGCGCACGCCACCACGTGCGGCTCATTTTTTATTTTTGTAGAGACGGGGTTTCACCATATTGGCCAGGCTGGTCTTGAACTCCTGACCTCAGGTGATCCGCCCGTCTCAGCCTCCCAAAGTGCTGGGATTACAGGCGTGAGCCACCGCGCCCATCTGCCTCCGTTTTTCCAATTGTACAATGTAATTAGCTCCTGCAGTCCGTCTGGCTCACTTTCAGCTCTGTCTCCTAACCCCTTGTTCCGTCCTTACAGCATATAGGCGGGAGCAGAAAGGCAAGAAGGAGGCCTCAGAGCAAAAGAAGAAGGACAAAGACAAAAAAACAGACTCGGAAGAGCAAGACAAGAGCAGGGATGAGGACAATGATGAAGACGAAGAAAGGCTGGAAGAAGAAGAACAGAATGAAGAGGAAGAAGTAGACAACTGAAAAGGGCGGGAGACTGTGGCACCTTGGAAGGTACCACTTGAAATGAGACGTGCTACGTGTTTCTGTGAAGCTTTTCCATGCTGGGCAGAGTAGTCTCAGGCAAAAGTGCCTGAAAAGATCAGAATAAAAACTGACTAGAAATACCGTCAAAACCAGCACTTACCAAACTCAGAGCATCTGAGTAGCAGAATCCTGTTTTGCTTCATCAATCTGAAGGTTATGGCCTTTTGACAAGAGGGATTCTGAACGACTAAATTAGTCAGTTTGCTCGCTTTTGTTTACTTAAATGTATGGTTAGATGGTTTTTGATCTGCAGTCTTCCCTAGTCCCCCAAATAAGTAATAATAACTTCCATGCTGCCTGCTGTGTTCCAGATCACAGAGGCAGCCAAGGCTCAGGAAAAACTGGGGCTTTGCTTATGGTCAGCCTATGTTTGATTGCACAGTCTTTGACAATAGTAGCTTACTAAGACTGCTCAGAATGAGTAAGCTTTAGGAAACTACTAAAATGCTGTGGGAGAATAACAAAATCCGTTCTCTCTCTTCACTTGACAGAAGCATTAACTGAATTTTGTTTTTCATAGACCCACTTGGCCCAAAACCTTTCTATATTGCCTGTAGATGATCGGCCTGCTGGTGTGGTAGTAATCTGATCACAGATATTCTTAAATCAGCAGTGTGGAATGGTATTAGTCAAACATGGTGCCAGTGTCTTTTACAAAAACAGATGGCATAGTGTCAGATGTACCTTACTCTCTGCTACTGTACAGCTTTAGGATTTGTCATCACCTCCCGGAAGGTGTAAAACCCCAGGCTTCCTCTTCTTGTAGTCCATCTCCCAGACTTGTGACTATGGCTTTTCATTCTTCAATTCATGACGAGTGCCAAACTTGATTTTCTCTAGGCACAGCTTTCTCCCTCTGTGCCTCCTGCTTCCTTTCTCTCTCCTGCCTCTCCTCTGCTCCCCATCCCACTTTCTCATCTGCCTCCTTTTCTCACTTCTGTCAGTCTGTAAGCTTTGATAACCTGCTTAATACTCCAAAGTGTGAGTTCCTCTGATCTCTTGATTCCTTAGTTCTAATCTCACGTTTTGTTTTTAAGAGATGGAGTCTCTCACTCTGTGGCCCAGGCTGGAGTGCAGTGGCATGATCATAGCTCATTGCATCCTTGAAATCCTGGGCTCAGGTGATCCTCCCGCCTGAGCCTCCTGAGTATCTGGGACTACAGATGCGTGCCACCAAGCCTGGCTAATTTTGTCTCATGTCTTCTAAAAATTATTTTGTGAAGCCCCTTCACAAAAAACCTTAAGGGAAATCTGATGGTGCTCAGGAATCTAACTCTCCCTAAACCATCCTCTTTAACTGCTTCTAAAATATCTCTGTTGGCCTTTCTTAGCCTTTTTCTGTTTCCATTCAGTGCTCCAAGCGCTTTTTGTTTCTAAGTTGAGTGCTTGGGGTTTGACAGGTAGTGACGTGTAGTTTGACACTGTTAACTTGTTAAATACAGTGAAAAGTTTGTGAGTGAAGAATGCTGAGAAGATTGTAATGCTTTGTACAAATAAAAGTCTTGTTAAAAAATGATGCCTCCTGTTTCATGCTGCTTGTTCACAGTGTGTTTTTGGAGAGAGCCCCTGATGATACTCTCCATGCAGTTTTTGGCGTGTGGTCCTGGCCAGACCTTTGTAAACATGAGATACTGCATCGCCTTGGATGACCAGCAGGTGCTGCTCATTCACAGGCAAGGGCTCTGAACTACTGCAAGAGCATTTGTTTTGTTTTGTTTTGTTTTTTTTGAGACAGAGTCTCAATCTGTCGCCCAGGCTGGAGTGCAGTGGCATGATCTCGGCTCACTGCAACCTCCGCCTCCCAGGTTCAAGCAATTCTCCTGCCTCAGCCTCCCAGGTAGCTGGGATTACAGGCACCCACCACCATGCCCAGCTAATTTTTATATTTTTAGTGGAGACAGGGTTTCACCATGTTGGCTAGGCTAGTCTGAAACTCCTGACCTCAGGTGATCCACCCACCTCAGCCTCCCAAAGTGCTGGGATTACAGGCGTGAGCCAACACACCTGCTGAAAGAGCTTTTTTTTTTTGTAGACGGAGCCTCACTCTGTCTCCCAGGCTGGAGTGCAGTGGCATGATCACGGCTCACTGCAAGCTCTGCCTCCAGGGTTCACGCCATTCTCCTGCCTCAGCCTCCCTAGTAGCTGGGACTACAGGCACTCGCCACCATGCCTGGCTAATTTTGTTTTTGTATTTTTAGTAGAGATGGGGTTTCACTGTGTTAGCCAGGATGGTTTCGATCTCCTGACCTCATGATTCGCCTGCCTCGGCCTCCGAAAGTGCTGGGATTACAGGGGTGAGCCACCATGCCTGGCCGGTGCAAGAGCTTTTCATGGATGTGCTGGGCACCCTTATACATACTAGATTCTCAGCAGCTTCATTTATTGAGCCCCCTACTGTGTCTGGCACTAACTGCTTTCAAGTATTAACCCTTTTTTATTTTTATTTATTTATTTTTTGAGACAGAGTCTCACTCTGTCACCAGGCTGGAGTGCAGTGGCACAATCTCGGCTCTCTACAACCTCCACCTCCCTGGTTCAAGTGATTCTCCTGCCTCAGCCTCCCAAGTAGCTGGGACTACAGCCGCGCACGCCACCACACCCAGCTAATTTTTGTATTTTTAGTGGAGATGGGGTTTCACTATGTTGACCAGGATGGTCTCAATCTCTTGATCTCGTGATACACCCGCCTCAGGCTCCCAAAGTGCTGGGATTACAGGTGTGAGCCACCACGCCCGGCCTTAATTTTTTTTTTTTTTAATTTGAGACAGGGTCTGTGTTACCCAGGCCAGTCTCCAACTCCTGGGCTCGAGCAATCCTCCTGCCTTGGCCTCCCAAAATACTGGGATTACAGGCATAAGCCACCACACCCAGCCCTAAGTATTAACTCTTAAACCCTATGAAGCAGCACTGCTGTTACCTTTATTATCTCTTTACCACAATGCTATATCACCTATCTAATCTACATAGCTTTTTCTTTTTTATTTTGAGACAGAGCCTCGCTCTGTCACCCAGGCTGGAGTACAGTGGCGTGATCTTGTCTCACTGCAGCCTCTGCCTCCCCGGTTCAAGTAATTCTCCTGCCTCAGCCTCCCTAGTAGCTGGGATTACAGGTACCGGCCACCACGTCCAGCTAATTTTATTTTTAGTAGAGATGGGGTTTCACCACATCGGCCGGGCTGGTCTTGGTCTCGAACTCCTGACCTCAGGTGATCCGCCTGCCTCAGCCTCCCAGAGTGCTAGGATTACAGGCGTTCCTTTTTTTTTTTTTTTTTTTGAGAAGGACTTTTGCTCTGTCGCCCATGCTAGAGGGCAGTGGTGCCATCTCGGCTCACTACAACCTCCGCCTCCTGGGTTCAAGAGATTCTCCTGCCTCAGCCTCCTGAATAGCTGCGATTACAGGCCTGCGCCACCACACCTGGCTGATTTTTGTATTTTTAGTACAGACAGGATTTCACCATGTTGGCCAGGCTGGTCACGAACTCCTGACCTCAAGTGATCCGCCCGGCTCTGACTCCCAAAGTGCTGGGATTATAGGTATGAGCCACCGTGCCTGGCCAAATCTACATAATCTACATAGCTTCTTCAAATCATAAATTTATAAATAACATTTCACAAAGATACAACCCCCAATACTCATTAGATCTAATAGCTTTTTCCTTCACAGTAGAAACATCCTTTCTTAATTCCCATGAGCACTACTCAACTTCTGTGGCTTCCTTTAAGCTCAGTCCCCTGCCTCATCTCCACTTCCCCTAGTCTCCTCTGTGGATTACTTGGCACGTGGATCTTCCTGGAGCATTGCTGGGTTACAGACCCTCCTTGTTTCCTATTAAATCAAATCTATACTTAAACCTATTATTCAAAGCCTGCATGAGAAGGGCTCACCCTGCTACCTATTTTAACCTGCCACTCTCTAACAAGGCTATGTGCTCTAGTCAACGGTGAATCCCCAAAAGAACTCTTCCATATGGCTTTAGTTAATTCTGCCCCATTCATCACCAAACTTGGACTACCTAAGAAAAACATGTTTCCTGAAAATAGGGACTATTACTTTGAAACTACAGAATTTGGCCGGGCGCGGTGGCTCACACCTGTAATCCCAGCACTTTGGGAGGCCAAGGCAGGCTCATCACGAGGTCAGGAGTTCGAGACCAGCCTGGCCAATATGGGGAACCCCTTCTGTACTAAAAATACAAAAATTAGCCGGGCATGGTAGCCTGTAGTCCCAGCTACTTGGGAGGCTGAGGCAGGAGAATCGCTTGAACCCAGGAGGCAGAGGTTGCAGTGAGCTGAGACTGCGCCACTGCACCCCAGCCTGTGTGACAGAGCAAGACTCTGTCTCAAAAAAAAAAAAACTACAGAATTTAACAACTGGTAAAAATTTTTGACATCATCCACCAGTATTCCCCCCACCACACTTCTATCATTACTGCAGTGGTATCTGGACTTTTGAAGTTCCTTACTAGGCTAAGGTAATGTTTCACTTTTTTACCATGGCCCTTCATGCCCAGAGATTCTGATTTGGATTCGGGAGGTGGGAGGGTTCTCGTCCCAACCCATTCAAAGCTACTTTTGCAGCCTAACCTCCTATTTTTACTGATAGGAAATTGAGGTTCTTCAGAGAGAAGTGACTTGCTCAAGATCTTACCAAGAATTTATGAAAACTGGGATTCTGTTCCAATGACCTTTGGCCTTGCCCCGTTTTTTTTTAATAAGCTTTTTATATTTCAACAGTTTCTCTACTTATGTCCTTTTTCGATTACAGGGGCCAACCCAGAATACCACATTGCATCTAGTGAACTCACTTTTTAAGACTGAGATGAAATTCAAAGAACATAGAATTAACCATTTTTAAATGAGCAGTTCAGTGGCATTTAGAACAGTCACAATGTTGTGCAACCACTACCTCTATCTAGTTTCAAAACATTTTCCTCAGGCCCTGGCAATCAGCAGTCTGCTTTCTTTCTTGTTCCTTTTTTATGCTTTTCACAGCATTTAGCACAATGCCATATACCTACCTAGAAGACACTCAGAATAGTTTAGTTTTAACTTTTTATTGAAACGAAATATACATACTAAAAGACACAAATAAGTGTGGAGCTTAATGAATTTTCACGAATTAAACACAGCCATGTAACTCACACCCAGACCAATAAACATTAACTGCATCCAAAGAAACCTCTTTAGTCTCCCCCTGCCGCCTTTTTTTTTTTTTTTTTTTTTTTTTTTTCTGGAGACAGGGTCTTGCTCTGTCATCCAGGCTGGAGTGCAGTGGTACGATCACAGCTTACCGCAGCCTTGACCTCCCAGGCTCAAGCAATCCTCCCATGTCAGCCTCCCAAGTAGCTGGGACTACAGGTGTCCACCACCATGCCCAGCTACTTTTTGTAATTTTTGTAGAGACTGTTTCGCCATGTTGCCAAGGTTGGTCTTGAACTCCTGGGCTCAAGCGATCCACCAGCCTTGGCCTCCCAAAGTGCTAGGATTACAGGTGTGAGCCACCACACCCAGCCTAATCTCCCTTTCAATCCTCCCCATCTCCCCAGTGGAAATCACTATTCTGAGTCCTAACAACACAGCTTAATTTTGCTTGATTGTGTAGTTAATATAAATGAAATCATATTATATACTATTTTGTGTCTCACTTCTTTTACTCAACAATATGTTTAAGATTTATTCATATTATTGCATTCACAATACTGAAAGATTAAGGTAAAATGTTTCAAAAGGTGGAGGCTGGGGGGAGAGTGGGAACAGGTCTTTCAGTCAAGAAGAAGAAAAGACATGGGGGAAATAAGCTACACCAAACAGCAACATTTTAAAATTTCCCGTTCTATTTGGGTTCTTAGATGGTTCTAATTATTTTTAGTTACCAATAACCTCAGGGAAGGAATGAGTGTCAGGAAAGAAATGTCGGGCAGGGAATCTAGGAAAAAACAAATAATAATTGCCCCTATGGAGTGTGGTTATTAGCAGGCATTGCAGAGAGAGCCCAGTGTAACATGGGGCAAATTATTTAATCTAGCTGGCAATTGTTTTCCCAATCCGTAAAGTGAGAATAGTAACATCGTTGCTGTCAAGATTAGATAAATGAATGTAAAATGCATGGTACTGTCCCTGACTCTTTAATGCACAGCAAACATTATTTGCTTTCTATCCCCTTCCTTGTTGAATACAGATCAGAACTCCAGTAGCTGGAAACTAAGCAGTGTCATATTTCCCTAGCCTTACGCCGCTAGGCCCCTTAAATTTAAAATATAAAGTATACAACAGGTTTGGGGTACAGATTTTGAGAAATTTAAAAAAAAATTTTTTTTTGAGACAGAGTCTCCCTCTGTCACCCAGGCTGGAATGCAGTGGCATGATCTCAGCCCATTACAACCTCCGCCTCCCGGGTTCAAGCGATTCTCCTGCCTCAGCCTCCCGAGTAGCTGGGATTACAGGAGCCCGCCACCACGCCCGGCTAATTTTTTGTATTTTTAGTAGAGACAGGGTTTCACCATGTTGGTCAGGCTGGTCTTGAACTCCTGACCTCAAGAGATCCGCCCGCCTTGGCCTCCCAAAGTGCTGGGATTACAGGCGTGAGCCACCGAACCGGGCTGAGAAATAAAATCTGAGAATAAGTGTAATGTAACCCACTAGTGTCCTCTACATTTGAAAGTCAACTTTTCAATAATCCCTGAAGAACCACCTGAAAGGCATTGCTTCGCTAGGGCGATGATGCCCGATCGCCATTTTACTCATCCAATCCTACTGGTTTACCCAGGCCCCATAAGCCTCACCAGATCCCTCTTGCCTCTGCACATCTCCAATCTCCATAAAGACCTTTGATCGGATCTATCATTGTACCTATCATAGGTCTGATGCCCCTATCAAGACTTGGAGTTTTCCTAAACGCCCATGTCTTTCACATCACATCTCTCAACTCATAGCATTGCCGTACCCTGAGAAATAAATGAAGCTGGTACAAATTTTCTCTGAAAACTTGGAAGCCTGGCGCTGAACTCAACAACTTTAGCTTAGTCCGCAAAAATGGACTTAGCTAATACTGTGTTAGGCATAATGGTGCTGTTTTAACGGCTTTGACATCCAATTATTCTTTCACCAAGCCATTAACCAGAGCCAAGTTTGCCCTAGGCTGGGCAAAGGAATGCTGTGAAGTGAAACCTGGGCTGTAACCGCCTCCGAGGCCGGCTCACACCCAGGGACCCTCCCAAGCGGTTCCTGCGCCCCCTCGTGGCCTCCCTCCTGCAGTTCGCTGCACAAGCGCAGGGCCCGGAGCGGGGACGGGCGGGCCCTCCAGGCCCTCGACACACCCAATTGGCCAGGCCTCGTTGCGTGTGGGCGGGGCCGCGGCTGGAGCGGAGGAGCCCCCCAGAAGACCGCCTTCAGGGGGCGTGGCCTGGACTGTGGAGGGGGCGGACCGTGGGGAAGCTGCTTCCGGGTGAGCCCCCCCCGCTCTTACGCGGTCTGTGGGAGACCGGAGCGGGAGACAGCGGTGACAGGAGCAGCGGCCGGGAGCCCTTAGGGAGGCAGGTGAGCGGGGGCTGGATGCGGGGAGATAGCGGGCCTGGAGGGCGGCTCCAGGGCGAGGCGGGGACTGTGGCACCAAGAGTCCTGCGTCCCCAGATTGTGCTGTGCGCCTGAAGCCCTGGCGGTGCAGCCGTGCACGGAGTCCCGTGGAGCGTTTGTTTGGGCTGGATTATCCCGCTGCAGCCGAGGTTGGGGGCCCGGGTTCGGGGCTCCGCACCTCTTCTCTGGGGTTCACCCTCTCGGATACCGCCTGGGCAGACTCCATCGATGCAGAACCCGAGGTGCGGGTGGTGGTTGGTGGGGGGGTAGGGAGGTGAAAACAATAACAGCCGTTTTGTACTAAGCGTTGCGTGCATTGACCATTCATTTATTTTATTTATTTATTTATTTTTGAGACGGAGTTTCGCTCTTGTTGCCCAGGCTGGAGTGCAATGGCGCGATCTCAGCTCACTGCAACCTCCGCCTCCCGGGTTCAAGCGATTCTCCTGCCTCAGCCTGCCAACTAGCTGGGATTACAGGCGTGTGCCACCACGCCTGCTAATTTTTGTATTTTTAGTAGAGATGGGGTTTCTCCCTGTTGGTCAGGCTAGTCTCGAACTCCCGAGCTCAGGTGATTCGCCCACCTCGGCCTCCCAAAGTGCTGGGATTACAGGCGTGAGCCACCACGCCCGGCCTGACCCATTCATTTCTTACAACAACCCATTGAGGTCGGTTCTAGTCCCCATTTACTAAACGAAGAAACTGAGGTCACACAACTAGAAAGCTACAGAACTAGGATTTGTACCCACATCTATCAGACTCCAGAGCCCACATACTTAACCATCCTGCTACCAACAGCAGCCAGGCCCAGAGTCTGGCTCACCCAAAGCTCTCCACAAGCCCAACCTGCTGGGAAACAGATTTGATATCTATCCTTAAAGTATGGAGGTGTCATGGTGGGCACTGAGGACTGGGCTGCTGGAGACCTTCCCCCAGATCTGCCGCTGACCCACTGCGTGATCCTGGGCCTGTGTCTACCCCTCTCTGAGCCCAGTTTCACCCTTGTTTCAGTGATACAATCAGCAAACTTTAAGAAGACTCTTAGCCAAGATATTCTAGGATTCTGGGAATGGCAGCTTCTCCTACGTCTAAATGGCTAACCCCAGAGGCGATCAGGCTCTTCAAAGCCCCAGGGCAAGGCTGGGGTCTCATTCTTCTCTTTAATCCCTGTGTCTAGCACTTCAGCAGGCCCATAGTAGATATTCAAGAAATGTGGGTTGGCTGAATAAACACTTCATCTCTTTTCAGAACTGCATGACAGCTGCTCTCCTGGGCCTTTGTGGGGCTTTGGATTTCTCAGTTCTGGCCACCTTCTATCTAGCTGGCTCTCCTGACTGCCTCCTCCCTGGCCAGTGGCAGAGCCTGCCAGGGCTGGCAGCAGGTCCTAAGCCTCTGTGCGAAGACCCACAGCCTCTGGAATCCTCAGCATAGTACAACTTGCAGGGGTGGGGGGTGGCACATGAAGCTCATAGCCCCTCCTGGTAGCAGTGCTCAGGGCCCAACTTCAGTTACTCCCAGTTTGGGGATGTTGCCTTCCATGGGAGGAGATACTTTCATATTAAATCTGAAACACTTCTTATCCTTCACTGTCCCCTCTTCCATGAAACCACCCTTGACTCAGAGACACAGTCCCTCTGACAGCACCTGGTCCACCCCTCTACTCTGGCAGCCCGGTGGTGATTATTTTGTTTTTCCTCCACCACATAACCTGCTGGAAGGCAGGGACTCCACTTCAGAAATCTTGGAAAACCCTGTGGCCCACAAGGGTTTGAGCTCATATTCCCATCTGGTGAGGTGCAGAAGGCACAGAGCTGTGCCAGGACATCTCGTTCCAACCCAGCCCCACTCCTAATAGTAATAAAAGTAGCTACATGTTTACTGTGCAGCTACTTGGTGCCAGACACCTACCTTATCCCTATCAATAATCTCCACAGCCTTGCAAGTTAGAGATATCATGCCTATTTTGTAGATTATGAAATGAACACTGAAAGGTCAATTACTTTGCCCAAAATTACACAGCAGAGCATAGACCAAACCTGGGACTGTCTGACCCTGAAACATGGATCTTTCTGCACCGCCCTATACTCTGCGTCCCAGCAAAGCTAACCTGTCTGATGTGGTTGGGCAGAGGTGCTGGACCTCCTGGCGGCTCGCTCCTGTCTTCAGTGTGGTAATGTCACAGGCATTTAAATTGTGGTTTGCAAGCTCGCTTGATTTGGGAGAAGTGCCCTCCCAGTCTGTGAAATTCTCCCAAACTCTAAGGGCCTTTTTGCAAAGCAAAACCCACCCTGCATTTGGCTCTGCCAATATGTGATTCAGGGGGTGTTTTCCCACTCACAGAATGGAGTGGGAAACTCCACTTATTAAGTACCTCTTACAATGGAATGACTCTATGGTGTAGGTATCAGGGCACTGAAATAGAAGCCAGGAGCTGCAGGGTCAGTTTATAGCTCTGTATGTCACTCACTGTGATCTCCAAAAGTCCCGTTGCCTCTTTATACCCCATTTTCCACATTAAAGTGTAAGGGATTAAACAGGATTGGCAATTTTCAAGCTTTTAATATTTTCAGCACTGACAGCCGTTTCTCAAATCAAATCTGTCTCTGAATCTTAAAATTCAAAAACAGATCAAAGTGGACTGCTGTAGTGAGACTGTTCCCTTTACTCTAACCCTGCCCCGGTCTCAGGCTCCTAGGCAGTCCTGCCCCAGGGTTTCTGCTAAGCAGGAGCCAGTTGTTCCCTCAGCCTCCTAAAAGCGATGGGGAGTTGAGGCCAGTGGAATGCAGCTTTGGATTCAGAAGCCAGAAAACAACAGAGATTGTTTGTGGGAAGTGAGTCAGAGAGATTAGACCTCTCTTCAACATCTGACTAGACTCTAGAATGGCATTAAGCAAGTCACTGAACCGCTCAGAGCCTCTGTTTCCTTATCACTAAAAGTTAGGACAATTCTTGCAATGAAATGAGATACTACTACCAAGTACTTCAGTGCTGTGCCCAGCACAGAACGAATACACTCAGTATGTTTTTCTTTTGTTTCTTCTGTCTCTCCAGCACCCAAAGCAGAAACAGTATGGGCAGAGAGACGCCTACTGAATCAGGTGTTTATCAGTATTATGAAATACAGTATATAAAACCCAGCATTTGGAGTCCAGAACAAATTCAAATTCTGGCTCAGTCACTAAGTAGCTATGTGGTCTTGGGCAACTGGCTTACATTTTGGTAATTCTCTCAATATGCAAAAATATTCTCTCGGCCAGGTGCGGTGGCTCACGCCTGTAATCCCAGCACTTTGGGAGGCAGAGGCGGGCGGATCACTTGAAGTCAGGAGTTTGAGACCAGCCTGGCCAACATGGCGAAACCCTGTCTCTACTAAAAATACAAAAATTAGCCAAGCATGGTCATGCATGCCTGTAGTCCCATCTATTTGGGAGGCTGAGGCAGGAGAATCACTTGAACCCAGGAGGTGGAGGTTGCAGTGAGCCGAGATCGAACCACTGCACTCCAGCTTGGGTGACAGAGCCAGACTCTGTCTCAAAAAAAAAAAAAAAAAAAAAAGAAAAGGAAAAAAAACTCCTGGCAGACATGAGAGCAAAATCGAGTACGAAATGGGCAGCTGGGACCTCATATCTACTGAATAATTGTCTGTTTGGAGGTTGAGACATGACTGGGGAGGCCTGGCCTGCCCCTGTGTTAGGTGATGGGGCTGGCCCACCCAGGGGTGTGGCAGCAGGGCTGGCCCCTGTGTGACTTGTGATAACCCCACCCTACCAAGGAGGAAGACTGGATAAAATGGGCCCCTGAGATGGCTGAAGGCAGCTAAAGGGGCCTAAGAGACTATGGGGAGAAGGGCAGCCAGTTCCTAGGCAGCCCTGCCCCACTGTTTCTGATAAGCAGGAGGCAGTTGTTCCCTCAGCCTCCTGAAAGCAATGAGGAGTTGAGGCCACGGGAATGCAGCTTTGGATTCCAGAAGCCAAGGACCTGTTACAAAGGTGGTTTTCTGGGAAGCAAATTAGAGGGATTAGACCTGGCTTCGACATCTGACTTGACTCCAACCTACCAAAGGATCTCCCAGTTCACCTGGGAGTTAACACACCAGGGTTCTAGTCCTTTTGCTCGCTGTGTGGCTTTGGGTAAGTCCTTGCCCCTCTCTGGACCTTGAGGTCCCATTCATACAAAAAGCAGTTGGACTCAGGCCTGCCAGCCCCCATTTTTGTGGCTCTTCCCCGCCCCTCCCCATCCTTTGGCTATGGGATAGTCTCCCAGGCACCTCCAAAAGGAAGTGTCTAAAACAGAGCTCTCCACCTCCTCTCCAAGCCCAGCTCCCCACTGCCCTCTTCCTGCCCTGTCCCTGTCTCCGCTGCCCTTTAGATCAGGCAGGCAGGCAGGCCTAGAGCATCCGCCCTGAGACACTGCCTGTTGGCTGCCTTAAGACGCCCCTTCCTTCTCTGCCCGCAGCCTCCCCAGCCTCTGCATTCCTCTGCTTCCTGTCTGCTCTGCTCAGCCTGCAGGATTGATCTTCCCAAAGCCAGGTGTCAACCAGGCCACTAACCCTACCCACTGCTCAGAAATCTTCCCACAGCCTCAGCCTGGCCCCCTCTTATCCATCCCCTCCATACACACTTGCCTCAGCTCCTCAAAACAGTCCACAGCCATCCTCCTTCCCCACCTTTGCCCCTTTCTTCCCTTCCTAAGGAAATATTGGCCCCCTTCTCTCCACCAGGCTGAACCCACTCATCCTGCAAAACCAAGTTCAACGCCCTGTCATTTTCTTTTTTTTTTTTTTTTTTGAGATGGAGTCTCACACTGTCGCCCAGGCTAGAGTGCAATGGGTGCACTCTCGGCTCACTGCAACCTCTGCCTCCTAGGTTCAATCGATTCTTCTGCCTCAGCCTCCAGAGGAACTCTGACTACAGGTGCACACCACCACACCCAGCTAATTTTTGTATTTTTATTTTTATTTCTATTTATTTATTTATTGTGAGATGGAGTTTCTCTCTTGTTGCCCATGCTGGAGTGCAATGGCACGATCTCGGCTCATTGCAACCTCCGCCTCCCAAGTTCAAAGGATTCTCCTATCTCAGCTTCTGAAGTAGCTGGGATTACAGGCATGTGCCACCACACCCGGCTAATTTTTTTTTATTTTTAGTAGAGATGGGGTTTCACCATGTTGGTCAGGCTGGTCTCAAACTCCTGACCTCAAGTGATCCACCCACCTCGGCCTCCCAAAGTGCTGGGATTACAGGCGTGAGCCACCGTGCCTGGCCTAATTTTTGTATTTTTAGTAGAGACGGAGTTTCACCACATTGGCCAGCCTGGTCTCAAACTCCAGACCTCAAGTGATCCACCCGCCTCAGCCTCCCAAAGTGCTGGGGTTACAGGTGTGAGCCACTACGCCTGGCGCCTGTCTTCTTCTAATATGCCTCTTCTGACCTCCTCACTCCCATTGGAGCCATGGCTCACTTCTGGTCAGGCTCCATGCACTCAATCAGCCCTGCCTGCCAGGACTGTAGTGCCCACTTGATGAGAAATCACCTGTGAAAATGCCAGGCATGGTCTGGCACACAGTAGGTGCTCAAGAAACAAATGTTAATGCCCCAGCTTCCTTCTGTCTTGTGTCCACTAATTTGGCATTTGGAGCATATTTTTGTACTTCACGTAATTAAATATTTACTGTGTGCCAAGGTCAGTGTGTGACAGAGCACTGTAGGGGAGGCAAAAATGAACCAACTCTGGACCTTGCCCTGCAGAAGCTCTGTCTACTGGCATGAGGTAAGACAGGTCCACAGATAACTTACATAAGAGAGACTGCAATCTGGACAAGACAGCCTCAGTGGGAGAGGGAAGGAGAACCCTGTAGATTTGGGTGCGGGGAGGCTGTGGGGAGAGCACAGCCTTTCAGGTAAAGGGACAAGGTTAGGAAAGCAAGAAGGTGTAGCTTGTGCTCGTGGAGCCCAGGAAACTCCTTGGGCTAGAAAAGATTTGGTGGCACTCTATACAGTGTATGTGTCTGTCTGTCTATCTAACATGAATGGTACTATTTTCTCCTATTGGTGTGCATTGTACCTAACAAAAAATCCATGTCCCAAGTACTTTTCTCTTTTCTTTCTTTCTTTTTTTTTTTGGAATGAAGTCTTGCTCTGTCGCCCAGGCTGGAGTGAAGTGGCGCTATCTCGGCTTACTGCAACCTCCTCCTCCTGGATTCAAGCAGTTCTCCTGCCTCAGCCTCCCCAGTAGCTGGGATTACAGGCACGCACCACCACGCCCAGCTAATTTTTTTTGTATTTTTAGTAGAGGTGGGGTTTAACTGTGTTGGCCAGGCTGGTCTCGAACTCCTGACCTCAAGTGATCTGCCCATCTCAGCCTCCCAAAGTGCTGAGATTATAGGTGTGAGCCGCCATGCCCGGCCAACAGTACTTTTCTCTAGAGGTAGAATTGCAGGGGATTTTTCTCTTTTTGCTTATCTGCACTTTTCTAAAAGTTCTGCCATGAACACGGGCATTTTTTGTGGAATAAACAAAGTTTAAATGTTGGCTAGATCAGTGCTTCTTTATGCATAAGGAAGGATTAGTTCTTTTTTTTCTATTTCCAATTTATTGATTCTTTGATAAAATGCAATGCAATAAAATTATTATTTTTTTTTAGAGACGTCTCCCTCTCTCACCCAGGCTGGAGTGCAGTGGTGCAATCATAGCTTACTGCAACCTTGAACTCCTGGGCTCAAGCGATCCTCTTGCTTTAGCCTCCTGAGTAGCTGGGACTACAGGTGTGGACCACCACACCTGGCTGATTTTTAAACTTTTTGTAGATACAGGGTCTCGCCATGTTGCCCAGGCTGGTCTCGAACTCTTGGGCTCAAGCCATCCTGCCACCTCAGCCTCCCAAAGTGCCGGGATTACAGGCGTGAGCCACCATGCCCAGCTAGAAAATTACTTTTTTGGCTAGGCACCGTGGCTCACGCCTGTAATCCCGGCACTTTGGGAGGCTGAGGCAGGCAGATTGCTTGAGCCCAGGAGTTCGAGACCATCCTGGGAAGCATGGCAAGACCTCCATCTCTACAAAAAATTCGAAAATTAGCTGGATGTTGTGGTGCACACCTGCAGTCCCAGCTACTTGGGAGGCTGAGTTGGGAGAAACAGTTGAGCCCGGGAGGTCAAGGCTGCAGTGAGTCGAGATTGCACCACTGCACTCCAGCCTGGGCGACAGAGACCCTGTGTGAAAAAAAAAAAAAGAAGAGAATTTTTTTTAAACAGTCATTGCTTGCTCAGATGTTTACTTTAAAAGATAATAATGAACAAGAAGCAGTCACATAAAATACAAGCCCAAATTTTATATCATTAGATTCTGATTGTCATGAAAGTTTCTAAAGACTTACTTTCATTTCTCAACTTACCTTGTTGACCAGCAGGGATTGGTGAACCATGCTGTGAGTAGCATTGGGCTAGAGAGAGGGGAGGCAGGAATCTAGAAGAGCTGTTTTCCAGATGTGACCATCTCCTGAGGACAGGGACCATGTCTCATGTGCCACCCATCACCCCCCACAGACAGAGCCTGCAGCCAATGCCCCAGGAGCCCTCGGTTCCAACCAACTGATGCCCCTGTGCCCACTGGCCCACGCCATGCAGCCCCAGTCCGTTCTGCACAGCGGCTACTTCCACCCACTACTTCGGGCCTGGCAGACAGCCACCACCACCCTCAATGCCTCCAACCTCATCTACCCCATCTTTGTCACGTGAGTCTCCAAGAATGGGCCAGGCCTCTGCTCTGCTGGTTGGGGTTGGGGTTGGGGAGGGAGTGTTGACTGGAGCGGGCATCAGTATGGCTGGGGGTGGCAAAGTGAGCTGTCAGCTTGAAATTCAAGGCACTGGAAGCAGGCTACTTGGATTAAGGACAGGAATCTTAGGAACAAAACAAACTTTGAAAGAACTCATTCATCCCATTTGGAAAATTAGAAGAATAACCCTTGCCTGCCATCCTGAGCTCTTGCAGTAAGACAGAAGCTGAGAAGGTGCTCTGTACATTGTAAAGTGCTATGTACCTGTAAGAGATGGCAGTCATTGAGGCTGGGCACGGTGGCTCACGCCTGTAATCCCAGCACTTTGGGAGGCTGAGGCAGGCGGATCACGAGGTCAGGAGATCGAGACCATCCTGGCTAATATGGTGAAACCCTGTCTCTACTAAAAACACAAAGAAATTAGCCAGGCGTGGTGGCGGGTGCCTGTAGTCCCAGCTACTTGGGAGGCTGAGGCAGGAGAATGGCGTGAACCCGGGAGGCGGAGCTTGCAGTGAGCCGAGATTGCACCACTTCACTCCAGCCTGGGCGACGGAGCCAGACTCCATCTCAAAAAAAAAAAAAAAAAAAAGAGATGGCAATCGTGATTGTTAATAATAATGCAGACATTTACTGAGTACTTACTATCTACCAGGTACTATGCTAAGCACCTACACACATTATCTCATTCAATTCTGAGAGCATTTGTATGAAGAAGGAGTAGCTATCCTCTAGAACATCAGCTCCATGAGGGCAGGGATGTTTGTCTATTTTGTTCACTGTTGTATCATCAGGGCCTAGAACAGTACTTGGCACATAATAAGTACTCAATAAATATTTGTTGAATGAATGAATTAACCACGCATGATATAGATGAAGGCCTAAGGCTCAAAGAGATGATAGAACTTGGCCACGGTCACCCAGGCAGTAAGTGGCTGGGATAGAAAGCAAGGACCTGCCAAATTCAGAGTCCAAGTTCTTAACCACTTAATTCCTTCCTGTAATTACCGTTCTTTTAGTACAGTTGCTAGTGTTGTCACTGTTATTCTTGTTGTTCCTATTATTATTTCAGGCCCTGGGCTTGGCCAGGCAGGGAAGCCAGACACTGGATCCCATCCTCCTCCCACCATCTCCACTTCCATATTTCTTTCCTGCTTCCCAACCATCCCTCTCAGTCGCCCCCGCACCACTGGCCCTTCCCACAGCTACCAATCCATATCCCACCCCCGCTCTTGCAGGGATGTTCCTGATGACATACAGCCTATCACCAGCCTCCCAGGAGTGGCCAGGTAGGAGACGTGGAGTTGGGGGGCCAGCGGGTGGTGGAGGGAGAGATTCCACAGGTGGAAGTGCTGGGAGGCAGAAGCAGACCTAGGAAGTAGAAGATGCGGACAGACAGACATTAGCTCAGTAGAGGAAAGGGTTTCCCCGGGGCCAGAGCTGTTCCACAGTGGAAGGGGCAGCCCCATAAAGTAAAGAGCTACCCATCACCCGAGACGTCGTGGCAGAGGCTGTTGCAGAAGGGAGCTGAACTGCAGATGGGAGTTCAAAAAGAGGGCCTCGAAGGAGCCTTCCACAGCCGAATTCCGGAGCTCTGCTACTCAGGGCCTCAGTCTTCCCTCCTATTTAGTGGATGCATCCCTGCCCCTTCTGTCCTGGGGGCTTGAGCCCTCCTGGTGCCATATGCAGCTTGGTTTCTAACAGAGGCACACAGTGTGGTGGGGTCCGGAGGACCGTTGCCTGGGACCTGCCTTCCTTCAACCCCTCTACCCACACCCACACAGGTATGGTGTGAAGCGGCTGGAAGAGATGCTGAGGCCCTTGGTGGAAGAGGGCCTACGCTGTGTCTTGATCTTTGGCGTCCCCAGCAGAGTTCCCAAGGTGAAGAATCAAAGGAAGGGCTAAGAAGGGAGGTTGCGCTCACGCCCGTAATCCCAGCACTTTGGGAGGCCAAAGTGGGTGGATCACTTGAGCCCAGGATTTTGAGACCAGCCTGGACAACATGGCAAAACCCATCTCTACAAAAAATACAAAAGTTAGCTGGGTGTGGGGGTATGTGCCTGTAGTCCCAGCTACTCGGGAGGTGGAGAGGTGGGAGGATTGCTTGAGCCCAGAAAGTCGAGGCTGCAGTGAGCCAAAATCGCGCCAGTGCACTCTAGCCTGGGTGACAGAGCAAGACCCTGTCTCCAATACAAACAGAAAAAGGAAGGGAGGTTGGGCAAAGGTGGACTGAGGGTCCACACTGACTGCACCCTCACTCCCACATTGTGCTGGCCCTGGGGCCACAGGTGAATGGACGTGGTCTTTGCCCTTAAGTCAGCACCCATGTAGGGTCAGTCCTCTGTGCTTCCTTATCCAGGGGCTGTGATGATGAAGGAAGGAGAAGGCCAGGGCTATGCTCTGTGATGGCTGTCATCCTGCCTTCCAAAGCTACATGTAATAGACACACTGCTTTGTCCCTCCCCTGCCCCTAGGACGAGCGGGGTTCCGCAGCTGACTCCGAGGAGTCCCCAGCTATTGAGGCAATCCATCTGTTGAGGAAGACCTTCCCCAACCTCCTGGTGGCCTGTGATGTCTGCCTGTGTCCCTACACCTCCCATGGTCACTGCGGTGAGTTCCCTCCCTCCCACCAGCCCTGCTGCCACCCACACTCCTACTGCCCACTTCTCAACAGGGTGGGGACAGGCCAGGGCCCAAGGTGCTCCCCAAAACCCAGTCATCTGTCCTGAAGGGCTCCTGAGTGAAAACGGAGCATTCCGGGCTGAGGAGAGCCGCCAGCGGCTGGCTGAGGTGGCATTGGCGTATGCCAAGGCAGGTGAGTGAACCACCAGCAGGGATGGGCACCTCTGGGTCAGGAGGTGGCAGAGTGGCTAGGAGGGCCCCAGAGTTCTGAAGGCCACCCTCTGCCCCCCAGGATGTCAGGTGGTAGCCCCGTCGGACATGATGGATGGACGCGTGGAAGCCATCAAAGAGGCCCTGATGGCACATGGACTTGGCAACAGGGTAAGGGCAGGGAATGCAGCACAGGGCTGGCAGGAGATAGTCTGCACCAGCCCTGCCCCCGTGTCTGCTAAGAATCACAGAACTGCCGGGCGTGTTGGCTCACACCTGTAGTCCCAGCACTTTGGGAGGCTGAGGCAGGTAGATCACTTGAGGTCAGGGGTTCAAGACCAGCCTGGCCAACATGGTGAAACCCCATCTCTACTAAAAACACAAAAATTAGCTGGGCGTGGTGGCAGGCGCCTGTAATCCCAGCTACTGGGGAGGCTGAGGCAGGAGAATCGCTTGAACCCACGAGGCAGTGAGCTGAGATCATGCCACTGCACTTCAGCCTGGATGACAGAGCTAGACTCCATCTCAAAAAAAAAAAGAATCACAGAACTGAAGACAGTGCTGGATGAGGCTTTGGGGAACCATTTAAACCTCTGGGCCTCTGCAGGGAAATCAAGCCCAGCACTCCAACAGGACCAGAACACAGGCAGTCTCCTTCCCAGCCTAGGTTCTTTCTCTCCCTGCCACATCACCCTGGGATACCTGGCAAGGGCCGAATAAGCCAAGACCTCCATTGTCTCCCCATAGGTATCGGTGATGAGCTACAGTGCCAAATTTGCTTCCTGTTTCTATGGCCCTTTCCGGTGAGCAGGGGTGGGCAGGGGTCTGCTGTGAATCCCTGGCCCTTTGGCCCAAAGCTGGAGCCCACCCTGATGACTCTGCTTTGCAGGGATGCAGCTAAGTCAAGCCCAGCTTTTGGGGACCGCCGCTGCTACCAGCTGCCCCCTGGAGCACGAGGCCTGGCTCTCCGAGCTGTGGTGAGTGACTAGGACTTGAGCCCCACCCTCAGCCCCCTCCTAGGCACCACCCACATTATACCCTCATCCCTTAGGACCGGGATGTACGGGAAGGAGCTGACATGCTCATGGTGAAGCCGGGAATGCCCTACCTGGACATCGTGCGGGAGGTAAAGGACAAGGTGAGCACAGGTACGAGGCAAAGGGGGCTCAGGGGGCTGGGACAGAGTTTTCCACAGACTCTGGAATCTCAGAGTTGGAAGCAGTTTGCCCTTAAGCATGCATCCTCTCCTCCCCTTCCCTGCCCAGGAACCATCGTGGCCTTCTATGTCGGGGCTTGCACGAGCCTCAAACAGCCCTGCTTTAACAGTTCAAGAGTGGGCCAGGCTGCCAGCCGCAGTAACCCAGGACACGGGGCTCAAGATGGTCACAGATTGAGCAGGGGGGAAGGGACGCTTCCAGAGCCACATCCACCCTCCATTTCAGCCTGTCTCCCTGTCTGCTTCCCTGCAGCACCCTGACCTCCCTCTCGCCGTGTACCACGTCTCTGGAGAGTTTGCCATGCTGTGGCATGGAGCCCAGGCCGGGGCATTTGATCTCAAGGCTGCCGTACTGGAGGCCATGACTGCCTTCCGCAGAGCAGGTAGGCAGGCAAGGGTGGGGTGTTTTGACCTGCGCCACAGGGACTGATAAGCACTCTGCCTAGATTGGGGAACGACGTCCTGAGAGCTTGGGATCTTATTCCGGGAATTACTAGTGATCTAAACAGACACACACTGAGGAAGAGATATGGAACTGCAGCATAGAACACGGCCCGGTGAAGCAAGCAGAGCCCTTCATTTTTGGTTGTGAGAACGTGGGCAAGCCACTTCTCTGAACCTCAGTGTCCTCACCCATAACTGGATAACTGGGGATAAGATACCTGGTGCGTGGTTGTCCTGAGGATTAAATGAAGTAATATCACTCCATAAAGGGGACTCATTTTGTTAGAATTGCACACCAGCATGGGAAGGAACTTGCCTCTTACCTATTTCCTTCACTGTGCATTTTATTCTTTGGTAAACTGAGGCCCCAAAAGAGGAAATGACTTGCCCAAGAAATAGAGTTTCCCAAAGCTGGGCTCCGTCTCATGTGGTGTGCCCACAGGCTGTGCTTCTTCATGGTAGCCTTCTTCCCCGCCTGGCCTTCCCATCGCAGAAGGTGTGCTCAGAGCTGATCAGCGTCCCCCCAGCAACTTTCTGCATCTCTCCCAACACAGGTGCTGACATCATCATCACCTACTACACACCGCAGCTGCTGCAGTGGCTGAAGGAGGAATGATGGAGACAGTGCCAGGCCCAAGAACTAGAACTTTAAAACGTTCCCGGGGCCTCAGACAAGTGAAAACCAAAGTAAATGCTGCTTTTAGAACTGTGCCCTCATGCCCTCTTCCTGCTCACATGCTAGCGGGGCCCAGCAGCCCTGGGTGGTTTTGCCAGCATGCTAACTCTTGTAACTCGCAGCTGCATCCTATGAGCTCTCCCAAGCTTCCCCGCCCCTCCCCTGGGTCAGCCGTGAGGCCCACCTTTGCCACCCTCAGCTCTTTCCTCTGGTGTGGCTTCAGCTTGAAAGCAACCTGGAGTCGGGGGCACAGCCTTTGGGGCCTGGCTGGGAGAGGGTCTTGGAGCATTAGGGGAAGAAGAGAGCAGTGGGATCTTGGGGCCTGAGAAGCCTTGGAACGCTTCTGGCAGCAGAGCTGGGTGTGGGAATGAGGCCTAGATCGATATCCCTGGGTTAGAGTTGAAATTTGCCGCAATTCCACTGGAAGGCATTTCCCACGAGGCCAGAGGTTGCCAGGCTGCCTGAGGTCTCCTATTCTACTCTGAACCATAAACCCAGAGAAGAATTACTCATTAACCAGCATAAATACTGCCTGAGGATCAAAACTCAGAGGCAAAGAGGGAGTTCCTGACTGCTAGAGGTGCCACCACCACAAACACTTTTTATTCAGGAGATACTTTTTGAGAATCTCTGCTCTGTTCCTAGGTTCAGTGCTGGGTCCTGGGAATACAGCAGGACAGACCTCAGCTTATCTCTTCATAGAAATTATACAAAGAGAATTGGGGAGACAGCTAAGAAGAAAACAAAGAAATAAAGCAGTTACAAATTGTGATAAGTGCTTTGAAGGAAAGAAGGGGTCTGAGACAACAACAGGGAAGGGGCCTCTCTTGAAACAGTAGTTGGGAAGGAGGCAGACATGCACCAGTGATGTGGTGACAGGTGCTCTGAAGGAGGTCACCAGGACCTGACCTCTTTGAAGGATCAGAAAATACTTCCCTGAAGGACTGACATTTGAGCCTAGACCTGAAGGGTGAGCCATCAAGCTAAGACAATTGGGGAAGAGCATTCCAGGGAGAGGGAGGAGTTGTGCAAAGGCCCTGGGGCTCCTTCTAGCTGGAGGAATGCAAGGCTAGCTTGTCTGGAGCACTGAGAGGATGGCCTGAACTGAGTGGAGAGAGACAGACCAGGACCAAACCATGCAGAGGTCAAGGGCCACATTCACCTTTTCAGAGTGACTCAATCAAATTTGTAGTTTGTAAAAGTATTTTAACAGCTCTGCGGCAAAGTGCAAATGAAAAGTCTTGATGGCATGGACTGGAGCGGGGACAGTGGGGATGGAGAAAGGGGAATGGATTGTGGATGTGTTTAGAAGGTAGATTCGATGTGAAGGATGAATCTGGCTTGACCTTCTGGGTGGCTGATGGGCCATTTACTGAGATGGGGCAGCCTGGAAGAGGAACAGAAGCAGGGTCGGGGTGGAGGGAGAATACTAAACTTAGCTTGAGACATTTTGCAATAAGGAAGCTATATCTAGAGTGCTTATGTGACTCACCTAAGGCCACTCAACAAGTTTGTGGCAGAACTGGATTAGAACTGCACAGAAAACAGCCAAGCTGGGATTTGAACCCATGTAGTCCAACTCCAAGGCCTCTGCCCCTAACCACTGTGCCATACCACCTCCCAATAATCAACAGCAAAATTATAGGTCTAACAATGTTTTATAGACACCCCTCCATTTATGTGATGGGTTTGCATCCTGATAAACCCATCATAAGTTGAAAATATGATCATAAGTTGAAAATATGATCATAAGTCAAAAATGTATTTAATATACCTAACCTACCAAACATCATAGCTTAGCCTAGCCTGCCTTAAACATGCTCAGAACACTTACATTAGCCTACAGTGGGCAAAACTATCCAACACAAAATCTATATTGTAATAAAGTTGTAAAGAATTTTGAATAAAAATTCAATATTTGAAGTACAGTTTCTACTGAATGTCTTGTTTCATACTGTTGTAAAGTCAAAAATTGTGAATTGAATGATCACAGTTCGGGGACCATCTGCAATTAGCCCCAGTTATACGGGGAGACCAAGGAGACCAGGCACCTACTTGGTTGCAAGTGATGGAAATCCAGTTCAATAGCAAAGAAGGACATGATTGGTTTTCATAACTGGATTGAGATAAGGACAGGTGTGGTTGGGCCCAGGGTCAAACCCCATGGAGGTCTCTGTCCCTTTCTAACTCTCGTCTGTGTTTGCCCCAGCTTTATACTCAGGTGGGTTTTTGCCACTTGCCAGCAACATGATCCTCAATAATTCTAGGCTTAAATAGTCGTTAAGATTTGTAATCCCAGAGAAAGAGCCTTCCTGTCCCATCACTCACATAGCAAATCTCTGGAGGTCTCTGATTGGGCCTGTTCAGGCCACATGGTCCACTCTTGGCTCAGTCACTGTAAACAATGGGATGGGAGATGGCGCCACAATTGACCAGGTAGGCCTCATTACACAGAACGCTGTCTTGGACTGAGCTTTTGCACCAGTGGCCTCCTTGGCTTGGAATGCTTTTCCCCTAAATCTATATGGCTGTCTCTCTTGTTAAGATCTCAGCTCAAAGCATCCCTTCCTCTGAGAAACCTGACCCAACACCCAATCTAAAGTCACTCTTGGAGCTGGGCGTGGTGGCTCACACCTGTAATCCCAGCACTTTGGGAGACCAAGGCAGGCGGATCACTTGAGGTCAGGAGTTCAAGACCAGCCTGGCCAACGTGGCAAAACCCCATCTAGACTAAAACTACAAAAAATTAGCCGGGCATGGTGGCAGGCGCCTGTAGTCCCACCTGCTTGGGAGGCTGAGGCAGAGGAATCACTAGAACACAGGACGCAGAGGTTGCAGTGAGCCGAGATCATGCCACTGCACCCCATCCTGGGCAACAGAGAGTCAGACTCTGTCTCAAAAAAAAAAAAAAAAAAAAGTCATTCTCCAGTCACTCTGTATTAATCAGGATTCAGGTTCAGTGGATATAACAAAAGCCAAAATAATGATAGCTTGAGATGAAAATTTACTTCTAAGCAATCCAGGGCTGATATGTCAGCAATATGTTGTGAGGGGTCTCAGCTCTTGCCTTGTTCTGTCATCATCAACACATCTTGGCCTCCATCTCATGAACAAAGATGGCTGGTGCTGGGCACAGTGGCTCACACCTGTAATCCCAACACTTTGGGAGGCTGAGATGGGTGGATCACTCAAGTCCAGGAGTTTGAGACTAGCTTAGGCAACATGAGGAAACCACGTCTGTACAAAAAATACAGAATTATCTGGGTGTGGTCGTGCATGCCTGTAGTCCCAGTTACTCAGGAGGCTGAGGCAGGAGCGAGCCCAGGAGGTCAAGGATGCAGTGAGTGGTGATTGCGCCCCTGCACTCTAGCATGGGAAACAGCGTGAGACCCTATCTCAAAACCAAAACAAAACAAAAAAATGGCTGGGCCAGTTCCCATCATCAGGTCCTCTTTCCAGCCAGCAGGAAGAGAAGAGCAAATGGAGGGCATGACCCTTCTTTATAAAGTCATGACCCAAAAGTTGCACACATCATTTCTGTCTACACACCCTTGTCTCAAATTAGTCACATGGTCATGCCCAGTTGTAAGGGAGGCTGGAAATAGTCTAGTGGGCCAGCCATATGCTCAACTAAAACTCGGGAGTTCAGTTACTAAGGAAGATGGAGAGAATGGATAGTAAGGCAAATGGCCATTTTTACCTAATGGAGGTTCTTGGGATCACAGAAACAGTGGTCAGAATATTAAAGAAAAAAGATCCTTAGAGACTATCTAGTTAAACACTCTGATTTTATAGATGGGGAGACAGACCCAGAGAGGTGACCTGTCCAAAATTAGACAGCAATCTAGTCAGTGGCAGACCAAGGCTGGAATTCAGGTCTCTTAACTCCAAGCCCAGTGCTCAAAACTCGGGAAGGGGCTGGGCATGGTGGCTCACACCTGTAATCCCAGCACTTTAGGAGGCCGAGGTGGCAGGATTGCTTGAAACCAGGAGTTCAAGACCAGCCTGGGCAACAAAGCACGACCCCATTGCTACAAAAAAAATGTTTTTCAATTAAAAATAAAACTAGTGAAGGGATTCGTTTTAGAGGGACTTTAGCTTTATATGTATTATTTCTATTCATGTATTATATGTAACAAGGATATATTCATGTGTGGCTATGTAAATAAAAAATGAAAACTTAACCAATACATATATGAAAAGGTGTTATCTTCATTAGTGGAGAAAATTCAAGTTAAAACCGCAATGAGATACCACAATACATCCACAAAAATGCCTAATACTGGCTGGGTGCGGTGGCTCATGCCTGTAATCCCAGCACGTTGGGAGGCCGAGGTGGGCGGATCACGAGGTCAGGAGTTTGAGACCAGCCTGGCCAACATGGTGAAACCCCGTCTCTACTAAAAACACACACACACAAAAATAGTCAGGTGTGGTGGTGTGCGCTTGTAATCCCAGCTACTCGGGAGGTTGAGGCAGGAGAATTGCTTGAACCCAGAAGGCGGAGGTTGTAGTTAGCTGAGATCGTGCCACTGCGTTCCAGCCTGGGCAACAGAGGGAGACTCGAAAAAGAAAATGCCTAATACTAAAAGGACAATGGGACAATGTCAAGTGTTGAGAATGCAGAACAACTGGAACTCTCAGATATGACTGGTACACCCTTTCAAAATGCCTGGCTCCACAAGAACAAAAAAAAAAGAAAGAAAGAAAGAAAGAAAGAAAACAAAATGTCTAGCTCCAGCCTGGGCAACATAGTGAGACCATGTCTATACTAAAAAATAAAAACAAAAATAAAATTAGCGGGGCGTGGTGACACATGTCTGTGGTTCCCGCTACTTGGGAGGCTGAGGCAGGAGGATTGCCTGAGTCCAGGAGGTGGATGCTGCAGTGAGCCATGTTTGGCCTGCACTCCGGCCTGGGCTACAGAGGGAGATCCTGTCTGCAAAAAAAAAAAAAAAAGAAAAAGAAATGTCTGGCCCTATTTACCAAAGCTGAACATATGCATACCTTATGACCCTGTGATTCCACACCTAGGTATTACCCAACAGTATTTACCCAACATTACCTATGTTCATAAGACACATGTTCAACAGCATTCATAGCAGCATTTTATAATATATGTAATAAGGCCGGGCATGGTGGCTCATGCCTGTAATCTCAGCACTTTGGGAGGCTGAGGTGGGTGGATCACCTGAGCTTAGGAGTTCAAGACCAGCCTGGCCAACATGATGAAATCCCATCTCTACTAAAATACACAAATTATCCGGGCGTGGTGGCAGGCACCTGTGATCCCAGCTACTTGAGAGGCTGAGGCAGGAGAATTGCTTGAACCTGGGAGGTGGGAGGTTGCAGTGAGCCAAGATGGCGCCACTGCACTCCAACCTAGGCAACAGAGCGAGACTCTGTCTCCAAAAAAAAGAAAAAAGAAGTGTAATAAACAAAATTGGAGATAACCCAAATGTTCATCAACAGTAAAATGTGGTCTATTTATATAATAGAATATTAAAGGTGTGAGAATGGATTAACTACAACTACACATAGCAACACAGATGTATCAAACACAATTTTGAGCAAAAGAAGCAAGGCATAAAAAATACATGCTATATTATTCTGTTTATATACAGTTCAAAAACAAATAAAGTTTAACTATGCAGTTTGAAGTCAAGATAGTTACCCTTTTGGGTAGTAAGTAACTGGAAGTGGACAGGCTGTGGAGGGTTCTGGAAATTGTTCTTTTTCTTGGTCTGGGTGCTGGTTGCATGGGTATGTTCACTTTGGGAAAATTCACATTTTGCATATTGGGATACTGAGGCTCAGAGAGAAAAACAATTGAATGGAGAGCTCACAGACAGACAGATGGCAGAGCTGGGATCAGAACCTAAGGGGTTAGGTTTTCGGTGACCCTGAAAAGTAGACAGTATCAGACATTCTTGGATTCTGTGAAATGCAGTTGAACCTCTGGTCTCCCAGTTGCCCTTCCCACCCCCACTTCTGCTTCATGCTTATAACACAAAACCAGTTTTGCAAGTGAGTCGGGCTCTCTCTTGCAGGTCCAAAGTCTGTGACTCTGCACTTTGTGTTTCTTCCCAGGCCTGAACCCAGTGAACAGACCAACTTGGAACATAGGAGAAAGTTTTGTTTTTTTGTTTTTAAGAGTTGAAAGGAAGAAAATTAGGCCAGGCACAGTGGCTCATGCCTATAATCCCGGCACTTTGGGAGGCCAAGGTGGGTGGATCAGTTGAGGTCAGGAGTTCTAGACCAGTCTGGCTACACGGCGAAACCTCGTCTCTACTAAAAATACAAAAAATTACCCGGGCACAGTGGCGCACACCTGTAATCCCAGCTACTCAGGAGGCTGAGGCAGGAGAATTGCTTGAACCTGGAAGGCAGAGGTTGCAGTGACCCCAGATCGCATCACTGCACTCCAGCCTGGGTGACAGAGTAAGACTCTGTCTCACAAAAAAAAAAAAAAAAAAAAAGGGCCAGGCTCGGTGGCTCATGCCTGTAATCCCAGCACTTCGGGAGGCTGAGGCAGGTGGATCACCTGAGGTCAGGAGTTCAAGACCAGCCTGGCCAACATGATGAAATCCTGTCTCTACTAAAATACACAAATTATCTGGGCGTGGTGGCAGGCACCTGTAATCCCAGCTACTCGGGAGGCTGAGGCAGAAGAATCGCTGGAACCCAGGAGGTGGAGGTTGCAGTGAGCTGAGATGGCACCATTGCACTCCAGCCTGGGCAACAAGAGTGAAACTCCGTCTCAAAAATGGAAGAAAGAGAGAAAGAGACAGAGAGAGAGGGAGGGAGAGAGAGAGGGAGGGAGGGAGGGAGGAAGGAAGGGAGGAAGGGAGGGAGGGAAGAAGAAAGGAAAGAAAGAAAGGGAAGGGAAGGGAGGAGGGAGGGAGAAAGGAAGGAAGGAGAGAGAGAGAGAAAGAGAGAGAGAGAAGAGGGAGGGAGGGAGAGAAAGAAAGGAGAGAGAGAAAAGAGGGAGGGAGACAGAGAGAAAGAATGAAAAAAAAAGAAAGAAAGGAGGGAAGGAGGAAGAGAAAGAAAGAAAGAGAGGAAAGAAAGAAAATTAGATACATGTTTGTGTGCTGCTAGAAAACTGTGTCATAGCATAACCAAAACTGTCACCTCAGCAATCCCTGGGGAGTGAGATGGGGTGGGGAAGCCCTTCTCTCCCTGCCCCAAGGCTACTGCCCTTGTTCAGTAAGCAGGCTGAGGCCCCACACCCTTCTTTCCGGTTCCTCACCTGGAGTACTTTCCTTGATCTTAACCTGACAACCTCCTTCTCACCATTCAGATCTTTGTTCCTTCCTTGACCACCTCATCCAAAGAGATACCCTGTCACTGTTCATAAAATGATTGTTTTTACCGCTTCCACTTCTCTCTCTGAAATCACTTTGTTTATTTATCTACTCAATGGTTGTCTGCCCCTCCCATGCCCCATGCAGGCAGGAACCACCTTGTTTCCCACTGAATCCTCAGAGAAGGACAGGGGACACAGAGCCCACAGATGTTAGGTGGTCAATGAATGAGGTTGGGTGTTGGTGGGGGGCTGGCTTTTTATTTTGTACACGTTTGTATTTTGCATTATTATTATTATTTTTTGAGACAGAGTCTTGCTCTGTCACCCAGGCTGGAGTGCAATGCTGTGATGTCAGCTCACTACAACCTCTGCCTCCCAGGTTCAAACAATTCTTGTGCCTCAGCCTCCCGAGTAGCTGGGATTACAGGCACCTGCCACCATGCCCCACTAATTTTTGTATTTTTAGTAGAGATGGGGTTTCACCATGTTGGTCAGGCTGGTCTCAAACTCCTGACCTCAAGTAATCCACTGGTCTCGGCCTCCTAAAGTGCTGCAATTACAGACGTGAGCCACCACACCCAGCCTGTTATTATTTTTTAACAAGATGGGGTCTCACTTTGTTTCCTAGGCTGGTCTCATACCCCTGAGCTCAAGGGATCCTTCCACCTTAGCCTTCCAAAGTGCTAGGATTTCAGGCATGAGCCACTATGCCTAACCCTGAATATGTCTGTATTTTTTTTAATAGGAGAAAAAGCATATACATTTATTTGATCATAGTTTTTTTGTGACATGGGAGCCTTCAGAATGAAGAGCCACAGATACAGAGGAAACTGTCCATTTTTATGCTTAGGTTCAACGAAGTGTACATGGCCGTGTATGTAGGGAAAAGAGAGATCAGACTGTTATTGTGTCCATGTAGAAAAGGGAGACATAAGAAACTCCATTTTGACCTGTACCCTGAACAATTGCTTTGCCCTGAGATGCTGTTAATCTGTAACTTTGCCCCAACCTTGAGCTCACAGAAACATGTGTTGTATGGAATCAAGGTTTAAGGGATCTAGGGCTGTGCAGGATGTGCCTTGTTAACAAAATGTTTACAGGCAGTATGCTTGGTAAAAGTCATCGCCATTCTCCATTCTCGATAAACCAGGGGCACAATACACTGCGGAAAGCCGCAGGGACCTCTGCCCTGGAAAGCCTGGTATTGTCCAAGGTTTCTCCCCATGTGACAGCCTGAGATATGGCCTCGTGGGATGGGAAAGACCTGACCGTCCCCCAGCCCGACACCCGCGAGGGGTCTGTGCTGAGGAGGATTAGTAAAAGAGGAAGGCCTCTTGAAGTTGAGATAAGAGGAAGGCCTCTGTCTCCTGCCTGCCCCTGAAACTGAACGTCTCGGTATAAAACCCGATTATACATTTGTTCAATTCTGAGACAGGAGAAAAACCGCGCCGTGGCGGGAGGCGAGACATGTTGGCAGCAATGCTGCTTTGTTATTCTTTTCTCCACTGAGATGTTTGGGTGGAGAGAAGCATAAATCTGGCCTGTGTGCACATCCAGGCATAGTACCTTCCCTTGAACTTATTTGTGACTCAGATTCCTTTGCTCACATGTTTTCTTGCTGACCTTCTCCTCACTATCAGCCCGCTCTCCTATCGCATTCTTCTTGCTGAGATAGTGAAAATAGTAATCAATAAATACTGAGGGAACTCAGAGACCAGTGCCAGAGCAGGTCCTCCGTATGCTGAGCGCCGGTCTCCTGGGCCCACTGTTCTTTCTCCATACTTTGTCTCGGTGTCTTATTTCTTTTCTCAGTCTCTCGTCCCACCTGATGAGAAATACCCACAGGTGTGGAGGGGCAGGCCACCCCTTCACATGTAGAAACAGGATTGCACAAAACGCTAATAGACTGAATAGAGAAACCCACCAAGACCCATCTGTGTAGATTCTTCTTGGCCTCTCTGTGCAGTGTTCCTTCCTCCAGGGTATGCGGCAAGACCCTCTCAAAGGGGCCTGGGTGGTGGGGGCTGTCTTATGACCTGTCTTGCCTAAGGTCATAGTGCAAGGTGATGAGACTAAAGAGGAACAGAGCACAGGCACAGAAGTATCTCAAAGCTTCCCCTCCGGTACCTCCCCAGCCTCTTTGGCCCAAACCCCCTGGCTAGCAACATTCCTATAGTTCCTCAGTGTCTCTTTGGTTCGGAAAAAAAACTTTCTTGCCTGGAGGCCTTTGCATCAGGGGGTCCCTTAACCATCACTCAGATCCTTCCCCTCTGCATGGCCAACTCTCATATGTTTGTATTTTTTAGTTTTTTGAGACTAACATGCATTACATGCATACCTTATTTATTTATTATTTTTTTATTTTTTTATTTTTTTGAGATGGAGTTTTGCTCTTGTTACCCAGGCTGGAATACAGTAGCCTGATCTTGGCTCACTGCAACCTCCACCTCCCCGGTTCAAGCGATTCTCCTTCCTCAGCCTCCCAAGTAGCTGGGAATACAGGCATGAACCACCTCGCCTAATTTTGTATTTTTAGTAGAGACGGGGTTTCACCGTGTTGGCCAGGCTAGTCTTGAACTCCTGACCTCAGGTGATCCACCCACCTCAGCCTCCCAAAGTGCTGGCATTACAGGCGTGAGCCACCGCGCCCAGCCAACATACATTACTTTTGCAAACAAAGATAAAACTCTTTTTTTATTCTTCAAAAGAATAAAAAAGCTCCCTGGTGGTCTAGTGGTTAGGATTCCAGGCTCTTACCACAGGGATCTTTTTTTTTTTTTTTTTTTTTGGGGACACAGTCTCGCTCTTTGCCCAGGCAAATATTGTGCAGTGGCAGAATCTTGGCTCACTGTAAGCTCCGCCTCCCGGGTTCATGCCATTCTCCTGCCTCAGCCTCCCGAGTAGCTGGGACTACAGGCACCTGCCACCATGCCCGGCTAATTTTTTGTATTTTTAGCAGAGACAGGGTTTCACCGTGTTAGCCAGGATGGTACCACAGGGTTCTTAAAAACAAAAAGAGGCCAGGTGCGGTGGCTCATGCCTGTAATCCCAGCACTTTGGGAGGCTGAGGTGGGCGGATCACCTGAGGTCAGGAGTTCAAGACTAGCCAGGCCAACACGGCGAAACCCTGTCTCTACTAAAAATACAAAAATTAGTTGGGTGTGGTGGCACACACCTGTAATCCCAGCTACTGGGGAGTCTGAGGCAGGAGAATCGCAAGAAACTGGGAGGCGGGGGTTGCAGTGGGCTATCGCGCCACTGCACTCCAGCCTGAGCGACAGAGGGAGACTCCGTCTCAAAAAAAAAAAAAGAGAAAGAATAAAAAAGCAGGTTACTGCAGCGGACTCTACCCTCACCAAGTTATCTTGGATTTAACAAGTTTCCAACTGAAAGCAATTCCCTCCAATACCAACTGGGGACCCTGAGACCAGAGAGGGGCTGGGCCTTGCCCAGGTTCACACAACACTAAGCAAGCCAGGCTGGGTCCCAACTCCCCTCCTCCCACTCAACCTGGGTACTTCTCGGGGGTTTCCCGATCCAAAGGAGGCCAGGAGCCGGGGTTGGGGATGGGGAGCGGAGACAGCGGTGAGGAGCGGCGGTGTGGCGGGCAGGGGGTGCGCAGACAGGGCGGAGAAGGTGCTGGTAACGGGGGCTGCGGAGCGGAAGGGTGCGGGCTGGGGAACCTCAGAGGGTGCGGGGAGGGAATAAGGGGCGTAGATGGTGCAGGGTAACGGAGGCGCGCAGTGAAGGCGGGTGACAGGGGCGCAGAGAGGTGCACAGTGAGACGAAGGAGGGAGAGGGGACGGCGAGGGCGACGGGAGATGGGGCGGGAGAGGGCGAAGGTGAGGGGGATAAGGGCGGGGACGGGGCGGGGACAGAGGCGGGTCGGGATGGTAGGGAGGGGCGGCCCGCGCGATCCCCGCCCCACCGCCCGGCGCTTGCGCACCTCCGCCCGAGCTCGCGGGCCTTGCGGCTGCGTTTTCAATCTGCTTCCTTGTGAGTCAGGTGGGTCCTGGGCCCAGGAACCGGCCCGGAGCCGTGGACGCCCTACAGCTGAGAAGGGGACCCAAGGGGTCGGCCGCGGCCAAGGCCCCTAGGACCGCCGCCCCAGCTCACGCTGCCGACGGCAGCTATAGACATTCTGCGTCAGGTCCGGGCTCCTGGACTTCGCCTTTCCCGAGCCCTGGAGGTGGGGAGAAAAGGTGAGCAGTTCGTGCCTGCAGCGCAGAGCCCCAAACCCGCGGTTTTAGAAATCGAAAAAGCCCTGCCGGGCGCGGTGGCTCACGCCTTTACCGTAATCCCAGCACTTTGGGAGGCCGGGGGGCGGGGTGGGGCGGGGGAGGATCACGAGTTCGGGAGTTCGAGACCAGCCTGGCTAACATAGTTGAAACCCCGTCTCCACTAAAAATACAAAAATTAGCCAGGTGTGGTGGCGCGCGCCTGTAGTCCCAGCTACTCTGGAGGCTAAGGAAGGAGAATCGCTTGAATCCGGGAGGCGGAAGTTGCAGTGAGCCGAGATCGCACCACTGTACACCTGGGTGACAGAGTGAGACTCTGTCTCAAAAAAAAAAAAAAAGAAAAAAAGCCGGCCGGGTATAGTGGCTCACGCCTGTAATCCTAACACTTTGGGAGGCTGAGGTCGGGAGTTCGAGACCAGCCTGGCCAACATGGAGAAACCCCGTCTCTACTAAAAATACAAAAAAAAAAGGAGCCGGGGATGGTGGCGCATGCCTGTAATCCCAGCTACTTGGGAGGCTGAGGCAGGAGAATCGCTTGAACCTGGGAGGCGGAGGTTGCAGTGAGCCGAGATCGCGCCATTGCACTTCAGCCTGGGCAACAAGAACGAAACTCCGCCTCAAAAAAAAAAAAAAAAAAAAAAAAAAGCCGTGGGTCAGGAGCCAGAGCCCTCTGCTCTAGTCTTAGCTGTGCCAATGTGACTCCCTGTGTGATTTGGGGGTAAATTACTGCCCCTCACTGGGTCTCTGTCTACCCACCTGCAAAATGAGAGGATCTTTGGATGAGTCTCCTTAATTCATTTCCTGGACAAACTTCCTCCAAGGCTCCCCCAGATTTACCAGTGACGCCCTTCCCTAAGTATCAACTTAGCCGTACTTTGAACTCTGGCCCCTCAGGTTTCAAGGGGACGGCCTTGTCTGGGATCAGCTCTGTCTGGGGAAAGAAGCTGCACCAGCCTCTGGATAGCAGGCTGAGTCACTTGTTTCTTGTGCCTTGAGTCAGTTCTCTCATCAGCTCTCCTCCTAGGCCAGTGTTATTACCTCCAGTAAAGATGGAAAAGTTGGGGTTCAGAGAGGGCTAGAGACAGACAGCCTGCTGTGTCCTGTCTTTTCTCCTGTGCTGTACAGGTTCACCAATTTTTAAAATCCAAATATATCTCATGGTACAGTGGAAGAACTGGCCAGAGAGTCTGGAAGTTTGGGTTCTGGTCCTGGCTGTGCCACTGACTCACTGTGACCTTGGGTAAGTACCTGCCCCTTTCTGGCTCAGTCTACTCTGCCCAGCAGCCAAGATATCGTTCATATGCTCTGCAAGGCCCCTTCTGTCTTTGACATCCCTAATAATGATAATAGCAATCATAATAATTGTGTCCTGTGTGCCAGACAGCTGGCCTCTGTCTACTTGCCCTGCCTCAGGGCCTTTGCACTTGCTATTTCCACTGACGGGAGCACTCACCTACCTCTGCTTCTTGCACATTCATTCTTCTGATCTCCATTGAAACTTGACTTGCAGGGCTGGGAGTGATGGCTCATGCCTGTAATCCCAGTACTTTGGGTGGCCAAGGCTGGGGGATCACTTGAGTCCAGGGGTTGGAGAGCAGCCTGGGCAACATAGTGAGACCCACCCCGCCCCACCACCCCACATCTCTACAAAAAGTTCAAAAATTAGCCGGGCATGGTGGCACGTGCCTGTAGCCCCAGCTACTAGGGAGGCTAAAGCAGGAGGATTGACTGAGCCTGGGAGATCGAGGCTGCAATGAGCCATGCACTCCAGCCTGGGAGACAGAGAGAGACCCTGTCTCACAAAAAAATTAAAAAAAATAAATAAAAAGAAACTTCACTTGCTTATGACATTCCCTAACTACACAGACTAGATGCGGTCCCTGGATTTAGATCCTTACGGTATCTATTGACTTCATTATATTTAAGTGTTTGTATAGTTCTTTGCCTAATATCCGTATCCCTGTTCTTCAGTGCCTGTAAATGCCCTAAGGGCTGGAAATCTATCCCATATGCTAGCAGCTAGCTCAAAAAGGTGCTCAGAAATTTGTTGTGGATTCAGAGTGACTTTCCTAGGGTCACACCATTGGCAGCACCAGAATTTGAACCCAGTCTGTCTGATGTCAGGGCCTGAGCTTCCACCTTACCTGCTATTTTTCATTCTAGGATCTTGTGCTGTGAAGACATTTCCCAAGTGCTTCATGTTAGCCAGCAAATCTGACCCACAAGGCCTGGAAAGAGGTGATTGTTAGGTTGCGCAGAGGTGGTCTTATCCAGCTCAGCTTCCCCTGGGACCCACCGTGGGACCTGAGGCAGAACTGGGGTGGACTTGGCCTCCTCCATGGCACACCGGCTGCAGATACGACTGCTGACGTGGGATGTGAAGGACACGCTGCTCAGGCTCCGCCACCCCTTAGGGGAGGCCTATGCCACCAAGGCCCGGGCCCATGGGCTGGAGGTGGAGCCCTCAGCCCTGGAACAAGGCTTCAGGCAGGCATACAGGGCTCAGAGCCACAGCTTCCCCAACTACGGCCTGAGCCACGGCCTAACCTCCCGCCAGTGGTGGCTGGATGTGGTCCTGCAGACCTTCCACCTGGCGGGTGTCCAGGATGCTCAGGCTGTAGCCCCCATCGCTGAACAGCTTTATAAAGACTTCAGCCACCCCTGCACCTGGCAGGTGTTGGATGGGGCTGAGGACACCCTGAGGGAGTGCCGCACACGGGGTCTGAGACTGGCAGTGATCTCCAACTTTGACCGACGGCTAGAGGGCATCCTGGGGGGCCTTGGCCTGCGTGAACACTTCGACTTTGTGCTGACCTCCGAGGCTGCTGGCTGGCCCAAGCCGGACCCCCGCATTTTCCAGGAGGCCTTGCGGCTTGCTCATATGGAACCAGTAGTGGCAGCCCATGTTGGGGATAATTACCTCTGCGATTACCAGGGGCCTCGGGCTGTGGGCATGCACAGCTTCCTGGTGGTTGGCCCACAGGCACTGGACCCCGTGGTCAGGGATTCTGTACCTAAAGAACACATCCTCCCCTCTCTGGCCCATCTCCTGCCTGCCCTTGACTGCCTAGAGGGCTCAACTCCAGGGCTTTGAGGCCAGTGAGGGAAGTGGCTGGGCCCTAGGCCATGGAGAAAACCTTAAACAAACCCTGGAGACAGGGAGCCCCTTCTTTCTCCACAGCTCTGGACCTTTCCCCCTCTCCCTGCGGCCTTTGTCACCTACTGTGATAATAAAGCAGTGAGTGCTGAGCTCTCACCCTTCCCCCACTAACCAGCTCCTAGCCTCTGCCCTCCCTCATTCTCATTCACACCTGTGTCCCTTTTCCACTAGGAGTCGACTTCACATCCAAAGGATTCACAGAGGGCCCCACTAGCTTCAAAACCAGGCACTTTCAAACTTGGTTTTAGCAGCAGAGTCCTTTAGTTATGGGCGATCTGAAACCCCATTATGCAAAACTAAAAACAGACCCTGAAAAACTGCTGGAGTTGAAGCAGAGGTGCTAAGGTCTCTCTTTCAGCTTCTGAAAATACCCTCTGGAAGCCTGGGGTCAGTGCTTAGTTTGAAAAGCAGGATGCTAAGCCATTCTGTAGGGACACTGTCCATTAGCACCACATAGTATGAAGGGGAGAATTTAAACAAGGAACCCCATGACAGTCATGAGAAGAAATCCTGTTGACATATGCCTGCCCCGTGTTAGGTAAGGTGCTGAGTTACCTCCATGCACATATAACCCTCAAAGCTACCTCGTTGGGCCTAGGTGGTTTGACCCCCTCCACAACTTTACAAATGAGGAAACTGAAATTCAGAGGTTAAGCAGCCTGCCCGAGGTCACAGCTAGCATGCAAAGACACCAGGATTCCATTTAGGCACATCTGAATCCAAAGCCCATTGGCTTGACCACTAGGTTGTAAGTAGATGAGGATGCTTGTCATGTGAAACGTGGTACAGTGGAGATTCTGGGAGAATAGGGGAGGTGTCCTAAAGAATATCAATCTCAAAGGGCACCCCAGTCGCAGAGACCAGTGTGGAGGTAGGAAAGTATGGGGAACAAGGACTGCAGTGTAGGGAATAGGTTTGGAGGGAGGGGGGAAGAACTGGAGGTTGAAGTAGGTTGGGTTTTTCAATTCCTTTTTTCACTTTAGGAGGCTGAGGCAGGAGGATCACTTGAGCCCAGAGTTCGAGACTAGCCTGGGCAACATGGTGAAACCCCATCTCTTCAAAAAATGTAAAAACTAGCCTGGTGTGCTGGCACACACATTTAATCCCAGCCACTCGGAAGACTGAGGCAGGAGGATCGCTTGAGCCCACAAGTTCTGTTACAGTAAGCTACGTGCCACTGCACTTCAGCCTGGGCAACAGAGTGAAACCCTGTCTCTAAAAACAAAACAACAAAAAGTTCTCCTGCCTCCCCACCTTCCCACACCGTTCTACTTGGTATTTGCTGGACATCTGTGTTCCTTGCCCAGTGCCAGAGGATACCACACATTAAAAACACAGGCTGGCAGTGTGTTCTGGTGCCAGCAGCTAGGGAGGGCTCTAGAATGGATGCTGAATTCAGTAGTGGCATTGGGGGTGGCTTTAGATGAGCAGGGGGATGAGGAGGACATTGCTGCAGCAGGCCGATGAACTGTGGAATGAAGGCTGCTGTGAGGAGCTGGGTTGGTGGATTGGGAGAAAATGGCATGGGGGCCTTCAGGTGCCAAGAAAAGCCTTGGCTTTGACCCAGATTTTTGAGCAGGGGCTGTGCCCAGGCAAAGGCAGGGAAGATCTCTTTGGGACTTGACCAAACCCCTTTTGGTCTGTTTTCCTTGGGACTGGCACCAAGGCCAGGCAACAGTAATTTCGTTGTTTTTTTTTTTTTTGAGATGGAGTCTCGCTCTGTTGCCCAGGCTAGAGTGCAGTGTTGCGATCTCGGCTCACTGCAACCTCCGCCTCCCAGGTTCAAGCAATTCTCCTGCCTCAGTATCCCGAGTGGCTGAGATCACAGGTGTGCACCATTATGCCCAGCTAATTTTTTGTATTTTTAGTAGAGATGGGGTTTCACCACATTGGCCAGGCTGGTCTCAAACTCCTGACCTCAGGTGATCCACCTGCCTCAGCATCCCTTTGAGACTCTGTCTCAAAAAAAAAATTAATAAACAGTGGTTTTCAAACTGCTCTGCAGCTCCCAAAGAAAGTGGGGAGGGCTCTGCCTTTCATCTTCTTTGGACGCAGGAGCCTAAAGTTGTAGGTAAGATTACTTTTGAAGAGAGTTCCTGGACAAAAGTTTGAAGACCACTGTTCTAGGGTGAACTCCTCATGGAGACAAACATAAAGGGACTTGCCTTGGGTCTTGGTAATGTCTCCAGGCTCTTTCCGCTACACTGAGCTGCGACCCACTTATTTCCGAGAATGCAATAAGGGTATGAAGACAGGCCAGCGTACAGTATACACCCAATTATCAACAAAGAACATGGAATAAATCTTCAATGCTTTTAAGACCTTTAATAATGCCCACGTGCCCTAAGGTTGGCCCTCTTAACTCCCTCAGCTCTTTCTGGCTTTAAGCCATCACCCCAGGTGTGCAGTTTATGTCAGAGGGGGCCATCAGGTAGGGAAACTTATCAGCTGCTCTAAGAGAAAAGGCCGTCCCTGCTATTATCAGTGGGCACAGGCTGGAGCTCAGCCAGCAGGGGCTACAGTCGGGTTACCTGGAGACATGATCCCCTGGTCCTCTGAGGGCCTAGGCAGGACATGGGGGAGGACACGGTCCCCCGGGACAGAGTCCTCTGGCCAGGAGCAGCCTTTCAGGTTGCTCTTGTGTGCTAGAAAAAAATATTTTCTCTATGTGCCATGTCATGAAAAAGACAAAAGCACTGAGTTAATGGGATGTGGAAACTTTAGCCACAGGCTTCTCTGCCTGTGAAGAGAGCATTTCTGCATGTGAACAGCTGGAGCAGGAGGCTGAATGGCAGTGCTTCTCCAGAGACCACAACATCCACCCAGTCACCTGTCCACCTACATTCACCTATCCATCTATCCATCCACTCACCTGCCAAATATTTATTGCATGCTCACTATGCACCAGGCACCATGCTAGATGCCAGAGACAAAGTGAAGACACCCTCAGAGGGGCAGATGCATGGTGGATTTGGGAGACTAAGGCCCAGGGAGTAGTAGGTTCCCCACAGGTACCCAGCACTCAAAGCAGCAATCTCCAACCCTTTGAATGCAAGGACTTTTTTGCTTATCTGTGGTGGCAGATATCACAAAAATTATACACAGACTTTTTTTTTTTTTTTAGCTCATCAGCTATCGTTAGTGTATTTTATGTGGCCCAAGAAAATTCTTCTTCAAATGTGGCCCAGGGAAGCCAAAAGTTTGGACACCTGTGATTTACAGGTTATGCCTAGATCTGAAACAGATCCCCATCCCTCCTAAAGCTGCCCACTGGTTATGGGCCCTGTTTCTCTTAGAAACACCACACACATCATTTGGGAAAAGCACACTGAGTAGAAACATGGCCTGAAAGGGTGGTGGGCGGTGGACCTGGCTTCCTGTGGCCAGAGGTCAGCGGACGATAGAAATGGTCTGATCGGCCACAGCAAAGACTGGGAAGAGGGGCCCCGGGAAGGACACATGATGGGCACAGAGCACTGTGCCGGAGGCTGGCTCATAGAAGAGCAGCTCCTGAACCTGCAAGTCCAGCACTACACCCAGCTGGGCTGGGCCCCGCAGCAGCCCCAGGGGCTCGTGCTGCCCATTGTGTGAGAAACGAAACTCCTGATCATAGCGAGAGAAGACCCAGGAGAAGGCATTGTGGCCCAGACGGCAGTCACTGCCAGAACCCTTGCGGGGCAGGTGGCCTGAAGCCACGCCCACCTTATAGGCACAACTGTTCTGGACATTCACCATCCAGGCATGGAGCCCATTCTGGAAGGAGGTGGCAGCCAGGGCATTGGGCCAGTGGTCGAAGCGCTCCGGGCCATCTGCACAGGCCTTTGACTTCTTGGTGCTGAAGGTCAGGGTCTTTCGATCATCTGACAATTGCAGGAAGGGGCTGACTGTCCTCTCATCGATCCGTATGTCCTCTGTGCCTGCCAGAAAGAATTCTCAGAGTTGCCGAGGGCCCACCCCTGCCCTAACCTGGTCCTGCCAGGTAGCAAAAGGTTCCTCACCACTCACTAGCATGGTGACCTCATATAAGCCATTTACTCTCTCTGAGCCTTGTCTGCAAAACGGGGGTCAAAATAGGACTTCTCACTGGGTGATCACGAGAATTAAACAGAATCATACATGTAAAGTGCCCAGCATGTAAGTGCTCTATAAACTGTAGCCTTCATAACAATAGTTACTATCAGTCAAGACCCTCAACTGTAAACTCTGATAGAAATAAGGCCCAGAGAGAAAAAGGGAGTTGCCCAAGTTTACACACTGACTTGGTGGGAGGGGCAAAATGAAGACAAAACATTTTGTTCCTATACGTAGCACTGATTATACTCTTTCTACTTGGTCATATCTGTGGCCTCCAGATTGGACGTGTCCTAGAAACACAGCCTCTGGGAGCTAGGAAGCATGAGATAAGCAATTTCTAGCAAATATCTAAACTGCTGGTAAATCAGGCATCATTTGATACCAGAATCTAGAGTAGAGAAGCTACAGCTTCTACCAAAATTGTAAGGATAATACGAGGAGGGAGGATTAAAACTGAAAAAAAAAAAAAATCAGTCTATTAACCTAACTGTTCCACGAATTGTGAAAGACTACCATTGGGAGAATGGAAGCTTCCATCTAACTTGGAGGAGGCCTGCTCTGGAGAACCTCTGTGCTAAATGGGAATTCCTGGAGGCAGAAGACCATGTCAGTTTACCTCTGTGGCCCCAGCATGTGGCACAGGGTGGGGCCCACAGTTGGCCTGAGTCAGTGTGTGTAAAGTGAATAAGTGAGGCAAATCAGGCAGTTTGATTCTTGGTCCAGATGTTCTTCAGTTGGCCATCAATTTTATCTTCTTAAAGAGAAACCCCAGGTTTCCAATAAATAATACTGGGCTGCCCTAGTAGGTCAGGATATAAGGAAGACATGACTTATAGGAATGAGATTTATCTTTGACCCAACCACAGAACATGTTAGTCCGGAAATGGGAAGGACTTGGCCCAGCTGCCCCAGGCCTGTCTGGAACCTTGACCCTACTGACCAGCCTGCATCCAGCATGACTTGTTTAAGCTATCATCTCAGAAGCACGGGTCCCCATTGTGAACCAGGAGTGAACCCCAGACAGACAGACAGAAGCCCAGTTGTCCTAATGGTCCTGGGCTCTACTGCTCCTAACCTGAGAGAGACCCAAGAACCGCCGTTGCCCAGAGTTGGGTCAGTAGTGGGCTCCGAGTGCACTTCTCATTAAAGTTTAACATTTCCGACTCCTGGGGATCCAAAATGCCCTCTGCTTCTTCGGTCCTTATATGGGGAAAAACAGAGACAGAGATTCAGGATGGTTCTGGAAATATATCTGGATCAATATGGGGTGAAGAGAAGAACAGAAGTAAAATCTCCTATCAGGCGATACCAAGATTGGCAGCTAGGGCCAGGTGCAGTGGCTCACCCCTGTGACCCTAGCACTTTGGAAGGCCTGATGTGGGAGAGGATCACTTGAGCCCAGGAGTTTGAGACCAGCATGGGCAACATAATAAGACTCCATCTCTACAAAAAATTTAAAAATTAGCTGGGTGTGGTGGCATGCACCTGTAGTCCCAGCTACCTGGGAGGCTGAGGTGGGAAGATTGCTTAAGCCCAGGAGTTCGAGGCTGCAGTGAGCCAAGATCATGCCACTGCACTCCAGCCTGGGTGACAGAGTGAGACCCTGTCTCAAAAAAAAAAAAAAGAGTGGCATCCAGGCCCCACACAGGTGCTTGGGCCAAAAGGGAAGGTGGCCATTTCCCCTGTGCCCCCCAGAAGCCTTAATTTTAGCAAAGCTGGTGGACAGTTTATAGGAAGATGTGTTCTTGGTGCCAGTATTAGAAATTGAAGGTGGTGTGCTCTGCAGAGGAAGCAACTTGCCAGAGTCCCTCAGTAAGTTAATGGCAGAGCTGGGGCTAAGACCTCCTGGGCCTCTGGAACCCCTGCACGATAGTCTTTCTACTCCAACATCTTGCCCTTGCCTGGAAAATATCTCACCTCCCTCTCAGACCTGTTGGGGCAGTCATGTTTCCCTGGGTTTTGTCAGAAGGTACAGCCACTCCTCTACTTTAAAAATGCAAACACCTGAGGGGTCCACAGAGGAAAGGGCCATCAGTTATCACCCCAGCCACAAATGAATCATGGCACTGTGTGCTCTCAATAACTCTCCCCTCAGCTCACAATGGGGGCTGGGTTTTGCTGGAGAGGTATTTTGGGACAATATGATGCCTAGGAGTTGAAAACTGCCATGTATCAGCAGTGAGGGCCTGGGTTTGCTGTTTTCTCTACAGAATCATACCTCAACTTTGCTATAACCTGGGAGGTAGTGGTTATCTGATTTAACAGGACAGAACAGATTCAGAGCTAAAAAGGGGAGCTAGATTCAAGTCATGCCTCCATGCAAAAATAGAACAAAACTGGGATGAAGCCCAGGCAGCATTCAACATAATTTTTTCCTTGACCTGAAGTGAAATCTCAAAGGAATATAGGGCAAAGTAGGGGTTTACCATGGAGCTTTGCAGCCTTTTGACCTAGGTGCTGAGAAAGACCTTTCCTACTGCCTCCAATCCTGAAGATGGCGTTGAGATCAGGCAGTGGTTCCGAGTACACACACTCTCTCCCCATATCTCATGGCTCTGTGCATAAATGGAGTGGGCACAGGGGTGGGGCATGTGCCCTGATGGCTCTTTGCAAGACTGTCACTGTTCTGTCTTGGGAGGTATAAGGTGAACAGAACCTTAGAAATGCTGGGAGCAAGCTCTAGTAACAAAGGCTCTTTGTGGTCAGGACAACAGAGGGTCTATTGCCATCTTCTCAGAACGCAGGAGCTCCCGCCAACAGGTGGGGAAGAAAGAGGAGCTGATGTCAGCGGTGCTAAGCTGTCATCCCAGGGCAAATGTGAGGCTGAACATAGTGAAGTCTACAGCGAACCACCCGGGCTAGCTGCCCTATGGTACCGAAGACAAAACTCATGGCCCCAAAGGGGTGGAAATGAAAAAGGGCCTGAACACAGCAGGCCCTGGCCAGGATCAGAATGCCCAGATGGTGCGGCAGGATCTGCTGCAGTGTCCAGTCAGAGTTGAGCCCAGCTACAAGCGTGGAAACACCAGAGCCAACAAGGCACTTCTCAGATAAGTGAGTTTCCGGCTAGATGGGGCTTCACAACTTTTGAACACTACTTTGAGAGTATATTCGCTCAGCCTGGGGGCATAAAGAACTACAGACAAATCTGGAACTCTATGGATAGGCCTTTCAATAGTAGTATGGGCTTAGCAATGCTCGGACAACTTTGTATGTATTGTAGGACTGAGCAAATACTGATGTTGTTGGGGGCTGGAGTCCTCACTGTAAAATAACAAAAGGTACAAATGTAGAAAGGGAGAGGGCAAAGGAAAAACCTTGAGGTGTTACATTGGAATTAGAATCTGTGATACAGGCTGGGCATGGTGGCTTATGCCTGTAATCCCAGCACTTTGGGAGACTGAGGTGGAAGGATCACTTGAGGTCAAGAGTTCGAGACCAGCCTGGCTAATATGGTGAAACCTTGTCTCCACTAAAATTACAAAAATTAGCTGGGTGTGGTGACACATGCCTGTAATCCCAGCTACTTGGCAGGCTGAGGCAGGAGAATCGCTTGGACCCAGGAGGTGGAAGTTGCAGTGAGGCAAGATTGCGCCACTGCACTCCAGCCTAAGTGACAGAGTAAGACTCCATCTCAAAAAAAAAAAAAAAAAAAAGAAGCTGTGACACAAACTCATGCATCAAACAGCTACACACACACACACACACTCTCTCTCTCTCTCTCTTTCTCTTTCTCCCTTCCTAGTTCCATCTGCTATATGCTGAGTGAGCTGAGTGAGGCCTAGAAGCAAGGTCACTGAGTACCCTTAATGCTCAGATCTTGGTTTCTAAATATCATTCTCCACTAAAAACAACCAGGTGCCCTGGAGAAGCAGCTGATTCAGGGGCAGGAAAAGCACAAGTTGAGCTGGGGTTTTCTTCTTGTGCTTCTTGTGAAAGAGAGCAAGAAAGTGCTCAAAGAATGATGGGAACTTTTCAAAAGGACACAGGGTCCAGCTTGAAAGGGCTTCTACAGGCCAAATCTGGGACAGTCTGAATGTCAAAATTAGTAATAACAGTGACAGATTATAATGCACTGAATAAAATAAGAATCCATCAGTCTGTATTAATATTGAATAAGGGAACAAACAAGCAAATAAAAGGAATAATTCAGGCAGGAGTGACCAATGGATGCTAAAACTATTGGGAGAAAGTCTGAAGGGACACAGGATATATATGCAGAAAGTGTCTCCTCACAGACTGCTTATTAATTATAAAAGGAAAAGCATAACTTTATAATGAGGAAACCTGGCAGACATCCAAGTGCTCAAAATTGACATCCTTGATAACGGACAAAGGGACATCATGTGCCCCCAGATATGATGAACTGAAGACAGATCACTTATGAAGTATTCCTGCTAAAAATGTATAACTTGAATCTAATCATAAGATAACATCAGATAAACCCAACTGAAGGAGATCCTATAAAACTGGCCTTGACTCTTTAAAAATGTTAAAAAAAAAAAAAAAAACAAGCTAAGGAATAATTCTAGACTTAAAAAGACAGCTGAATTAGGAAAACAAAATAAAACACTATTAAGAACTTTTGCACAATTGGCAACAGTTGGATATGGACTGTGTATTAGATTATAGTATTATATCAATGTTAAATTTCCTTAATTTACACTGGGGTGATGTAAGGGAATGTCTTTGTTTCTAGGAGAAACATGCTGAAGTATCTTGAAAGAAAAATTCATGTTTTCTGGAATTTACCCTCAAATATACCATAAAAAAATAAGTTTCTAACATATATACTAGATAGATAAATAGGAAGACAGAGAGAACGAGCGACAATGAATGTGGCAAAATGTCAACAATTGATATTTTCTACGTGAAGCTCGTTATACTACCTTTGCAACTTTTTTCTAAGTTTGAAATCATTTGAATAAATGAATCATTTGAATAAAAAATTAAAGATCAATTAAAAAATCAGATCAGCTTGATATTAAGGACACACTGTATTAAAGGAAGATGACAAAGATAAAGGAGATAGAGAAGATGGGCAGAAGTGTGAAAAGATTGTACAAGGGGAGAAGTGGGAACAAGCCAAGCATGCGTTAGGAGACAGTAAAATAAATATGATCCGTCTACACTGCAATATTTCACAAACTTTCAAAAAAGTGACGTGAATGTAAATGTACTGATGTGGAAAGATGTCCCAGATAGCCTAACAAGTTTCACAACAACAGGTATAAAATGATCCTATCTGTGTTTTGATTTTTTTGTTTTTTTTGAGACAGGGTTTCACTCCCATCACCCAGTCTGGAGTGCAGTGGCAGGCTCTCAGCTCACTATAACCTCCGCCTCCTGGGCTCAAGTGATCCTCTTGCCTCAGCTTCCCCAGTAACTGAGATTACAGGGGTACGCTACCGCACCTAGCTAATTTTTGTATTTTTAATAGGTTTCTTTCGCCATATTGGCCAGGCTGGTTGTGAACTCCTGACCTCAAGCGATCTGCCTGCCTAGGCCTCCCTAAGTGATGGGATTACAGGCGTGAGTCATCACGCCCAGCTTTTTTTTTTTTTTTTTTTTTTTTTTTTTTTGAGGTGGAGTCTCACTCTGTCACCCAGGCTGGAGTGCAGTGGCGCATCTCAGCTCACTGCAACCTCCGCCTCCTGGGTTCAAGAGATTCTCCTGCCTCAGCCTCCTGAGTAGCTGGGACTACAGGCACACACCACCACACCTAATTTTTGTATTTTTAGTAGAGACAGGATTTCACTATCTTGGCCCAGGCTGGTTTTGAACTCCTGACCTCAAGTGATCCACCTTCCTCGGCCTCCCAAAGTGCTGGGATTATAGGCATGAGCCACCGGGCCTAAAAAACATTTTTAAGACAACAACCAAAAAACCGCCACATACCCTCCTATGACTATATATAAGTCCACAAATGCACATCTGTTCAAACCCATCACTGTCAGGGAATAGGATTGGGAAAGGGTAATGCAGACTCATTTTTCTTTTTCTTTTTTCTTTTTCTTTGAGACAGGGTCTTACTCTGTTGCCCAGGCTGAGTGCAGTGGTGTGAGCACAGCTCACTGTAGCCTCAACCACCCAGGTTCAAGTGATGCTCCTGTCTCAGCCTTCTGAGAAGCTGGGACTATAGGCTCTCAGCACGAAGCATGGCTAATTTTTTTTTTGTAGATATCAGGTCTTATTGTATTGCCCAGGCTGGTCTCAAACTCCTAGCTTCAAGCTACCATCCTGCCTTGGCCTCCCAAAGTGCTGGAATTACAGGTGTAAGACACCATGCCCAGCAAGATTCATTTTTCATTTTAAATGGCTTTATATTGGTGGATTTTTTTTCTCTCATGCACATGTATTACTATTGAAACTTCAATATAAAAATAAATAATTTATACCCATTGAAATACAGAAAAATAAGTAAATAAATAAGAAGAATGGACTGTGTTCCCTAAGTATAACTCTGAAATTTCACACAGAAGGTTTGTGAATTACTCTGCCTGGCAAATTATGTCCTCTTGGCCACTTCCTCAGGCCCTCAGCTCTTTTAGAACTCAGGCAGGACCTGGTGAAATTCTTTTATTACTGAAGAGCTAAAATGCAAAATCTGAATGGTAATGCAGACTTAAGTTTCAAAGATTCCTCCATCAGGGAAAGGAGAAGTGAGGCAGAGGCAACAGTACCGGGGCAGGTGTTAGATGGGTCCAACCCCTGGTTCCAGGCTTAGGGAGATCCCTTCCCCTTTTAGAATCTCAACATTTTCATCTGCACATGGAGGTGGTAAAACCCTCCAACAGGGTGACTACCTTTTTACAGAGGAAGTTTAAGAAAGCAGTGGCAAGCCTTGGATTACTAAGTATTCCACTGCCTTTCCATGTGTTTTAAAGCAGTTCTCTAAGCCAAGGGCAGAGACATTCCCTGTCCACAGAGCCAGGCTCCAGAAAAGCCACTCAGCTGCACACCCTGTGCATTCTCCCAAGAGCAGCAGGGCTGAAGGCAGTGGAGTGTGAAGAGGTCTAAGGGTCTCCAAGACTACCCAGTCAAATCACGGGGTCTATACTCACCTCTCGAAAATCTCTTGCTCCTTCTGCTGTGAGAAAAGAAAACAAAGTCAAGCTTGGCACCAGATACCCAGCAGGGAGTCAATGCTAAGACAGATTTAACTACCAGAAAGGGCTCCATGTGGACTCTAGAATAAAAACTTCTAGTCTTTAAGACCAGCATAAAGCTTTCTAGGCTATTCTACACACACACACACACACACACACACACACACACACACACCCATAACACATGCTCAGAATGAATCACTCTACCCCATGTCCCAGGGCATCCTGGATTCCCCTCAACTCCACTCAGGACCATCGCCTGTTCACCCAACAGCATCTCCCATGAAGACTGTTAGCTCCTGGACGGCTGCGACTCTTTCTGAGTCTTCTATTGTGACTGTCCCAGTGTCTGTGAAAGAGCATGCTCTGTCCATGGATGCTGTGACTAAATGAATGCACAGTTTCGAGCAGTCATAGAAACTGCCCTACTTGCAGAGGCAGTGGGACAGCTCAGGTGTTCCACATTCTCTTTCCTCTGCTTGTGACTCAGATGCCACCTTCTCCCCTCAAAACTGCAGGCAGCTGCCTATCTATATAAAATACTTTGAAAGGCTATGTACCAAATATGAATCATGGTGATTTCTGGGTGGTAGGATTAAGGATGAGCTCTGTGTTTTCATATCGAAGACCTTGTCAGCTCCCCGGAGCACAGTGTTCTCTCTACATGCTCCTGAACTCTTTCCACCTCCTCACTTCCTTTGACACAGCTAGTTTTCTTATCTTTCAGGCATCAGCTTCTAAGTCGCTTCATCCGGGAACCTTCCCTGACCCCTCTTTCCCCTAGCCTGGATTGTCCGTCCCTAGCATGGGTGAGTTCCTCTACCATAGCACATATCCTTCCATATCCTAATTGTCAGCCAGTGTATTTGTCTCCTTTGTAAGGCTGGGAGCAGCTGACAGCTGCATCTCGTTACTCTGCCCCATAGCACAGTGCTTCACATATAATAGGCACTCAGTATACAATGACTCACTATCAAAAGAAAACTATTATCAGTGCCAAAGAAACATAGTTTTATTCCCTTGCCTCATGTCAGAGAAGAAATTATTCAATGATACCTGTTAGAGCACAGTAAGGCAGACTTTATTCAAGACCTCATTGCAATGGGGTCTTGCAATGGGAGAGAGACTGGGTTCAACTCTGAATACAGCGTGGGCAGGTAGGAATTTATAGCTAAGGAGCAGGGTTGGGGGTTAGTGGATGGAAAATTACTAAGAGGAAACATTGGGGGTAAGGGGGATTATGGCTAAACCTACCTAACAGGATTCTTGCTGCAGACAGAACACAGTGATCAGACATCACCTAGGGGATGGTGGTGGATGAGGAACCTGATCAGATATCAAGGATGATCAGATATCAAGGATGGGGGTTTCTGGCTACACTGACTTAGCAGGGTTATTTTGCAAAAACTGGATTTTATAATGAAGTGCACAGATGGGCCTGGGAGAAGGCTCAGAAGCCTGACTAAAGTTTGGCCAAGCAAAGAATCTTTGTCACTCATCCCTGCTCCAAATTCTCATTTCCACCCTCCTCATACCGACAAACATTCTCGATATTTTCAGGCTTTTGGGGAGCCTGGCCAACTGGTCATGCCCTCACCCTTGCCTGACTTACAATCAGCTGGAGGTCATCCAGGTGAGTAAGCATGCCCACCAGGCCAGTGCGGATGGTGTCAAGTTTCTGCAGCGCCTCGGCCCAGTGCACCCGCTGTGTCAGGATGCTCTGGTGGGCCCGCTCCTCTTCGCCATGCACCTGTTCCAGTAACCGCTGCTCCTCGCTCTCGCAAAGACTCCTCACCAGACTCAACCGCTGGATAACCAGTTCCCTCGCTGCACTGGCCATGCTCTAATGAGGGATAAAATGAGGAGTTGGGTGGTCTGTGCAAAGCCCCGGTCAGGATTTAAGAGGGTTTAGGCTCAGTGGAAAGGAGTGTTGAGATTGATTAGCAATGTCTGCCACGGGCTTAGTAATGGAAATAATAGCATGTAAGCCTTTTACTTTGACATCTCTGCCCCAAGACTTCCCAAATATGGTTTAGGGTAAAGAAATTTGAGATGCAGACACATAGGCCATATCTCAGGGAGCCATGATCACATAATGGAAGACCTGGGCAGGACTTAGAGCCCAACTAGAATACTCTGCTTAATCACAGTTGGGAATACAAGGTCAAAGGATCAAGGTCAGAGAATCACAGAATTGCAGAGCAGAGGGCCTAAAAAGTCATCCCCATCAGCAGGATCCATACCAGCAGTGGTACAGTTGATATTTCACCATGTTTGAGGGAAAAAACTGATGACTTCCTAAAACTGTCCATTTCAACTGGTTATGTGGTAGAATTTTTATCTGCCACAGAAGAGGCCTGAAATCAATTCTCAGACAATTAACAGGTGTCTTCTTGTAATTCTTAGCACAGTGCCTGGCATGCAGTAGGTACTCAAATATTGACTGAATGGGAAATTTTTTTTTTTAAATTTTTTTTAATAGAGATGGAGTTTCACCATGTTGCCCAAGCTGGTCTCAAACTCCTAGGCTCAATAAATAAGCCCAACTCAGCCCCACAAAGCGCTGGGATTATAGGCATGAGCCACTGTGCCCACCCAGGAAATTTTTTCTGACTTAGTAAAAGATCTCTTCATAGTGCTCACATGGCAATTCAGTAGCAAAGCTGAGACTCGAACCCAATTCTCTTGACTCTCAGTCCAGTCCCATTCCCCTACACCAGATGCCACCTGGCAACCAATCCTTCCCAAAGGCACCTGTTGCATAAGGCAGCTGCACTTGTACTCTTGCCAGACAAGTGGGAATAGAACTGCCTCCTTCATGTCAGAAAGTCAGGGACAGCCAGCAGCTTTCCCTATGCCCTGTCCCTTAAGACCTGCTTTGTACAGTGCACAGGGCAATCATTCCTATTTTACAGAAAACACTGAGACCCACAGTTTGCCTTACAGGGAGGAGAGACTAGCTAAGTGAATGGCAAGTGAACCCAGAAGGTAAGACTCCAAGTTTATAGTGTGCTCTTGAGGCAACATAACATAGTGGTCAGGAAATTAAGCTTTAGAGGTAGTGTGTAGATTTAAATCTTAACTGCTCCGCTCATTAGCTGTGGAACTTAGAACATATTCCTTATCTTCCCTATGCCTCTATTTTCTAATCTGTAAAATGAGGATAATAATAGTACCTACCTCATAAGGCTATAGTGAGGGTTAAATGTGTTAATATATATAAAGTAAGTAGAACAAAGCCTGCTACATTATGTGTTCAATAACATTCATTCACTATTGCTCTTCTTTATCTTTTTTTTTTCTTTTCTTTTCTTTTCTTTAAGAGACACAGTCTTGCTCTGATGCCCAGGCTGAAATGCAGTGGCACAATCATAGCTCACTGCAGCTTTGAACTCCTGGGCTCAAGCGATCCTCCTGCCTCAGTCTTCCAAAGTGCTGGGATTACAGTCATGAGCAACTGCATCCAGCCCACGATTATTCTCCTGTTTATCCCACTTTAATGCCTTACCCACAGGGTGAGCCCCTGAAACCATGGTTGTACTGTGTGATCCTGGATCAAAACAGATCCTCACCCAAGATGAATCAGATTCTGATTCCTGCCTAAAAGACTCTAGTCATTCTCAACAAGTTTGTTGAGCCATTCCCAGAAAAGGAGAGCAAAGAAAAGAAAAACTTCCCTTTCCAAACACATGACAGAGAGTAGACAAACCAAAAACCCTCTCAGAATAAAGTAGAGAAATGCTGGAAAAATAGCCCAAGCATCCTTTTAAAAGTGTGGTTGTGGCTGGACACGGTGGCTCATACCTGTAATCCCAGCACTTTGGGAGGCTGAGGCAGGTGGATCACCCAAGGTCAGGAGTTTAAGACCAACCTGGCCAATAAGGTGAAACCCCGCCTCTACTAAAATACAAAAATTAGCTGGGCCTGGTGGTGGGAGCCTGTAATCCCAGTTACTCAGGAGGCTGAGGCAGGAGAATTGCTTGAAGCTGGGAGGTGGAGGCTGCAGTGAGCTGAGATCGCACCACTGCACTCCAGCCTGGGTGACAGGGCAAGACTCTGTCTCAAAAAAGAAAAAAAAAGAGGTTTTTATTTTTTGTTTTTTGAGACAGGGTCTCGCTCTGTCACCCAGGCTAGAATGCAGTGATGCAATCATAGCTCACTGCAGCCTCAAACTCCTAGGCTCAAGTGATCCTCTCACCTCACCCTCCCAAATAGTTGGGACTATAGGCCCATGCCATCATGTCTGGATAATTTTTTAATTTTTTGTAGAGATAGGGTCTTGCTATATTGCCCAAAACAGTCTCGAACTCCTGGGTTCAAGTGATCCTCCTGGCCTTGGCCTCCCAAAGTGCTGGGATTATAGGCATGAGCTACCATGCTCAGCCCAATGAATAAGCTTAATAGAGATATATATATATATATATATATATATATATATATATATATATATATATATATATATAGAACTCTACAGGCCAGGCACAGTACCGGGTCATGCTGGTAATCCAAGCAGTTTGGGAGGCCAAGGCAGCAGGATCACTTGAGCCCAGGAGTTCAAGGCTGCAGTGAGCTATGATTGCGCCACTGCATTTCAGCCTGGGCAATGGAGTGAGACTTTGTCTAAAAAAAGAGAAAGAAATAATAATGAAATTAAGACAAAGATACAAAAGAGTAGACCAAAAATACTAGAAGCTGGTTCTAAAGACTAACAGTCAAACCTGTGGCAACTTTGATCAAAACTAAGAACAACTTTATCTTAAGTAAACCCTTAAGAAAAAAGAGTTCTGTTTTCCAATCCATTGAATAAGGCTCACATAACCTTGATACCAAATCTGATGAGGACTGTACAAGAAATGAAATTCATAGACTAATCTCACTCCTGAGCATACAAGCAAAAATCCTAAAACAAAAATAAAAAATGCTTTACTGAGATTAGCAATCCAAATTCAGAAATTTTGTATTAATAATACAAGGGGATAGGAAAGGGTACATGTGGCTATAAAAGGGTAGCACAAGGAGTCCTAGTGATGGAACTGTTCTGTATTTTAATTGTGGTAGTAATCACATGAATCTATGCCTGTGATAAGATAGTTAAATAAATATACACCATTTGAGAGCAGTGATCTCTCCCACCTCCTTGGAACCCATGCTGGGACACTCTGCTCTCTTAGTTTACTTCCGTTTCATTAGCTGATTTCTTGGTCCCCGTTCGCTGGTTCCTTCTGTCTTCTCAATAGGAGGTGAAGTGCCCTAGGGCTCAGTCTTTGGACCGCTGCTCTTTCGTGTCTACACTCATTCACTTAGTGATGTCATCCTCTCCCACGGCTTTCAATACTATTTATACACTGATAAATCCCAAATTTATATCTCCAACCCAGCCCTCTCCCAACTCATATATGCAGCTACCTACTCAGCACCTTCACTTGGATGTCAAATAGGTATCTCAAACATAACATGCCCACAACAACTTAGCATGCCTGCTCTCCCCCACTCCCCTCCCTGCCTCCGCCAACCATCACTCCACATGCAGTCCTTCCCCCACCCAGTTCATGGCTGCTCCATCCTGCCAGTTGCTCAAATAAAAAAACTTCAGCATTATCCTGACACCTCCCCTCTTTCTTTCATAGCCTACATCTAGTCCATCAGCAAATCCTGTTGCCTCTTCAAAATATATGCAGAATCTAGCCACTTCTCACTAGCTTTGCCACCATTGCTTGGGTCCAGACCACACTTGTTTCCCACCTGGATTATTACAATGGCTTCCTAACTGGTCTCCCTGCTTTAACCTTTGCCGCCTATAATCACTTCTAAACATAGCAGCCAAAGTGTTTCTTTCTTTTTTTTTTGAGACAGAGTCTCGCACTGTTGCCCAGGCTGCAGTGCAGTGCGCAGTCTCAGCTCACTGCAACCTCCGCCTCCCGGGTTCAAGTGATTCTCCTGCCTCAGCCTCCCAAGTAGCTGAGAATACAGGCGCCCGCCACCATGCCCTGCTAATTTTTTTGTATTTTTAGTAGAGACGGGGTTTCACCGCGTTAGCCAGGATGGTCTGGAACTCCTGACCTCGTGATCCACCCGCCTCAGCCTCCTAAAGTGCTGGGATTACAGGCATGAGCCACTGCGCCCAGCCTCAACCTTCTTAATGAAGTCATTCCTGGTCACAGCACATGTAATTGCAACCCGTCCTATTCCCCTTTCTGTTTTATATTTCCCCATAGCACATATCACCTTCGGACATAACATAGATTTTGTTACTGTCCCTCTTCTGTGACAAGAATGTAGGCTTCATGAAAATAGGAATTTCTGTTTTGTTCACTGGAGAATGCCTAACCCATTGAACAACAGTATCTGGCACATGGTAGGTGCTCAATAAAGATTTGTTAAATAAATAACTGGTGAAATATTGGTAGCTTTCCTCTTAAAGTCAGGATTTGTCGGGCCAGGCACAGTGGCTCACGCCTGTAATCCCAGCACTTTGGGAGGCCGAGGTGGGCAGATCACCTAAGGTCAGGAGTTCAAGAACAGCCTGGCCAACATGGTGAAACTCCATCTCTACTAAAAATACAAAAAATTAGCTGGGTGTCGTGGTGGGCGCTTGTAATCCCAGCTACACGGGAGGCTGAAGCAGGAGAATCGCTCGAACCCAGGAGACGGAGGTTTCAGTGAGCCGAGATCGCGCCATTGCACTCCAGTCTGAGCAACAAGAGTGAAACTCTGTCTCAAAAAAAAAAAAAAGCCAGGATTTGCCACACTAGCTTCTATTTAACACAGTACTAAGGTCATAACCAGTGCAGTAAGACAAGAAAATAAAAAGGATAAAGAAGAAGAGGGGAAGAGGGCAGGGGAGGGAGATGGAGACCATCATGCAAAAGCAAAGCATAGATGGGCACCAAGTAGCTGCCTGGACTCCTAGCAGCTTTCTGGTTCCTGGTCTAGCCCCTTTTAGGTCCTAAGAGGACCCCTAGTGTCCTGTCAGGAAATGCCCCATTTTGCTTATACTTGTTCAACTGGGTTCTGTTCCATGCAATTAAAAGAACTCTGACTAATGTGGTACCAAGTCTGTTCCGTGTACTATAGGGAAAGGAGGGAGGGGATATGCAGAAAGAAATTCATAGGCTCTGCCCCTGATAGGCATACTTGAAAGTGATGACACAGCAGTGGTAATGAGTCCACTGAATAAAAAAATCTGCAGTGGAGGCCAGGCATGGCGGCTCACACCTGTAATCCTAGTACTTTGGAAGGCCAAGGAGGGAGGTTGGCTTAAGCCCAGGAGTTCGAGACCAGCCTGGTCAATATGGTAAAACCCCGTCTCTACTAAAAATTTACAAAGTTAGCCACTCATGGTGGCAGGCATCTGTAATCCCAGCACTTTGGGAGGCTGAGGCAGGAGAATTGCTTGAACCAGGGGTTACTGTGGGCCAAGATCACACCACTGCACTCCAGCCTGGGCAACAGAGTGAGGCCCCATCTCAAAAAGAAAAAAAATTAAAAAAAAGAATCAGCAGTGGGATGCAGCAGAAGGAGCACTAGCCTAGGAGACAGAAGATCCAGGTCACAGAACCGACTGCCAGGAGGCTATGGGGTCCTTGGACAGGTCAGTTAACCTCTTTAACCTCTATAAGGACCCATTTTCCTATTTGTAAATGGGGATGTTACTGCTATCTACTTCATAAGATTGTCACAGAGAATATTCAATGTAAAAGTCCTAGGTTATTTTATAATTCTGCAGCTGGGCAGAAAATGACCAGATGGTAGAAGAATACGACCCTTCTTGATCCCCTATGCCAAGATACCCAAGAAAGTCATTTGCTAGCAGAGTCTTTGCACCAAGTATGGTACAGGAACAAGCCCACCCTGCCCAGATGGTAAAATTGAGTCTCTGAGGGATGAGAAGCTTTGCTAGTAGCACAATGAGTCTGTGAGGTTGGTAAGGGACCCTAGACTTGCCCAAGTCCCTAAGTCTAAGGCCTTATCCTGGGAGGGGGCTGAGTAGAGAGGAAAGAAGAGGAATTACCACTGCTCTTTGATTCTTCCCCGGCAGGACGTCCGCCACATACTTGGTGATGGCAGCACTCTGTAACTGCAGCCTCTCACACTGGTCCACAATCTTGTTCTGCAACACAAACAACGCTTGTGGCATCTTGGTCCATGTACCTGAGCCATTCACTCCATCCCAGTGATTTTCTCCTGTTACCACATGTCAGCCACCCACTCCCATGGTCATAGCCCAGATCTCATCATTATCAAAAACTGTACCACCTCCTAAATCTCCATTTCAAGGATCCACACTCTCCCCACCATGCCCTATCCTTCTCACTCCCTAATTCTAGGATACCTATTCCAGCAACAGCTCAGTTGAGGCCACCAACACACTAGTGGGACTACCTTTCACTGTCCATCATCCCCTTCTGTGACCTCACCTCCGTCTTCATCCCAGAACCCCAGCCTATCATTATAATAACTTTAAAACAAATTTTTGCTCTATGAATATTCTCAGGCTATATTATTTAGAAACATTTAAGATTAGAATCATTATATGTTGCTGGTGAACTGCACATTCTCTAAGTGACTTTATCTTTAGTACTATGTTTGCCTTAAAGTCCATTTTGTCTTGTGTTTATTTTTATTTTTTTTTATTTATTTATTTTTTGAGGCAGAGTCTCACTCGGTTGCCCAGGCTGGAGTGCAGTGGTGCGATCTCGGCTCACTGCAACTTCCACCTCCCAGGTTCAAGCGATTCTCCTGCTTCAGCCTCCCAAGTAGCTGGGATTACAGGTGTGTGTCACCACACCCAGCTAATTTTTGTATTTTTAGTAGAGACAGGGTTTCACCATGTTGGCCAGGCTGGTTTCGAACTCCAGACCTCAGGTGATCTGCCCGCCCTGACCTCTCAAAGTGCTGGGATTACAGGTGTGAGCCACCGCACCCAGGCGTTTGTTTCTTTTTAAATTTATTTATGTATTTATTTTGAGATAGAGTCTTGCTTGTCGTCCAGGCTGAGTGCAGTGGCATGATCAAGACTCACTGCAGCCTTGACCTTCCAGGCTCAAGTGATCCTCCCATGTCCTTCCTGAGTAGCTAGAACTACAGGCACGTGCCACCACACCTGGCTACTTTTTGCATTTTTTGTAGAGATGGACTTTTGCCATGTTGCATAGGTTGGTCTCCAACTCCTGGGCTCAAGCAATCCTCCCGCCTCAGCCCCCCAAAGTGCTGGGATGTTACAGGTGTGAGCCACCACGCTCAGCCCGTTATAACCACTTTCTGGCGCACACACTCTTGGTCCTCCGTCATACTCAGCTGCCTGACTGTCCATACCTTCTGTTCTGTCCAGAACTGCTCTCTGCCAAGTTATCCTCATTCATTAAGCAGCACCATCAATCATTCACCTGTTACCCAGACCAAAAACCCAGGAGTTTGTCTCCAACCCCACATCAATTCCATTAGTGAGTCCTATCAACCCCATCTCCAAAGTCTCTCTCTCTCCTCTGGTCACCTCTACTCCAGTTATTCTATCCAGGTTGCCATGATCTCTCACAGGAACCACTGTTAGAACCTCTTAACTGGGTACCCTGCACCCCCAACCCCCCAGCTAGCCAGAGCCACCTTTTGTAAGGAAATCAGACCAGGTCATGCCCCTACTCAAAACCCTCCAATGGCTTTCAGTACACTCACAATGACATCAGGCTTCTTAGCTTAGCCAACCTAGCCCCACCTGATGTGACTCAGCTTATTTCTCCAACATCACTTTCTACCTCTATCCATGCTGGCCTTCTTTCTGTTCCTTAAATGTACCAAACTTGTCCTGACTTCAGTGCCTTTGCACCTGCAGTTCCGTTTCCACCAGTCTGTGTGTGTGTGTGTGTGTGTGTCTCACTCCCCAACTGCATTCAGATGTCATCTCTTCAGAGAGGTCTTCCCTGACCATCTCCCTCCTCACCCAATCTCTTACTTTGCTTTATTTTTCTCCCTTGCACTTATAACTCTCTGACTATATATTATGTGTTTGTTTACCTTTTTGGGTATCTGTCTCCCCCACCACTGGAACAGAAGCACCATAAGTCTGACTTCTCTATGTCCTAGTACCTCAAAGAGAGTTTCTGAACATAGAAGGCCCTGAATAAATATTTGTTGAATGAACGAACACCCACTGCCTTGACCACAAGAGGTTCAGCAGTTCATGGCTCTCAAAGCTATGAGCATCATCCATGAGCTCAGGGGAGTTTTAGAAATGGGAAAGCTGGCCGGGCACGGTGGCTCACACCTGTAATCCCAACACTTTGGGAGGCTGAGGTGGGCGGATCACCTGAGATCAGGAGTTCGAGACCAGCCTGGCCAACGTGGTGAAACCCCATCTCTACCAAAAAATACAAAAATTAGCCAGGCGTAGTGGCATGCGCCTGTAGTCCCAGCTACTCGGGAGGCTGAGGTGGGAGAATCTCTTGAATCTAGGAAGCAGAGGTTGCAGTGAGCTGAAATAGCACCACTGCACTCCACACTCCAGCCTGGGTGACAGAGTGAGACTGTCTCAAAAATAAATAAATATAAGTAAATAAATTTTAAAAAAAAAGGAAAGAGAAAGAAACGGGAAAGCTGAGGCCCAAAGAGAAGTGACTTCCCCAAGAAGGTATGGGCCAGGGCCCTGCTTTTGCTCTCCGTTTCTCCAGGTGATACCTAGAGCCTATCCAAGCAGCAGTCCCTCCACTGTTCCCCCTAAGAGTTCTGCCTCAGTTCCATCTGCCAAAAGGCAACTTAGCTACCTCTTCCAGGAAGCCCTTGTAAATCTTTCCACCCAGAAGTAGAAATTAGTTACATTTCATAGGTCCAAATACAAAGTTACAGAATTGAGTTGACTAGGAGGAAGCTGTGATCACCATGCACCATGGACTAAGAGCACTGAGAAGGCTTCTGAAAAACCACAGGGCAGGAATCCAGAGGTAGGAGAGCAGTAGAACTGGTGCTGGTTTTGGTAATAATCTTGCCCTAGGGTGAGATTTATTTGCTGACTGGATGGATAGAGGAAGGAATGTGCAAAAGACAGAAATCTACTCTAATTTGGTGGAAGAGAGGGTAAGACCCACCTCCCTTCAGGCAAAGGAGATAAATATGCATACGGCCTCAGAGGGGTTCAAAGAAGGTTCCCTAGGGTAGTACCGAAACTAGCACCAGGCCTGCCACCTGCCCGAGGCTTCACTCTTTCCACCACTCAAATCCAGTCCTGATAGCTACTTTTAAGGTTTCCATGACATTCTCACCCCCATTAGCATCACTTCCTCCCTCCAACCGCCGAAGCAAAGCAGCAGTTTCCTCTTGCCTAGTCAATGACTCCCTGGGTCCCACCCCTGAACATTAGGAAGCTTGGAGGAGTTACTGCCTTGTTCCGAGCCTCCAGTGCCTCATCTGTAAAATGTAGGTAGGACCCCTTCAAAGGCGTGGTCAAGACAGAATGAGATGACAGACATTTAAGTACTTTGGAGTTTGCAAATTTTTTTGTCCATTATGCAAGTTGATTACACCGCGTTATCCAGGTTTATTTTTGTCATCATTATTGTTGATAGAGGTAACAGGTAGGACGAACCAGGAGCTTTTGGGTGTTGCTGAAAAACTGAACCCCTCCCGAGCCCAGCACCCTATATAAGATGTGTTTATTACAGGTCACTCTGGGTAGGCGAAGTCCCCAGCCAGAGCCCTCAGGCTTCACAGCAGGGGTGAACTGCAGAGTCGGGTTGGGAGAAACAAGCTGTTTAATCAAATTGCAAGGAAATCCCCAGGGGCCACAGAGAAGCCCAAGGTGACTTCGACTCTCCCAATCTCAGCAGCTCAGGAGAATGGTGATGACAAGGAGGTGGCCACCCTGGAGCCGAGCTGGAAGTGGAGGTGGCGAGAAAGCCTGGGTGAAGGGGAATCCCCTGATATTCTCCCTACCCCCACCGTTTATCCAGCTGAAGCCCTTAAACCAGCCTGAAGTACAGTCAAGGCCAATCCTGAAAGCGAAAAAGAGATCACCGCACCAGAAGCCAGAAGGGGTTAGGAGCAGGGGGAAGAGGCGAAAGGAGGAGGGGGGCTTTGAGTCCAGGGGTTAAGGGATACGGTCGCGCTGGATTTTATCAGTGTCAGTTTCCACAGGGGCGGGAGCTGGGGCACACCCTGCGCTGAGAACTGGAGCAGCTGAGCCTTTCATGCCAGCCCCAGCTTCCTCAACAGAGCAATGGAAGGGGCCTGGGGAGCCTGGATCCCCTTATCGCTAAGCATTTTACCCACTATCTTATTTATTTCTCACAACTCTAATAAATACGCGCTATTATTATTGTTGTTGTCCCCAAACTACAGATGAAGACACTGAGGCTCAGAGTTACGTGACTCACAGGGAGTAGATTCGAACTCAGGCCAGCCTGACTTCAGAGGCCACACCCTTAACCGCCTAGTCCTACAGCCAAAGCCACCGAGGAGCCTAGGCTCCGGGGCCGGGTGTCGAGTCCGCCCAGCCCCAGGCTCCCCAGTCCCTGCCGGGTCCCGCCAGGCGCGCCCGGGGTCTCCGGAGCCCTCGCCTTCCGGCGCCCACACCCGCTCACCCGCAGCTCCTCGGCGCGCTCCTCCGCCCGGCGGATGCGGTGCCCCCGGCAGCGACCGCCCAACCCCGCGCAGGCGGCGCACACGGGCCGTCGCTCGGAGCCGCAGAACCAGCTCAGAGCCTGGCCGTGTTCGGGGCAGAGTGGCCCCGGCCCGGGCCCGGACCCGGACCCCGGCCCCGGCTCCGCGCCCTCGGCGGACATGGCCGTGCGCCCGCCCCGTGCGCTCCACCTGTCGCAGGTGGCGGCGGGCGGGGCCTGGCTGACCCCGCCCCCGGCCCTCCCGGTGCGCCAGCGCGCCCCGCAGCTGCGCCTCCTCCCACCCAACCCGCGCTCCCATCCCGCCCGGGGCAGCAGGTCTCTTTAAATTCCTTGTTGAATGAAATCGCGATTGTATGCGTATTTGTTCTACAACAAACATAAAACTCCAAATATTACTGTGACCGTAGGAAACTTTATTGAGCACTTATTAAGTGCCAGGCTTTCGCTGAGAGCTTTGCAAGCGTTCTGTTATGTAATCCCGACCACTGCCCTTTTTGAGAGGCAGCTTTAGATGCCTAGCTTCAAGCAAGGCTCTGCTGAGAAACTGCCTGGTTCAAATCCCGTTTGGCTGCTCACTGGGTGGGAACTCCAGCTGTAAAATGGGGTGAGAGTACCTGCCTCCCAGACGTCTGAGGAGTAAATACGCTAAATACGTAAAACAATATCTGGAACATAGCAGCTGCAATCGCTAAGTGTCTACTAACAGTGCGAGGAAAGTACTATTAGGATCCCATTTTTATGGAAGTTAAGTGGCTTGCCAAGGGTCACAGTTACTAATTGGTAGCTATGAGATTGGAACCTAGGCAGTGTGACTTAAGGTTACTATAATTAATAATTTTTTAAATTGAACATTGAGGCCCAGTGAGAAATATCTGTATTAGGCTGATTTTCCCAAAGTATTTACATCCAAACTTTTTGAATTTGAATATTTGAGTTTTCTTTTTAAACTAGCATTGAAAAAAAGTAATGCCTTTTTATTTCGAAGAAAACAAAATATGCAAATAAGCATGTGGAAGAAAAATCCACCCACTCCCACCCCAGAAAGAAAAACTGCTAACATGTTCCTGAGCTGTTTAGGGCTTTTCCCACCCTCAGGATCTTATATATTAGTCTGAGCCCAGATTGAGCCCTCTGCTGGGGATCCAGTCTAGTCTGTCTGGGCATACAAGGAGAACGCTGCTCTCCAGCTCTAAATTCTTCTTCTTCTTTTTTTTTTTTATTTTTTTTTATTTTTTTGAGATAGGGTCTCACTGTGTCACCCTGGCTGGAGTGCAGTGGTGTAATCATAGCTCACTGCAGCCTCGACCTCCCCAGCTCAAGTGATCCTCCCACCTCAGCCTCCTGAGTAGCTGGGACTACAGGCACATGCCACCGTGCCCAGCTAAGTTTTGTATTTTTCGTAGAGACAGGGTTTTGCCATGTTGCCCAGGCTGATCTCAAACTCCTGGGCTCAAGCCATCTCCCCCCTTCAGCCTCCCAAAGTGCTGGGATTACAGGTGTGAGCCACCGCGCCCGGCCACCAACCCCAAATTCTTTCTTAGGAGTCTTGGCAGAAAGCTGGGCACTCTCTCAAAAGGGGAAGGGCCCAGGCCTTCAGGTGTCAGAGAGTACTCTGAGTGCATCAGAACTGAACACAGGCGGGAGCTAAACCGAAAGAGAAACATTACATCCCATAGCTCACAGGGGCTCTAGCACCTCTACTCTGAAGCTTCTCTAAGCAATGGCCACACAAAGGAGATAGAACCCTTTCCTTCTCAGCCACTACTGCTTTAGCACCTGAGGGGTAAGGGCAGCTAACAGCCCCAGAGCTACCCAGAGCGGTACACAGTGGTGTCATCATCCAATGGGGACACATTGTCACCCCAGATAGACAATATTACACCATATGATTAGAGAGAACACTGAGTGAAATATAGTCATTGGTTTCATCCCAGCTATGCAGCTTACAGCTATGGGATCTTGGTCAGGTTACTCACAGCTTCTGTGTCTGTTTTCTTATCTCTACAACAGAGGTGATAATAATACTATCATCTACCTTAGAGGGCTACTTCAAGAATGAAATGAGATCTTGTCTACAAAGTATTTACTTTGGGTGTCTGATATACAGTAGGGGATAATAAAAGGTTTTATTATATGTGTGAGGATCTGTAAATACAGTTGTAGCAGGTTTCAGAATGTAAATTGTGTGAGGTTCTTTGGCGACAGGGGTGCTGCTTTCCTGGCATCTAAAGAAGTTTCCAGTGCATCCCAGTGGGAGGGTGATGGCCTCATAACAGCATCTACACTCCTCTGGGGGTGGGGAGGGAAATAGGCCATGGTAATTAGAGATTGTGGTTAGAATTTTTTCCTTCTAAGGACTGGGGATGGGGAATTATTAAACCCTATGGTGAAAACAAAGAAAATAGGAGGTGCTTTTTGTGTGAAGGCTAAAAAGAAAAGAGGTTGTGTGGCCAGGAGCAGTGGCTCATGCCTGTAATCCCAGCACTTTGGAAGGCTGAGGCAGGCGGATCACTTGAGGAGTTCGAGACCAGTCTGGCCATCATGGTGAAACCCCGTCTCTACTAAAAGCACAAAAATTAGCCGGGCATGGTGGTGCACACCTGTAATCCTAGCTGCTGGGGAGGCTGAGGCATGAGAATCGCTTGAACCCAGGAGGTGGAGGTTGCAGTGAGCTGAGATCGCGCCACTGCACTCCAGCCTGGACAACAGAGCAACACTCTGTTTCAAAAAAAAAAAAAAAGAAAGAAAGAAAGAAAAGAAAAGAAAAGAAAGAAAAGAGGTTGTGGAGGGCAGGGGGAGGAACAAGGGTTAAAATCCTTAGGGAAAGGTGGGGGGGGGGGAGGGGGGCCTTCACTGGGTGTGGCCCTAGAGCAGTCATTGGCCCTACCAGGTCCAGGATCTGGAAAACAGCCCCTAAATCACCAGAATTACTTTCAGGTAGTGGCATCAGCAAATGCAAAGGGCTAAGGTAGGAGTAGATTTACTTTTATCAAGTCGGGTTCCTCTGTTTCACCACTTATGAGCCAAGTTGGACTGGAACTGGAGAATCGCCCTTTCCCTATCTGTTCATCAAGCCCTGCAGGACACATCTGGGATACTCATAAACTCCCCGGTTATAGCTCTTAAGCTTTATCAGGCTTCGGAATCGTTGGAGGACAGGGGATGGTCAGGAGGGGAAAGAGGAGGAGTTGTAAAACACGCAGACTTTCCGGTAAGATTTTCATCCATTAAGTCTGGGATGAAGCCAAGAAGCTGCATCTGTGGCAGTCACTCCTTGACTAGGATGCAAAGGAGCCCCTTGACTGTTTCTAGAAACACTGCCCTAAGGCAGTGGCAACCCTTTATTAGGTGGCATATCAAGAAATTCAAGGGGTGGAGATCAGCATCTTTTATAAAAAGAAAGAAAAGGCTGGGCACAATGGCTCACGCCTGTAATCTCAGCATTTTGGGAGGCTGAGGAAGGTGGATCACCTGAGGTCAGGAGTTCGAGACCAGCTTGGCCAACATGGTGAAACTCCGTCTCTACTAAAGATACAAAAACTAACCAGGCGTGATGGCACATGCCTGTAGTCCCAGCTACTTGGGAGGCTGAGGCAGAAGAATCACTTGAACCCGGGAGGCAGAAGTTGCAGTGAGCAGAGACTATACCACTGCACTCCAGCCTGGGTGGTGGGTGACAGAGTGAGGCTCTGTCTCCAAAAGAGAAAAAAAGAAAAGAATAAAGAACAGAAAACATGCTCTTAGTAAGGTTTTTGTTGTTTCAATTACATATATATAGGTAAACAAAATGGATGGAAGGTCGTTGTTTTGGACTGGGCTTCCACACTAGGCCCCACCATACCAAACCAAAACAAAATGGAGTTACTCATGCTAAACTGCCACTTCACCAAACCAAAACTAAGTAGTTTATCTGAACTTCCAAGAAATTGGGAGAGAAAAAGAGAAAGAGAGAGCATATTAAAATCCCCAAACAGTACAGAATTAGCTGGCATGATAAGGAAGTCCTCTCTGTTTTAACCCTAAAAGGAAAGTAACTTTGAAATGAGTAATCCTCTTTTTTTTTCCAGCTCTTTTCTACCTATAAAGCCCATGTCCTCTGTTCAGCTCATTGGAACATTCTGTTTTATAGAATTAGGTGTTGCCTGATTCTAGAAGTGCTAATAAAAGCCAATAAGATCACTCAACTACATTTGTTGTAATTTTGTCTTTGGCCTATATATACGTACATATGCACCGTGGAGAATGAATGTACTTCTTTATGAGGTCAAAAAAATTTGAAAGCTGCTTAGAGCTCTTAGGGGACCTCTGGAGGCTTCATGGGCATAGGCAGGGCTGTACTTGAACTTCAGGCACTCTGAGCTAGGGAGAGAAGAATGGACACCATTGTTACATTTTAGTCATTCAACAGATTTATTGAGCCCCTGCCAATGTGCCAGGCCTTAGACACTGGGGATACAACAGTCAAGAAGAACAAAGTCTACTTTCATGCACAAATAAAATGCAACAAATGGATATGTAATATAATGTCAGTAATGATAAGGGCTATGAAAAAGATTCAAGTATTACAAGAAAAAGAGCATGATGGAGGTGCTGGTGTAGAAAGGATGGTGTAGAAGTCCTCTCAGGTAAGTGGCACTGGAAGAAGCAAGGCATGAAAACATCTGGGGAGGAGATTTCCAGACAGAGGACTAGCAAGTGCAAGATGTCTTTCTGTACCATGAACTCTGCTCCCCAATCTTCAAAGAACCTCACACGATTTACAATGTGTGAAAAACTGCTACAAATATACTTACAGGTCCTCACACATAGGTTAAAGCATTCATTAGCTCCCACTATATGATACAAGCTGGAACATATTTATTTTACAAAATTGGGATTATGTGTACAACCTGCTCTCTAACCTGCCCTTTCACTTGCTCATTTATAACATTTGGCTTGGATCTTTTTTAAAAAACTTTAAAAAAAAAATAACTTCTGGGCCAGGTGTGGTGGCTCACACCTGTAATCCCAGCACTTTGGGAGGTCGAGGTGGGTGGATCGCAAGGTCAGGAGATCGAGACCACCCTGGCTAACACAGTGAAACTCTGTCTCTACTAAAAATACAAAAAAAAGAAAGAAATTAGCTGGGTGTGGTGGCAGATGCCTGTAGTCCCAGCTACTCGGGAGTCTGAGGCAGGAGAATGGCATCAATCCGGGAGGCAGAGCTTGCAGTGAGACGAGATTGCACCACTGCACTCCAGCCTGGGCGATAGAGCGAGACTCCGTCTCAAAAAAAAATAAAAATAAAAATAAAACAAAAAAAACTTCTGTAGAGACCTGAGTCTTTTTATGTTGCCCAGACCGGTCTCAAATTCCTGGCCTCAAGTGATCCTCCCACCTTAACCTCCCAAATTGTTGAGATTACAGGTGTGAGCCACCAGGCCTGGCCTAAACTTTTTATTTTAATGAACATTTTGGAAAGTCTTTTGGAAAGGACTATTCTTCCCTAGCCTTTACTTTCCCTCAGGCCTGCTCCTCGGTGTCAGGCCCAGCCTTTTCTGCCTGCCTGGTGGGGCCCTGGCCTGGCCCAGCCCAGCCCCCTTCTGCCTGGGCCTGTGTCCATTCCTCCTTCCTTCTCAGACACTGATCCAATATCTCTGGTGCCAGGGCTGGAAGTCATCTGACTGGGGTTTGCATGGTTTCCAGGAACAGCAATAAGACTACCAATACTGTGGCTTCTTTTCCTCCTGGGGTGTTTTCACAGTACAGCCAGCTTTAACTGTCACTTTTAAGAGGGATTTGGCAGCCTGCCATGCAGACAAATTCAGATCACATGGGTCCTCTATGATGAAGTCCAAGCCTCCCAATGACAGAGTGCTCTCTGCTCAGGCCAGACTAAACTAGATGAGAACAGCTCTCTTCTCCAGAGGGCTCTTCAGACCAGCCCATGTCACAGAAGGGGTGTTATCAATCTGGGCAAGTCCAGGAGAGAACAACCAACTCAGGCCATAAAGAGCCAAAAACTAGGATTATATTTAAATAAGGCAGAGCCACAGGCTGCCGTGGTTTGAACATGTCCCCCAAAGTTCATGTGCTGGAAACTGAATTCCCCTTGTAACAGTGTTGAGAGATGGGACCTTTAAGAGGTGATTAGATCATGAGGGCTCTGATCTCGTGCATGGATTAATGATGTTATTGTGGGAGTGGGTTCCTGATAGAAGGATAGGTTTGTCCCCTTCCCTCACTACTCCTGCATTCTCACCATGTGATGTCTTCCACCATGTCATAATGCAGCAAGAAGGCTCTCACCAGATGCAGCCTCTCGATCTTGGACTTCCCAGTCTCCAGAACCATGAGCCAAATACATTTCTGTTCATAATAAATTACCCAGTCTGTAGTATTCTGTTACAGCAGCACAAAATGGACTAAGACAAAGGCACTGGTAGTGTAAAGTTGAGGGGATGTGAAGTGAGGAGCCAGGAGAGGTCGATATGAAATTATGTTGCTTATACCCATAGCATTCTATCATGTCCTAACGGTCTGTCATGACTGTCTTTCCCTTGTAATCTTTGTTCAAAAATATTCAATGGCCATCTACTCTGTGCTAGCCCTACACTGTTCAATACCATAGCCACTAGGCCCATGTGGCTATTTAAATTTAAATTAATTAAAATAAATAACATGTAAAATTCAGTTCTTCAGTTGCACTAGCTACATTTCAAGTGCTCAATAGCTAGTAGGGCTAGTGGCTGATGTATTAGACAATGCAGGTATAGAACATTTCCATAATTGTTGAAAGTTCTGTTGCAGTGCTGTGCCAGACCCTGGGTTAGACACCAACAATACAAGTGTAAATGAGACTCAGTCACTGCCTCTGTTGCTTGCAGTTGAGTGAGAGAGAGAAGTAAATGAAAAGTTATACTATGTGGTGTAAAGTGTGGGGGCTTTGGAAGCACAGAAGAAGAATAGTTAACCCAGTCTGGAGAAGGGGAGGAATGGGTAGGGAAGACTTGGGGGCAGAGAGGGAGATGGCCTCTAAGCTGAGGATAAAGTCGTATGCTGCATAATAACATTTTGATCAATGATGGACTGCATGTACCTGGTGGTCCCATAAGATTATAACACTGAGGCGGGCGCAGTGGCTCACACCTGTAATCCCAGCACTTTGGGAGGCTGAGGCGGGCGGATCATGAGGTCAGGAGTTCGAGACCAGCCTGACCAACATGGTGAAACCCCGTCTCTACTAAAAATACGAGAATCAGCCGGGATGTGGGGGCACGCACCTGTAATCCCAGCTACTTAGGAGGCTGAGGCAGGAGAATCGCTTGAACCAAGGAGGCGGAGGTTGCAGTGAGCCGAGATCGCACCACTGCACTCCAGCATGGGCAACAGTCACTCACATGGCTGGCATTTGGTGCTAGCTATTGGATGGGCCATGTCTCTGAAACAGACTAGCCTGGTCCTCTTCCCATGCTGGCAGTGTGCCAAGAGGATGGGAGCAGAAACTGCAAGGCCTTTTGAAGCTTAAACTCAGAAGTCCCACGATGTCACTCCTGCTGCATTCTATTGGTCAAAACAAGTTACAAAGCCAGCCTTGATGGGAAGAGCTACAAAGAAGTTGTGGTCGTTTTTAATCTATCACACCCTGATGTTGGCCTGAATCCAGCTGGTAGGTAGAGAGAAGGTTTTTATTTTTATAATGTTTGGGAGGCAGAATTGAGAAGTCTCGGGGATTGTTCTTGAACGAGGAAGCAAGGGTAAAGTTACAAATGACTCCTAGATCCTTGGCTTGGGTGATTGGTGAATGGTAGTGCCCAGCACTTACAGGGAAAAGAGGGGGAACAGGTTTGAGGGGAAGATGATGTTTCCAGTATGAGTCATGTCAAGAATGAGGTGTCTTTTAAACTGCCAGTTGCAGATGGGCGGGTGGCAGGTGGATATACAGGTCCGACTCAGGGAGAGGCCTGGCTACAGGTACCAGTTTGGGAGTCTTTCGTGCCTGAAGCCTAAAGCCTCTCTCTCAGAGGGAAAAACATCCCCAGAGCAGGAACATCTTGGGTGCAGAGATCTAGTAACTCACCTCTGTAGCTGCACTGAGCCTAGCCCAGTGTCCCAGGACAAAGCAGTGAGTCTATCCTGGTTGTAGCTTGCCAGGCTGTTGTGGGGGAAAGGGATTAAGTCTGTAAGGAGAGCCATTGGTTCTGAGCGAAGATCAGAGTTTCAAGTGGCATACGGGTAGATACTTTCTCCTGCCAGAAGGAAATCTCCCAACAATAGGTCACTAGCTTAGAAAGTAATCAGCCCATCATTACAGAGTGAGCATCAACTAGGGCTACAGATACTTCATCAGGGATGCCATGGAGGGGATCCCTTCCCTGGACTGGAAAACAGACCCAATAGCCAGTATGTGGAGGCAAACTTCTCTCACCATTCCCACCCCCTCAAAGGCACCCAATTTTCAGAAACTCCACAAATCTTCATTGAAGGCTGTTTTGCCAGATCAACACTGCAGAGGCACCTACTAGGGTTCAAAATAAATGTTGGGGCCGGGCGCGGAGGCTCATGCCTGTAATCCCAGCACTTTTGGAGGCTGTGGCAGGTGGATCACCTGAGATCAGGAGTTCGAGACCAGCCTGGCCAACATGATGAAACCCCATCTCTACTAAAAATACAAGAATTAGCCGGGCATGGAGGCGCGCACTTGTAGTCCCAGCTACTTGGGAGGCTGAGGCAGGAGAATCGCTTGAACCTGGGAGGCAGAGGTTGCAGTGAGCCGAGATCGCGCGACTGCACTTCAGCCTGGACGACAGAGCAAGACTCCGTCTTAAAAATAAATAAATGTTGGCTAGGATCCCTGCCATTGATTCATTCAACAAACATTCAACAAGCCCCTACTATATACCAAGCCCCATACTGTGCACCAGGAATACGGAGATGAATAGACTCTAGTCTGGTAGCAATGCGACCGCAGCTGTAAAAACTGTGTTTCTACAACTGTCTTCCCATTTGGATCTCAAGAAGGTACTGAGGGGTCTCTTCTTGCTATGGTACTAGGCTGTAATGGTTCAATGAAAAAAAAAAAACGAAAGGAATAGAGGAGTGGGGAGCTGGGGGAGTGTCCAAAGGAGGAATTTCTAGTCGAAATCAGGGAAACTCCAAAGAAATACGGCAACACGTATGTCTGAGCGACCAATAATTTAAAAGATGACCTTTATTAAGTGCTTTCTCCATAGCTATTACAAAGGTACCCGTTTTGCTTGGATTGTCTAGATTCTTCTGGCAGCGGAGTCCTGGGCACAAGCGTCCTCTCCTCTGGACCTGATCACGAAGAGAGTAGCGCCGGGCGCTCAGTTCCCGTCCCAGCTTTAGGCGAACGGAACTGCGGTTCGGCGGCCTGCGAGGGTGCCCGGAGGCTTTTCTCCAGCACTCCCGCCCTAGCAACGTGCGCCTGCTGCTAGGGGCGGAGGCGCGGGAGGGCTCGGAGGCTGTTCCCACCCCCAGGCTCCGCGTTCCCGCCGGCCCCAGCTCCAGCCCCGCAGCCCACCGGTGGGTACTGAGCCTGAGGTGGGAGAAAGGGGCATAGCGGCAGACTAGGAGCGGGCAACCCTCGCCCTTTGGTCGAAGCGGAGAGCGGTTATGAGGGCCAACCTTGGGCTGGGTGGCGCTAGGTTCCCATCTTCGGGGACTCTTCTCCCCGCTTTCCACATACACATAAAAAATAAGCTTTAGGCCGGGCGCGGTGGCTCACGCCTGGAATCCTAGCACTGTGGGAGGCCGAGGCGGGTGGATTGCCTGAGCTCAGGAGTTCGAGACCATCCTGGGCAACACAGTGAAACCCTGTCTCTACTAAAATACAAAAAATTAGCCGGGAGTGGTGCCGTGCGCCTGTAGCTACTTGGGAAGCTGAAGCAGGAGAACTGCTAGAACCCGGGAGGCGGAGGTTGCAGTGAGCCGAGATCGCGCCACTGCACTCCAGCCTGGGTGACAGAGCGAGACTCGAGACTCCGTCTCTTGAAAACAAAAACAAAAACAAATTAAGCTTTAGTTGTTCATATAATGGGCAGGGAGAGGAGCATTTGCCATCTGAAGCGACAGAAAGGAAAAACTGCACACAAGTCGTCCCCAAAATTTGAGGCAACCGTGAGAGTGGTGGCCTAGAACTGGCTCCCTGTGTGACTCTAGGCAAGACCCTCTTATTCCCTGGGCCTCGGTTTCCCCTATCTGTACCATTAGAGGGTCGAACCAGACCAGCTTCCAGGTGTTTCTACTCATACTTTTCTTTCTTTGAGCATTGTTTTGGCGACTAAAGATGCCTTGGTCTCCCAGAGTGTAAGACAGAAGTGTGCAGAGGGAGATTTGGGGAGACGGAGGGAGATAAGATATCAGCATTTGCATTAACGGGACCAGGGAAATAAGGTCCAGTCCACCCGGCTCTGCCCCTGTGACCTTCAGCAAGTCACAGCCCTCTGAGTCCCAGTTTCTTCATGGAATAGAACAGTCGGATAGGTACTGGTGTATATCAAGGAATATTGCACTGGAGAGTTAAAAGAGAATTCTCTGCTTTCTGTTTAGGGTGGTTTAGAGTGACTACTGGATATCCCAAGGCCTTTGGAAAGCAGATTGGAATAGAAAGAAGTGATGGGATTCAGACCGAGGCCTGGTTCCAACTGGAACCAACAGGGACATCCAGAGCCATAACTGAATCTGTAGATTTTCCCATGTCCTCTCCAGCCTTTCTGGGTCTGGAGCCTGGGATGAAACAGGGTGACTGCTCTCTAAGGGATATGTTGTTGGGCAGGTTAAAAGGGCGCTTATGTTGTTGGGTCCCTAAAAAGTGTACCACTGGGCCGGGCACGGTGGCTCACACCTGTAATCCCAGCATTTTGGGAGGCCAAGGTGGGCGGATCAACTGAGATCGGGAGTTCGAGACCAGCCTGACTAATATGGAGAAATCCTGTCTCTACTAAAAACACAAAATTAGCTGGGCGTGGTGGCAGGCGCCTGTAATCCCAGCTACTCAGGAAGCTGAGGCTGGAGAATCGCTTGAACCTGGGAGGTGGAGGTTGTGATGAGCTGAGATGGTGCCATTGCACTCCAGCCTGGGCAACAAGAGAGAAACTCCATCTCAGAAAAAAAAAAAAAAAATAGCGTACCACCAAGCCGACTCTTCATCTTAGTATTCCATTCACTCATTCAACAGGTATTTATTTGCCTTGCGTTCATTCTCCTAGGCTAAGGTCAAATCATAGATACAAAAATGAACCAGAAATTATACCTCCTCTCAAGTATATTACATGTTCCTAATAAAAATAGTGGAAGATAACTTAGTAGTACTTTTATTTCTTATTCTACTCATGATAAATTACAACAACGTAGATATAACCCAAATTCATATACTTTGTTCTTGAGACTTTTTAATTGCCTTGCTATGTAACATAATGAATTCTTAGCTTTATTGGGTCCAATCACTCTGATCAGAGGCCATAATTTGCTTCAGCTTTAATATCCTCTAGATTCATATATCCGTTTGTATGTGTTCTCTGTGTATATTTGTGCATTAATATTTGTGCATTATGAACAGTATTAACAAGGGTGAAAATGCTGCTTCCAGTATGATCACTGTTAATCTTGCAATCATGCTAGTAACCATAATTTATTGTTAACAACTTGCCAGATTGAACCAAAAGCTTTATATGCACCAGCTTTTGTAGAGATGCAGTATAATATGCTGGTCAAGAACAGGGCCTCTGGAGTTGGACTGCCTGGATTCAAGTTTCAGCTCTGCCACTTATTTGCAGTATAAACTTGAGCAAACTATTTGATATCTCTGTGCCTCACTTTTCACATCTGCAAAATGGCCATACAGGTTGAGTATCCCTTATCTGAAATGTTTGGGACCAGAAGTGTTTCAAATTTCAGATTTTAGAATATTTGCATTATATACTTAAGGGTTGAGCATCCCTAATGGAAAACCTGAAATCCAAAATGCTCCGATGTGGCTGGGCACGGTGGCTCATGCCTGTAATCCCAGCACTTTGGGAAGCCTAGGTGGACAGATCACTTGAAGTCAGGAGTTTGAGACCAGCCTGGCCAACATGGTGAAACCCCATCTCTACTAAAAATACAAAACTTAGCTGGGCATGGAGGCACACACCTGTAATCGCAGCTACTCAGGAGGCTGAGGCAGGAGAATTGCTTGAACCTGGGAGGTGGAGGTTGCAGTGAGCCCAGGTTGCACCACTGCACTCCAGTCTGGGCAATATAGTAAGATTCTGTCTAAAAAAAAAAAAAAAAAAAATCCAAAATGCTCCAATGAATATTTCCTTCGAATGTCATGTCAGTGCTCAAAAAGTTTTAGATTTTGGATCATTTTGGATTTTGGATTTTTGGATTAGATGCTCAACCTGTAGTAACAGTATCTCAGAGGCTTGTGGAATAGATAAAATGAGTTAATAAATATAAAACATAGAGCAGTTCCTGGTACCTTTTAAGTGCTATTTTTAATCTTCACAGAAGTCAATGATAGAGTTATTATCCTATTTTACACATAGGAAAGTGAGACTTAGAGAGGTTCAGCAACTTGCCCAAGGCCACAGTTGAGCTATAATTCACAACTAGTCCTATCTAATGCAGACACTAATGCATTTAATGAAATGTTGTTCTGACTATTCTGTGCTGCCCTTAATTCTCAGAATAAGCTGCACTGTCAATCAATATTTAGAATTTAATTGAATTCTTAAAATTGAGTTATTAAAATGCAATAAAGCTGTTTATTCTTTGTAGACATTTATAATGGAAATTCTGGACTAGAAGTCAAGAGATTTACTTAGTTATAATTTTGAGCAAATAATATTTCTATCCTTATTCTGCAGATCTTTCAATAAATGGTCTTAGTTATAATTTTGAGCAAATAATATTTCTACCCTTACTCTGCAGATCTTGAAATAAATAAATGGTTTATATATGGTGATTTTGAAAAGCTCTCCCATCTCAAATTCTAGGAGAATTATTTAAAACAGGAGAAATTGCCTTTTTCACAAAAGCAGTAAACTCTGAAATAAGCAGTCAACTCAAGATTTTTGATGAATAGAAGTACTATGTTATGAGCAAAATCAAAATGTTTAACAATGTATTTAAATATATTTTGCATATTTAAAAATAGATATATAATTAACACTATAGTATACTTTCCTGAATTGTGGAAATGTGAGAGAGATAATCTTGGAATTTTGTAAAATATTTCTTTCTTTGTGAGGGAAAACTACACCTAACCATCTCTTTAATAAACAAGGTCTTTATTTACCTTGTAAATCTCTTTTCAGTGCAAACATGCTTAGACAGAGAAGAGATTAACTTCAGTGGCTTCCCACTAATTACAGAGATTAAGAAGTGGCTGCCTGAACTATTTTCCAAAGGATACACATTACAAATTATTGAATAGGGCAGCTAACCAAGAAGATCCTATTGGTTTGGGGGTAAGTAATTCTAAAAGTTATCTTTTCCTTAGAATGTCCCATGAATATGGTTTACTTGGGAAGTATGGCTCTCTGACTATACCAATCAGTTTTGAGCAGAGCTAATCCATTTATAGCATCTGCAATTTCCAGTGACCTAGATCTATGAATGGCATCTGTCATTGGTTTGATGACAATGTTGAAAAATAGGTTAGGCTGGCAGATAAGAAGCCCTGCACCCTCTATCTGTAAACAATACCACATCCCAAACTTTTTGAAAACTATCCTGAATTTTGCCTCTCAGCACATCTTGTGGCCTCTTATAGAAAATCCTGGAATATCTGAAGTGGAAGGGACCTTAGATTTGCCACTTCACAAGTATTTTTGTTGTACAGTACTGTGCAAGCCACTTGGGGTACAAAGATGAATAACGAGAGACCTTCTCTCATTATACACATAGTCTACTAAAAATCATTTCGTATAGTGTCCTAATTTTCTAGCTGGGGAGGCTGAGGCCAGAGTGGGGAATGGAGCTACTCAAGGACACATAATGGGATGAGGCAGGGCTGGGGTAGATCCTAGGCCTCTTGATGCCACTCACATTGTTTCCATTGCATTGTGCTTTTCTGTATTGGTTACCTATTCTCGTCAGGAAGTCAATTCTAGCAACTTCTCAAAATGTAGGCTGAAATTCTTCTGGAAAACTCCATTTTTTTAATGCTAATGGTATGAATGAGAATATTAAGTTGGTGCGTTTTAGCTGCTGTTCTCTTCTGTAAACAGTTCTTCCTGTAGACAGTTCTTCCTAGAATTAGGTTGGTCATGCCCATAAGAAACTTATTTCCTAGAACTTTTAGGCAGAACCTCAGAAGAAATGGGGACTGGGTGCTCCCACTGCCCCCCATACTTCCCTCAGCTATCTGATATCACAGCCAGTCGCAGGGGACACATGACATGGAGTAGTTGAGACTGGTCCTTCGTTAGGTTCCTTCGGTCCCAGCAAATGTTCATGCTGGTCACATCTTCAGGTTTCTCTTTTTTTCAGTTTCACCAGCAACTGGTATAGGACCTACACAAATAAGGTGCTTAGGAGGTGTTCCCTGAATGAGTGGAGGAGCACCTTTGAATGCATAATTCATTCTCTTTCTTTTCAGTTCTAGCCTCGTTAGTTGAGGGGGATGATACAAGTAAATCTGGAAAATGTTTCATTATTCTTTTAATTCTAATATATAATCCAATATTAACATTATTTAAATTCTAAGTCACTGGCTCTCAAACTTTTTGGTCTCAGAACTTCTTTTCACTCCTCAAAATTAAGAACCCCCAAAGAGGTTTTGTTTATGTAGGTTATAGATTGAGTTCGAATCCTGCTCTGCTACCATCATTTGACATTAAAACTGAGATTGAATGCCACATGCAGGGTTTGTTAAATTTAAAAATAAATAAATGAGGCCAGGTGCGGTGGCTCATGCCTGTAATCCTAGCACTTTGGGAAGTCAAGGTGGGTGGATCACCTGAGGTCAGGGGTTTGAGACTAGCCTTGCCAAAAAATGGTGAAACCCTGTCTCTACTAAAAATACAAAAAAAAAAAAAAAAAAAAAAAAAGCCTGATGTAGTGGCGCATGCCTGTAGTCCCAGCTACTCTGGAGGCTGAGACAGGAGAATCGCTTGAACCCAGGAGACGGAGGTTGCAGTGGGCTGAGATCACGCCATTGCACTCCAGCCTGGGTGACAAGAGTGAAACTCCGTCTCAAAAAAATAAAATAAATAAGTAAATTAATTAATTAATTTTAAAAAACAAATTTTAAAGACATTTACTTATTAATTTTGAAATAGCAATAAACCTATTGCATATTAACATAAAACATCATTTTATGAAAAATAAATATACTTTCCAAAACCAAAATATTTAATTGGAAGAAGTGGTATTGCTTTATGTTTTTGCAAATTTCTAATGTTTGCCTTAAAAAGGAGACAATTGGACTCTGATATCTGCTTCTGCATTCAGTCTATTATAATCTATTGTTTATGTTGAGGTATTAAAAGAAAAGAAGGCCCCACTTTGGGAGGCCAAGGCACGTGGATTGCTTGAGCCCAGGAGTTGGCGAAACCCCGTCTCTACAAAAAACACAGAAAAATTAGCTGGGCATGATGGTGCAAGCCTGTAGTCCCAGCTCCCTGGGAGGCTGAAGTGGGAGGATCACCTAAGCCTAGGAGGTTGAGGGTACAGTGAGATCACACCACTGCACTCCAGCCTGGGTGATAGAGTGAGACCCTGTCTCAAAAAAAAAGAAAGGAGAAGGAGAAGGAAAAAGAAAGAAAGAAGAAGGAGAAGGAGGAGAAGGAAGAAGGAAGAAGGAGGAGAGAAAAGGAGAGGAAGGAAGGGAGGGAGGGAGCGAAGGGCCTCACTGAGAGATGTGGTTGGAAAACAGAAGTCCTCCCAAACTCCCTGAAAGGCTCTCAGGAATCCCCCATGTTCCATGGATCACACTTTAAGAACTGCTAGTCTAGGTCATTACCTACATTGTCTCATTTAGTGGCATTATTTCTAGCATCTCAGAACATCTATTTCATGATTCTGGCACACTGAGAGGTGCCATAGTGAAATTATTAAAAAAAAAAAAATCCGGCCGGGCGCGGTGGCTCACGCCTGTAATCCCAGCACTTTGGGAGGCCGAGGCGGGTGGATCATGAGGTCAGGAGATCGAGACCATCCTGGCTAACAAGGTGAAACCCCGTCTCTACTAAAAATACAAAAAATTAGCCGGGCGCGGTGGCGGGCGCCTGTAGTCCCAGCTACTGGGGAGGCTGAGGCAGGAGAATGGCGTGAACCTGGGAGGCGGAGCTTGCAGTGAGCCGAGATTGCGCCACTGCAGTCCGCAGTCCGGCCTGGGCGACAGAGCGAGACTCCGTCTCAAAAAAAAAAAAAAAAAAAAAATCCAACAACCAAGGAAGGTTATAACCTTTTAGAATAACTGAGGCTTTTCTTTTTCAAGAAGCTTCAGTAGTGTAAATTATTTTTTATTTTTGATTACATCTTCTTAGTATTTATTTTATTGTGGCAGAGTGCACATAACATAAAATTTATGATTAGTGACATTTAGTATATAGAGACATTGTTGTGCAACCATCATCACTATCTAGTTCTAGAACATTTTCATCACTCCAAAAGGAAACTCTGCCTCTTTGTTTGTTTGTGTTGCTATAAAAAAATAACTGAGGCTAAGTAGTTTATAAAGAAAAGCAGTTTATTTGGCTCATGGTTCTGCAGGCTGTATGAAAAGTGTGACGCAGGCTTCTGTTTCTGGTGAGGGCTCAGGAAGCTTCCACCGTGGCAGTAGGCAAAGGAGAGCAGGCATCCCTTGGCAAGAGAGGAAGGAACCAGGTGAGGAGGGAGGTGCCAGGCTTTTTTAAAACAATTCGTTCTTGTGGGAACTAATAGAGTGAGAACTCACTAATTACCAGGGAGATGTCACCAAGTATTCATGAGGGATCTGGTCACATGACCGAAACACCTCCAACTAAGCCCTACCTCCAACATTGGGGATCAAATTTCAACATGAGATTTGGAGGGGACACATATCCAAACTATATCTAGCCTATTAAGATACTCTGTATTACATTCTATCTGTATCTATTAAGTAGTCACTCCCCAGTCTCTTCCTTATTCCAGCTCTTGCCAACCACTAATCTGCTTTTTGTCTCTATAGATTTGCCAACTATGGATATTTCGCATACATAGAATATGAACTGTGTAGCCTTTCATGTCTGGCTTCTTTTGCTTAGCATGATGTTCTCAAGATTCACCCATGTTGTAGTATGTACGAGTACTTCATTCCTTTTAATGGCCGAGTAATATTTCATTGTGTGGATTGACCACATGATGTTTCTCCACTCATCTGTTGATGAATATTTGAGTTGTTTTCACTTTTTGGCTGCTGTGAACAGTGCTGCTGTGAACATTTGTGCACAAATTTTTGTTTGAACATCTGTTTCTGTGTTTTTGGCCTTAAACCCAGGATTAGAATGGCTGGACCGTATGGCAATTCTGTGTTTTACTTATTACAGGACTTCTTAGTCTTTTTTAAAATCAGTTTTGTTTTTGTGTGTCTGCAACCTCAGGGCTGTAAGTGTGAAGCAGGGTGAGGAGGAAAAGCAAAAGCATACAATTAATTAGTCTAAAAAAGGATTTATTTTCAACATCATACTATTGTGCCTAACAAAATTAACAACATGTATTCTTCTTTTTATTAAACAGGGAACACAACTTCCAGCAGCCACAAGGGATGCTGCTACTCAGGTGCCAACTGAAACAAGCTCCTCCACAGAAGGTTTCGTTTAGGTTTTGTGTCGTGATGGGGAAACAGCAAAGCAAACTCAAACACAGCACTTATAAATACGGGTACTGCAATCCTCCCCTGGGAGCCCAGGTTTTATCATGCCCCATTAAAACTCTCCACTGAAGAAAGAGAAGGCCCAGGGCGAATGTTGATGGCCTTCCCTGAATAGTTGGCCTTCCCTGAATAGTTTAGTGTGTTTTCTTTTGGATAAGAAACAGTCAGGGCTGGGTGTGCTGTCTCACACCTGTAATCCCAGCGCTTTGGAAGCCCGAGGGGGACAGATTGCTTGAGCTCAGTAGTTTGAGACCAGCCTTGGCAACATGGCGAAACCCCATCTCTACAAAAAATACAAAAATTAGCTGGGCATAATGGCATGAGCCTGTAGTCCCAGCTACTTGGGAGGCTGAGGTGGGAGGATTGCTTGAGCCCAGGAAGTCAAGGCTGCAGTGAGCCATGTGTGCCACTGCACTCCAGTCTGGGCAACAGAGTGAGACTCTGTCTCAAAAGAAAGAAACAGTCAAGTTTATTAGCTAGTGTCTGCACCCATACACAGAGGGGCCCTAAATCTTCAGGATTAATTGCTAGTGTGAGCAAAGAAAGACTCCTGGCTTCTTGGCTTCAGGATCCCCCTTTATCAGATTCCAGTCCTTCAGTCATTCTGCACATTTTCAGAGTAAATAATACCATTGCTGACAATGTAAATGGGTCTCCCTTCTCTTCTCCTTTTTAAATATTTCTCCTTAGTCTGGCCTGAATTGCCTTCTTAACCCACATTCTTCTCCCTACCCCACCCCACCCCACCCCCATCCACTCCCATGCCATTGGGTCTCTCATTTTCTATACTCTTTTTAGCAGGCCTGATGAAATTATAGAAGAGAGAATTCAAACTAAAGCTTTTCAAGAGTATAGCCCAGCTCACATGGATACCGTCTCTGTCGTGGCTGCTTTGAACTCAGACCTTTGTGTCTCTGGAGGGAAAGATAAGGTGGGGTTTGCAGTGTTTCCCGGGAAATGAACTTTATTGCAGGGAAAGGAAGATATTTTGAAAGGAAGTCTAGGATTTGCATTTCTGGAGCAGGGTTGACAAGTGTAAAAATATTGGCTTTAGAGTTAGAAAGACTGGATTTAAATCCCTGCTTGGCCACTTCCCATTCGTTTGGACAAGTCTTTAAATTTTTTTGAGTTTCAGTCTTATCTGTTAAGTGGGAATAATAATGCCACCTCACAGGTGGTTATTAAAGATTAAATCAAAGAACGTAGGTGAGATCTTAACACTATGCCTGACCACCCACATGCTTTCTATAAATGGCAAAGATTATACTTACCACCAATCCCATGTTACACCTACATGGAGACACAGGAGTTAATTGTCAGCAAAAGGAACTGTCTAATCTCTTCTTTTATGCTCTCTACACTGGTATGCATCATGATTCCTCCCTGTGTTTTTGTCTTCCTTCCTCCCATTCTCACATTTCTCTCCTTCATATTAGGATCTATCATAGCCCTCACAGCTGGGATACTGGTAGTACAACTGCTAATTCTTTTTGTAGTGAATAATACTAATAATGGGCCGGGTGTGGTGGCTCACACCTATAATCCCAGCACTTTGGGAGGCCAAGGCAGGCGGATCACTTGAGGACAGGAGCTAAAGACCAGCCTGGACAACATGGCGAAGCCCCATCTCTACTAAAAATACAAAAATTAGCTGGGCATGATGGCGCTTGCCTGTAATCCCAGCTACTTGGGAGGCTGAGGCTCAAGAATTGCTAGAACCTGGGAAGTGGAGGTTGCAGTAAGCCGAGATCGGGCCACTGTCCTCCAGCCTGGGTGACAGAGCAAGACTCTGTCTCAAAAAATAATAATAATAATGTCTCTCATTTTCAATAGCCTTTTAGAATCTTCAAATTCCATTTGCATACTGCATTCCACTGGTTCTAAGATGCATGTTTTCACATTTTATTTTATTTTTATTATATTATTATTATTTGAGACAGAGTTTTGCTCTTGTTGCCCAGGCTGGAGTGCAGTGGCGCCATCTCGGCTCACCACAACCTCCGCCTCCTGGGTTCAAGCGATTCTCCAGCCTCAGCTTCCCAAGTAGCTGGGATTACAGGCATGTGCCACCACACTCGGCTAATTTTGTATTTTATTTTTTTTAGTAGAGATGGGGTTTCTCCATGTTGGTCAGGCTGCTCTCGAACTCCCGACCTCAGGTGATCCGCCCGCCTCAGCCTCCCAAAGTGCTGGGATTACAGGCGTGCGCCACTGTGCCTGGCCCTGTTTTCACTTTTCACATTTTAACACTTCTGAAATCAGGATGCATCGAAGTATCATAGTTTAATTGGCAGTATTTTGTCTTAAAATCTAGGCCAGGCAGGGTGGCTCACTGCAATCTCCACCTCCCAGGTTCAAGCAATTCTCCTGTCTCAGCCTCCTTAGTAGCTGGGATTACAGGCATGTGCCACCACACCTGGCTTATTTTGTATTTTTAGTAGAGATGGGGTTTCTCCATGTTGGTCAGTCTGGTCTCAAACTCCCGACCTCAGGTGATCTGCCCGCCTTGGCCTCCCAAAGTGCTGGGATTACAGGCATGAGCCACTGCGCCCAGCTTGAAATGGTAGATTAAAAAAAAAAAAACACCACAACAAAAAAATACAGTACTATAGGGAAAACAAATCTAACCTTATGTGGAATTCTCCTTCACCATCTACAGTCAGAACCTCCAGGGGAATCAGTTCTCCTTGGGGAATGTTAGCCCAAACCCATCAGTAAGTTTAGAGCAGTGGTCCAGTGTCGGAGGGAGACAGAGAACAACCAGGAGGAAAGAAAAGAAACTCAAAGGAGGGGCACGTGAGGAGGGACGGCCACAACAGGGAACCCCGAATGCTTTGAGCAAGTTCCTGAGCAGAGAGGGAGTGAGTGAGGAGGGAGAAAGTAAGGTGAGAATGCAGTAGAGGCTAGTGTCACTTTAACAAGAATTGAGTAATGAAACTACAATCTTCACTCTCTTCAGACAGTTGTGGCCTATAATTGGAAAACTGGAAATGTGGTGAAAAGGTTCAAAGGACATGAACATGAGATCACCAAGGTAATTTTCAAATGATTATTATGAAGGCAATCTGGAACTGAATAAAGGATAGCTAATAGTTCTAGATATTAAGAGTGATTGAATCTTTGGTCTTAAGGAAAAATGCAAAGGTTTGTTTGATGCTGTGAAATCCTACTTCAGGAGAAACAGAGCAAACCATTCACTTAGTTGTTGTTACAGGCATATCGAACACAATTTTTCTTTTGTCATTAAGCCCTTAATAGCACAGGTAGTAAACAGAACACAGCTGATAACAACTCTTGACCTATCCTGACTCAACAAGTACTGTACTGAAGGCTTGGGCTTACCCTGTGCTTACCATAGCTAGGAAAGTGACAAAATCCCTGTGCTCAGCAACCTTCTAGTCTAGTTGGGGACATTTAATGAACATTCAATAACAATGAAATAAAAATTTATTTGTTAGATAGCATTACAGACCAGAGTGAGCTTCCAGCAAAAATGATAGAGAATGCCAATTTATATAATTCCCCGCTCTGAAGTCCGCCTAAATGAACCAAAAATTAAGATACACACTTCATTTATAATGAAACTAGGCATCAGCCACAATCCCATAGCACAGAATATGATATTTGCTTGCCAGATACATTGTGTTCTGAACTAGACTGATAGAGAACACCATGCTGTAATGCACTTATCCCCAGATATTTGGCAGAGTGCAGATGTCACTAAAAGAGCTGGTCCTGAATGGTCCTCCCAACAGCCCTTTATTTAGAAAGATGAGGACTAAAGATATAGATTGTTTACCAGTAAAACAAGACAATGTAACAAAATTGAGACTGCTGCCAGCTTGCTTCTCCTTCTTCTGGTCACCCTAAAATGCCGAAGGACTGGCCAGGCATGGTGGCTCATACCTGTAATCCCAGTGCTTTGGGAGGCTGAGGCAGGAGGATCATTTGAGGCCAGGAATTTTTTGTTTTGTTTTTTGAGATAGAGTCTCACTCTCCCCGTTGTGTGATCAAAGCTCACTGCAACCTCCATCTCGCAGGTTCAAGCTATTCTTCTGCCTTGGCCACCCAAGTAAGTGGGATTACAGACATGTGCCACCACACCCGGCTAATTTTTATATTTATAGTAGAGATGGGGTTTTGCTATGTTGGCCAGGCTGGTCTCCAACTCCTGACCTCAAGTGATTCGCCCGAGGCCGGGAGTTTAAAACCAGCCTGGGACATAGCAAGACCCCATCTTGACCAAAAATAAAAAAAATTAGCCAGGCATGGTGGTGAACACCTGTAGTCTCAGCTATTTAGACAAGACATAATCAGCCATCAATATTCAGGATGACAAATCAAGACATAATCAACCATCAATATTCAGCATGACAAGTCAAGTTATAGTAGACCTTGGACTAAAAGGAAAGAAAGTGAGAGAGAATTGACTGTGTGTGAGTGTGTGTGCATGCACTTGTGTGTGTGTGCACGTGTGTGTGTGTGTGTGTGTGTGCATGTAACACTTGAGCATGTATCAAGCCTTATTGGATTTACTGCCAAAAATTGGACTTATCCTCATTCAAAGATGAAAAGATTAATAAGCAGAAAGGATCCAAAGTGAGGCCTATATGCCTAGATTTTTTTAAATATACATATAACAAGCTAATGTCAGATGAAAATACACTTTGAAGGAAGAACTACTCAAGAAGCAAAGATAAAATTTGATTAATGCTTTTTACTCTCTATAAATTAAGAGAACATGTACTCTATGAAACAAGAAATTGAAAAAATAAGACAAGCCAGGTGCAGTGGCTCATGCCTGTAATGCTGGCACTTTGGCAAGGCAAGGCAGGAGGATTGCTTGAGCCCAAGAATTTGAGACCAGCCTGGGCAACATAATGAGACCCCATCTCCACAAAAAATTAAAAAATTAGTTGGATGTAGTTGTGCGCACCTATAGTCCCAGCTACTCAGGAAGCTGATGTGGAAGGATCACTTGAGTCCATGAGGTTGAAGCCATAGTGAGCTGTGATGATTTCACTGCATCCAGCCTTGGCGACAGAGCAAGATCTTAGTCTCAAAAAAAAAAGTAAGACAATAGAAGAATTATCTGGGAGAGAAAATATTTGAGGAAAAAATATTATTAAAAAGTAAAAATTGGCCAGGCAGGGTAGCTCATTCCTAAAATCCCAACACTTTGGGAAGCTGAGGTAGGAGGATTGCTTGAGCTCAGGAGTTCAAGACCAGCCTGGGCAACATAGCAAGACCTGTCTCTACTATAAATAAAAATACAAATATATTCGGTGGTCATAGTGGTGCATACCTATAGTCAAAGCTACTTGGGAGGCTAAGGCAAGAGGATCGTTTAAGCCAGGGAGATGGAGGCTGCAGTGAGCTATAGTTGTGCCATTGCACCCCAGCCTGGGTGACATAGCGAGACCCAGTCAGAAAGAAAGAAAGAAGGAGGGAGGAAAGAGAGAGAGAGAGAAAGAAGAGAGAAAAAGAAAAAGAAAGAAAGAAGGACGGAAAGAAGGAAAGAAAGAAAAGAAAGAGAAAGAAAGAAAGGAAAGGAAAGGAAGAAAGAAAAAGAATCTGTATGTGCGGAGAGTGTTGTTCATGTGTAAAGGCAATGGGAAGACATTCTTAAATTTGTAAAATCTTGCCATATGCAAAGCATTCCTCAATAATATAGTTGAAGGTATATTATTAAAGAATGTGAATGGGCCGGGTGCGGTGGCTCACGCCTGTAATCCCAGCATTTTGGGAGGCCAAGGCGGGCAGATCACCTGAGGTCAGGAATTCAAGACCAGCCTGACCAACATGGAGAAACCCCGTCTCTACTAAAAATAAAAAATTAGCCAGGTGTGGTGGCGCATGCCTGTAAACCCAGCTACTCGAGAGGCTGAGGCAGGAGAATCACTTGAACCCAGGAGGCAGAGGTTGTGGTGAGCTGAGATCACACCATTGCACTCCAGCCTGGGCAACAAGAGGGAAACTCCATCTCAAAAAATAAAAAATAAAAAATAAAGAATGTGAATGAATGATGAATAATAAAGCCAATGAATATTAAAGAAGTTCCAAACTGAATTCACTGTATGAGCCTTCAATCCAATTAAACACAGAATTATGTCTAAAGAATTGTCAAAACGAGGGCTATGAGAAGAAATGTAATTGTTTTAATTCTTTTAAAAATTTATATGTATAAAATACAAAATATTAATAATATGATAATAGACTAGATAAAAATCCAAGAGAGTACTTACAAAAGTGGGAACGAGCCAGAAGTAATATAATTGTGCTAATTAAAGAAAAAAAAAATTTTCCTTACAGGAGATTCTGTTTTCTTTCTGAAATTAATACATTGAGAATATGAGTTTAAGGATATTAATACATATACAGAGGTATCATGAGAAGAACTTAAGTTCCATATTATTTAAATTAAAAATATAAAGGGAAAAATAACTCTAAAAACAAATATACAATTTTATAGAAAAAGAAGACAATGAAAATATGACAAAGTGTTTTTCAAAAACCAACAGAAAAGATGGAAGGAACAAGATCAAACATATATATGATAGCAGTAAATGTAATTGGGATAAATTCACTTATTGAAAGGCAGTACTCTTACTGAGTTAAAAACTAAAGCCACCTGTACATTGTTTAAAAGAGACATATCTAGGCTGGGCACGATGGCTCATGCCTGTAATCCCAGCAGTTTAGGAGGCCAAGGCGGGTGGATCACTTGAGGTCAGGAGTTCAAGACCAGCCTGGCCAACATGGCAAAACTCCATGTCTACTAAAAATTAAAAAAAAAAAAGAATTAGCCAGGCATGGTGGCACACACCTGTAATCCCAGCTATGCAGGAGGCTGAGACAGGAGAATCGCTTGAACCTGGGAGGCAGAGGTTGCAGTGAGCAGAGATCACACCATTGCACTCCAGCCTGGGCGACAGAGTGAGACTGTGTCTCAATAAATAAATAAAAAATAAGACATATCTAATGCAAAACAGCTTTAAGATTGAAAGTAAAACAGTTAGTAAATATAGAACAGATATTTGTACACACACACACACACACACACACACACACACACACACACACACATATATATATATAGCAGCATTGTTTATAATAGCCAAAAGCTGGAAACAACCCAAATGTCCTTTGACAGATTCATGGATAAACAAAATGCGGTAATATACATACAGTGGGCTATTTTTCAGCCTTAAAAAGGAATGAAATAGGCCAAGCACAGTGGCTCGTGCTTGTAAACCCAGCATTGTGGGAGGCCCAGGCAGGTAGATCACTTGAGCCCGGGAGTTCGAGGCCAGCCTGAGCAACATGGCAAAACCCTGTCTCTACAGAAAATACAAAAATTAGTCAGGTATGGTGGCGCACACTTATAGTCCCAGCTATTCAGGAGGCTGAGGCAAGTGGATTGCTTGAGCCCGGGAAGGGAAGGTTGCAGTGAACCGAGACCAGGTCCCTGCACTGCAGTCTGGGTGACAGAGCAAGACCCTGTCTCAAAAAAAAAAAAAAAAAAGGAATGAAATTCTGATACATGTTACAACATGGCTGAACCCTGAAAACATTATGCTAAGTAAGAGCCGGACACAAAAGGACAAATATGGTATGATTCTGCTTATTTGAGGTACCTAGAATAGTCAAGTCCATAGAGACAGAAAGTAGAATAATGGTGGGTGCCAGCGGCTGCGGGGAGAGGAAAATGGAGAGTAATTGTTTAAAGGTTGTAGAGTTTCAGTTTGGGATGATGAAAAAGTTCTAGAGATGATAGTGGTGATGGTTACACAACAATGAATGTACTTGTTGCCACTGAGTTGTACACTTAAAAATGGTTAAAATGGTAAGTTTTATGTATATTTACCACAATTCCAAAAAAAAAGAAACACGATGGAAGAGATCAGAACAGGAAGAGTAGGTCAGCAAAGATATATCAGGCAAATGTAAACAAACAGAGCAGGAGTTGGGATGATAATAATATCAAGCAAAGTTGTATTCAAGGTAAAAAGCATAAAATGGAACAGAGATTCACTTCAAATTCTTCGTAAGTATAACAGAATCACCTGTCATAACAGTACAGCATCCATTTTTGGGGTGTGGTGATGATCAAGTGCAAAAGGAATCCCACAGGAGGAAGTTCTATAGGAAGCCCAAGAGGGGATACATCCTCACCAAGGTGACATGATCTGAGGAGGTGAGATTTTTAACCTTACCCTGAAGGACAGGAGGAAATCTGCTACATAAAGGAAAGGTAGCACAACATTGATAAAGGTGGAAATTCAGACTGGCCCATGCTGTGCATTCATAGATTTCAAGCTTAGGTATTACTCTTTTGAGAAGTGTGTGTGGGGGCCGGGCACAGTGGCTCATGCCTGTAATCCCAGTACTTTGGGAGGCCGAGGTGGGTGGCTCACCTGAGGTCACGAGTTGGAGACCAGCCTGGCCAACATGGTGAAACCCTGTCTCTACTAAAAATGCAAAAATTAGCTGGGCGTGGTGGCTGGTGCCTGTAATCCCAGCCACCCGGGAGGCTGAGGCAGGAGAATCGCTTGAACCCAGGAGGTGGAGGTTGCAGTGAGCTGAGATCACACCACTGCCCTCCAGCCTGGGTGACAAAGTGAGACTCCGTCTCAAAAAAAAAGAAAAGAAGTGTGTGTGGGGAGGGAGTTATGCAGACTCATCTTTCCCCCAATTTAAAGTCCAGTCCAACTAGCATACCAGAGCTATTTCAGTGTTGTTGTTTTTTCCCTGAGCAGGTAGCCTGTATTCCCAAATCCAGCCAGTTCTTCAGTGCCTCTCGTGACAGGATGGTCATGATGTGGGACTTGCACGGTTCCTCACAACCAAGGCAGCAATTGTGTGGCCATGCCATGGTGGTCACCGGATTGGCTGTGAGTCCAGGTAAAACAAAGCGGACCTCTTCCCAATGCCTTTGTGCTTTCTGAAAAGCCCCGTTCAGGTCCCCACTCACAGGCTGTCTTCTCACCATTGTTTCCAAAGACTCATCACAGCTGTGCACTGGCTCTCGGGACAACACCCTGCTTCTGTGGGATGTGGTGACAGGACAGAGTGTGGAAAGAGCATCTGTCTCCAGGAACGTGGTATGAACTCAAACTTGGTACAGAACAGGGCAGCAGAAAGGAGCATGGGGTGAAGGAAAGGCTCGGGAGATAAATCAGGAGGCCCATGAGCAGAAATTAGAGCCTGGGTCCCAATTGCTGTCCCCTAACCTGCTGTGAGACCCTGGCCTCTCAGGGTTATTAGATTAGATGTTCCCTTGAGTCTTCTGCTCCAGACAATGATTTTACTCACTTATATTGGAATTTAAAATGGTGTCTTCATTATTTCTTTCATTATTCTGTTTCTTCTGTGGGCCAGACACTGTGCTAGGAACAGGGTTAGTGACCAAGAACATAGTTCCTGTCTTCCAGGACCTCACAGCTTATGCTTATTGTATGTTCATATGTGTAACATCATGTGGAGAAATAAGCATTACCTTTTGCTTTATGTAGAATTTGCATTGCTTTTGAAGGACCAGTTGTTTTCTAGTAGCAGACTGGTATAAATTGGAGAGCCTTTGGAGTCAGTTATACTCAGGTTAAAATCATGGATCTATTACTTACCAGTTATGTTATCTCAAGGAAGTTACTTAAGCTCTTAGAGTGTCTGTGTCTTCATTTATAAAATGGGGAGAATTCTATCACCTGCTAAGGTTCTTCAGAGGATGAATTCAGATACTAGATGTGAAATACCTGACATTGTGTCTGACCCATACTAGATGTTCTTTTAGTGGTTGTCAAATTTCAGTCCCAGTCATCTTTTCTAATTTTGAAGATGACTGCCAATGGTCAGATATGCTTGCCCCATGCCCTCTATATTGGTGGAGGTTACTGGAAGAAAAGAAAATCCTGTTATTTCGGGTTATTTTGGAAACTATTTTATGCCTATCCAGCAGGGACCTGCAGGGATAAAGAGAAACATGAATGCTCTTCCTGATCCCCATGAGGTGTTGGGGCTAGAGTTTCAGTGAACCCACCTTACAACAGGAGCTGTTCTATCTGCCACACAGCTGGGGTTTCAGGCACTCTTAGGGTGCCTGCATGTATTTTGGTGCTCACAACTGGCCCAGCTGTTATCTTGCTGCTGATAACCTAGGAGATGCAGGTAGAGCATGACTGATAGGTATCTGCAAAACCTAAGATGCCTGTAAATGAATTTGCTAGTTCAGAATCCTTGAGAAGAGGCACAGTGATGCTAGTTAGCACATTTGACAGGAATTACAGCAGAGGAATGACTTGGTGTGGAGAAGTTCTGAACATTTTGCTTTTTCTAGGTCACTCACCTGTGCTGGGTCCCCAGAGAACCATACATACTACAGACCTCTGAAGATAAAACCCTCAGGTGGGCTTACTGAGCAGCTGTGAAAGTGTTTCTTGTGAGGTTTGTGGCTCCCATGCATACATGGCTCCATTCCCACTCTGATTCTCCACATTGCTCTGCCCTTCCCAGAGCCTTCTGTTCCTCTGCCCTTCACTGGTGCTGGGGCCTCTCTGCTTTGGCCCCATGGATCATTAAGGTAGAGGTTGTGTGTCATGAGATCAGGCCAAGTAAAAGCCCCTGTTTTGGATGGTTCCAAAGCATCTGATTCAGCCAGCTCCTGCTGTGTGAAGGTGTTCAGATTAACCCCAGAATCAGTCACTTGCTTGTCCCACCCTGTTGGGCTGCCTGGCTCTCCTTGCTACCCCTGCATGGCTCCTGGTGTTCTCAGTCACCCAGCCTTCAGCTGAAGCCCTCCCTGGGGAAGCAGGGTTGAAATCAGCATCAGGGGAGTCAGTAAAGCCAATAGTTCTTAGACCGGAGAGGATAACTAGAAACTTTGGATCTCAGAAGAGATTCTCCTTAGAAAATGGTAGGAATGGGGTAAAGAGGTAAAAATGAAATAAGAAGCAAAACAAAACACTCCCCAGTGGACCCCATAGCCAAGGCTGGCCATGACCTGTATGTAAATCTTTTGTAACTAATTCTGAATGATGACTGATTTCCCATATCATAATAAGTATCTTTTTAAAAATTTAAGTCACAGGCACAGAAATATCCTTTTGTCCACGGAAAGCAGTGTCTCAAAGGACCAAATTAACAAATTAACTTGTACAATTAAGATGCTTGGTCTCAATTTCTATTAACTGATCTCAAAATAGAAAGAACTCAGATGTCATTCAATTTGGTTACTTCCTGCCAACTTTAGAGTCTCAGAGATTGATCTGGTTCATGCTGCCGTTTTTAGGTAAATCATGCCATTCCAATCTGACTGGCCTATGCAGCAAAGAGCCAAGACTTTTTTGGTAGTGGGACAATACGGGTGTATTTCAGCCACATTTACTACAAGCTAATTTCCTGCCCTAATCTCTTTCAGATTATGGGACAGTCGGGGGCTGCAGGTAGCTCATATGTTTCCTGCAAAGCAGCACATTCAGACCTACTGTGAAGTCAGTGTGGATGGACACAAGTGTATCTCCTGCAGCAATGGCTTTGGAGGAGAAGGCTGTGAAGCCACGGTAGGAGACTGTGTGAGGTCCAGGTATCTGGTTGCTGATGAACAGATCACTTACTCTGGCCTCATGCCTGTAGCTGTGCTACACAGGCGGGCTTTGCTAATGGCTCAGGCCTCTTTCAAAAGCATACTGTGAGTGATCCTTTGCATTCCAGTTGCTTCATTTAAGAAACATTCATAGGGGAGGCCAAGGCGGGAGGATTAATTGAGCCCAGGAGTTTGAGACTAGCTTGGGCAACAGAGCAAGACCCTGTCTCTATAAAAAAATAAAAAGTTAGCTGGGCATGGTGGCATGTGCCTGTAGTCCAAGCTATTCAGAGGCTGAGGTGGGAGGATCAACTGAGCCTAGGAGTTTGAGGCCAGCCTGGGCAACAAGGGAGACCCCATCTCAAAAAAATAAAGAAAGAAAATAAAAGAAACATTCATCAACTTAGGGCTCTCTGAATTGGTAGTAGGAAAGAGGAATGGGATGAGAGTCAAGATGGGGAGGAGCTAAACACAGAACCAGCCTGCTGATGTCTCTACTCCCAGCAGAGCTTAGAGAGGGGAGGGACTGTTTGAAGAACCAGATTTATTCCCATTATAGGCGTGGCCACAGTAAAAGAAGCTCAAGCTTTTTAGGAAATTTGGAGCTCTAGTGTTGGTCCAGGGCCTACTCCATCCCTTACTCATGTACCTTCCTTACATTTAATTTTGGAATAGATTGCCTAGGCTCCTCCAAAGCACCTTAGATTCATAATTGTAGAATATCCATTAAAAGGGTTATCTAGTATTCAAACAGAACAATTATGCCTCCTATTTTATTGAACATTTCTTGTGTGCTGGGCACTGGGATGAGCACATTACATGTAATATCTCATTTAATCCTTAAAAACAACCCCATGAGTTAGGTACTATTATAATTCCCATTTCACAGACAAGGAAATAGAGGCATGGCAAGTTGACATCTCTTGCACAAGACCACATCCCTAGTAAATGGTAGATTGGGGTGTTGCAGCCTTTGAATGTAGCATCTCTTTTCTAAGTGAAACATTTCCAGCTCCTACAGCTATTCCCTGGATAACATGCTGTCCAATAACTTCATTATCTTTTTGGACATAATTCAATTTGCTCTCCTCCCTGAACATTATTCTCCAGCTGTGATCTGATCTGTATCAATGAGAGTGGGACTGGCAGCACTGACTGGCACTTCCCTCTTGTAGACGCTAGTCTTCACACATCAAGGTTCAGCATCTAGGCATTAAATCAGAATGTCTGCACCTAGATGTACTTATATCTATGGGGTACTTCTAACTACGGGGTCCCCACAGGGCCCACAGATGCCAAGAGGTTGAAATAAGGCAGCTCTTGAGTTGCCATGAAAGCAAACAACCCCATACTGTTGTTTGGGGCTCCCCATGGGTTCCCCATGATGGAACACCATCATGCTGTAGGACTGGGAGCTTTTACTTCCCTAACCACTAAAAAGGCAAAAACTCATATGACACATTCTTAACCAGGGTTGTTTGAGACATAGTTGAGGCTTAAAATAATCACTGGATGGATGGGTCATTGGGTCTGTGGATGGATGGGTTGTTGGGTCTGTGGATGGATGAAGATAAGGGGTAGCTACGTGAGCAGGTAAGTGGAGGGAATAGGTGCATCATGGGGGTAGGGGGAGATAGATATTCATGGATGAAGCTAGACAAGTGACTATGAGCTGGTCCATGTCATTACTTTGCAGTTGTGGGACCTAAGACAGACTCGAAACAGAATATGTGAGTATAAGGGGCATTTCCAGACTGTCGCATCCTGCGTCTTTCTACCAAGAGCATTGGCCTTGATGCCTTTAATTGCTACCTCATCACATGATTGCAAGGTGAAGATTTGGAACCAAGATACTGGAGGTAAGCAGCCTGCTGTTAGTTCTCCTCAAAAGATACATGAAGTCCTAAAACCTTCTTTAAAACTCCTTCTTCCCATTGCTCAGCATTACAAAGCCACCCATCTTCTGCCACTGTCCAGTCTCATGCTTAAGAGGTGATGTCAAGATGCTATCCCCTGTATCCCCTGGTACCATGTTGTATAGACTCATTCCTGAGAACTCACGTAGATTTGGCTCTTACATTCTTTCTACCTGAAGTTCTTCATCAGATTCTAACTTGTGACACTCAAAATATTTGGAAAAGAGAACAAGAATTGTGACTTTTCAAGTCTTCTTTCAAGGACTAAAATGAAAGCCCCAGCTCTTGGTGAGGGTAAGGGGGAGTAAGGATACTTTCAGAAAGTCTCTGCCCTGTTTTGATTCTGTAGCTGAAGTTTAAGAACACAGTAAGCTCATAACATTTCAAAGCATCAGAGAAAAAAGATGTCTTATGCAACCCAGCTCCCCAGAGTCCTGGATCTGCTGGATGGAGCCAGCCCCTGCTGGCCGATTGTTAAATATTCAGGATTTTTTGTGAACTGGTTTTTAAACCTTTGGTAGCCTGAAATCTGATCATGATGGAGGTATTTACATGATGAAAATTAACAAGTGCTATGAATCGGTGGTGGTGGTGTTTTCTCTTCCAGAAAGCTGGTTTACCAGCACCCCACTGCCTCCATCTATTCTGTCCTGGACACAGGGTTCTGCCACAGACAGAAACAGCATTGCCTTAAAGAACTTTAAACCAAATCTGTCCTACAACAGTCTTCTAGAACTCAGCTCCTCTCAAGGGAGACAGGGTAGTTCCCTCAGAGAATAGAGGCAGGACCATGTCTTGTGGGCATTCTGCAAACAGCTGTGGCCACAAGCCAAACTTCCATAGTAAGGACAGCCTGCTGTACTGTTACCTGGAGTGGCTTCTCCAGCCACTCAGGTGTAACTGTTGCTTGAGGAAAAAGAGCAGATGTTTTAGACTTAATGATCATAAATCTGACCAGGGAGAACGAGATCTGGAAATGTTGACCTGACCAAGTGGCACAGATTCCCTGCCCACCAGGTATGCGCCTGTAGTTTTTAGAAGAGTGGCCTCTAAGATGCAGATGGAGGGAGATGGGTCAGCTGAAACCCCCAAAGACTGCCTTTCGGGCTCTCCCATTATCCTCCATCTCCAAGGCATCAAGACCCCAGGAAGCCAGCAGCTAAAGATCAGTATCCTTGTGTGTTTTTCCCTGCCTGGGCCCTGCTTTATTCTCTGGGCAGGTGACTGAGGGCACCTTTGTAACATGTCTTTAGCCGGTGAGACCCCGACACTTCTTGGTGATGGTATGCATCCTGTTTGGCCCGTGTGCCATTCTCTACCATTGAAGTCATGGAGTTGGCCCAAGTTCTGACCTCCCTGGTATGCTTTCCTCTGAAGAAGTGGGGTCTCTCTCATACGGGTTAGATATGTACAGCAAATGCTTTATTTCCTTGCATTTCTCATGAAGACATCACATTTCATGATGCTACACTCTTGGCCTAATCTGCTGGTCCCCCTTTCCCCCCCAGCCTGCCTTTTCACCTTGTCTCTGGATGGATCAGGACCCTTGACTTCTCTGGCTGTTGGTGACGCCATCTCCTTATTGTGTGCAAGTTTTAACAGAGGAATTCACTTACTCAGAATGGACCACAGCCAAGGGCTGGAACTGCAGGAAGTGGCAGCATTCTGAGGCCAAGAGACACTCACTGGACAATATCAAACCATGGCTCCTCCTCAGCATGGCTTTGTGTCTTTCCCAGTTATCTTGAGGGGAGTGGGATGTAGGGCTGGTATTCTTTGCTTAGGTTCATTTACAAGATGTATCAGTGTTGTAAGTCCAATAATTTAAGTCCAGTGATTCAAAATCAGGTATAGAGTCCAGAAACATGGACTACACATAAGGTTCTCTATTTAAGTTAAATACAAATGCAACTTTTTAGTGAGCTTTTAGGACTACTCTTCAAAAAAAGTGTATTGCTCAGAATGATGACCTGTAAATGTAAGAGTGGCAGGCCTCTGTCTGTGAAAGTCAGAACACAGGGCTCGAGCCTCTGGAACTGACCCTTTGCAAGTCTTTACAAAAGAAAAAAGGCAGTGGGGAGAGAGAGTGTTTTGGTTACATCAGAAATAATTGAGATGGGAAAGAATAGTGCAGCTCCATAGAGGAGACGGACTGTAGACAATGAGATTAAGCTTCAATCACTGCTCCTCAGCAATGTGAAGAATCAAAGTCAGGGCAAGAAAGCGAAAGCTTGGACTTCTATTCAAAGTGGCAGCAGAGTGGGAGGGCGGTACCCTTCTAGCCCAGTGCTGCTGAGCTTGTGTGAAAATCAGACCTGAGATGGCTTGAAGCAGCCAAGAACCACATGGGCATTGCCCAGAATTACAGGAGTTAGCACACCAGCTCTACAGATAAGAAAACATTGAAATTCAAAGATTAAGGCCAAAAATATCTCACTTGCAATTTTAATATTTTCATTTGGATTTATATAAATGAAACATATATATGTTTTGGAATGGCCAGAGTGAGGCAAAGGGGATCCCTGAAATAACATTAGAACATACAGGAAAAACGAGGCAGGCAGATCACTTTAGGTCAGGAGTTCAAGACCAGCCTGTACGTGCGTGCCTGTAGTCCCAGCTACTCGGGAGGCTGAGATGGGAGAATCACTTGAACCTGGGAGGCAGAGTTTGCAGTGAGCTGAGATTGTGCCACTGCACTCCAGTCTGTGTGACAGAATGAGACCTTGTCTTGAAAAAAAAAAAAACAAAAAACCACATACAGGAAAAAAGAGAGGGATGGAGTCAACTGTGCCCCAGACATTAAGCCCCCTTCAGTGAGGAGGGGCAAGGTGCTCAGGCCTGCCTGTGTGGCCCCCAGGAGTCAGACCTCAGCCTCATGCTCACTGGTCCATTTTCCTCCAGGGAAAATGGAGTTCTTTCTGCCTTCAGAGATGCCCACACATAAGGCACATGAGGCTGTTGGTGACACCATCACCAACACTGGAGATTCCCTTTCTGACAAGTCCCAGCCAAAGAAAGATTTTGCATTTGTCTTCTCTGTCCTCTGCTTGTCTCTGATACCAGTGACTGACAGCCACCTTCCTTCTTCCCTCTCTTGGTGTGATCATGGCTAACTGCAGCCTCAATCACCAGGGCTCAATCAATCCTCCCTCCTTAGCCTCCTGAGTAGCTGGGACTGCAGGCATGCACCACCACACCTGGCTAATTTTTTGTGTGTTTGTGTGGTCTAAAACTCCTGGGCTCAAGTGATCCATCTGCCTCGGCCTCCTTAAGTGTTGAGATTACAGGTATGAGCCACCACATCCAGCTGAGAGTCTGTTCTTAAGCTAGTACAAAGAGTCAGACCCGACTTTGAATCTCCACTTCTCCATTTAGCTGGATGATCTTGGGCAAGTTATAAAATCTGTTTCCTCTTCACTTTATAACGTGGGTTTCATGATCATACCTCGCCACAGGGCTGTTCTGAAGACTGGACATAGCTATTTTAAATGCCAGGAAAGGCCAGGCGCAGTGGCTCAAACCTGTAATCCCAGCACTTTGGGAGGCCGAGGCAGGAGGATCACCTGAGGTCAGGAGTTTGAGACCAGCCTGACCAACATGGAGAAACCCCGTCTCTACTAAAAATACAAAAATTAGCCAGGCGTGGTGGTGCATGCCTGTAATCCCAGCTACCTGGGGAGCCTGAGGCGGGAGAATCGCTTGAACCCAGGAGGCGGAGGTTGCGGTGAGCCGAGATTGTGCCATTGCACTCCAGCCTGGGCAACAAGAGCGAAACTCCATCTCAATAAATAAATAAATAAGTAAATGCCAGGAAAGGTGGTGACAAATGGTAGCCATAATTATTTATTGTCCTCTCTGTCCAGACTAAATGTTCCCTTTTCCATATTAAACATTTACCATTCTGCCGGACGCGTTGGCTCATGCCTGTAATCCCAGCACTTTGTGAGGCCTAGGCGGGCAGATCACAAGGTCAAGAGATCGAGACCATCCTGGCCAATATGGTGAAACCCCGTCTCTACTAAAAATACAAAAATTAGCTGGGTGTGGTGGTGCCCGCCTGTAGTCCCAGCTACTCAGGAGGCTGAGGCAGGAGAATCGCTTCAACCGGGGAGGCAGAGGTTGCAGTGAGCTGAGATTGTGCCATTGCACTCCAGCCTAGGCAACAGAGAGAGACTCTATCTCAAAATAAAATAAAATAAAATAAAATAAAATAAACGTTTACCATTCCTTGATCCTTTTTTTTTTTTTTTTTTTTGAGATGGAATCTTGCTCTGTCGCCCAGGCTGGAGTGCAGTGGTGCAATCTCGGCTCGCTGCAAGCTCCGCCTCCCGGGTTGACGCCATTCTCCTGCCTCAGCCTCCCGAATAGCTGGGACTACAGGCGCCCGCCATCACGCCCGGCTAATTTTTTTGTGTTTTTAGTAGAGACGGGATTTCACCGTGTTAGCCAGGATGGTCTCAATCTCCTGACCTCGTGATCCGCCCGCCTAAGTGCTGGGATTACAGGCGTGAGCCACTGCGCCCGGCCTCCTTCATCCATTCTTAGATCTTATCCTCTAAACCTTTAGTCATCGTTTCACTCTCCTTTGATTCCTTGTTATGGGTCTTTCAACTCTGGAAAGACAAAGAGATAGTGGGAGAGGAAGCCCGGTCACTGAGCATCTACAGAGGGCTAAATATATTTATTCTCATTTGTTATTCCCAATATTCTCTGTATTGTGATTTCCATTTCACAGATGAGGAAGCTGAGGGCTAGAAACATGCAGTACTTTGCCCAAAGTCACACACATATTAAGAAGAGCTGAGGTATGAATCTGGGTCTGCCTGACTCAAAGCCCAAACGCTTTCCTTTGCATCGTGTCACAAAGTCATAGACCATGACATTGTTTGTATCTTCAAGACCAGTTATTAACTTTCTGGCTCCAAGGAGATCCCCTGCCCAAGTGCCTAGGGGCAGTAGACAGCTGTCTCAGGGACAGTCGTAGCATGTGCTGGATTATTAGTGCAGCAGCTGACACTTTTTCCCAGAAGGGAGAGAGGCAGCAAGTCAGAAAGTTCACGGGAATGAGTTGGGAGGGGGTCCCAGGGAAGGGGGACAGGCTGCCAGGAGAAGGAAAGTACACGGGAGAAAATAGTGGGGCTCTGATGAGTTAGTAGGGTTCTGTTACCAATAAAATTGTTTCCATAAACTGTACATGTGCTTGATGTCAAATTATCTATGCATTTTAAGTAGAAAATAGATTAGTAAATTCTAGTGTTTGTAGAGGACTTTTTTTAGTCTGATATGCCCTAATCAGATACTCTCAGCACCTAAGATACAGGTTGCTAAAATTCATTCATTCCTTGAACATTCATTGAACACTTCATTTTAGAGGCTGCCCTCTAAAATCATATCAAGGAATTTTCCAAAGACAATTTTTTTCCAGGAAGGTGGATAAGCCCTTGGAACCTGGCCAATTGCATATTTAAAATTTAAATAAATGTATACATTTACTTACATATTTATGATTTAAATATATATACTTGAGGGGAAATGGATACTTATTATTAATGTTCTTCATTTTGGCACAGAAAAGTGTAGAACTCGGGTCACTTGGTGTTTTTATAATCCAACAGTGAGATAAAAACTATTTCCAAATGGCCTTCTGAAAACATAATTATTAAAGAGCAGCTTTATTATTAGTAATGTAGTAGACTGTGGCAGGTGCGGTGGCTCATGCCTGTAATTCCAGCATTTTGGGAGGCCGAAGCGGGCAGATCACTTGAGGCCAGGAGTTTGAGACCAGCCAGACCAACATGGTGAATTCCTATCTCTGCTAAAAGTACAAAAATTAGCCAGATGTGGTGGTACATGCCTGTGATCCCAGCTACTGGGGAAGCTGAGGCAGGAGAATCCCTTGAACCTAGGAGACAGAGGCTGCAGTGAGCCATGATCGCACCACTGCACTCCAGCCTGGGCGACAGAGCAAGACTCCATTAAAAAAAAAATGCAGTAGACTGCTAGTTGTTTCCCTGAAATTGGCACATATCCTTGGCACAGGCTGCCCAGCTAAGACTACATTCCCAGCTAGGCAGGCCATGAGAATCAGTGCTTGCCAGTGGATTGTGAGTGGAAGTAATGTGTGTAACTTCCACCTTATTAGCTTGCAAGGAATGTGCTTGTCCAGGGCTACCCCTCTGCATCCTCTCCACTAGCTGGAATGCAGACTGCCAGCAACAGCTTCAACTCTCGATGAGGACAAGATGATGGCATGGCAAGAAAGAAGGAAGCGGGGGTCCTGAGGAACATTGAGGAGATGAGCAGCTCCACCAGCCTGATGGATGGAACTGTAACTGGAAAGGGAAATGAACTGCATTCTTTTAAAACCACTATGTAACTTAGACTTTCAATTCAAGTATAGTAATCACGTAAAAAGTTTCAGATGTCTTAAGTTAATAGCTTGCTGAATTTCATAAACTGGACATTCTAGTCATCAGTACCTAGATGAAGAAGCAGAACACATCAGGAACCCAGATGGTCTCTCATACTCCTCTCCAGGCCCATTCGTCAAAGAATTTATAACAGCTTCAGTGGATTTTACCTGCTTTTCTACTTTCTATAAATGGAATCACAGGGTATTGTGGTAGATGGACCACAGATTTCTTCCATTCCTGTATGCATGACCCTTTGCAATGTGACTTCTACTCAGGGAGAGGTAGGGTCTATTTTCACACCCTTGAATCTAGGCTGGCCTTTTGACTTATGGGGTGACCAATAGAATGCAGAGAAATGGACACGATGAAGCTCCTGAGGCTGGGCCCTTGCAACTCTTGATAGTTACAACCCTTAGTTTTAAAACTTTGCAGCTTCTACTTTCACTCTCTTGAAATGCTGCCCCCAGACTGCCGTGTAAGGAAGGTGGTCTAGGCCACCTGGGAAAGAACTGAGCATCACCAGAATGAGGTCACGTGAGGGTACCTCAGACCTTCCCACCCAGCCAAATCTGCATCTGAGTGCAGCCTTATGACTCAACTAAGGTGAAATCAGAAGAGAAATTGCACAGCTATCCCATCTTCTCATGAGAAGTAATCTATCTGTTGTTTTAAGACATTAAGTTTTGGGATCTATACTTGTTATGCAGCGAAACAAGTATAGATTAGTGAAACAAGTATGTACTCTTATTTTGGTCAGGCTTCTGTTGCTCAACACGTTTGTAAGATTGTTCCATATTGCTGCATGTAGTTGAATACCATTCGCTCTCATTGCTGTATCCTATTCCATTGTATGAAAATATTGTAATTTATCCATTTAATTACTGATGGACATTTGGGGGTAGTTTCTAGTTTGGGACCCTTACAAATAGTTCTGCTATGAACATCTTAATAACATGTCTTCTGGTGAACATCCACAATACCTGTGTTTATTACATAAATAGCAGAGGACTTGCTGGGCCGTACATAGGGGAATTCACATGATCAGTTTTAGTATATACTGTCAATTTTCCAAAGAGGTTGTACCAATTTACTTCCCAGCAGCTGTGCAGAAGCATTAGTAGAGTTTCAGTTGTTCCACGCCCTTGTCAACGCTTTGTGCCCTTGACCTTTACAACACTCCATTTTAAAGATGAGTGTGTAGATGTTGAAAAGTGCACAAGGGGAATGTTTGCTCCATGAGCCAATCACGGAAGGAAGCTGGGCCAGCTGGTTTTGGCATCTACCTTCTCCCTGACAGCTCCAGGGAAGAGGCCAGACTTTAACAATAAAAACTTCTATGTGTAGAGTGCCCTGTATTTTACATACTACTTTCACAGTCATAACCTTATCTGATTCTTCTAACAAAACAACACTCTGAGAAAGGCATCATGGAGATTATTATCTCTGTTCTACAGAGAAGAAAAAGTGACTTTCCCAGGATCACTCAGTGTGTGGTGGAGCCCAAATGGGAGCTCGGGTCTTTGACATGCAGACTGGCTCTGGCCACCAAGGCCCTCTCTGGCATCATCCTGGTGGTAGTGGGCATAAAGGCTGAGGGGAAGGGGGCAGGTAGAGGTGTTTGTACCTATGGAATAAGCGACATGGGTTTAAACACCATGGACAGAAGGAACATCCAGCCCGTTCCCATATGTTATCTCTCCAGGTTCTGGAACATAACATCCTGCCTATTCAAGATCCTACAGACAGCAAATTGAAAATCCCAGCTTTGGGCCGGGCACGGTGGCTCACGCCTGTAATCCCAGCACTTTGGGAGGCCAAGGTGGGAGGATCACTTGAGGTCAGGAATTCGAGACCAGCCTGGCCAACATGGTGAGGCCCCGTCTCTACTAAAAATACAAAAATTAGCCAGGCATGGTGGTGCATGCTTGTAATCCCAGCTACTCAGGAGGCTGAGGCAGGAGAATTGCTTGAACCTGGGAGGCAGAGGTTGCAGTGAGCTGAGATCGCACCACTGCACTCCAGCCCGGGCCACAGAGCAAGACTCTGTCTCAAAAAACAAACAAACAAAAAAAAAACAAAAAGAAAAGAAAAGAAAAGAAAATCCCAGCTTTGGATCAGGGGGTTGGTGTTACCTGGCACTGCGTATTCAGATGCTGGACTCAGTTCACCTGGATTAATTTTTTGGTAACTGGCTAACTTCATGCAATAACAATGCAGATGTTTAAAATGAGGCTGCATGGAAGCTGTCTGTGATTCACCCTACATGAAAAACACAGGTAACAAAAACCATCGTACAGCATCATCCTATTTTGGTAAAAATATCTCCATACACATGTCTGTACATTCATAGATAAAGACTTGGAAGAAATGTGGCAAAAATACTAACAGTGTTGTATCTGGGTATTGAGTTTAAAGATGAATTTATTTTCTTCTTTGTTCCTTTCTATATTGCTTGATTTCTTTTGCAGTGAGGATGTACCAGTTTTTTTAATTTTATTTTTGAAATAGAGAATACATTCACAAAGTAATAATCAAGAGTCTAAAAGATTATACAATAAAAATTCTTCTCTCGTCCCTGTCTGCCTTCCATCTGGCTCCCTCCAGAGGTAAACAGTGTGACCAGCAACTAGTGTATCCTTTTAGAGACTTTATGCACATATAAGCAAATATATGTTTGTTTTTTCCTATTATCACTTTTACAACCAAAATACAATAAAACTACCTTGATTTTGAAGAAAAGGCTGTAGAAGACTCTTTGATTATATAAAAAGATGAAAAGTGAAAAACAGAGGCTAGAAAACTACATACAGTGTGACATTTTATATGAAATTATATAAAGTATATATATTATTTTAAAATATATAAAATATATATTTAAAATGTAAAGAGAGACAAAAGCTATAATCCAAATGTGTGGGCAATTATCTCTGTGTCTAAAGTTTTAGGTGAGTTTATTTGCTGTCTTTTTTTTTTTTTTTTTGCAACAGAGCCTCGCCCTGTTGCCCAGGCTGGAGTGCAGTAGCACGATCTCGGCTCACGGCAACCTCCACCTCCCAGATTCAAGCAATTCTCCTGCCTTAGACCCCTGAGTAGCTGGGATTACAGGCACGTGCCACCACGCCTGGCTAATTTTTGTATTTTTAGTAGAGACAGGGTTTCATCATATTGGCCAGGCTGGTTTCGCACTCCCGACCCTGTTATCCACCCGCCTCAGCCTCCCAAAGTGCTGGGATTACAGGTGTGAGCCACCGCACCCAGCCTGAAAACTAAGGTTTTCCATTAAATTTGGTGCCAAAACTTACCTGATCTTGTGATGTTTATTCTTTTCGGTGTCAATATTCATAATAAGCTGCAAGATATCAATGTTTGAATATAGGGTACTGCCCCAGATCCCACTGGGAGAATTGGGAGAGTTGGCAAATGCATCATCTTACCTTCCTAAAATTATGAAAAATTCTGAATTCTGAAACACACTTGGAACCAAATGTTTTGAATAAGGGATTGTGACTTGGAAAGCAAATTCAGATGCTGCACACAGCAGAGGCCGGGGGTGCCCATCCCCAGGCTGGGATTCACGTTGCCCTGCCTAAGGTGTCAGGTCCTTGGGAGCCTTTATGAATCTGAAGCTGAATATAATCAGAAGGCATCAAGGAGTATATACTGGAGGTATGTCTCCTAAATCAGTACTCTTCACTTGTAATGAATGTGTCTCTGAATCTCCCAGGGATCTCGTAAAAATGCAAATTCTGCCTCCGTAGGTCTGGAGTGGGTCTGAGATTTTGCATTTCTGTTTTTCTTTCTTTCTTTCTTTCTTTCTTTCTTTCTTTCTTTTTTTTTTTTTTTTTTTTTTTTTGAGACGTAGTCTCGCTCTGTTGCCCAGGCTGGAGTGCAATGGCACAATTTTGGCTCACTGCAATCTCCACCTCCCAGGTTCAAGCGATTCTCCTGCTTCAGCCTCCCGAGTAGCTGGGATTACAGGTGTCCATTACCACACCCAGCTGATTTTTGTATTTTTAGTACAGATGGGGTTTCACCATGTTGCCCAGGCTAGTCTCGAACTCCTGACCCCAAGGGATCTGCCTGCCTCAGCTTCCCAAAGAGCCAGGATTACAGGTGTTAGCCACCATGCCCGGCCAGATTTTGCATTTCTAACAATCTCTAAGTGATGCCTATGCTGCCGGAACTGTCCTAAATGCTAGACAAGCCTCAGGCAAGGCTCTGAGTGATGATGACATGGTGGCCCCCTAGGGAGAGTTGCCCTCTGCCCTTGACTGGGGCCTGCTAAACACTGACCATGCCGGATTCTAAACCTGCTGCACTCATCACCTTTTCTCCATCCTTCTGCCCTCTGCCACCTCTTCCTTCCCAGATGAGTTAAAACCACCCCACGCCTCTGCTCCAGACATTGGCTGGGCTCCACCGAGTCTCATGACTCTTCACTCACCCGGGTCTAAGGTACTGCTTAGGTGAGGTGCTTTTCCAGATGGCTGATCTTGCCCCCACAAGCATGAACTTTATAAATTAGTTTAACTCTCAAGTTCCTGAGATGCCTCACTATCTCTCCCGGGTATCTCCCTGGAAAAATTTTTCACTGTTGGCAAAGCACTCCTTAGCCTGACCACCCACAGACATTATGATAATGCATAGACTCACTAGACAATTAGTGACCTGGAAAAAAGCCATGACTTTTTAAATTTTATTTTATTTTTCTGAGACAGAGTTTCGCTCTTGTCGCCCAGGCTGGAGTGCAATGGCGCGATCTCGGCCCACTGCAACCTCCGCCTCCTAGGTTCAAGTGATTCTCCTGCCTCAGCCTGCAGAGTAGCTGGGATTACAGGCACCCACCACCATGCCTGGCTAATTTCTGTATTTTTAGTAGAGACGGGGTTTCACCATGTTGGCCAGGCTGGCCTCGAACTCCTGACCTCAAGTGATCTGCCTGCCTCGGCCTCCCAAAGTGCTGGGATTACAGGCCATGCCTGGCTATGACTTATTTTATTTTTATTTCAATGCTTACAATGTCATGACTGACTTCTTACCTGCCCTACCTGCTTATCTTTTTAAGTTCTGGATACCCTGGTTGCAGAAAACTCAGACTTAACTTACTTTCTAAGTGAACTTTCTTACTACAAAAGTAATACATATTTGAGAACTTGGAAAATGTAAGCAAGAAGAAAGCGAAAACATGAGTGGCCATCACCCAGAGATAAAATTGTGACATTTTGCCTCATGGTCTTGCAGTCTTTATACATAAATTATGCTTTACAAAATCTGGCTTATGCTACATTCTCTCTTTCTTTCCTTTTCTTTTCTTTTCCTTCCCCTCCCTCCCTCCCTCCCTTCCTTCCTTCCTCCTTCCCTCCCTTCCTTTCTTCCTCCCTCCCTCCCTTCCTTCCTTCTTCTTTCCTTCCTTCCTTCTCCCTCTCTTTTCTTCTTTTCTTTCTTTTTTTCTTTTCTATCTTTCACAGGGTCTTTGCTCTGTTGCCCAGGCTAGAGTGCAGTGGTGCAATCTGGGCTCACTGCAGCCTTGACTTTCTGGGCTCAAGTGATCCTCCCACTTCAGCCTTCTGAGTATCTGAGACAACAGGCATGTGCCACCACGCCCAGCTAATTTTTTATTTTTTTATTTTTTGTAGCAATGGGGTCGCTAGTCTTGAACTCCTGGGCTCAAGCAATCCTCCAACCTCGGCCTCCCAAAGTGCTGGGATTATAGGCATGTGCCCAGCCAACATGCACCGTTTTTTTGTTTTGTTTTGTTTTGGTTTTGGTTTGTTTGTTTGTGTTTTTTTTGAGATGGATTCTCTCTCTGTTGCCTGGGCTGGAATGCAGTGGTGCAATCTCGGCTCACTGCAACCTCCGCCTCCCAGGTTCAAGCGATTCTCCTGCCTCCTTAGCCTCCCAAGTAGCTGGGATTACAGGCACCTGCCACCACGCCCAGCTAAGTTTTTTTTTTTTTTGTATTTTTTAGTAGAGACGGGGTTTCAACATATTGGCCAGGCTGGTCTCAAACTCCTGACCTTGTGATCCGCCTGCCTCGGCCTCCCAAAGTGCTGGGATTACAGGCGTAAGCCACCGTATCCGGCCAACATGCACCATTTTTAAGCTGCTTTCCCCCTCCATTTACAGTATACTGTGACCATTTTTAAAAGTCAATGAAAATCTTTCTATATCATTTTAAATGATTATGTAGTTTTTCACCTAATTGATGGGGTTTTGGAGTGTTTTCAATCATTTGTGATTAAAATAAAACTGCAATGAATATCCTCACTCAACCAAAATATATCTTTTTGATGCTTCTGGGGAATTACATGATTAGGTCAAAGTAGATGAACTTCTTTATGTTTTCTTATGTTGCCAAGCCAGAAAGCGTGACTTCCAAACTCTCAAATACAAACCAGGTTCTTTGGACTAAATCAGTGTCTCGAATCCCCAGTAACCTCAGTTAACCAGTAGTGACACCGAAAAGCAGGGAATTCCAGAGCTGAGAGGAACTTTGAGGCCATCGGTGATCATATACCTCGTCTCCAGCTCAGAAAGAGGAGAATTACTTAGACATTTTCTTTAGAGATCTAAAACTTCCCAAAGTCCACAGTTTTATTTTCACACAATTCTAGGCTAACTTAAAATCAGCATTTTTGCATTATTCTTTCATTCAATATTTATATATTTATAATGAGGGGGTTAGATCAATAGGGGATTGGTGAAGTGATTTATGGTACAGCCATTCAATGAAATCTGATACAACCATTAAAAAACCGAAGAAGGTCTTCTTTTTTTTTTTTTGCTCTGTCGCCCAGGCTGGAGTGCAGTGGTACAATCTCAGCTCACTGCAACCTCTGCCTCCCAGGTTCAAGCGATTCTCCTGCCTCAGCCTCCTGAGTAGCTGGGACTACAGGTGTGCACCATGACGCCGGCTAATTTTTGTATTTTTAGTAGAGACGGGGTTTCACCATGTTGGCCAGGCTGGTCTTGAACTCCTGACCTCAAGTGATCCACCCGCCTTGGCCTCCCAAAGTGCTGGGATTACAGGTGTGAGTCACAGCGCTGGGCCAAAAACCGAAGAAGGTCTTTATGTACTAATACAGAATGATATCTCAAATACATCATCAAATGAAAAAAGAAAAATGCAGAACAGTGTACATAATATGCACATTTGTGTAAAAAGGAGGTAAAGGAATACATAGATGTTTTGCCATGGACATGCTGTTTGTGTATGTATAAAACATCTTTGGAAAGATACACAACAAACTGATAGTATAATACTTTGATTTCCAGGGAAACTAGGTGGCTGCGAAGAGACAGTTTTCACTGTGAAATCAAACCATTCACATGCTCAACCATGTAAATATATTACCTATTTAAAAATCAAATGTGGGCACGGTGGCTCAAGTGTAATCTTAGCACTTTTGGCAAGTGGATTGCTGGAGCCCAGGAGTTTGAGACCAGCCTAGGCAACCTGGAGAAACCCCATCTCTACAAGAAATACAAAAATTAGCCAGCCACGGTGGCATGCACCTGTAGTCCTAGGTACTCAGGAGGCGGAGGTGGGAAGACTGCTTGACCCCAGGAGGTTGAGGCTGCAGTGAGCTGTGATCGTGCCACCGCACCCCAGCCTGGATGATAGAGTGAGACTCTGTCTCAAAATAAATCAATACATAAAAATTAATGTAAAAAAACACAAAATGCGGGGACTAGGGCATTTGATTACATCACCAAGCAGATACATTTATTTACTTGTTTATTTCTCAAGTATGGCTGAAAATGTCAGTAAAGAAATAAGGGGCCAGGCGCGGTGGCTCATGCCTGTAATCTCAGCACTTTGGGAGGTCGAGGCAGGTGGATCACCTGAGGTCAGGAGTTTGAGACCAGCCTGGCCAACAAGGCGAAATCCTGTCTCTACTAAGAATGTAAAAATTAGCCGGGCATGGTAGCGCGCACCTGTAGTCCCAGTTACTCGGGAGGCCGTGGCAGGAGAATTGCTGGAACCAGGGAGGTGGGGGTTACAGTGAGCCAGTATCGCCCCACTGCACTCTAGCCTGGGCGACAGAGCAAAACTACGTCTTAAAAAAAAAAAAAAAAAAGAAAGAAAAAAAAAAAGAAAGAAAGAGAGAGAGAAAGAAAAGAGGACCATAGGTACAAAAAGAATTTGAGCGGGAACAAAAGATGGGCCACGTGAACAGACCGGTTATAACAATAATAGTTCTGGTTAACATTTAGCGAGTTACTGTCTGCCAGGCCCTGTGTTATTACGCGATCTCGACACGTATTACCTCATTTAATCTACAGATCAAGTAGGTAGGTTATTATGGCCATTTTCAGGTGAGGAAACTGAGGCTGGCAGAAGTTAATTAATTTGCTCAAGTCTCCATCGGTAGTTAAACGGAGTTTGGATTCTCAGTGAGGGCTGAACTCTGACCTAGAAGTGTGCCTTGCTTGAGAACCCTGGCTCTTCAGGCAGACGCTCAACCGTCTCCCGACTATTTTTCTGCTGTATTAGTGGCCGCTTTTGTCAGTATTTTGCAAGAGCTATCTGTATTTTGGTTACAGGGACTCAGCATAGGGAAGGATCCATCTCGGCAGAAGCCAGGAGTCGAGGCAGGTCAGCGCACAGAGGACAGTGGAATCCGAGGGGATGGCAGGAGATCAATCGGACCCAGAACAGAGGCCTGCAAGGATGAGCGCACTTGATCCCCTCAGAGAAAAAGCCAGAGTGACTCACAGGAGAAAGACAAAGCAACCAAAGCTTCCAGGGTGTACAGGAGGTCCAAAGTCACCAGAAGGAAGAAGAAAACCTGAAACAGCGAGAGCTGGCCAAACGCTGCTAAGACCTATGCAAATAAGACCCACCCACGCTACCTGGAAATCGGGCCTGGGAAGTCAGAAAACAAAGCACATGCGTGCAGGGCTGCACGAACGGAGGCGGAGGAGGCGGCTCCGAGGGAGCAGGTAAGGAGACAGAGAGGGTCGCGGAGGGACGGGTCACAGGGCTCCAGAGTCCAGAGAGGCAGCAGCCGTGCAGCGCGCGACAGGTGAACTCTGGCCTGGGAGGGCAGGCTACTGGGTTCATCTTTCAAACTCAGCCACTCTTTAGCTGGGAAGACTTCGGCAAGTTGCCTCACCCTTCTGAGCCTTGGCTTCCCCATCTAGAAAATGGGTCTAAAAATAATCATGCTAACTCTGTATTGAGCGCCTTCCGTATTCTACTGGGCACCGTATAGACTATTCCTTCCCCAGAGCAACCTTGTAGGAGTGGGATGATTAGCCTTTTTTACAGAGGAAAATGAAGTTCAGAGAGGTTAAGCCATTTGTCCAAGACAAATTGTTCCAAATCTGGTTCCAAAGCCGGCACCTTTCTACTCCCCATTCAGCCTCTCTCACAGGGTGGTTTTAGAGTATCAAATGGCTTTCTGCAAACAACAACAAAAAATCCCAAAAGGCTAGTAACCTATCTAGATGGATCACCACACTTAGATCTTAGCAAGGGCCAGGGCCCTTTGTAAACTGTGAAGTGCTATGGAAATGCCAGTTCTTGGTTGAAAACAATGGAGTGATGCTGGGGACAATTGATATTTGGCGATGACTTGTTCATAGACCAAGGAGATGACTTTGGGGCGGTGTTTAGGATTTACTGTAGCTGAGATGTCCTGGCTTGGGGTGGAGGTGATACATGGCCAGAATCTCTCCCCAGCTGATCCTGAAACAGCAGTGGATCCCTGGGAGAGCAGCACAGATAAAGATCCAGGCAATAATGATGCTTCCTCCTCTTGGACAGCCTTTTACAGTTCTGGCCATGGAACTTCAGAGAAGGTAGGTCTGATTTGGGGGGAAACAGGAGATCTTGACGTGTAGTAATACAAGCTTACTGGATGGAGTAAAGTTAGAATTTTCAGGTAAGAGAATTAAAAAAAAAAAAAAAACTTATAATCTTGCCCCCAGAGATAACCACTGCTAATATCTGGTTGTTTATCTCTCCAGACATTTTTTCCATTGCACACACACTTTTGGAAATTGGATTATATGGTAATATGGTTTTGTTGCTGGTTCTTTTTCGCTTAATGACATTATATCCTAGGTATATATCCATATTAATAGTTTTACCACATCATATTAAAGGCTGCATAATATCTCTTCCTATGGATGGAGCAGAATCTACTTAATCAATGTCCTATTACTGGATGATGACGTAGTTCTCCATACGTCACCGTTAAACCAGCGCCTGGATGGGCATCTCTTTACTCACATCTTTGCAGAAGTCCTTGATGGTTTCCGTGGAATCGATTCCCAGTGGGGGAAATGATGAGTCAAGGTTACATACAGTTTACGGCCTCTGGTAAGTATTAAAGATCTGCTTCTAACACACTCTGGGATTCAGGGGCTTCTCAAAGCTTGATGCAGAGGACTTTGTCACGGCTTTGAAATCAACCTTGACCCTTCCTTTCTCTCAAATCCATTTGCATTAATAATTTCAACTGCCTCATATATCCATAACAATGTTTTGATCAACAGTGAATTACATATGTGATGGTGGCCACCTAAGATTATAATACCATATATTTACCTTGCCTTTTCTAAGTTTATGTTGAAAGACACACGCAATTATCATTGTGTTACAATTGCCTACAGTGTTCAGAACATAATAAGCTGTATGGGTTTGTAGCCTAGGAGCAACAGGCTAGACCGTATAGCCTAGGCATGTAGCAGGCTCTACCATCTAGGTTTGTGTAAATACTCTCTGTGCTGTTCATACAACGATGTGTTTCTGAGAACATAGTCCCATTTTTAGGTCATGCATTGCTTTGTGGTCTTTACTGGGTGCTGGGCTCTAACTAAAAGCTTTACTAGTTTTGGCTTCCTTTGCACAAGGAGAAATAGAGGCACAGAGAGGTCAAGCAATTCAACTGGAATCACAGCCCTAAATAGCCATGGATCTGGCATCATGAACCTTGACAGAAACTACAACTGGATCCCTAGAACTCCACTGCTTCTTGGGAAGTGGCTTTGATTCTGTCCCCAAAGATATCACTTATCCCATCCCCTTTTATCTCCTCTGCCACTGCCTAACCTGCACCACCATCACACGCCTGAGCCACACTGCTGCAGCCCGAACGGGTGTTCCCTTCCCGATCTTATCCCTCTCAGCCTGTCCTCTGCTCTGCAGCTAGAATGGTGTTTTAAAAATGGAAATAGGATCAGGTACCTTACCCTACCGCTCACCCCTGGAATAAAATCCAGATGAGCTCCTGAGTTCACAGGTCCCGAGTACTATACCCTCCCACCTTGCCTACTCCGGTCACCACACCTTGATCACCCTGGGCTCCTTTCACTTTCTCAAATTGGAAGAGCTTTTCTCACCTCGGGGCCACACATGCTGTTCCCTGGGCCTGCAACGCTCTTCCTCCACTGTGCGTGGCTGGATTCCTATATACTTTGGTCTCAGCTCTTCTGTCATCTCTTTGCAGAAACCTTCTCTGGTGGTCTCATTGGGAGCAGCCACCAAGCACCCGAAGCCCATTTTCCTTTTTGCCCTTTATTAACAACCATTAAAATTGTGTATTTATTTATTGCCCATTATTCATTAAATGTCTTTTTGCCTCACTACACTCTAAATGTCATGAGGTCAAAGACAATGTCTATTTTGTTCACCATAATACCTTGCACAGCACCTGGGCTAGAGTAAGCACTCAATAATGTCCGAGTGGATGAATGGACTGCAGAATAAAGCACTGGTGCAGAGCCCTGCTAAACTACCCTAGTTTCGCTTAGGGCTCCATCTCCCTCTGCATATCTTCATTTCCTCCTTCCCTGTTTGGAGCAGTGCCAGAGGTCTAGAAGAAAACCAGGAAGCCACAGGTCCGAGAGTATAAGCAGGTTTTGCTTCAGACATCGGCTCAGTCGGGGTAGATGATGTCATATCAGGGGCTCTAGGGAGACTCCCTTCCCCCAGATCCCCTCTTCCACAGTTCCTGGATTTCTACCATGAGTCTTCTGGCCGTGAAGGATTCCTGATCACATGCAAACACTTATTATCTAGCTAGTAACACGCACTGAGTAGGGGGACGGCATGGATGCAGCCTTCTGTCTTTACGAAAACCATGAGTCTGAAGACATGGGTCCCATGTCACCATTAACTAGCTGGGTGACTTTGGGTGAGTCACTTCTTGTCTCTCATCTGCAAAGTGAGTAGTTCAGATGGAGAATTGGTTTTTAAACTTTTTCTTTTCCCCAGCAGATCAACTCTTCAAATTATTCGAATGACCCATATGAGAAACAGAGAAAAGCCAAGTATTTCTGGTTGAAACGGAGAAGCTGGGCTGGAGTGCGCCTCCCTCCAACTCCCCGCTTTAACTCCCTAAGGTTGGTGGGATGGCCAGCTCTAAGATCTCAGAAGGCTGACCAGCTGTGTGCTAAGAACAAAGCAGAAGGCAGCGAGGTTTGTACACGCTGATTGCAGTTACTTAGGCACATTAAAAGATCAGCGGGTGACTGGACTGAATCTGATAGTCGGAGCTCTTAAGCTTCGAAGTAGGTGACTTTCACAGCAACCAAAGTGCTGAGCAGGCAGCCCCTTTGTGCAAGGAGGAGGTTCCAGCCACTTTCGAAGAGAAATGAGGGCCCCAGAGAGAGGAAGCCCAGAAGACTCAGTTACCCTCTTCACATCTACAAAGACGAAATTGCCACCCTACCTTTCCAGACCAGGGACTCCAGGTGTTGAAGGGACTGCCCACAATCTCACAGGTGCTTGGCTTCCAGGTTCAATTAGTTGCCATGCCCTGGGGGGAACTCAGGTCCCCCATCTTCCTCCCCACCCCACCCCCCAGGAAGCTCTCTGGCCTTGGCTCCAAGCAGGTGTGCTCAAGAGGCTGCCGACTGGGCCACCTGGCAGCCCCAGGTGCTGCGTGCATGCTGCCATGGAGACAGGCCCCTGGGTTGGTGGCAAGAAGGCAGTCTCCCAAAGCTTTGCCGATTCAGGGGAGGGAGCAACTGGAGCCTCAGGCCCTCCAGAGTAGTCTGCCTGACCACCCTGGAGCCCACAGAAGCCCAGGTGCGTGCCCTGAAGGTTTCCCAGGACAAAGGGAGGGAGGAGGAGCCAGGGTAGGCAGAGGATGGGGAAGAGGCTCTGGAAGGGGAAGAGGCTCTGGAAGGGGAAGAGGCTCTGGAAGGGCTGATCTGGGGACTGGGGCAGGGAAGCTTCTGCAAGGCTTCCAGGTAAGGAGAAAGGCCTTTCCAGGGGCTTCCTTGCCAGGCCAAGGACTGGGTGAGTAGGATGTGGAGGGTTGGCCCTCTAGCTCAAGGGGAGGAGGGAAAGAGGGCTGGCATTTGTCCCCATAGGAGGGACAGACCAGGGAATTCACAAAACCCATCTCTGCGCTAGTCAGGGATTTGAGGTAGCAGGGAAGGAAACATTTGTCCTGTAGCAAAACCCGCAGACTGCAGCTTACCCCCAGCTCCCTGGATTCAGGGCAGCCAAGGGCACAGACAATGACCATAAGGAGCATTTGCGTCCAGCTCCAAAGCCCAGGGCGACATCTGCTCCAATGCCGGCTCTCTTGGGGGCTCTTGGTAGGGGTGGCCCAGGCCTTCACCTTGACAGAGGGGAGGCTGTAGGAGCATTTGACTCAACTCGATGGGTTAGGAACTGGTGATCAAGAACAAAACGCTTTTGAACCTAAGTAAAACGTGGTGATTACACCTTTCAACACCCACAGAACACTTTGCCCCAGGCCAAGCACAAGGATGGGACTTCATGGCTGTTCCTTTGCTCCTTTCCCCCTTCTGCCAGGACGTCTCCCGCGAAGCCTCCCCGTGTGTGGCTGAGGATGGCTGAGCAGCAGGGCCGGGAGCTTGAGGCTGAGTGCCCCGTCTGCTGGAACCCCTTCAACAACACGTTCCATACCCCCAAAATGCTGGATTGCTGCCACTCCTTCTGCGTGGAATGTCTGGCCCACCTCAGCCTTGTGACTCCAGCCCGGCGCCGCCTGCTGTGCCCACTCTGTCGCCAGCCCACAGTGCTGGCCTCAGGGCAGCCTGTCACTGACTTGCCCACGGACACTGCCATGCTCGCCCTGCTCCGCCTGGAGCCCCACCATGTCATCCTGGAAGGCCATCAGCTGTGCCTCAAGGACCAGCCCAAGAGCCGCTACTTCCTGCGCCAGCCTCAAGTCTACACGCTGGACCTTGGCCCCCAGCCTGGGGGCCAGACTGGGCCGCCCCCAGACACGGCCTCTGCCACCGTGTCTACGCCCATCCTCATCCCCAGCCACCACTCTTTGAGGGAGTGTTTCCGCAACCCTCAGTTCCGCATCTTTGCCTACCTGATGGCCGTCATCCTCAGTGTCACTCTGTTGCTCATATTCTCCATCTTTTGGACCAAGCAGTTCCTTTGGGGTGTGGGGTGAGTGCTGTTCCCAGACAAGAAACCAAACCTTTTTCGGTTGCTGCTGGGTATGGTGACTACGGAGCCTCATTTGGTATTGTCTTCCTTTGTAGTGTTGTTTATTTTACAATCCAGGGATTGTTCAGGCCATGTGTTTGCTTCTGGGAACAATTTTAAAAAAAAACAAAAAAACGAAAAGCTTGAAGGACTGGGAGATGTGGAGCGACCTCCGGGTGTGAGTGTGGCGTCATGGAAGGGCAGAGAAGCGGTTCTGACCACAGAGCTCCACAGCAAGTTGTGCCAAAGGGCTGCACAGTGGTATCCAGGAACCTGACTAGCCCAAATAGCAAGTTGCATTTCTCACTGGAGCTGCTTCAAAATCAGTGCATATTTTTTTGAGTTGCTCTTTTACTATGGGTTGCTAAAAAAAAAAAAAAAATTGGGAAGTGAGCTTCAATTCTGTGGGTAAATGTGTGTTTGTTTCTCTTTGAATGTCTTGCCACTGGTTGCAGTAAAAGTGTTCTGTATTCATTAATTCATTCACTTATTCATTCCACGACCATTTACTGGGCTGGTGCTGAGTGCCAGAACTGAGGGAAGAGAAGAGTAGGATTATCCAGGGGTGGCAGATGGCCCTCACTAGCAGGAAGGGGTGTGCTCATTCAGCTGCTGCTTTTATGAGACCACCTCTTGCCAGCATGTAGTTCATGGAGTGTTAGGTGAAATCTAAAGGTGAACGATGTTAGATCAGTGGACTAGGGGAAGTCTGGGATTTGGAGGAATAGGTCTTTCTTCCTCCCGGCAGATACAGAGGCCCTGATTAGAATGGACATGGGGTAGAGTTCTGATTCCCTTCCCCCAAGCTCCATAATTCCAGCTTCAAGAAGATGGAAACGCTGGACACAGGCAAAAGTTTAACTCCCATCCCAGGCCATGGGAGGCAGCGGGGGAACCCTAGCTTTCACTTTACATGATAGAATCCAGGAACCAATCAGACAGAATTTGGGGGCTCAGGCTGTTGCTTGGTAAGTTGCAACCTTGCAGTGTCTAAAACTCTGATTTCTGTTTCCCCAGTTTTAACCTTGCCTGGTGGCTCAAGGCTCTGAAACAATTTTAAAGTGGTTAAGATACCATCACAGCCTGGGCGCGGTGGCTCACGCCTGTAATCCCCAGCAAAGATTAGCTGGGCGTGGTGACGCGTGCCTGTAATCCCAGCTACTGAGGAGGCTGAGGCAGAAGAATTGCTTGAACCCAGGAGACAGAGGTTGCAGTGAGCCAAGACTGCGCCACTGCACTCCAGCCTGGGCAGCAGAGTGAAACTCTGTCTCAGGAAAAAAAAAAAAACGATACCATCACACACAAAAGATACCATCACAAATATGTAAGGATAACATTTTGAGGTTTTGGGGGTTTTTTGATAAGCAGAAAAAGCGTTCAGAGGCCAGAATTTGAGTTGGTTGATTTGCTCCAAATAATGTTAGATTCCCCCCAGGTGTTTTAATGTACAAAATACTCCAAAATATCCAATACGTATATTTCACATTTAGAAAAACCAAACGGTTTAAGCTCCAATATGAAGAAAAAGTCTCCATTACAAAGTTGCAAAACTGCCTACATATTCCTTTAGGGGACTAGCAACTATCTCTCCATTTGTGCCATCAAAGATAATTACACTAAAGCTGGGACTCCACCTTTCCCCATTGACTTCATTTCTTTACACAGTGTTGCTCCTTAAACTTGTGGCAGATAAGTTAGGCAATAATCTCACCATGTCCTCTGAGCTAAGCGGACAGGCGAGGGCAGCTCAGGACAGGAGAAACTGAGAAAAGCCCAGGAAGGAACACTGGCCTCTGCACTAGGCCTACTAACCTCAGCAAGCTTAATCCCCAGTTTACAGATGGAACTGAGGCTCCACCTTGTTCAAGGCCACCCAGCTAGTAGGTGGTAGAGTCTTTTCAGTCAAAAAAGAACTTAGATCCTTGGAGTGGTTGATACACCACCCAAATAAGACAAGATGTAAGTTTGAGGGTTTTTCCGATAGGTGAGGATATACAGTCATCCCTTGATATTCAGGGGGAAATGGTCCCAGGACCTCCTGAAGATACCTGAATCCGAGGATGCTCAAGCCCCTGATATAAAATGATGTAGTGTTTGCATATAACCTACACACATCCTCCTCTATACTTTAATTCATCTGTTGATTACTTACAATACCTAATACAATATAAATGCGATGTGAAGTTGCTATACTGTATTGTGTAGGGGATAATAACAAGAAAAAAAGTCTGTATATGGTCAGTAGTGTATTTTCGACCTATGGTTGGTTGAATCCTAGAACCCGCTGATGGAGAGGGAGGGCTGCCTGAACATCATGGTGTCTCCTGTTTTCATATTCGGTAGCTCTAGCTTGGGGCAGTCCCATCCTCTTCGAATGTATCTGGAAATGCATGGGAGCATCTTTTGTAGTCAGTGGAGGGGGTGAATTGCACTGCTGACATTTAGGGCTCAGAGGTCTGGGATACTAACACCTGCTGCAATGCTTATGTTGCCAGTTCCACAGGATGAAAGATCATCTAACCAAAAATGCAAATAGCTATCTTGTTGACAATAGGCTCCTCATCCGTTCAGGATGTGCGAGAGTTACTTTAACATGGGCATGAGCTCAGAGATGGAAGTGACTTGTCAAAAGTGCAGTATACAAGCTGGGCACGGTGGCCCGTGCCTGTATCTCAGTTACTCAGGAGGCTGAAGCAGGATGATCATTTGAACCTAGGAGTTCATCTCATCTTTTTTTGAGATGGAGTTTCACTCTTGTCACCCAGGCTGGAGTGCAACGGCACGATCCCGGCTAAGTGCAACCTCCCCCTCCCGGGTTCAAGCGATTCTCCTGTCTCAGCCTCCCGAGTAGCTAGGATTACAGGTGCCTGCCACTACGCCCAACTAATTTCTGGTATATTTAGTAGAGATGGGGTTTCACCATGTTGGCCAGGCTGGTCTCAAACTCCTGACCAAAGTGTTGGGATTACAGGCGTGAGCCACTGCGCCCGGCTGAGATCCCATCTCTTAAAAAAAAAAAAAAAAAAAAGGGTGGGGGGCATTATACAAAGTGGAGAGTCCTTAAAAAGCTCAGACTTCGTACAGGAAACAGGCCATGCTGGCTGTACCGGTCCTTTTGTCTGGCCAGTGTGGGGAACCTGTGAAACCTTCATAAGGTCATCAATGGTCAGATGACAGTTCAAATTCAAGCTCCATCACTTGCTAGCTGGCTAAACTTGAGCAAGTGTTTTTGGAGCCTGTTTTGTCCATAAAAAGGGAATAATAAACTCAAAAGATTGTGGGGATTAAACAAGGTATCTGAATGTGCCTGGTATACCATCTAGGTAGGGACTAAGTGTTCTGTGAAACGGTGGCTGTTTATCTTGCCATTTTCACAAATGCCACACCTGGCTTTGTGCTTCTTAACCACTTTCTTACAATGATGTTTTAATTCCTGTGAAGAAATAGCCCACAAGGTATTTGTTCTGTCAAAGGCTTGGATGAAATGTTTTCACCCAACTGCTACCTCTTGGACCAACCAAAAAACAAAGAAAAACAAGTCGAAGGGAACTAATAGCAAAATTTAAACCTGAGAAACTAAAAATCTTTGTTAGCACATTATATCCAATTGCATGCTAATTCACCAGTGTTCTTCATTATTTTACACATACTACAAAGAAGAAAAAAAGTTCTTTTCATCATAATCTATGAAATAGAATTCATTAATACCTGAACAATAGTGAAGTGAGCAACAGAGGGTAGTCCTGAGAATTCAGAAGCTGAACAACTACATAGGAAATGCAACTATTTGGTTATAATTGAAATCAGATTAAAAACAGTATGTTTAGGTCAGGCACAGTGACTCATGCCTGTAATCCCAGCATTTTGGGAGGCCAAGGCAGGATTGCATGAGCCCAGAAATTTGAGACCGGCCTGGGCAACAAAGTGAAATCGTGTCTCTACCAAAAAATCAAAAAAATTAGCTAGGCATGGTGGCATCCTCCTGTGATCCCAGTTACACAGGATGAGGGGATGAGGCAGGAGAATCATTTGAGCACAGGAAGTCAAGGCTGTGGTGAGCTGTGTTCGCACTACTGCACTCCAATCTCGGCGACAAAGCGAGACCCTGTCTCAAAATGAAACAAAACAAACCAGTTGTTTGGCTATATATCACACATTCAGGGTCCACAGAATAGAGCTGACCAAAGCCATTGTCAACCTCTCTGCAACAGCAAATTAAGTTTTTTTGAGATGGAGTCTTGCTCTGTTGCCCAGGCTGTAGTACAACGGTGTGATCTTGGCTCACTGCAACCTCCGCCTCCCAGGTTCAAGCGATTACATACGTGAGCCACCGTGCCCGGCCAAGAAGCCTTTCTTTAATAACTCTCCTCTGTAGACAACCTTTTCTTCTTCCAAATTCCTATATATTTTTTTGAATTTACTGTGTAATTTGAGAGTTCAGAGGCTGTATAGTTGAGGTGAAAAGAGGTGCATGACAGACAAGTTAAGAATTGTAATTGAGTCCAGGCCTGGCTTACTGGCAGTCTGGCCCAAAATGCAAACAGCCTTCTATTTTAAAAAAAATTGTTAACAAGGTGCTAAGGAGACATAAATCAGAGTAATCCATATTTGAGATCATCCATTATATCCCAAACCAAAAAAAAGAGACCTCTATGGACCAATGGCTAGGATTCAGAAAATGCTTAACTATAGAAAATAATTCTTTATAGGGTAGTTTTGTAACAGGATTTTACCGTAGCAAATGTGGAATAAAGAAAAGGTTTAGGTTTAGGAACACCCATTAGGGTTTTTTCGTTACTTCAACATAAAGTACCCTTTAATACACGAAGTACATCCTTTAAACAGCCAAGAGAAAGGAGGTTGTACAATAGAGACGTCATGTTTGCTTTCTAAACATTTGTTTGACTCCTGACACAATGGTTTTGCTTTGGGGTAACATGAAGGTTGCCAAACTTCAAAGTAAAAAAAAAGATATTTTCTGACAAAGCAAATGTTCAGTTCAGAGTTGCCTGATGCTGTCAGCATTCCAAGCAAACTCAATAGGAAGAGGTGAAGTCTTCTTCACTGTATAACCATCGGCGTGGCTGCGGTCTACTGCTTCACATCCCATTCTCCAGGGAAAGGAAAAGTGCTCGCTATGATGCATTGTTTAACCAATGAGTGGTGAGATGTGCCTCTTTACCTGAGGGCTTCCAGACTATAGTTCAGCCACCTTGCTCTCTGGGTCATATGTAGTCCTGAAGCATGTACCATGTTATGGAAAGCCAAGTTTCAAGAATTAAAAATGCAGAGTCAGTCACAATCCTGGGTGCTGTGAGGAAGGCTATAAGGCATTCGAACAAATTTTTTTTTTTTTTGAGACAGGGTCTTGCTCTGTCACACAGGCTAGAGTGCAATGGCGCAATCTCGGCTCACTGCAACCTCTGCCTCCCAGGCTTAAGCAATCCCTCCCACCTCAGCCTCCCAAGTAGCCGGAATCACAGGCAGAAGCCACCGCGACCAGCTAATTTTAGTATTTTTTTGCAGAGACGGCATTTGCCATGTTGCCCAGGCTCGTCTTGAACTCCTGAGCTCAAGCGATCTACCCACCTCGGCCTCCCAAAGTGCTAGGATTACAGGCGTGAGCCACCACGCCCGGCCAAACAAAAGATTAATAAAAACAATGTCTACACAGTTCGTGGCAGGGCGTAAAAAGGTAATAAATTTTCAACCGTGAGAGGGGTTCCCCATCACCTAGGGATTGGGCTGCCTTCCTGGAGTGGGGGCTGACATGGAAATCCAATTCTACTGAGGGTCTATGCATGGTAATTGGCAGAAAACATGATAGAACTAAACACTTCAATTCTTCTCGTTTGAGGAAAACAGCTCCTTAGAGAGAGCTTGAGGTTCAAGTCCTTTTCCCATTGTCATCTATTCAGCCATCCACAGCTTGAAGGTCCTGTCATATGAGCAAGTGGCTATGAGCTGCCCATCGGAAGAAATATCTAGGCCCATCACTTTGCCTTCGTGGCCAGCCAGAGTCTTCAGCGGGGACCAGCCTGGGTGCGTCCAGATCTTGGCTGTGTTATCATAGGCACCAGTAAGCAAGAAGTTCCCATGGATAGCTACAGGAGAAGAGAAGGGGAATTGCTTGAGGAATTCAAGTATTCAAAAGAGAAGACAAAAGCACAAAAGTCTGCAAAAACATACTATTTTTAAAAAAACTTGTTTCTACAGACTTAAGGGAACAAATAACAGTAAGGTCTTTTGGCTCATTCCCTGACCGAGAATCTATTCAGAATAATATTAAGGACTCAGTGCTCAGAGCATCCATGGAGGAAAGAATGAAGCAAAGCACTCATGAAAGTCTGCTTTACTTCCTGCAACGAGAAGCGTGCTTTCCCACAGATCTAAGGGTATGGCAGAGGGAAGGAAATTATAATTTGCTCCTTTACCAGTAGGTCAATTTCTCTCCTGTTTTACTGCTCAGTTAAGCTAAAGCCTGGCCTGCATTCCACGGGAACACAATACTGTTTGTCTGTGTCATTTAGACGTAAAATAGGAGGAAAGCTTACGCTCAAACTTGACACCAGTCACTAAGTTCTGATGAGCAGGGATGGTGTAGACGCAACGCCGCTGTCGGAGGTCCCACACTTTGCAGGTGTTGTCACCACTGCCGGTTGCAATGTGATAGCTGTGGATTGGATGCAGTATTGAAGTTAGAAATAGAGTACTTACTGACCCAGAACCCTTTTTCGCCCCTCATTCAGTGTGTTTATTTTACCCATTGGGGGAGAAATTTATTCCATAGATTTCTTTCAGGTGGCCTTCTAAGAACATGATACAACGTCCTGTGCGTAGGTCCCAAACTCGACCAAATGCATCCAGTCCCCTGAGAAAATAATTTAGAAATGAACACTTTGAATCCAGTTCTCTGTGGAAGCAGGTATAGGTAAGAGGTGAGAGTACTGAACTGCCCCTGACTACATGGGAGAAGCCTTACCCAGTGCCAGCCAAAGAGCCATCTTGATGGAAGGCAATGTCATACACACCCATGCTATGGCCTTCCTGATGCAGGATCTCCTCTTGAGCCTCCAAATCCCATAAGCGCCATGAACGGTCATAGCTAAAACCAAATCACACTAACAATCAACCAGCTGATATTTATTCAGTTTCTACAACACATAAAGTATTCTAAGCCATTATAGCTTAAGTTATTAATGCTTCTGAAACTATTCATATAACCATATTAACAGGAAGCTCCTTTCTGACATAAACAATGACTCAACAACTAAGCTTATCTGCCTTAGGTGCTAGCTGAAAACCATGGAATCGCTGTAAACCTCTAGGGCTTTTTTTTTTTTCTTCTTTTGAGACAGAGTCTCACTCTGTTGCCCAGCCTGGAGCACAGTGGCGCAATCTTGGCTCACTGCAACCTCCACCTCCCGGGTTCAAGCCATTCTCCTGCCTCAGCCTTCTGAGTAGCTGGGACTACAGGTGTGCGCCACCATGCCCAGCTAATTTTTGTATTTTTCATAGAGATGGGGCTTCACTATGTTGGCCAGGCTGGTCTCGAACTCCTGAGCTCAGGTGATCCACCCACCGTGGTCTTCCAAAGTGCTGGGATTATAGGTGTGAGCCACCATGCCCAACCTAGTGGCTATTGTAATAACAGGATTCCCCAAGAATGGCCCAGCAAAGACTCTGTTACCTTCTTTCTTCCTCCACTGTTATATTCTTTCATTCATCAAGCATTTATACATTTACTAGGCCCTAAATTGGATGTTGGGGATACAAAAATCACTCATACACAAATAGATCAATGGAAGAGAATAGGAAGTACAGAAATAACCACACATATATGGTCAGATGATTTTCAACAAGGGTACTGAAACAATTCCAACAGAGAAAGGAAAGTCTCTTCAATACAAGGTGGTATAACTGACTATGCACATGGAAATAAAGACAAAAGAGACAAACACAATTTAAAAAACCAGGCAAAGCATATGACAGAGCACTCAAGAGCAATAATGATCAGGGTAATAAGAATGAAAATCACGGGAGATCACTACACACCTGCTAGATTGGGCAAAATGGTAAGACTGACAACACCAAATGTTAACAGGGATGTGAAGTAACCAGAACTCCGGGAATGTAAAATGGTGTAACCGCTTTGGAAAACTGGTGGGGAGTTTAGAAAAAGTTAAATATACATCTCATACCTCTACCCTATGACCCAGCAATTGTACTCATGTCCACAAAAAGCCTGGTACAAGAATATTTATAGCAGCTTCATTCTGACTGGCCCAGACCTGGAAACAGCCCAAGTGTCCATCAACAGGAGAATGGATAAACTATGGCACAGTCATAAAAATGAATAACCCCCAGCAATAAAAAGGAATTACTGATACATGCAACAACATGAATGACTCTTAACAATGTTATGCTGAAAGAAGCCTGCCACAAATGAATTCACAGTATGAATAGACATAATTAATTTGTGGTGATAGAAGTCAGATCAGCAGTTGCTTTAGAAGGGGGAGTTGGCTGGAAAAGGGCATGAGGGACCTTTCTGGGGTGATGGACTATTCTCTATATTGACAGAGGTGTCGATCACAGGAATGGTACGCGTTTGTAAAGACTGACAGCATTGTACACTTAAAATAAATCCATTCCATTGTATGTAAATTATAACTTAATGGAAAAGTTCTCTAACAGATTCTAGCCTCCCTGAACTTACAGAACCAGGAAGGGAGACTTATATACCTGTAGCATTGGACAAGAGTGAAAATCCTTGTTTTCTGGTAATTTGTAACTCTGAAATTTCAGATTAATTGTAATTTAAAGGCAAATATGGCTGGGCGCGTTACCTGTTATCTATAATCCCAGCACTTTGGGAGGCTGAGGCGGGAAGATCACCTGAGGTCAGGAGTTTAAGACCAGCCTGGCCAACATGGTGAAACCCTGTCTCTACTAAAAATAAAAAAATTAGCTGGGCATGGTGGCACGCGCCTGTAGTCCCAGCTACTCGGGAGGTCGAGGCAGGAGAATTGCTTGAACCCGGGAGACGGCGGTTGCAGTGAGCCGAGATCGCGCCACTGCACTCCAGCCTGGGTGACAGAGTGAGACTCCACCTCAAAAAAAAAAAAAAGGCAAATATACTTAGCTCTCACTATATTAAACATTCTCCTCTGATTCCAATTCCCTGCAGCCCAAGAAAATCCTACCTGAAGATCTCTGCTCTAAAAATTTACCTGGCAGATAGCCATAAAGGGTTAAGAAGATGCTACAGGCCTATATGGATAAAACAATAACAGGATGGCTCACCAGGTGGTGCCCAGGAAACGTCCTGAAGGATGCCACATTACCCGCGCCACACGCACTGTATGGCCTTCAATATCTGCCACTGGTTCATCACTGGAAAGGAACCAAACATATAAACAATTTTATAGACATATAAATAGTCACAAAACTGCTTACCTTCTGTGCAGACATACCCATTCTGTACAACACGAGAGGCTAAATTGTAACTACACTTGTAAACTACTTTGGCCCAATAAGCAAAATAGTCATTCTGCACCAAAGGAGTACCTGGATTCTAGAAAGAAAACATGCTTTGGAAGAGATATAAGGACACAGAAATCACATAGTTTTGGTACAAGTGGATTACAGATAAACCTTTTTCAAATTTAGGCCTGTTCCAAGATCCAAATGAAAAAGGAACTCCTAAATAGAGATGAGGCTTAGTCTCCTTTTGGTGGCCATTAAATTCTGCTACCCAGCAACCACCAAAAGATCTGAACATCAGCAAAAGGAAATAAACATGAACTCTAAGGAACGCAATTAAAAAGGGAACTTTGTCAATGTGCATACACAGAACAAGCCAAAGCCCAAGGGGAATAAACATTGCTAAGTATTACCAAAGCCAATTAAAACTCACTGCGCTCCTAAGTGAGACCCTGTCTGGTGAGGAGTGAAGACATTAATTAGCTCTCATAAAAATTCTCAAGTAAAAACCTTCATGTGTTTTCCCAAAGAAAGAAAACTAAACAATTAAATTCAGATGCCTTTTGGCCAACAGGGTGCTTCCGAAGTTTTTTTTTTTTTGGAAAACAATCACATAAACACATTTTTAAAAACTGTTGTAGTTGGAAAATACATTCTAGGTAAAGGATGATGCTATTGCGAGGAGACATCTCCGTGGTAATACTGCTAGACAGAACCTCACTTTCCTCTCCCCTGTGGCTGTTTGCTAAGAACCAACGAACTGCCAAGAATATTATATTTAGTTCATTGTTAATTTATCATGTAGGAGGTAGGCTGGATCTTTCTGGAATAAATGGAGCTAGGAAATAGTGGTCACTAGGCTATAGACAAAAATCAAGATCCAAAGTTAACAGGTAAGAAAAAACGGACATAACTCCTTTAGTAAGAAAAGGCCTAAGAATGAAATCTTCCACTTACTTCATTTTCACACTAGGTTACCTTGACTCTTAAACCATCTTGGGGGTTAAATGCCAGATTTTTTTTTTTGTTCTTTCAAGACGGAGTCTTGCTCTGTCACCCAAGCTGGAGTGCAGTGTGCAATCTCGGCTCACCACAACCTCCATTTCCCGGGTTTAAGCAATTCTCCTGCCTCAGCCTTAAGGTGTGAGCCACTGCGCATGGCCTAAATGCCAGATTTTTACTGAGGTCCTGGGGACCAACCAATCAAACATCTACTTTAGTGATGGCAGTATGGGCCACAGAACAGTGATATTCACCTGTCGAGACTCCAAAGCTTCACAGAGCCATCAGCCGCACAAGAGGCCAGGTTGACATCTTTTGGGTCCAAGGAGACAGTGGATTTGGGATGGAATACAATTGCTCCTACATTTGTGTTATGCCCTAAAGGAGTGTAAGAGATGCAAGTTAAAAGGTTCCTGCCTCTTTATAACCCATGTTATATACTAGGGAACATGTGGACATACAGAGTATTCAAGTGACTATTCAACTATTAAAACATGAACTATTTTAATTTAAGCTAATATTTAAATTACATTTTTAAAAAAGCAAAACACAAAAAAACCCATTTTGGTTTTTGGTTTAGAGATTATAAAATGCCAGAGTGTGACTGCACATGAGAGAAAAGTGGATGTGTAGGAAGTTGTGATAGTCCAGTCTTGCAGCCAGAGAAAACCAAGTCAAATCAAATCAAGGATTAATGCTGTGTGTATGGGGTCTGAGTGTCAAGCAGAGTTTAAGGCTTAACTGAGTTCACACTGGGAAAAAGACCGAGATTTGGATAAGACTCTAACTTACCTCGAAGAGTGTGAAGGAGGTTGCAATCAGGAACAGACCAGAGCTTGCAAAGCCCACTCCTATCAAATACAAAGGAAAGCATCTCAGCCAGGGTTGGTCTGGGAAGGAAAAGGTACCTTGGTAATATTACTAAAGGACAATCTCTTCTCACCCCCAATAAACTTTACAATGGCTGACAGAAAAATAAAAGCCTTATAGTTAGAAGGGTTATAGAAGAAAAAGCTACCTCCAGCCCACACGCAACCAGAGGCTTTTACTGGACTATAATTAACACTACACCAGTAGCCATTCTCCTTAACTTTTGGATCCACTTGTGAGGGAAGGTGGGGCAAATTAAACTATCCAATAATACGAATATTAATAGTGATACTGTCCTTAAATATGAATAGTATTTTGCTGATTACAAAGTATTTAAATTTTTTTTTTGAGAAACAGTGTCACTCTGTCACCTAGGCTGGAGTGCAGTAGTGTGATCACAGTTCACTGCAGCCTCAACCTCCCAGGCTCAAGCAATTCTATCACCCAGCCTCCTGAGTAGCTGGGACTAACAGGCGCATGCCACCACACCTGGCTAACGTTTTAAAAAATTAAATAAATTTTTAAAAATTTTTTGGGCCAGGCGCTGTGGCTCACACCTGTAATCCCAGCACTTTGGGAGGCCAAGGCGGGCAGATCACAAGGTCAGGAGATCGAGCCCATCCTGGCTAACACGGTGAAACCCTGTCTCTACTAAAAATACAAAAAATTAGCTGGGTGCGGTGGCGGGTGCCTGTAGTCCCAGCTACTTGGGAGGCTGAGGTAGGAGAATGGCGTGAACCCAGGAGGTGGAGCTTGCAGTGAGCCGAGATCGCGCCACTGCACTCCAGCCTGGCCGAAAGTGTGACACTCCGTCTCAAAAAAAAAAAAAAAAAAAAAAAAAAAAAAAAAAAAAAAAAAAAAAAAAAAAATTTGTAGAGACAGGGTCTCACTATTGTTGCCCAGCCTGGTCTCAAACTCCTGGGCTCAAGTGATCCTCCTGCCGTGGCCTTCCAAAGTGCTGGGATTACAAGTGTGAGCCACCATGGCTGGCTGGCCTTAAACTTTTTAGAGACTTCTTATTTTGGAAATTTTTCAACAAATTACTTTTATATCTATTATCTCGGATGATCTTTCTAACAGACCTGTGAAGCAGGTACGGCAGGAACGATCAAACTTTATAGTGAAGGTAATGAGGCTTGGAGAGGTGGACTCATTTGTGCAGAACCTTGGCTTTCTCCTGAACCCATCTAAAGGTCAGCCTAGTCAAGTAGCTCCTGTGTATTCAATCTAAGTTTCCTTTCTCATTAGATAGCCATGTCCCACAGAAAAACACAACCAAACTCAAACAAAACAACAAAGTTACCACATCCTGAGTTTTCTGCATATGTGGTGATAAGAAAATAAAACAAAGATAAACCAATAATTAACGTTTAACGAGTCCTTACTACATACCAGGCACTGTCAAGGCAAAATGCCTTGCAAACACTACCTCATCCCACTTTACAGGTAAGAACACTGAAGCTTACAGAAATTAAGTATCTTAGCGAGGTCACATAACTGAAAAAGAAAAGCCAGACTGAGTTATGGATACTAGTTGGTCTATAAACTCACTACAGGACCTGTTCCAAAATACTAGTGTCAAGAATGTGACAGAGTGCTTTGTGTAATGGATCTCTGGGGTCACTGGTGAAGAGCGAGAACGGCTAAACCAAGGCTACATTGTATTATACAACAGGTAGAGCACTGACTGACATCTGTAGTTTGGTGTGATCATGAGAAGCAGAGAAAGAGGACGTAGAAATAGACGTCTAACGCAAATGCTAATTTTCTTCCTGAGCCTGTTCCCCATTTAGGAAAAAATGTCATTGTAAAATGGAACTTACCAACAAGCTGTGGCCAGCATCTTGGAATTGGGACTAAAGTGACAGTAGGAGATAGGCCGATCATCCCCAATCTGACTGCAAAAATTATTCAAAGACTTAAAAAGAAAAAAAATACACACACGGTGATCATTAATAGGTTAATCTAAGAGCTCCTTTGCTTTTCCACCATAAAAAGAACAACAAAGCAGCTTTTCAGTTTTAACCCATCCCAAGATTCTTCTATGGTTTTGTTGCTGCTGTTAGAAGACACATACATTGATAAATGAAGTTATATGAAACTCCAGCATGCTGTTTTCTATAGTCTTTTTTTTTTTTTTTTTTTGAGACAGAGTCTTGCTGTGTTGCCCAGGGTGGAGTGTAGTGGCGTGATCTTGGCTCACTGCAACCTCCGCCTCCCGGGTTCAAGCAATCCTCCCGTCTCAGCCTCCCAAGTACCTGGGATTATAGGCACATGCTATCACACCTGGCAAATTTTTGTATTTTTAGTAGAGACAGGGTTTCACCATGTTGACCAGGCTGGTCTCAAACTCCTGAGGCTCAAGTCATCCGCCTGCCTCTGCCTCCCAAAATGCTGGGATTACAGGACTGAGCCACTGTGCCCAGATGTTTTCTACAGTCTTAGGATCACAACTTCTGAGTCAGCTAAATATAAACAGAAAACCCCAGAGAAACTCTGACATATTAACGGGGAGAAATAAAGAATAGAACCATAGGCCTCTGCTGAATACAAAGCACAGTAAGCTCCTGCCACATTAACTGATGGCTCCTTCCATGTCACAGCAGCTCAACTTAAGCAGGGAGGAATCACTCTAGTTGCCTCTACCTTCCCAGAGGTGAGCCAAAGTAGAAAAATCAAATAAACATGAAGAACCTTTAAGATGTGGGACAATTGCTGGGAGCATCTTACCCGGAGAGACTTGTGCAGCTCTTGCATCTGGGAGGTCCTTGTTGTCTCAGGAATCTCCTTATGGAGTCGGGCCTCTTCCAAGCGTTTCATTGCCCTGCGACACAGAAACACCATCACCAGGAGCAACAGGGTTGTAAACAAGGACCCACATGTATCCCTACTCTACCCCTCAATTTCATTTAACAACCATAGTCATTATCCAGCACTCAGTTCCTGAGAGGAAACACACACAAAAAATATGCTTCTTTCTTCTACTGGAGGCTCTCTTTACCTGGGCAACGAATAATTAGCAATCCATAGTCTTGCCACCTTCAAGCTATTTGGTCCTTCATGATACCAGGTTTGCTGATACTGAAAGGCAAATTAAGAGCAGAAAGGTCAAATCTGAAGCATTCTACTCCTCTTATAACTGTCATTTCTCCATTTTAACTGCCCAGAAGGAAGGTGAATTCATTCGGTAATAGGATGAAATCAGGCAGAGGACTTTCTACTGAATTTTTTTCTATGATATGTAACTACATGGTTATACCAGGAATGCCATGATTCTTTCCTGACTGGAAAACTCACTTAGCTCCATTCATACTTACAAAGGAACCAAAACTACTGCCAGCAACTCTTCTTGAATGGTAGAGCCTTCAAAAACATTTCCCCCAACATCTCAGCAAAACAAACCATTGAAAGCAGAAAACGAGAGACCTATCCCCTCATTTCCTTCATGTTTATACTGTGAAGTTAAAGACATGTTCTACCTCTTCTTTGGACTTTTTAGACTTCTCATCATCCTTTTTGGTCTTTTTCAAGGCATCAGTACCGACAACTGAGAGGATATTTCTTAACCTGTTAAAAAAAAAAAAAAAGATCAGAATTTAAACATGGTTGAGATAATACTGTTTTTAAAGTACACTTTAACACAGTTTTAAACACTGTTATTAAAGTTCCCCTAAGATGGGAGCAAGCCTTTACTATTCTCTCACTGTTCAAACCACCTAGCAACCTTTTTTTTTTCTTTTTAAGAGATGAGGTCTTGTTGTTGCCCAGGGTGGAGTGCAGTGGCATGATCATGGGTCACTGCAGCCTCAACCTCCTGAGCTCAAGCGATCCTCCCACTCCAGCCTCCCGAGTGGCTGGGACTACATGTACACTGCTACAACTGGCTAATTTTTAAATTTTTCTGTAGAGAGAAGGGCTTGCTATGTTGCCCAGGCAAGTCTTGAACTTCTGGGCTCAAGTGATCCTCCTGCCTCAGCCTCCCAAAGTGCTGGGATTACGGGCATGAGCCACTATACCCGGCCCTCCAGGAACCTTCTTTAAGAGTCAAGTGGGGATGGCTAAACTCCCAGTGTGGTTTCTCCCACTCAGTCTTCTCTATTTGGAAATTTCCAAAATTCAACTATAAGCAATTACTCTATACAGTTTAGAGTCAATGAGCCCCTACACTGCTACCACTTGGTCTGTGAAGACTGCCAACTTTCACTCAGTGCCACAATGTACTGGATACTGACTCAGGTGCTAACTATACAGTGATGACTAGGAATCAGTTCTTGATTTCAAGTAGCTTAGTCCTGGGGAAACAACAGAGAGTACTGGCAAACTATAATCCATTATATTACCTATCACTATAGCAGTAAGCACAGAGGGCTAGAGGGGACTTTGTAACGGGCATCTAACTAAGCTTAGAGGATCAGGGAAGGCTTCATTAAAAAAAGGTAATATGTAAATTGAGTCCTCAGTTAATCAGGTCAAGGGGGTCAAGAATGAGAAAATGTCAGGCAGAGGGTTAAACAAATAAGGCCTGGAGGTAAGAAAAACATGTTGAGCTTGCAGTCACAAATAATTCAATATGGCTGGAGCGTAGAACATAGAAGAGGACTGGTGAAGAATAGGGCTGCAAATGCAAGGAGGAGCCAGGTCACAAAGAATTGCTAATGCCACGCTCAGGAGGATTTACAGATGAGAAAGATCCCTGAAACAGTACAAAGAATGGATTAAAAGGGAAGAATAATGGCAGGGAAATCAGACAGTACTGTTGTAGTGACGCTCTGAGTCACAACCGTGGACTGAAATTCAGATAGTAGCAGTAGTGACTCAAAGGATTCATTTAAGGAACATAATAATGAATAAGATAGACTTTGCTGGTGGAAAAAACAAACTAAACAATAATAAAAAAGTATACCCTTTGAAAAGGCTAATAAAATAACATACTATGACAGAGAACAGAGGGGTTAGGTGTGACGAAAGGCTTCTTTGAATAGGTGGCATCTATGCTGAAACGAAAGAATAAGAAGTTTGACAGGGATCCAGGTTAATAAAAAATGAAGAAGAAAGGCCGGGCGCGGTAGCTCACATCTGTAATCCCAGCACTTTGGGAGGCCCAGGCAGGCGGATCACTTGAGGAGGTGTTGAGAGGATCACTTGAGGAGGTGTTCAACACCTGGCCAACGTGTTGAAACCCCGTCTCTACTAAAAATACAGAAATTAGCCAGGCATGGTGGCACATGCCTGTAGTCCCAGCTACTTGGGAGGCTGAGGCAGGAGAATGGCTTGTACCTGGGAGGTGGAGGTTGCAGTGAGCTGAGATTGCACCACCGCACTCCACCCTGGGTGACAGAGCGAGACTCCGTTTCAAAGAAAAAAAAAGGAAGAAAAAAAGCCTCTAAAAGACAAGACAGAAGAATAAAAGTAGACCAATTATGTGGAAAGACATAAAAAGAACTAGCATATTCCATAAGGACCAATGTGGCTATTCTAGTAAATTGGGGAAGGGAGACATGAGTAAGGCTGAAGACCTTACAGACCATGGTAAGAGTTTTTTACTCCAAGTATGAGAAGACAATCTAGGATTTTAAGCAAGCAATTAACACAACATGTTTGGGGCTATCACAACAGTGCAGATTTGAAAGCAGTAAAGATAGAGCAAAGAAGATAGCTGGAGTTGTATCTCGCAAGTAGAACAGACCAGATTTTGCTAATGGATTATAAAGGAGGCTAGGCAGATTTTCAACTAAGAATTGTATGAGTATAGGAGAGAGGTGGGGAAATATTTCAATTCAGATGTCTCAAGTTTGAAGTACCTGTGGGATACCTAAGCTGCAGTGAGAGATTTGGGAATCATCAGAACACACAGTGAATGATGCCATGGGAGTAGAGCTGATCACCAAGGGCAAGTAGAGAAAAAGGCAGCCTGTAAAGGGCAGGCAGAGAAAAAGAGGTTTAGAAGGTAAGTGAGAAGAATTAGCTAGTGAGAGAAGAGGAAAATCAAGAGGATTTGTTATTAGGAGAGTGAAGGAAAGGGAGTAGTTCAAGGAGGGAGTATTTCAAGGAGGAGTGGCTGGCAGTATACTAGGGCTATTCTTAGTAAAGGTGGATTGGTGATCTTAACAAAGAGCAATTTTAATGTGGTAGGGGTTGGTCAGTTTGCAGCAGGTTGAAGAGTAAATAAGGGTAAGGACCTCAAGGGAGTAATAGAAAAAACCCTTCCAACAAGCTGGATGATGAAGGGTAGATGAGACAGTGGACAGAGAGACCAGAGGGGCTCCTCATAATTGTGTGTGACTAGACCACAACTAAGACTTCGCAACCTGCAAATAACAAGAGGGCATTATCTGAGGATGGTACCCCTCTTCAATAAAATCCAAGAAACATTTATCATTGTTCTATGTCATTGATATGGAATGCATTTGATGTCTCAATTTTCAAAGCCCAACAACAAATGTTTATCCAATTCAAAACTCGCACTGGGGAGGGGAGGCAAGGGAGCATGTTAGCACCCTCTTCCAAGTCTATAAAGAAAAACGGGCCAGGCACGAAGGCTCACGCTTGTAATCCCAGCACTTTGGGAGGCCAAGGTGGGTAAATCATTTGAGGTTAGGAGTTCAAGACCAGCCTGGCCAACATGGTGAAACCCTGTCTCTACTAAAAATACAAAAATATAAAAAATAACTAAAAATACAAAAAAGAAAAATGTGGTGGCAGGTGCCTGTAATCCCAGCCACTTGGGAGGCTGAGGCAGGAAAATCGCTTGAACCCGGGAGGCGGAGGCTGCAGTGAGCCGAGATCACGACGCTGCACTCAAGCCTGGGTGACAGAGCAAGACTCTGTCTCAAAACACAAAACAAAACAAAACAAAACAAAACAAAACAAAACAAAAACGAACAAACACAAAAAAGAAACATTAATAGTGCGGTAAAAATTGGCCTAAGACAGATTATGGGCTAACTCATATAAACACAGTAAGATATTGTTAACATGATTTGAGACATTCTATTAAAGTTCAACTAAATGATCAACCAAAATTTGGAGTAGAACCCTGTGATTATAATAAAGAAAAAAAGTAAATATTTAGAAAGGCAACCTTTCTCTTCTTTCAGCAGGACCCTCTCCAAAAAGTGTGATGGGTTCCCCCAAGGCTCTAAGGCAAGCTTTGACCTCTGAGTCATCTGTGGAAACATTGATCTGCCGGGCTCGCTTCCTTCTCTCAAACTCAGCCAATACTTCTGCCTGTCGCTCGCTGATATGCTCTTCAATTTCAAACACTTCTCCTATTAAAAAGAAAACAGGCAACATCAGCAGATCTTCTTCAAATAGAGAGAAATAATTTCTAGTAATTGCAGTCTGTGTATGCCCTGAGGGAAAAGTAACTGTCTATTACACATTTTATAGTTTACTGTTTTTCAGTTTATTAAATTATGCCAAACACATAAACCTAAATGACACAGCTTCAAAAGGCAAGAAAATGGTTCAAGCCACCTCTTGTTTCATTTATTAACTTTGTGCCTATATAAACACACACTTTGGCTGAGACCAGCAAGTAAGAGTACAGAACATCTTTTGCAAATGAGTTAACTAGGCTGTCTATCCAGAAGATGTAACAGAAACATTATTGTAACAACAGCCAAAGCTATTTATTCTCGAAAGGAGACCCAGTATAGGGATACTTAACAAATCATTAACTACTAAACTGCAAATAATTACCAGGAAAATGAGAGTTCCACAACTATAAGGATTTCTGGATAATCTAGCAATAGTTTTGAAACCCACACCAAAATACAAGTGTGATAAAAAATGAGAGGTACAGTGGTGACGTTATGTTTAAAAACAGTATTAAAAGTTTAAAAAGTCACTAGGCTACAGTGCATGTGTTTAGAAAATGTGTGGGAGGATCAATAAGAAACCTGACAGATGTCCCTACTGCAGAGGAGTCTTCATTTTATGCCCTTTGGCATTGTCTGAATTTCTTAGGACAAATATGCATAATTTTATTTTTAAAATATAGTAGACCTCTCATTACTGACATGGAAAGATATCCTCAATGGTATATAAATGAAAAATGGGGGTTATACAACAATTTACGTATTGTGTTTTCATTTATGGAAAAAATTACATACTTTTTAGCTGTATTAAAATTCTCAGAAAGATATACAATCAATTAATTTTAAAAATACAGGATTTTCTACTTCACACATTTATACATTGATCTTTTAAAAGAAAATAACTTTTTTTTTTGAGACAGGGTCTCGCTCTGTTGTTCAGGCTGGAGTGCAGTGGCACAGTCATGACTCACTGCAGCCTTGAACCCCCACCTCAGAACCCCAATTAGCTGGGAATACAGGCACGTGTCACCATGCCCAGCTAATTTTCTACTTTTTGTAGAGATGGGGTATCACTATTTGCCCAGGCTGGTCTTGGATTCCTGGGCTCAAGCCAGACTCCCGCTTCTCAGCCTCCCAAAGTGCTGGGATTACAGGTGTGAGCCACCAGGCTTGGCCACTATTACTTTTATAATAAAAAAAGATAGCTCAGTCAGGTGCAGTGGCTCACGCCTGTAATCCCAGCACTTTGGGAGGCCGAGGTGGGCGGATCATTTGAGGTCAGGAGTTGGAGACCAGCCTGGGCAACATGGTGAAACCCAGTCTCTACTAAAAATACAAAAATTAGCTGGGTGTGGTGGCGGGCACCTGTAATCTCAGCTAATCGGGAGGCTGAGGCAGGAGAATCCCTTGAACACAAAAGGCAGAGGTTGCAGTGAGCCAAGGTTACGCCACTGCATTCCAGCCTGGGCAAGAGAGTGAGACCCTGTCACACACACACACACACACAAAAAGATTTCACTTTGGGTAAAAAATAATTACAAAACTTCAAAAGGGAGAATATCATGAACCACTCTAGCTGCAAACCAATGCCAGAACTATGTTAGATCTCCAGAAGACAAATGGAATCAATCTGAATCCAAATGTACACTGAATTTTTGATAAGACTGCTCACTCATAGAAGAAAAACTATATAACAGATTGTAAGAAAAAGGCTCTCTGCATGATAATAAGGGGGTAGGCAAAATACAGCCTTATAGCTGCAAGTTTAAGAATTGAAATTCTGCCGGGCACAGTGGCTCACACCTGTAATCCCAGCACTTTAGGAGGACGAGGCGGGCGGATCACAAGGTCAGGAGTTTGAGACCAGCCAGACCAACATGGTGAAACCCCATATCTACTAAATATACAAAAATTAGCCGGGCGTGGTGGTGTGCGCCTGTAATCCCAGCTACTCGGGAGGCTGAAGCAGGAGAACTGCTTGAACCCGGGAGGCGGAGGTTGCAGTGAGCCAAGATCGCACCACTGCACTCCAGCCTGGCGACAGAGCGAGACTCTGTTTAAAAAAAAAAAAATTGTAATTTTTTGACATTATAAAACTGTGGTATTTAAGTTTAGAAAGGTATTCATTACACAAAGAGGTAAAGATGGGCTCACAATTTGCATCTTACCAGAGGTTATATTAATATTTCCAGCTTCGATCCCTGCTTTAAGTCCGTCTTTCCCCAAAATCCCAGACTCTCCTTTGGCCAGACGCTCCCTCTCCTTCTCTTCCAAACTTCCATAATAGATGTGTGGTTTCTTCACGACCGGAGCAACTAAGTCGTCGGGTGCTTTAGTTTTGGTTGCCTGCTAAATCAAAGATCTGCATTAAACTAAGGTTTAATCTTGGCAATTTACCGGACTTCACCAGAGGATGAAGCTCACCCTGAGTTTCACAGTCCTGTTTCCTCTGTAATTGAAAGGACAAATTGGACACTACTTAAGACGCTCTTCATTGATTTGAGGAGGTGAAGGTAGGGTGAGGGTGTTTCAGTCCCTCACTTTGGTTGATGGGATTAATAAAACTAGTGAGGTTCTCTCGGGTATTTTCCTATGAAAGGTTTGCTCTGAAATCTGTTTACTTCATTCCGTTGGAAGTGTTCAATCTCGTGTTTTATGCTTCCCGGATTACTGCTTATCACTGGGGAAATACTAAGGATAGATGAAATAACCAACGCGGTGCTAAAGGATAACAAGTTACAACATTACAAGTGTATACATTTCAAACGTTCCTAGACGTGAGGTAGTAGGAGTTAGTAGGTCTCATTAAAATTCTGAGATCTGCCAAAGGCATAAACCTTGGCCAAGACACTTCCCTATTTCAGAGCACCGTTACTGGATGAGTCGGAAGAGATGCTTGCCCTTTGGGGCTGTAGTGGGAGAGGTGCAAATAAGCTACAGTCCACGAAAGCGCTTAGGGATCAGGAAAACGGTGGTCCGCTGTGTAGGACACCGCTGAGTCCCGCAGCCTTCCTCCTCAGCCCTCCACCGCCTTCTCCCGCTCCTTAACGGCCCCTTCCCGCAGAGATCCCCTTCCCCCTTAGCGCTCCCTGCCAGAGTGAGCTGGGATCCCGGGCTCTGTACCGTGGAAGAGGCTCGCGAGGAAGCCATGCTGGGCTCTGGAGCCGCGAGGCCCCAGCGAAACCCGAACACTCCCTTTCAGACCGTCCACCGCGCGCCCAGCAGAGGGGAAGTGCGTCACTGACAGGAAGTGCGTCACTGACAAGACGTGGGCCAAGAGGGGTCACCGCCCCCGGAGCGGCGCGGAGCATGATGGAAGTCGTAGTAGGAAATGGCGTCGTGGCATTGAGGGGCATCCCTCCTAGAACCTCCAGGAAAAGCTCGCGGAAGACGAGGTTCTGCGGAGAGAGAGGCTCCAAGCAGTCTGGGAAGTGTAGTCCAGTTGGCTTAGCAGTAGTTTCGTTGGGGGGGAGCCGAGGTTCCGGGAAGGGGCTAGGCCGGCTTGAAAAGAGGTAGGTGAGTCGACTCGCGCGGCTCGGGGCTGAACTCTGGAGCGAGTCAAGGGCTTCCGGGGTCCGCTGTGCCCCCCGGGCGTACGGGGGCGTTTACGTCTTCTTGGAGCCGAGGACCATGTTACCATAGAAACCCTTGCCTGGGCTCCGAGGTACAGGCCTGGAGCTAGGGGACGAGGACTGTTCTCCTCCATGGTCCGGAAGTCTTCCCAGGCTCCCCCTCTGAGCTTGATGGCTCGGCGGTGGATTTGGGCTGCGGCGGGAGATTAAGCTAGAAGAGCCCGCTAGTGCCAAAGTCAAATAAAGACCCGGCGGAGGAGCTTCGGCCTGATTTTGTTGATTTGTCTTCAGCCTGGTCTTTGTATCAGATTGAGAGTAAGATGATGGATAGGAAGGTGTCAGGTAACTCTGTACGTCTCTCTGCCCTGCTGGATGCTGGGGCATTAGAGACGAACAGGATAAGGTTTTTATCCCCACATGGGCGGTGGGAGATCCTCAAAATATTGACGTTTCCCTAGCTGGCCAGATCCTCATGCAACCCCCTAGAACAATTACAGCAATAATAGATGTTATTTATTGAACATTTATTAAATGCCAAATAATATTCCAAGAGCTTACTCTGTATTACGTTATTGACTTCCTACAACAGCAGAGTAGGATACAGATGAGGGAACTAAGGTCTAGTGAGAAATGAAACGAATTGTTCAGGATCGGTGGTGTAGTGGGATTAAAACCTGTGCCCTTTAACCTCTACAGCCAGCACTTTTAACTGTTAATCTATACTGCTCCCTAGTGGCCAGTTTTTTGCAGTTTGCAGAAAAGGTAAAATGTATAGATTTTTTTTTCCCCCTTTTAGGTATCCCTATCCCTCTCTTTCCCTCTTTGGAACTTTGGCTTTCTCTACCATTTGTCTGCATTGGAATCTGGTAGAAGATAATGCCTGATTTAGTACAAAGGAATTTGAAATGTAATGTGCCAGTGTTTTGTGTTGATAATATCACCTGTAGTATCCTAAGCTTCATGGGAGAAGGAACTATTTCTTCCTTTGTATACTTCACAGTCCTTAGTTTCATCCTAGATACGTGTAATAATTTGTATCTGTACATACTTTCAAGGAGTTTTCACTTCCATCATTTTCACTTAATGCTTATCATGTTGACCTTTATAATTTTTATAGGAGGCTAAAATTATTAACCAAACTGAACAGCTTGCTTCGATGACTTCTTTATGTGTGAAATAGGAATCATTTTGTCAACTTCACAGGGTTTTTGTGTTAAAATAAGAATGTAAAGAATGGGAATGGAAAAACAGCACGGTGCTCAAGAATGATCTCACCTTCTAGTCAACAAACATTTACTGACTGTTTTTATAGATACACTCTAGGGGATGCTGTGGAGAATATACAAATGATGCCATCAACAGATATTAAACTCAGTTGGGGGGTTGTGTTTTCTCAAAAACAAAACAAAACAAAATGGTTTTTGTTAACATAGTATTACCTTGGGATTTCAGGCTGTGGAATGCTCTCTTGAGCCTTTTTTTTTTTTTTTTTTTTTTTTTGAGTTGGGGTCTCATGGTGAGGTCATGGCTCACGGTGGCAACCTGAAACTCCTGGGCTCAAGTGATCCTTCCACCTCAGCCTCCTGAGTAGCTAGGACTACAGGTACACACTACCAGCCCAGCTATTTTTTTTACTTTTTTGTAGAGACAGGGTCTTGCTACGTTACCAAAGCTGTACTTGAGCCTCCTTGTGCATTCTTCTCTCTGCCTGACCTTCAGAAGTCAACTAAGACATCATTTTCTCCAGGAAGGCTTGCCTGACATCCTTGTCCACCCCACACTCAGCCCAGACTGGATTAGGTGCCTGTGTGATGCCAGTGCTAGTATCCTCATCAGGGTTCTCATTACATGATATCACAGTTTTCTCTTTGTTTTCCCCACAGATTATGACTGTACCTTTTAACTTTGTAGCTGGAACACAAGAAGTGTTTGTTTAATGAATGACGTACACATTTAAGATCTGTTTGGACGCGGAGGATAATCCTGTGAATTGGTGAGTTGGAGTTTTCCTGAGATTTAGCAAACTGATTTTAGCATTCAAGAGTGATCACAAATCTCTGACAATTCTCATGTAGGGTAGATTAAATTCACTGGTTTGTCCACTTTTTCCTCTAACTATACTAAGATGTGATAGTTTATTCTTTTAGCTAGAGTAGTTCTTTGAATGTGACTGGAACATGAGATTAAAGTGATGGTTGCCTAGAATTTCTCTCTTATAGGCAGTTTGCTATTTTAAATTCTTACAGAAAGAGTTTTTGATTTTATAGAGCTGTAGATCTCCATAATGTAACAAAAATGTAATAATCACATACCTAAAGACTTTAGAAGTTGGCTGGGTACAGTAGCTCTTGCCTATAATGCCAGCACTTTGGGAAAATGAGGAGGGAGGAACACTTGAGCCCAAGAGTTTGAGACCAGCCTGGGCATCAGAGAGAGATCCCATTTCTACAAAAAACACAAAAATTAGCCAGGTATGGCGGTGTACGCCTGTAGTCCCAGCTACTCTGGAGGCTGAGGCAGTAAGATTGCTTGAGTCCAGGAAGTTGAGGCTGTAGTGAGCTAAGGTCATGCCACTGCACTCCAGCCTGGGCAAAGAGCAAGATCCTATCTCTTAAAAAAAAAAAAAAAAAGACTTTAGAAGTCTATGTGTAAATTCAAATAAATTTTTAATATTTCCATTCACTTTAGTATACATGCTTGCAAATTGATTTTATGTTTTGTATCTGAGACTTTATCACCTTCAGATTTTCCTCCTCTCTTTCATTTTTAACAGCTAATAGTTCACTGGGTTTGGCCCTTAGTGTTGACTTCAGTATGCTGAGACGGAAACCAACACGCCTAGAGCTAAAGCTTGATGACATTGAAGAGTTTGAGAACATTCGAAAGGACCTGGAGGTATGAATACAACTTTGTGTTTTTTTGAGATGGAGTCTCGCTCTGTCACACAGGCTGGAGTACAGTGGCATGATCTTGGCCCACTGCAACCTCTGCCTCCTCTGCCTCAGCCTCCCGCGTGCTGGGACCACAGGTTCATGCCAGCACGCCCAGCTCATTTTTTTATTTTTAGTAGAGTTGGGGTTTTGCCATGTTGGGGCCAGGCTAGTCTCAACTCCTGACCTCAAGTGATCCATCCACCTCAGCCTCCCAAAGTGCTGGGATTACACGCGTGAGCCACTGCACCCAGCCATGAATACAACTTTCAAAGCTTAAGGAATATTTAAGATAATAATTCTTGTGTGGGCACAGTGGCTTACATCTGTAATGCCAGCATTTTCTGGCCAGGAGTTTGAGACCAGCCTGGGCAACATAGTGAGACCTTGTCTCTATGTTGGGCAGGGTGGCGCATGCCTGAGCTACTCAGGAGGCGGAGGCGGGAGGATTGCTTGAGCCCAGGAGTTTGAGGTTACAGTGTGCTATGATGGCTCCACTGTACTCCACACTGGGCAACAGTGAGACTCTCTGTCATACATAAATATGTATATACACACACATACATACACAATAACTTTAACTTCTGAACTGCAGACTCTTAAGCCAACAGCTTATTTGAAATCTCTGTTTGGATGCTTTACAGGCATCTCAAACTTCATGTATGTCTCCTGTGGCTGCTGTAACAAAGTACCACAAACTTCATCGCTTAAGACAACAGAAATTTATTATTTCACAGTTTTATAGGCCAAAAATTAGTATTGCTGGGCTGAAATTTAGGTGTCAGGAGGGCCACATTCCCTATGGAGGATCTAGGGAAGAATCCATTCCTTGGCTCTTCTAGCTTCTGGTGGCTGCTGGCATTCCTTGACTCATGACTGTATCACTCCAGTCTCTGCCTCCAGAGTCATATTGTCTTCTTTTCTGTCTGTGAAAACTTCCTCTGCCTCCTTCTTATGATATGTGTGATTGTGTTTAGGGCCCACCTGACTAACCCAGGATAATCCCCCCTTCTCAAGATCCTTAATTTAGTCACACCTGCAAAGGCCCTTTTCCCATATAAGGCATTTATAGGTTCCAGGATTAGGACCTGCTAGCTTTGGGGGCCATTTTTCAGCCTACTACACTTAACATGTTAAAAAAAGAAGAGAGAAAAACTCTTGATTTCTCCCTTGAACCAGTCGTCCCTTCCATTCTTCCCCAGTGTTTCCCATCTCAGTATTGATTCAGTTCCTCAGGCCAGAAACCTAGCAGTCATTCCTGAGTCCTCCCTTTCTCTTACGCTTTATATTCGATCTGTCTGTAGACCCTTTGATTCTACCTTCAGAATATGTCTGGAATCCACCCATACCTTTTCATCTCCACTGTTACAGTCCTGCGCTAAGTAACCGTCTTTCCCTGTATAATTGTAGTGGCATCCTAACTGGTCTTCTACTTCCATTTTTGTCTCTTTCAGTGCATTCTGCATCCAGTATCAAGAATGATCTTCAGAAATTTTCAAATCCTGTCATTCCCGTTTAAAACTCCTCAGTAGTTTTCTGCACTTATAACAAAATCTGAATTCTTCACCATGGCCTACAAGATTTTGTATGTTCTAGTGCCTCTCCAGATTCATTTTGTGCCATTCTTTGCCTTGCTCTCTATACCCTAGCCACATTGGCTCTCTTTCATTTCCTTGAACATGCCAATCTATTTATCACTTCCATGGACTTTCCACATATTATTTCCCCCTGCCTGGAGTGCTCCCTTTCTTCCAGTCTTCATTCAAATGTCAACTCTTCAATTTAAGAGGCCACTTTTGACCGTATCCAAGTTTCATGTGTCATTCCCGTCCATGCTGCCTCCATCTCTGTAGGCTCTCACAAAGCACCATATTTTTTTCATAGCATTTATTATAATTTACAATTTTTTTTATTGTAAAATCATTTACATTAGGGACGTTGATTGCAGAAATCATGTCTGTTTGCTTCACCATTGAGTTCTTACCATCTAGTTCATAGTAGGGGCCCCATATGTATTTTTAACTGTGGCCTTGCTACATGGTATTAGATGTCCATTAATAAGACTTAAATTCTTCAGTGGTCTACAGAATAAATTCCAAATTCCCTAGCATGGCATATGAGCTCCTTGTGAGCTGGTCCTTGCTTATCTCTCCACTTTCACTGCTGGGTTATCTTTAATCTCAGTGCCTATACACAGTGTTCCCTTTGCCAGAAAAGCCCTTTCTTTTTCTTTGCCAGGCTAACTCTTACTCCTTCCAGCCCCCAGCTGGGTTAGGCTCAACCTTATCCTCCTGTGCTAACCTCTCTCATAGGCACGGTCACTCTCTGTTGTAATTGTCTGTTTGCTTTTGTTTTCCCTCACTGGGCCATAAGCTCCTTGAAGTCAGGGATTAGTATATTTCTCTCTGCATCTGTTCCCTGCAATACCAGGTCCAAAGGAGGGCTCAATGCAAGTCTATTTTCATTTGCTGTCCTAGTAGGTATCTTGTACTATATGGCAGAGGACAGTACGTTTTGCATATATTCACCAACAGCTTTATTATGTATTGTATATGCTTCATATTAAGACTAATAACTTAGATTTCTTTCCCCCTGCTTCATCCCAAGAGACTTTAGTGTTCTCTAAGTATCGTAATTTTTGCTTTCTAAAAACTCATATATTATTAAGCATGAGCTTTAAAGTATGGCTTAAACTTCAGTTGTAACGAATCTCATAAAATGCTAGCATGCTGAACTTTGACTCTACAGTCAGCTCACTATTGAGTTAGTCTTTCCACTAAAGACAGTTATCTAGTGGGTTTTACCTTGTTTTAGAGTAACTTAGGAAGCAGGGACAGTCATGCCCTAAAGTGAAACCAGTAGAAAACTGGCCTGTTTCATTTATTACCAACATGAGTTTGATTATACTACTGTGACTCTAGCTTCTGAAACAGCAGTTGCTCAAAGTGGGAAGCCTTTTAAGTGATTTCATTCCATTTGGATATTCTCAGAATGATAGAGTTGTTTGCCTTTTCGAACTTGTTTTCACAAAGGTATTTAGGTAGAACTTTCTAACATCACTTACTAGTAATCAGGAAGGTCATTTGCCACATAAAAGGCAATACCTTATTTTATTCCCTGTAATACTTTGTGAGTGTTGGCATTTATTTTTTTTTTTTATTTTTATTGTTGAGACAGGGTCTTGCTCTGTCGCCCTGGCTGGAGTACAGTGGCATGATCACAGCTCACTGCAGCCTTGACCTGCCAGGCTCAGGTGATCCTACCACATCAGGCCCCCTGAATAACTGGGAATACAGGCATGCGCCACCATGCCTGGCTAATTTTTAAATTTTTTTGTGGGCCGGGTGCGGTGGCTCATGCCTGTAAACCCCAGCACCTTGAGAGGCCGAGGCAGGCGGATCACGAGGTCAAGAGATTGAGACCATCCTAGCTAACATGTTGAAACCCTGTCTCTACTAAAAGTGCAAAAATTAGCCAGGTGTGCTGGCATGCGCCTGTAGTCCCAACTACTTGAGAGGCTGAGGCAGGAGAATCGCTTGAACCCAGGAGGCGGAGGTTGCAGTGAGCCAAGATGGCGCCACTACACTCCAGCCTGGCAACAGACAGAGACTCAGTCTAAAGAAAAAAAAAAAATTGTGGAGACAGATGGAGTGTCACTATGTTGCCCAGGCTAGTGTCACACTCCTGGGCTCAAGCAATCCTCCGCCTTGGCCTCCCAAAGCACTGGGATTTACAGGCATGAGCCACTGCGGTCAGCCTGATGCTTGGCATTTAAATGCCCACAGTTCAGCAGCAAGTGGTGAAGAATGGTGGTAATTCCAGTGATTTGAGTAGCTGAGCCATTCTTCTATTAAGTAACTTTGGATAAAACATCATTTCACTCTCTTAGAGAAAGTTATCATCTGTTATCCTTACAGTCAGGTAGTGGCTGTTATGGGATAAGTGTCTGTTTTTGAAAATGATCAAACTAAGACATACTTTCTGGATTCTGCAGTCACATGTGACTTAGGAGCCAAACCTTTTATCTGAAAACAAAATGAAGCCACAAAACCCAGACCTTTTGATAAGATAGCATAAAACCTTCTTGAGTTACTTTTAATCTCATGGGATCAGTCAGGCTATAGATTTTTGGTGGTTATTTCTTTACCCAATTTATTTTTCTATTCTCTAGAATAATAAATTTGTTGAAATGCCCTTTGCTCTCACTTGTCTGCTCTTACAGCTTTCCAATTGTAGCTTCCTGTTGTACCACCACACCCCAACTCCTTACCTCTTGTCTCTTTGGCAGTGTAGACTTCTCTCTGTCATAGGTCATAGCCCTGATCACCCTATAATCGTCTGTTTGCCTGTTTCCCTATTAGACTGTGACATCCTGGAGGGTAGGGGTTACATCTTTTGTTTTTTTTAAGACAGAGTCTCGCTCTGTCGCCAGGCTGGAGTGCAGTGGCACCATCTCAGCTCTCTGCAACCTCCGACTTCCTGGTTCAAGCGATTCTCCTGCCTCAGCCTCCCAAGTAGCTGGGATTACAGGCATGCGCCACCATGCCCAGCTAATTTTTGTATTTTTAGTAGAGATGGAGTTTCACCATGTTGGCTAGGGTGGTCTCGATCTCCTGACCTCGTGATCCGCTCGCCTCAGCCTCCCAAAGGGCTGGGATTACAGATGTGAGCCACCGTGCCCCGCCAAATTTTTGTATTTTTAGTAGAGATAGGGTTTCACCATGTTTGCCAGGCTAGTCTCGAACTCCTGACCTCAAGTGATCAGGGGTTACAACTTTTAACACCATATCCTCATTGTGCCCCTAAGTACTCCAAACCTAGGATTTCAGTTTATTGTTCTTTACACCCTAACTCTATCATTTAGCCCATGCCTAGTACATGGTAGGTGTTCTAAATAAACATTTGCTAATTGAAAGAATGTTGCCTTAATCCTAAAACTTTTATACTTTCAGACCCGTAAGAAACAGAAGGAAGATGTGGAAGTTGTAGGAGGCAGTGATGGAGAAGGAGCCATTGGGCTTAGCAGTGATCCCAAGAGCCGGGAACAAATGATCAATGATCGGATTGGTTATAAACCCCAACCCAAGCCCAATAATCGTTCATCTCAATTTGGAAGTCTTGAATTTTAGAGATGGATTATCTTGCATGCCAGAGCGCTGGAATGGAATAAAATGATGGCAGAAGTACAAACCAGATTTAGAGAATTGAGTGCTTGCAGTCAAGCAGAATGTACCTCCTGCAGAGACAAATCTTCTGCATGAGATTACTGATGCTTCACTTGCACTCTAAGCTGGAATCCAAACTCTGGTTTGTCTCTTGAAAATTTGACTCTATAAAACTGATCTGATTTTCTGTTTTTAAAAATAAATATATTTTTGGAAAAATGTGAGGCATCCTTAATGAAGTATAACAGTACTGTTAATTCCCAGACTTTAAAAGATAATTGCTACAAGATTAACATCATTCTTTCCATCTTTATTAAAAGACCCTAAGCACAGGACACTCTAGTTGATCCCTGCCACTTTCACTTAACCCATCTATTCAATAAGTATTTATTGAGTGTCTACCATGTGCCACTCAACAAAGATCCCTGCCCTTGTAGAAATTAAATTCTAGTGGATATTGTGTAAATCTGAAGAAATTGTAGGTACCCGATCTCTTTACAGAATGGCTTTGTAACTAGTTTGGGTATAATGTTGGGAGGACAGGCAATGGAGGAAAGAGGAATGCTTCTAACAGTTTTGCCATTATTCCAACTTTCCTTCCTTTCTCAACTTGCCTAAGTGTTTTTCCCAGAAAGAACCAGAGAGGCAGCTCGGAGGATAATTTTGAATCATGCCCTATTGTTCTGGGCATTAAAAAAAAATTTTTTTTAAAAATTTTTATTGTTTTATGTAGAGACAGGCATCTGTGTTGCCCAAGCTGGGCTTGAGCTCCTGACATTAAGCAGTCCTCTCAAAGTGCTGGGATTACTGTGCCTGGCCTGTTTTCACTAATTCAACACAGGGAATCACCAGCTGTGATCATAAGAGCCTCTTGAATCATCAGTTCTACGGAGACTCTTAGCAGGACTTTAGCCTTTTTGGGGTAGTTTAAGTCTGAGTAATACGAGGGGGAGAGGGACAGGTGTGGTGGCTCATGCCTGTAATCCCAGCACTTCGGGAGGCTGAGGCAGGAGGATTGCTTGAGTCCAGGAGTTAGACCAGCCTGGGCAACACAGGGAAACCCTGACTCTATAAAATTAAAAAAAAAAAAAAAAGAAGGGCCGGGCATGGTGGCTCATGCCTGTAATCCCAGCACTTTGGGAGGCTGAGGTGGGCAGATAACCTGAGGTCCAGAGTTTGAGACCAGCCTGACCAACATGGAGAAACCCTGTCTCTACTAAAAATACAAAATTAGCCGGGCGTGGTGGTGCATGCCTGCAATCCTAGCTACTCGGGAGGCTGAGGTGGAGGTGCTTGAACCCAGGAGGCAGAGGTTGCAGTGAGCTGAGATTGCACCATTGCACTCGAGTCTGGGCAACAAGGGCAAAACTCCGTCTCAAAAACAAAAACAACAACAAAAAAAGAAAAATACTAACCTATTAACCTTATCAAGAAGAGTGTTACTTTTCATTCTGAAAGCTGGAGTAACAACAATTGTAGATAATAAAAAAAATACTAAGGCTCGAATACCTATTTTGTGCTAGGTGCCTAATTCAAACAGGTATTATGGCCGGGCACAGTGGCTCACACCTTTCCCAATCCCAGCACTTTGGGAGGCCGAGACGGGCGGATCACCTGAGCTCAGGAGTTCAAGACTAGCCTGGCCAACATGGCAAAAACTCATCTCTACTAAAAATACAAAAATTAGCCAGACATGATGGTGTGTGCCTGTAGCCCCAGCTACTTGGGAGGCTGAGGCAGGAGAATCACTTGAACCCAGGAGATGGAGGTGGCAGTGAGCCGAGACTGTACCACTGCACTCCAGCCTAGGTGACGGAGTGAGACTCCATCTCTAAATAAGAAAACTAAGGCTTAGGGATCATTAGACTAACTTCCTAAGGTCATACTGCTAGTAGGTGATGGAACCAGAATCCAAACTCATTGACTCCTCTAAGTCCATGTTCATGACACTACACTCGGAAGAGACTAGGAATGGTGGTGATGGCAAGATGCCCACTGGGGGCCAGTGGGAAGAGCAAGTAACGTCAGCATTTTGGCATTACCAAAGGGACTGGCAGGGTCACTGTGCATCTCAAGGTTGGGCGGTGAACTTCTTATAGGCCCAGCTCAGAGCCTCTTGCCTAACAGCAGACACAGGGAAGGGATTATGATGTGACAAAAGTTGGCTTTTAAACTGAGGAATCCTCAGTATACTGAAATACTTGTGGCTTCATGAAGACCCTGTCTCCTGTGCAGAAGGTCACATGGATCTTCTGGCATGTACTAGGCATGTCATTTTAAGTCGAGTAGGGGGAGAGTGAGATGAAAACCTAAAAGGATCATACCACCTAAAATACGGACATCTTTTTTTTTTTTTTTTTTTGAGACGGAGTCTCGCTGTGTTGCCCAGGTGCAATCTTGGCTCACTGCAACCTCTGACTTCCGGGTTCACACCATTCTCCTGCCTCAGCCTCCCAAGTAGCTGGGACTACAGGCGCCCACCACCAGGCCTGGCTAATTTTTTAATATTTTTTTTAGTAGAGACGGGTTTCACCGTGTTAGCCAGGATGGTCTCGATCTCCTGACCTCATGATCCACCTGCCTCAGCCTCCCAAAGTGCTGGGATTACCAGGCGTGAGCCACCGCGCCCGGCCACAATATGGACATCTTAAAAACTGATGGTAATGGCCAGACTCTATGCAGACTATGAAAAGACTAGCTTATTGCATTATCACTCTGGGCAGAAAGACTTGCATAGAATCACAAAATCAAAATATTTATTTTGTTCTTTTTCATATGACACTGTTAAAACATTCCTACTACAGCAATACTGCTCTCCAGGAGCTTACAATCTAAAACAGTCAACATTAATTGTAGACCCAGTAATTAAGGCATTATATCAAATGCAGACTTTGTATCTTTTTTTTTTTTTTGAGACGGAGTTTTGCTCTTGTCGCCCAGGCTGGAGTGCAATGGCGCCATCTTGGCTCACTGCAACCTCCGCCTCCTGGGTTCAAGCGATTCTCCTGCCTCAGCCTCCCGAGTAGCTGGGATTACAGGCATGCACCACCACGCCCAGCTAATTTTTGTATTTTTAGTAGAGATGGGGTTTCACCACATTGGCCAGGCTGGTCTCAAACTCCTGACCTCAGGTGATCTGCACCCCCGCTTGGCCTCCCAAAGTGTGTGAGCCACTGTGCCCAGCCCAGAGTTTCTATCTTTTGATGTATCTTTTGAAGGAGCAGCTGGAGAGGGCAGGATCAAAATTAAATCACATGAAAGTGTACTCCCCTCCGCCTGCTCCTTATAAGGAACCCCTTATGACTAGAACCCAAGACCAGTACCCACAGCCTGAAAGGGAATTTCAGACAACCCTACCATAGAAGTAGTGAAGAAACCTTAATTTCTAATCTCCTAGTGGATACAGTGAGGATTCCATTTGTGGGCAATGGGGATGCTGGGAGTTCCTCCCTCACAGACTAGAGACGGCACCTAAGATTCTGTAACTCTGGGAAGGGTACCAGCCTTATAGAAATTCCAGTGGGTCAACTGCCTCTTGAAGCATGCTTAAAGTCTCTTAACAGGTTTATAAATGCCAATTTCTGGTTGGTATTATATCCACAGCATAGCACTGTCTACTGCATCAGGAGGGCTATGGAGACTTAATATACTAGACATGCGATTAAAAAAACTGAAAGAAAAGGGAAAGGACAACAGAGTAAGGGGGCCAAAGAAATGGTGATGCAGTCTTCTAATAGATGTGAATGGGGAAGGAAGAAAAGAGAAGTTTAGATCCAAAATGAACAAAGAAGTCAAGCATTAAATTCCAAATGAACAGGTATACAGAAATGAAAAGTTAATGAAATCATTGTATTATCACAATCCAAGAGCTCAAGATGGAATTTAAGCTTTTTCTCCTTCACTAGCTTCATCCTTTGGCAGCCAGTCTAAGAATCTCTGAAATTCAGGTTTTTCAGGAGATTATCTCTATCCTGAATACCTGAAGACCTAATCTAAACTGTTATTTCTTTCTGTGAATTTCAAAGTCATAGCATTTTGTCTTAACTGGCCTTGAATTTTCTTTTTTTCTGAGACAGGGTCTTGCTTTGTCACCCGGGCTGAGTGCAGTGGCGCAATCATGGCTTACTGCAGCCTCGACCTCCAGGGCTAAAGCAATCCTCCTGCCTCAGCCTCCCAAATAGCCAGGACTATAGGTATGCACCACCATGCCTGGCTAATTTTTGATTTTTTATAGAGATAGGATCTCACTATGTTGTCCAGGCTGGTCTCGAACTTCTGGACACAAGCCATCCTCCCACCTTGGCCTCCCAAAGTGTTGGGATTACAGGCATGAGCCATTGGGTCTAGCTGGCCTTACTGATTAGGTTTTGTTGCTGGGAGGGTATTCTATAGCAGCTCATGCTGAGATTTCTAGAGAGCACCAATGTCACTACTAACTATTGATTCCTATTTATTTCTCATGGTTTTATGACTCCTTGGCTTTAGACAACAGGCTGTATTATACCTTTGTGTTGGACTTCGTCAGTACCTGTCATTCACCCTGCTCATGTTAAGTATCATCATTACAAAGTGATGGAATGAGAGAAAAGCACAAAGCTCTAAATGTTGGTTCTTGGATTTTAACCTCAATCCAGTAGGCTCATAACCCTCTCTTGGTTCAAAGCCATACAAGTCCACATTCCTTGCTCTCCAATATTTAACTGGCACCCACAGAGAAAGTACAAACTTCAAAACCACAACACAGGCCAACAGGATAGCTGTGTTTTGTTTCCTCTGCCCTGAGGCACAACTGGATCTAGCACCAAGGAGGGCAGGATTTAACAGACCAGCACAAGACAAATCAATTTAAAGAGGTAGTTTGAACCAGGAATAAGACTGCAGTGTAGACTACAACTGAACAGAATACAAATCCAATGTGGTTCTTCACTGAGAACAGGGGTTTTGGCCACTTGTAATGTAATTAAACCCCCACGAATAACAAAGATGATTATATGGAGGATGAGGATCTGCTTGGTATAAGCACAGTTGTTGGAGCCTGAGGAAAACCTGGCCATCAACAAACCACAGCCTGAGTCTTTCCAAAGAGAAAGCTGGGCTTTTGCCCTTCTGGCCCATGACTGGTAGATTTACACTGCAGATCAAAGGTCTCTCTCAACAATCAAACTACTTCCAAGAAACCATAGACCTTTAAAAATAAGGACTAGTGATTTCATACAGGCTAGTAAAAATACTTTGGCTATAGCCCTTCACACATGTGTGCTTGGGTACACATACACACAGGTGGAGCTCAATAAATGTGGAATGATTAGGTATTGATCAGCAGTATTTACTACGTGAGTTAAGTCCAGACACACCATCTACCAATCAGCAATTCAAATTTCCATGCCCAATACCAGGCAGCCAACCCACCAGGCAATATTTCCTTAGCTTAAAGCACAGATTCTCAAAAGTGTGGTCCCTTGTAACATCAGCAGGAACTCAGAAGTGCCACTTTGGGGGCTTTTGGGTTGAGGCCCAGCAATTAGTGTTTTAACAAGCCCTACAGGTGATTCTGATGCACGCTAAAGCTTGAAAATCACAGTTTTAGAGGCAGACATGCGAAAACATTATAATGGAAAAATTAATTCAAACTCTCTTGCTTCACTTCAGCTGGGACAAACCAAGGTATCAAGACAAAGTAAACTGTGAATGGTTTTATTTAAAAATATCTATTTCTATTTTCTCAAATTGATTGTCATTTTTTGATTGGCAAGTTCATGCTAATCAAAGTGTTAAGTGGGAATGCAAGTCGATGCATCAGCCATCCAAGAATACACACTCTGCAAGTTCTAAGCCTGTATTTAGTCTCAAACCACCGCTCTGCACACTACAAAGATTTTGGTATAACGTATCACATCTAGAGAAAGGCACAATGTATTTCCCACTCATTGAATCCAAAAGCTGGACCTTCTTTTCTTTTTTTTTGAGATGGAGTTTCACTCTTGTCACCCAGGCTGGAGTGCAATGGCGCCATCTTGGCTCACTGCAACCTCCGCCTCCTAGGTTCAAGTGATTCTCCTGCCTCAGCCTTCTGAGTAGCTGGGATTACAGGCGCCCACCACCATGCCCGGCTAATTTTTGTATTTTTAGTAGAGACGGGGTTTCCCCATGTTGGCCAGACTGGTCTCGAACTCCTGTCCTCAGGTGATCCAGCCTGCCTTGGCCCCCCAAAGTGCTGGGATTACAGGCATGGGCCACTGTGTCCGGCCCTGGACCTTATTTTCTAATGTTAAGTTTGAGTTCTGGGTTTAGTTGGGCAAGAATTTCCCTCAGCTGCCATCAATCCTGGCTGAAGTTAACCCCTTTCCATCACTGACCCAGGGGAAAAAACCACCAAATTTACTTACTATCTGTTAAAAATTCAAAAAGGAAGCAGATGATCAAGTCATTGAACAAAAAGCTACATGGATTAGACAAGAACATATAACTTGGCTCTAAGATGATGGAGAAGGAAAAGACATCTCATGGGTGGCTTCTCCTTAAGAGAAATGGGAATCTCAGCTTATTAGAAAAAACAATTTGGGAGGTTACTACTTTAGTTCAGAGACTGTAAACTAAACCTCTGTTGAGCAGGGGTGTGTGTGTGTGTGTGTGTGTGTGTGTGTGTACGTGCACAAAGAGGAGCAAGAAGGGATGATTGGAGCAGGAATCACGTCTTCAAGTCTTCAACAACTTCCCACTGCAATCGATAAGGCCACGCCATAGAGTTTGATGTCAATGGCAATGCTCTGTGATATCCACTACCACTGCCTTCTTCCAGCTGAAGAGGAAGTATCCTGTACCGGCCCCTGCTGCTACTGCAATGCAGAGGTACCCGTTGTAGGTCATGAAGATGAGCATGAGGAAGTAGCTTATGACCACCTGGATGATGTGCAGCACTGTTTGCAGGAGGTGAGGAAAGCTCAGCATCTGTTGCCTGGAGAGTAAACAGGGACACAACAATCAGGGACTCCTAGGAGTTCTGCAGATCAGGAGAAAGAGGGAAGAGTTCTTGCCATGAGCTCAGCTGGAACTGGACAGCCACTCTGGCAACTCATGGGTACTTGAATGTTCTTTGATTGGTCCATGGAAATGAAACAGCACAGGGCTGTCAGGCTTATAAACATTGGCCAGATATGGCTGTGGTTCCTCCAGTAGAAGGAACCCTTTTCCGGAGGAGGAGAAAAGGACGAGGAGTAATCCCGACTTACCTCCACCTTAGATCCTGAAAGGGAAGCCGTAAACCCTCTCACGCTCATCTGCCCGAATATTTTTAGGCTTCCCACCTTTGCAAAGTTTACATTCTACAAAAACAGAAACAGAGGCTGGGGGTGGTGGCTAATGCCTTTAATCCCAGCACTTTGGGAGGCCGAGGTGGGCTGATTGCTTGAGCTCAGGAGTTTCAGACCAGCCTGGGCAACATGGCGAAACCTTGTCTCTACAAAAAATAAAAAAAATTAGCTGGGTGTGGTGGCTCATGCCTGTAGTTCCAGCTACTTAGGAGGCTGAGGTGGGAGGATCACTTGAGTCTGGAAGGCAGAGATTGCAGTGAGCCAAGATAGTGCCACTGCACTTCAGCCTGGGCAATAGAGGGAGACCCTGTCTCCAGAAAAAAAAAAAAAAAAGAAAGAAAAAAAGAAAAAAAAATAGAATTGAGGGTTGGGTAGTATAGAAGAAATTACTTAATTAGGGATAAGGAGACCTGGCTACTCATCCCCTGTGCCACCTTAGGTAGGTCACAATCCTTCTGGGCCCCAGTAAGCTCATCAGTACAATAAATAACACTGCTTGTTTGAAAGCAGGATATCAGTCTATAGGATTTCTTAAGGTCCAATTTGGTTTTAAGACTTACATTTTTATTAAAACAATCTCAAAAAACATTTGCCAATCTATGGGAAAAACCAATAATCATCCAAATACTTTCTTAGACAGAACACAGAAATCAATACAGTCTTACATTGTAAAGAAAAAGAGGACAGGGCTGACTAGGTGTAACTTTATAGAATCAACTGCAATCTGCCATTCTTTTATATCTTGATCTGAATTTCTTAACTTGTTCATTATTATTTTGGTAAATATTTTAAAATATGGATTCCTCACTTCCCTTCTTCCAAAGTGGCCAATCCGTACAACTCAGAACAAACATTCATATTTGCAGAAGACTCCCTCTCATTCCTCCTTTGGCCTGCTCATGACCTACAAACCCAAACCTCCAAGGACAGTTTTGATCAAGGTCATACAGAACTCCTAACTCAAGAAGAGGGCTGCTGCTGATCACACAGCTGCGCTTTGCTGCTTAACTGATCGAGTTCTTTAGGACTTCATCTGGATCTGTTCAGTTCTTACCCAACAGTTTTGTGTGTCTCCATAAGGATGGTTCCATTTGGTCCTGGGACAGGCATGGAATTGTAGCGAATGCTGACTTGTGACTTACGCAGCAGGCTCTCTCGGGCTATCTTGAGTCCTTCATAGAACATTGCTAGTAAAAACACTGCCACAAAAGCTCCAGCCATTTCTAAGTATGGAAGGAAAATATGGAGGTACTGTCAAACATGTGCAAAATCATTAGCCAATGTGCTGTCCAGCTAGAAAGACACATAGAAAAAATGCTACTCTCAGCTTTTGAAGACATTATATTTTTACCTCTTCTCTTGCTCAGATAGGAGAACGGCTAAGATGGTGTAACTGAAAACTATTGCCTCTGCCAAGAACATATTTACTTTCTGATTAAGATAAGAAAAATAATCAGAACAACAATAACCTTTTGGTCAGACTGCTTGATATCATTAAATTAGGTTTGTTACACTGAAACACACAATGTAGAATATGGAACAGGGAATAAAACAATTTAGTTTCATCAGTGGCTGACTACATTTCCTGAATAGGCATTTCAATTCTAAGTCTTTCACACTGTGAAGTGTTGGTAATGATATAAATGTATTCAAACTGCTAATTTAACACATTACCTGAACTAAATGCTCTCCTTCTTCCCAAAACAAATTGATTTTATGGCTCCAAACAGACATCTGGTACCTAAGGCAGTCCAACTGACTATTGAGTTTGCGCAAGTTAAATTTAAAGTATACCATACAACATAATAGACACAAACAGATGGGTAATCATCTACCTCAAAACTAGGAGTGTCTAAGATGGGCCGTGCCAAGAATCAGGAAGGATGTGGGCCATAGTTTGGTAGACTAAAAGAACACTGGTCTAGGTAGCTCTAGAAGGTCTGGGTCCTTGTCCTAGCTCTGACATATTAACTCTATGATTGATGGCGAGTCATTTCACAATTTGTGGCACTTAATTTATTGTAAAATTGAAGTATTAGAACAATAGTTTTAAACTTATTTTGTGGTACTTAATTTGAGTTAGTCTTATGTCCAGGACTAATAACTTATCAAATAAGTAAACACTCTGAGGCCGGGCATGGTGGCTCATGCCTGTAATCCCAGCACTTTGGGAGGCTGAGGTGGGTGGATCACTTGAGGTGAGGAGTTCGAGACCAGCCTGGCAAACATGGCAAAACCCCGTCTCTATTAAAAATACAAAAATTAGCCAGGCATGGCGGTAGGTGCCTGTTTAACTCCAGCTACTCAGGAGGCTGAGGCAGGAGAATCGCTTGAACCTGGGAGGCAGAGATTGCAGTGAGCCAAGATAGCTGCCATTGCACTCCAGCCTGGGTGACAAGAGTGAAACTCCGTCTCAAAAAAAAAAAAAAAAAAAAAAATTAAACACTCTGGAAAAGAATGAAAGAAAATGGATTGCAAAAGATTCTATCTGGTATCTAAATTATTTTTTAGAGCTCCAAAACATACATGTTAGTTAACAGAGGTTTACCAGAGGACCAAAAAAGTACTGTGTTTCCTACCTTCTAGGTAGGAAATAGGAACCAAGATGGTTATGCATCATTACCATGTTGACTTAGTAATTAGGACAGAAAGAGGTGCTGGACTTCCAAATTATTTGTCACTGTCTCTCATGTGACTATCACCTTCCAACACTACCTAATGGCTTACTCACCTCCAGCTGTATTGATCACCAAACCGGAAAACAGTAGTTCCACATTCTTAAAGCCAAAGTAGAAGGTCATAGGCTGCCAGAAAACCAAAACAAGTCAGTTAGAGATGAATGAAAATTCTAAATGAGAATTTGGGGCAAAGAAGCTTAGAACATTTAAAAGTAGAAGATCTGGATAATAAGAGACATTCACGTGAGTGGGAGGCTTTTGCCCTCATGTTAGCGTTACCACCACAGGCACCGAGCATGAGTATTCTACTAGGCCCCCACCATCAACTTTTCTCCTGGGCCCCCACCATCAACTTTTATCTTTTTTTTTTTTTTTTTTGATACGGATTCTCGCTCTGTAGCCCAGGCTGGAATGCAGTGGCGAGATCTCGGCTCACTACAACCTCCACCTCCTGGGTTCAAGCGATTCTCCTGCCTCAGCCTCCCAAGTAGCTGGGACTACAGGCGAATGCCATCATGCCCAGCTAATTTTTTGTATTTTTAGTAGAGATGGGGTTTCACCGTGTTAGCTAGGATGGTCTCGATCTCCTGACCTTGTGATCCACCTGCCTTGGCCTCCCAAAGTGTTGGGATTACAGGCATGAGCCACTGTGCCTGGCCAACTTTTGTCTTTTTCTCTTTTCCACCCAAGGCATAAAGACCAGAACCCCTAATTCAGAAAAGAGTCGATTTCAGAAGGGACCACCAAAGAAAGAAGCCTAAAATCTTGGTTCTGGTGTGACTCTGTAAGTAGCTTGCCACATAATCTGGAGCAAATGACTTGACTTGCTTGGGTCTGCTTTAGTTATCCTCACTGGTAAACTGACCTTTAAAGATAATAAGCTTCCAGTACTAAAATTCCATTATTTCTATTACCCAAGTGGGTGGGAAAGGGCCTGCATTGCCCCTCCTATGGCACTCACCATCATCATCATGCTGCTGTCTCCTCCACCATGGGAGTGTGAGGCTGAAGTGGTTGGGTGATGGTGAGAAGGTTGCATGGTACTGTTGGAGTCCATATAGCTCATCCCCATATGGTGGGAATGATCCATTTTTTCCAGGAAAAGTTGAGAGTCAGCAGAAGATTCTTTTAAGAGAAAGAATTATATATAATAATTTAAGGATATAAAAATCTTATCTCTTTTTTTTATTTTTAGAGATGGAATCTTGCTATGTTGCCCAGGCTGGAATGCAATGGCTATTCACAGGCATGATCCCACTACTGATCAGTACAGGAGTTTTGACCTGCTCCATTTCTGATCTAGGCTGGTTCACCAGGCAACCTGGTGGTTCCCTGCTCCTGGGCTTGTTTCTTGGTAAATACTTTGTCTATATGGAATGCATCTAATAAATGAATGCTCTCCTAGCATCTTTACTCAGAATTATTTTTCATAATCTACAGATGGAGAGAGAAAGAACTCGTGCTAATAGGGATCACTTTTGGAGACTGTAGCAGAAAGGGTTTACACGTAGGGCTACAGATGCCTAACCCTTCCTTATTCTGCAGAATTGTTCCTTTTTTTTTGAGACAGGGTCTTGCTCCATCACCCAGGCTGGAGTGCAACTCACCACAGCCTCAACCTCAGCCTCCTGAGTAGGTGGAATCACAGGCCTGCACCACTACCACGCTCAGCTAATTTTTTGTTTTATCGTACAGATGAGGTCTCGTGTTGCCCAGGCAGGTCTCGAACTCCTGAGCTCAAGCAATCCTCTTGCCTTGGCCTCCCAAAGTGTTGGGATTACAGGTGTAAGCCACTGTGCCCCACCAGTATAGTTCCTTTAATAGGTATGCTTAATATATGTTCAAACTTAAATATTAGATAAGGAGAAGGAAAGCAGCTTCTTTGGGTTGCAGGAAACAGGCAATCTGTAATAAGATACAAATGAATGCCATTAATGAAATTTAACTGCTTTAAGGCTTTCTAATCATAAATGTCAGCAGATAAAAAGCAAGGACTTCAGATAATTCACCTAATTGGGATGGCCTGTGCCTAATCAGGATATTTGGATTACATTTTCACATACAGGACAACCAGCCTTCAGCTAATTTAAATTTGAAGAAAGGTCTACTATGGCCCTAGGCACGCAGTGTGCTCAGACTTCAGATACAATTTCAATCCTACCAGGACATTAGAGTGAAGAACATGAAAAACAAGGTATAAATTGGATACTCTATATTAAATTAAGTCTAGACAACTGCAAATTCAGCCTTGTATCTTTACTACCACATCACTGTATTGCTGCAAAAGTCCATCTGGGACATAAACCAAGGAGCAATAATTCCTTTTATTTATTTATTTTTGAGACAGAGTTTTGCATGGTTGCCCAGGCTGGAGTGCAGTGGTGTGATCTCGGCTCACTGCAACCTCTGCCTCCTGGATTCAAGTGACTCTCATGCCTCAGCTTGCCGAGTAGCTGGGATTACAGGTGCATGCTACCACACCTGGCTAATTTTTAAATTTTTAGTAGAGATGGGGTTTCACCATGTTGGCCATGCTGGTCTCAAACTCCTGAGCTCAAGTGATCTGTCCAACTCGGCCTCCCAAAGTACTGGGATTATAGGCTTGAGCTACCGTGCCCGGCCCAGGAACAATAACTCCTATAGCTAGAGTTGGAGTGGGAGAATGGGAAGCTGGTGTGTGTGGAGGGGGAGGTGTTGGTGGATTCTCTTTATGTGTCCCTCAAGTCCAGTCTGTGGAAGAAAAAGTGGTTTTAAAAATTCCAAGTAGGTATTCATGTTCATGAAACCAAGTATGCTTTTCATTATTCATTCACTCAATATTTATCAAGCTCCTATTATATACCAAACTCTGAGCTAGGTGCTAATAATTCAACAATGAATAAGACAAGGTTCCTGATAGGGAGAGAAACAATAAATATAATTTCATGCTGTGAAGGAAATAAGCTGAGAAATAAGACACAATTACCAAGAGGTAAAGAATAAATTGGCCAGGCGCGGTGGCTCATGCCTGTTATCCCAGCACTTTGGGAGGCTGAGGCAGGCAGATCACTTGAGGCCAGGAGTTCGAGACCAGCCTGGCCAACATGATGAAACCCCATCTCTACTAAAACAAAAAAATTAGCCAGGTGTGGTGGCATGCACCTGTAATCCCAGTTACTCGGGTGGCTGAGGCATGAGAATCACTTGAACCTGGGAGGTGGAGGTTTCAGTGAGTCAAGGTTGGACTACCGCACTCCAGCCTAGGTGACAGGAGACTATCTCAAAAAAAAAAAAAAAAAAAGACTGTGGGTAGGAAATTTATATAGATTCAGGGAGCCATCTATTTATTTTCTCCTTGTTAACTCCTACCCCATAGTTCTATGACAGCTGGCTTAAGAAATAGGTTCTTATTTCTAGTGAAGGATAAGGCAAAGCATCAGGTAGGCATAATCAAAGATCCACTTTCATGCCAGACACTACATTATTTTATAATTATAGAGCTCAACAGTGAAACCCCGTCTTTACTAAAAATACAAAAATTAGCTGGGCTTGGTGGCACGCGCCTGTAATCCCAGCTACTCGGGAGGCTGAGGCAGAGAATTGCTCAAACCTGGGAGGCGGAGGTTGTGGTGAGCAGAGATCATGCCACTGCACTCCAGCCTGGTCAGCAGAGCAAGACTCCATTTCAAAAAAAAAAAAAAAAAAAATTACAGAGCTCGACAATCTGGTATTATTGATACCATTACCATAAAGAGATTACATCAGAGGTATAAAAAGATATAAAACAGAGTCTTTGTCTACAATGTTTTTAGAGTAAACACTAAAAAATACAATACACAATAAAATAAAGACCATGCTCAAAGTGTCAGTGATGGGGCAAATGGCAGGTGGGCAGCTGTTTTCAGATAAAGAGGTAATTATGGTAGGATGGAGAGATCACTGGCATCTGAGTGATCATAAATTATGATATTGAACCAAACAAATGCAATAAGAATGAAAAGACTTGGCCAGGCGCGGTGGCTCACGCTTGTAATCCGAGCACTTTGGGAGGCCGAGGCAGGCGGATCACGAGGTTAGGAGATCAAGACCATCCTGGCTAACATGGGTGAAACCCCGTCTCTACTAAAAACACAAAAAAATTAGCCGGGCATGGTGGCGGGTGCCTGTAGTCCCAGCTACTCTGGAGGCTGAGGTAGGAGAATGGCGTGAACCCGGGAGGCGGAGCTTGCAGTAAAGCGAGACCGCGCCACTGCACTCCAGCTTGGGCTACAGAGCAAGACTCCGTCTCAAAAAAAAAAAAAAAAAGAAAAAAAGAAAAGAAAAGACTTTCGCTAGCCAGGAAGACTACTGACACATCCTCATAAAGAGCTAGAGGCAGAAGACACAAATACTGTTCTCTTCCAATGAGAGTCTGAAAAATGATTATAGCATAAGAAAACCACAAAGGATTTACTTCATTCCATATTATCAATATGAATCCTGGTCAGGAGGAGGGAATGAATATTTGCAAGAGTGCCTTCTTAAGACCAAAGGAAATAAAGAAATGAACATCACATGGAGTCTTTCCTCAAGGAGCTTTAAGGCTAAAAGCTAGAAAGGGAAACTGAACAGTCATAATTTTCATTTTGAGATATAAGATAACATGTAGAGGACTGTTAAAAAAGCAAGACTAGGCTGGGTGCGGTGGCTCACCCTGTAATCCCAGCACTTTGGGAGGCCAAGGCGGGCAGATCACCTGAGGTCAGGAGTTCAAGACCAGCCTGACTAAAAACCCCGTCTCTACTGAAAATACAAAAAGTACCCGGACCTAGTGGCAGGCACCTGTAGTCCCAGCTACTTGGGAGGCTGAGGCAGGAGAATCGCTTGAACCCGGGAGGCGGAGGTTGCAGTGAGCCGAGATTGTGCCATTGCACTCCAGCCTGCGTGACAGACCGAGACTCCATCTCAAAAAAAAGCAGGACTATAGTACCACAAACTATCTAAAAGTTGTAACCTTGATGATTTCCTTGATGAACCTTTATAACATTAATTATTACCATGAACTAATTTTGAAGACCCACAGGTTCTTAATTATTCAGGTCCCTCATTATCAATTAGAGAAATCTACTCAATGATGCCACATTATCAAATCTCTTCAGACATATCAGTGACCCAGGGCAAGGTATATACAAATCCCAAGAAAACCTTTCAAAGTATGCACCTGTTTTGAAGTGTCATTTGTGCAGGATATATTTCACATCCAAATATACTAGGAGATAGAACAAGAGCAGAATCTACTTGCTCTCATTGTCAGTAGACAATGGATATATTGTAATGGAATCCTATGCAAGGCTTACCGAATGGTGTATGAATAGGAAGATACAAAGCCGGTGGAGATTAATATATAAACATACACTGTAGGCTCAAACACAAACCAATCCTGATAAGTCCTTACGCTCACTAAAAGCTTTATTTTAGGAAAAGATCCCACGGGAATATGCCAAAGCTAAATTACATCAAAAAAGTTAAAACTTACAAATTAATTATTAAAGCATAATAAATAAAAGTGATTATATTTTTTTCTCTTCCCACTTAAATTTTCAGTGATGTGCTGTATGTATTTGGATAAGTTATCTTCTAAAGCAATCGAACACACCTAACCCATTCTCTCTAGAATAGAAATTCAACTTACAGGAGGTAAACTAGCATTGGTTCTTTTTAGCCTGTTTCCTTTGGTAGCTTTAATCTGACTTAAGCTCAGCTTCTTCCAAAATAAAAATGGGTACTCATGTAACAATAAGTTAAAATCCAGGGTCATACAATCTTTGCTCTATTTTTATTTTTTATTTTTTATTTTTTTAGATAGAGTCTCACTCTGTCACCCAGGCTAGAGTGCAGTGGTGCCATCTTGGCTCACTGCAACATCCACCTCTCAGGTTCAAGCGATTCTCCAGCCTCAGCCTCCCTAGTAGCTGGGATTACAGGCATGTGCCACCATGCCCAGCTAATTTTTTATTTTTAGTGGAGATGAGGTTTCACCATGTTGGCAAGGCTGGTGTTGAACTCCTGACCTCAAATGATCTGCCCACCTTGGCCTCCCAAAGTGCTGGCATAACAGGCATGAACCACCATGCCAGGCCAAATTTACAAATTATTTGTAAAGAAGAATACTGTCTAAATCTGTTTTGTGTGGCTATAACAGAATACCTCAGGCTGGGTAATTTATAAAGAAAAGAGGTTTATTTGCCTCATGATTCTGGTGACTGGACAGTCCAAGAGCATGGTGCCAGCATCTTTGGGGCTTCTGGCAGAGAAGCAGAAAGGCAAGTGGGCATGTGCAAAGAGACACGGGCTCACTTTATAGCAACCCAATCTTGCAGGAACGAATCCATTCCTATGAGAGCAATAACTCACTCACTCCTGAGAGTGGACATTAATTTACTCATGAGGGTGGATCCCTAATGACCCAAATGCCTACCAGTTCTCACCACCATTACAAATACTAACCAAAAAAATCTGAATATATAACTCAGGGACAGAACTGAAATACAAACAATAAAAAAACCCTTAGGATTCCTTTTTTTTTTTTGAAGTTTTTTTTTTTTATACTTTAAGTTTTAGGGTACATGTGCACAATGTGCAGGTTAGTTACATATGTATACATGTGCCATGCTGGTGCACTGCACCCACTAACTTGTCATCTAGCATTAGGTATATCTCCCAGTGCTATCCCTCCCCCCTCCCCCAACCCCACAACAGTCCCCAGAGTGTGATGTTCCCCTTCCTGTGTCCATGTGTTCTCATTGTTCAATTCCCACCTATAAGTGAGAATATGCGGTGTTTGGTTTTTTGTTCTTGCGATAGTTTACTGAGAATGATGATTTCCAATTCCATCCATGTCCCTACAAAGGACATGAACTCATCATTTTTTATGGCTGCATAGTATTCCATGGTGTATATGTGCCACATTTTCTTAATCCAGTCTATCATTTTTGGACATTTGGGTTGGTTCCAAGTCTTTGCTATTGTGAATAATGCCGCAATAAACATATGTGTGCATGTGTCTTTATAGCAGCATGATTTATAGTCCTTTGGGTATATACCCAGTAATGGGATGGCTGGGTCAAATGGTATTTCTAGTTCTAGATCCCTGAGGAATCGCCACACTGACTTCCACAATGGTTGAACTAGTTTACAGTCCCACCAACAGTGTAAAAGTGTTCCTATTTCTCCACATCCTCTCCAGCACCTGTTATTTCCTGACTTTTTAATGATTGCCATTCTAACTGGTGTGAAATGGTATCTCACTGTGGTTTTGATTTGCATTTCTCTGATGGCCAGTGATGGTGAGCATTTTTTCATGTGTTTTTTGGCTGCATAAATGTCTTCTTTTGAGAAGTGTCTGTTCATGTCCTTTGCCCACTTTTTGATGGGGTTGTCTGTTTTTTTTCTTGTAAATTTGTTTGAGTTCATTGTAGATTCTGGATATTAGCCCTTTGTCAGATGAGTAGGTTGCGAAAATTTTCCTAACCTTTAATCTATGATAAAATCTACCTAAAATATTTTATTTACCAAGTTGAGCTTATAACTAGGGTAGAAAGATTAGAATTACTGTGGCCGGGTGTGGTGGCTCACGCCTGTAATCTCAGCACTTTGGGAGGCCAAGGTGGGTGGATCACCTGAGGTCAAGAGTTCGAGACCAGCCTAACCAACATAGTGAAACATCATCTCTACTAAAAATATAAAATTAGCTGGGCATGGTGGTGCGTGCCTGTAATCCCAACTACCTGGGAGGCTGAGGCAGGATAATTGCTTGAACCCGGGAGGTGGGGGTTGCAGTGAGGGAAGGTCCTGCCATTGCACTCCAGCCTGGGCAATGAGAGCAAAACTCCATCTCAAAAAAAATAAAAAAATAAAAAAAAAACAAAGAAAGATTAGAATTACTGTACTGCCCTTTCATTTACTTTTTTTTTTTTTTTTTTGCCAATTGAGGTATACTAGTTTTCTTTAACAGAATTCAAAATCGTTCAATACTGGAGAATCATCTTTGCAATACTGGAGAATCACCTTTGCATTAGAATAACGGAGTGACAGGACTTAACTACCTAACTGGAACACATCTGTAAAAAGAATTTGGAAGGTGAAGGTGAATTTTAAAAGAAAAAGAAGGTGATCTGATTGTATGTCCTGGGAAAGTTACTTAGCCTTTCTGGAGCTGGTTTCCAGCCTGTACAACTTGGAGGATTCTTGGGAGGATTATATGAGATAACATACATAAAGCATCTACCAAAGTACCTGATAAATGGCAGCTATTATCATTATGTGGAATATTAGGGGATAAAAGAACTTGAGTAGGGAAAATCCAATGAGTGAACTTTGTGGGAGAAGGCATTAATCAAAATATTAGCTGGGTTTCTCTCCTCACTTGACTTTATTAAGACAACCCTTGACTTGTCTGTTAGCTTCTCTCCTACAAAGTATTTGCGTCAAGACTACTTTCAAGCCTGCGCACAGTGGCTCATGCCTATAATCCCAGCACTTTGGGAGGCCAAGGTGGGAGGATCACTTGAGGTCAGGAGTTTGAGACCAGCCTGGCCAACATAGTGAAACCCCATCTCTACTAAAAAATTACAAAATTACAAAAATTAGCCGGGTGTGGTGGCGGGCACCTGTAATCCTAGCTACTTGGGAGGCTGAGGCAAGAGAATCACTTGAACCTGGGAGGCCATGTTGCAGTGAGCTGAGACTGCACCATTGCACTCCAGCCTGGGCAACAAGAGCAAAACTCTGTTTCAAAAAAAAAAAAAAAAAAAAAAAAGGACTGCTTTCAAGTATCTTTCTGCCTGTCCTGATTTCCTGAGACCATGAAGTGGCTATGAACACTCATGTGAATAGTTCATAAGAGCTCTTCCTTCTAGCACAGAAATCTTGGATTTTTGTTTGTTTGTTTGTTTGTTTTTTGAGACAGAGTCTCTGTCACCCAGGCTGGAGTGCAGTGGCACAATCTCAGCTCATTGCAACCTCCGCCTCCTGAGTTCAAGTGATTCTCCTGCCTAAGCCTCCCAAGTAGCCGGGACTACAGGTGCACACCACCACACCTGGCTAATTTTTTTGTTGTATTTTTAGCAGAAACGGGGTTTCGCCATGTTGGCCAGGCTGCTCTGGAACTCCTGACCTCAGGTGATCTGCCTGCCTCAGCCTCCCAAAATGCTGGGATTACAGGCGTGAGCCACCATGCCTGGCCATCTTCTTGGATCATTAAGGAAGATGAGAAATGGTCTAGGAATTGACTATTTTAAAAAATTAAGCAGGAGTTTATGTGGAATTTAGTTCACATAAAATAGTTAATAAAAGGAGTTTCTTTCTCAGGAAGGCTTTAAACTATTCAGTTTCTAGGGAACATTTATCTTCAGTTAGGTACCTGAAGTTGGCTATGTGCCAACTTGTTTCTATTGTTCTGAATGCTATTAAATATAGGAAACAGTAAATGCTATATTGACTGTTGAAGAGCTCAGCACTTCTGTTGCTTTCCCCTCTCCCCCATTTAATAAGTATGGTATGATATTTTTCCAAACAGCTTTCAAAACCTCCTTATAGTCAAGAGTGTTTCACAGTCAACCTCTGAAGATTATCAAAAAAGTTTTCCCTGTACCTGCCCCATCACCTGCAAGACAGACACAGTCTGTAAAATCTAATATGTTTAACAAAAATACATATGAATTTATGGTCAGAAGTTAGGGAATTAGCAAGACGGCTAAATTCTGATGCCTATTCTGAGTCTTAGCATTGAGTATTGGCCTTATTTCTATGGTACAATAAGAATAAGATATAATAATCCATAGGGACTATGGAGATTAGATTGCACAAAAAGACTACACAGAAGTAGTCATACATCTGCACATGGGCTCTTTTCTCTAGCTCAGACAGATATAATCTGGAGCCCGGGACAGTTCTTTTGGAGCCTGCCTGTCTTTCCTGGCTTCCATGATAAGGAAGAAAGTCTTTTTTCTTAAAACGATTAGGGTCATATTCCTTTTTAGATTTGTGAAAACATTAAACAAAGAGAAATCTATCTAGTTTCTCTTCTGCTTTCTGTAGTCATTACTTATAATTGGTAACTGTAAGTTTCTGGCAAGCACTTATACAGAAAATTCAAGGTCAAAGACAGTACACTACCATAAACAGGGATGCGTGCTTATGGACTATGTCCACATGATCAAGCAACCAGTTTAACTGGGCGAATCTTGCCTTTTGACGACCTGTATGGGGTTAGTAGATACTCTCAGAAATGGCTCTGGCTTTGTTTTGATTGCCCCTATAGGTGAATTTTAAAATTATCTTGGTCGGGTGCGGTGGCTCACGCCTGTAATCTCAGCACTTAGGGAGGCCGAGGCAGGTGAATCACTTGAGGCTAGGAGTTTGAGACCAGCCTGGCCAACATGGCAAAACCCCATCTCTACTAAAAATTAGCTGGATGTGGTGGTGTGTCTGTAGTTCCAGCTACTTGGGAGGCTGAGGCACGATAATGTGGAGGTTGCAGTGAGCTGAGATAGTGCCACTGCACTCCAGCCTGGGATATAGAGCAAGATTCTTTCTCAATAAATAAAATAAAATAAAAATAAAAATTATCGGCCGCGTGCAGTGGCTCACGCCTATAATCCCAGCACTTTGGGAGGCCAAGGCAGGCAGATCACGAGGTCAGAAGATCAAGACCATCCTGGCTAGCATGGTGAAACCTTGTCTCTACTAAAAATACAAAAAATTAGCCGGGCGTGGTGGCACGCGCCTATAGTCCCAGCTACTCAGGAGGCTGAGGCAGGAAAATCGCTTGAATCCGGGAGGCGGAGGTTGCAGTGAGCTGAGATTGTGCCACTGCACTCCAGCCTGGGTGACAGAGCGAGACTCCATCTCAAAAAAAGAAAAAAAAAATCTTAATGGCCGGGCATGGTGGCTCACACATGTAATCCCAGCACTTTGGGAAGCTGAGGCAGGCAGATCGCTTGAACCCAGGAGTTTGATACCAGGCTGGGCAACATGGTGAAACCTCGTCTGTACTAAAAATATAAAAATTTGCTGGGCATGCTGGTGTGCACCTGTGGTCCCAGCTTGAGAGGGTGTGGGAGGATCGCTTGTGCCTGGGAAGTCATGGCTGCAGTGAGTGGTGATTGCACCACTGCACTCCAGCGTGGGTGACAGGGTGAGGCCCTGTCTCAAAAAATAAAAACAACAATTATCTTGATGATGGCTCAATAAATCCCACACACCTTTTGGGGAGGAGTGGTGGCAAAGGAGATGTAGGAAAACAAAGGGGAGACCTTGATATAATACTGCAATAAACAGAACTTAGAGCTGGGTACAGTGGCTCACACCTGTAATCCTAACCCTTTGGGAGGCCGAGGCAGGCAGATCGCTTAAGCCCAGGAGTTTCAGACCCGCCTGGGCAACATGAGGAAACCCCATCTCTACTAAAAATACAAAAAAGTTAGCCAGGTGTGGTGATGTGTGCCCGTAGTCTCAACTACTTGAGAGGCTCAGGTGGGAGAATCGACCTGATCTTGGGAGGTCATGGCTGCAGTGAGCCATGATTGTGCCATGCACTCCAGCCTGGGCAACAGGAATGTCTTGTCTTAAAAAAAAAAAAACTTAGTGGCATTCTAGGCCAAAATAGTGCAGTTGCTTGGAAAAAACGTAGTAGCTCCCAGTAAGTGGGAGGGGAAATACAATTTGATAAATATTTAGGGAGAAGACTTCCCTTTGAAGGCTGTAATGTTTCCTACTCATTCCCCGGGTGCTGGCTTCATATTCCTATTCCAAATTAACTGACAGAGGCCGGGTGCGATGGCTCACAAAGTGAGCTGTAATCCCATTACATTATAAAGTGTATAAAATGCAATCCCATTTTACATTACAAAGTGCTGTAATCCCAGCACTTTGGGAGGCTGAGGTGGGTAGATCACTTGAGGTCAGGAGTTTGAGAACTGCCTGGCCAACATGGTGAAACCTTGTCTCTACTAAGAAAAACAAAAAACAAAACAACAACAACAAACAAAACAAAACCCAAATTAACCAACAGAAATGTGACCATAATTGGATGAATATAACCATATAATCCTTTTGATATTCTAGCTGCCTTTCCCTTGCCTATGTCTTTCTTGAGGTACAGTGATCGTAGGTATACTTAATTTGATCAATTCCTCTTATAAAGGGTAGCCTTGATTAAACTATGGGTCTCGGCCAGAACTGGCAAAAACTTAAAGACTCCTAAAGTTGTGCCATACCAATGTATTAAAAATGGTAAGTAAAACGATGAGTGGAGGTACTAAGAAAATAGGTCAGGTCAACAAGAAAAAAAAGAAATGTAAAATACCTTACAATTATATACATTCAAACACATATTGTTCTCCCCAGATTAAGTCTGTCAAGTGACAGCAGTCCACACGGCACTTGCTACAACTGTAGTCTTACAAGGATAGTCTGCACTCAGGAAAGTAGTTATCCCAAACCCACCATTATAATTACCTCACACGCCCACATACAAATCTTAGATTTTATCTTTTTAAAACTTCTCCAATAAAACCTGGCTACTGTTTTGCCTTTTGCCTTTGTTGATAATAACTCCAAGGGATCATCTATAATAAATTCTTACTTGCTTTTCTTCATAGCAATGTTGGGGCTGAGAAGGATATTAATAGAATTGGCCAAGAATTAATTTAGTGATTATCTGCAGATTTCAATAATCCTTATATTATTCTCTCTCTCACTCTTGTTTTTTTCTGACCCTGACAGATGGAGATATTTTCTCTTTCTTCACCATATACCTTCCCTGAAGCACTTTTCATGTAAAAAAGCCAAACTATGCCATACTCAAGTAATAGCAGAATTTATGTGGATGAATTACTCATACATCAGACTAATAAGCTGCATAAAAAGTAACCAACTGTCAGAGACATAAAGGAGAAAACTACTTCAAATAATTACACTTAAAACTTTTAAGTGCCTTCATTTATGAGTGGCCAATGATCTAGGCAAACAAGAAATGCTGCATGGACTGACAAGTTTTTAAAAGAATAAAACAGAAGCTATGAAGTAGTAGGAATAGCCTTTTTTTTTTTTTTTTTTTTTTTTGAGATGGAGTTTTGCTCTTGTCACCCAGGCTGGAGTACAGTGGTATGATCTCGGCTCACTGAAAGCTCCGCCTCCTGGGTTCAAGCGATTCTCCTGCCTCAGCCTCTCGAGTAGCTGGGATTACAGGTGCCCACCACCACGCCTGGCTAATTTTTTGTATTTTTAGTAGAGACGAGGTTTCACCATGTTGGCCAGGCTGGTCTCAAACTCCTGACCTCAGGTGATCTGCCTGCCTTGGCCTCCCAAAGTGCTGGGATTACAGGCGTGAGCCACTGCGCTTGGCCAGTAGGAATAGCTTCTTTACTCATAAACTCTTGGCTAAAAATATCTATTTTAGCAAAAAGGGACGATAACTCAGGAGCTGCCCTGAGAATCTTACTTTAACTGTACTTATGGAAAGATAAAAAACAAAAACAAAAAACCTGTGATTTAATTCTAATCAGAACAAGACAGGAAAAAGCTGGGGGCAGTGGTGCATGCCTGCAGTCCCAACTACTCAGAGGATCACTGGAGCCTGGGAGTTTGAATCTAGCCTGGGCAACATAGTGAGACCCACACCCACCCCCGCCCCACATCTCTTAAAAAGAAGGAATAAGACAAAGAAACACTTTATCTCCAGATATCGGTTGAAGGTCATCCCCTTCTATCATAAGTTTCATCTTTCTACATCACTCCAGCTTATCAAGCTGTTCAAACTCAGCAAAGGAGATGAGAAACCTGTTGAGGCAAGACAAATCCTGGAAAAAGTGATAACGTGATGAATTATACAGCCATTGAAGGCTATTATTTGCAAGAGAAAACATGCTAAAGTCAAACTCAATTTTTAAAATGCCCATTGTCCAATCCCTAGGTCACCTATGTCTTCTGAGTAAACATGAATGGACCATGTAATTACTACATAAACAACAAAATATAAAGGCAAAGAATTAGTTTAAATGTGAGAGAGGACACAGGTGACATATACTACATTGGGTAAGTTATTTTATATTTTAGAGCTTCATTTTCCTTAACTGTAAGAATACTGAATTACATAATCCATAAAGTTCCACCTAGAGCTAAAACTTAAACAAAAAAAAAAAAGCCTAGAGTATAAAAACACAAAGCCCTTGGGAGGCTTAGAAGCCTAGCGTATAAAACACAAAGCTCTTGGGAGATCTGAACATTTACATTTTCTCGCCAAATTTACCTTCATATACTTTTGGAAAATATGTGTTTTGTGAAAAATATGAGAGAGACTGTAAACAAAACTCATACCTGTTTCTAAGAGTAGAAGAAGGGAAGAGATTATACTGGCTGCTATTGACCTTTAAGTGGTCTGAAATGCTAAACCAAAACTTTTTATGTGAATTAAGTCTCTAAGGCATGAAGCCTTGACAAGTGTCACATAAAATGACATCGGGGAAATGGAACAAACTATAAGATAAGATCAACTTAAAAATGATTTTAGGCTGGGCATGGTGGCTCATGCCTGTAATGTAATCCCAGTGCTTTGGGAGGCTGAGGTGGGAGGATTACATGAGCCCAGGAGTTTGAGACCAGCCTGGGAAATACAGTGAGACCCCATCTCTACAAAAAAGCAAAAAATTAGCTGGGTGTGGTGTCATGTACTTGTAGTGTCAGCTACTGAGGGAGGCCCTGAAGTGGGAGGATTGCTTTAAGCCTGGGAAGTCAAAGCTGCAGTGTGCCATGATCATACCACTGTACTCCAGCCTGGGCAAGAGTAAGACTCTGTCTCAAAACAAAACAAAACAAAAAGAACCCAACCTACCTCTTCTGCCTGTATGTACTTTGTATTCCAGCCAAACAAGTCCAATGGCCAAAAGTTTCTAGCACTCCTAGGAAACACATCCCCCACTTTTCTGTCTGGTATCTTTGCCTACATTGTTTCTTAAGTCTGAAATGCCCATCCTTACAATCTCTAGTGCAACAAATCCATGCCATACTCCAACGTCTAGTTTTTTTTTTTTGAGACGGAGTCTCGCTGTGTCACCCAGACTGGAGTGCGGTGGCGTGATCTCAGCTCACCGCAAGCTCCGCCTCCCGGGTTCACACCATTCTCCTGCCTCAGCCTCCCAAGTAGCTGGGACTACAGGCGCCCGCTACCATGCCTGGCTAATTGTTTGTATTTTTAGTAGAGATGGGGTTTCACCATGTTAGCCAGGATGGTCTCGATCTCCTGACCTCGTGATCCTCTAGTTTTAAGAGCTCTGAAGAGCCATAGTATATTGTGCCTTTCCTAATAATTCTAACTGGAACTAGGTCTCACAAAATACTCGAAAATGTTTTTATGATATTTTGAATCAGTGCCCATATATCACACTGATAGAATGGTATTGAGAAATGGTAGGAGAAACAGTTGAATCAAAGTATTCTAAAATTCCTTCTCATCTTTATCAACTGCAGATGCTTAATGAGCCCCTCTTGGATGCTACTCTTTCTTGAGTCAGCCAAGGAGAGAAGTCTGGCTCCAAACAATTCGGTCTGCAAAGAGATGGATGAGCCATTTCTTCAGCTATATGTAGATCACCTGAAATTGAAACCTGAGTGTTCTGTCTCTTAATTTGCGGGTCACAGAATCCCACTAAGAATTGGAAGGACCTTAGCAGTCATTGCATGGTGCTCCTCAGTAATACACAAATTCTATAATAACTGTTCAAATACCTCTGGGGACTTGTCAGGCAAGTGTGTTGCTCCCTTCCAGAAATATAAGGAAGCAAAGTTCTCTTTCTAGTCAAGCCAAATACAGAAGATGCCCCATTGGAATCTGAATCTTGCTATTTGACAGTGATGATGCTGATGAACCGGTACTCCAAGCTAAACCAGTATTTGTACTGCAGATACTACTTGCATGTATTTCTCAAGCTATAATTTGCTTCTTAGGCTGCACTCCGAAAAACTAATTTCTGCCTGCAAAAAGAAACCTAAGTATCTTCACCCCCAACTTCTGATATTGATACACTGATTTTTAAGCTCACTATGTGGCATTTAAGTCTGTTACAGACTTATCTTTCCAGCCTTATCTCAATCTACTCCGCTTCACATTCATATGTTCCACTGAAACTGACCTACTCACTTTTCCTCAATAATTTTTTTTTTTTTTTTTTTTGAGACAGAGTCTCGCTCTGTCGCCCTGACTGGAGTACAGTGGCACGATCTCGGCTCACTGCAACTTCCACCTCCTGGGTTCAAGCGATTCTCCTGCCTCAGCCTCCAGAGTAGCTGGGATTACAGCCAAGCGCCACCACACCCAGCTAATTTTTGTATTTTTAGTAGAGATGGGGTTTCACCATGTTGGCCAGGCTGGTCTCAAACTCCTGACCTCAAGTGATTTGCCTGCCTCGGCCTCCCAAAGTGCTAGGATTACAGGTGTGAGCCACCGTGCCTGGCCCCTCAATAAAATTCAGCATTTTGACATTTGTATGCGTTTTCAGGCTTTTGTAATTCCCTGGAATTCCTTTTATTTTTTCCCCTCATTTTCTATATATGTACAAATCCTGCCATTATTTATTCAACATTTATCATGCACAAAAATGTGCCAGAATTAAGGATAAAGCTAAAACATGGACCTTGATCTTTTTGATTTATAATCTAACTCATTCCAGGAGGTTTTTCTTGAATTCCTAAGAAATCTCCCTTTTTTGAATTTCCCTAGCAATCTTCTCTTACAGAAATTGACTTATAGTTTTTAAAATACAAGATAAAAAATGCCATATATACACAGCAAGCTTCTTGAGCGCAAGAAACTTTCTAATTTTTACTTCCTTACAGCATCTGGAAGAATACTTACCAAATATTCATTCATTCAAAAAGTATTTATTAATTCTTACAAAATCCATGTAGGTTTCAATATCTACCTATAAGGAGTCTGATGCAAAAAGACAAGGTACTTGCCTTTGTGGGGCTACTCAAGAGGAAGAAGGCTCTCTCAGTAAAAATGTAAGCAAATAAATATATATAGGTAGGTATAATTATCATTTGTGTAAGTGGTATGAAGGAGGTACAAAAATGAACTGTGGCAGAGAATAACGGTGAAAGAACTAATTTAGATGGAGGACAGGTGGGAAGCGAAAGAGAGGAGCTTTCTTAAAGGAGCTGACTTTAAACAGACTGATAAATTAATTATTGGAGTTTAGTAGAAGGAAAGGTAAGAGCCTTCCTGAGTCGAGAGAAGAAATAAGGGATCAAGGTTAGTATGAACAGAACATACTGAGTGAGCGGAGGAGAGGCTAATGAGGTTGAAGAGGGAAGCATAAAGGATACTCAATTAAGAATGTCTAGGCATGGTGGCTCACGCCTGTAATCCCAACACTTTGGGAGGCCAAGAAGGGTGAATCACTTGAGGTCAGGAGTTCAAGACCAGACTGGCCAACGGGGTGAAACCCCATCTCTACTAAAAATACAAAAGTTAGCTGGGCGTGGTGGCGCATGCCTGTACTCCCAGCTACTCGGGAGGCTGAGGCAGAAGAATCACTTGAACCCAGGAGGCAGAGGTTGCAGTGAGGCCAAGATCACACCACTGCACCGCAGCCTGGGTGACAGAGCGAGACTGTGTCTCAAAAAAAAAATCTTAAAGGTCATTTTAAGGATTCTAAATTTTATTTCCAGGGCAATTGGAAGCTATTTAAAGGTAATATGCAGGCACTCATGTTTCCTGCTTAAGTTCTTCTTTGAGGCAGATTTACAGAAGGAAAAAAATCTTTATAGATTAAATCCTTATGGCTACAGCTGTTTAATTTTCCAGGATCCAGAATGGCATCTGTTAAAACTTTAGGAAGATGAGAAGAATCATCTAATTTCTGGGCATAAAATGGTTTGAGGGGCACAACTTAAGACTATTCTACAAGAATTAGTAAGAAGAATTTATTCCTGGATTTTAAGAGCTTCTAAAAGTCACATGCCACCCTTTGCAGGTGACATTTGATCTTACAGACTATTGTTAAGAGTCTAGGTCTAGGGGTAGGAGTTAAAAAAAAAAAAGTCTGGAGTCAGAAGGTATTCAAATCCCGGCTCTACTAATTTCTAGCTGAGTCTCCTGGTGACATTTCCTGTAAAAGTCCCATGGGTTTTTAGTTTGGCAACAGGTCCTACGCATAGAGATTGCTACAGGGATCGTGTCCAGATTTCAACAGCATTTTGGTCAAATGATTCAAATTTGGTACTTGCTCAATAAAAAATCAATAAATACGATGAAGGTGAACTAGCCTCTGGGAGGGACATGGGCAGCAGACTGTGAGACACACAGCAAGTGTTTAATAGACTACATAATCTATACTATACACCTTCAACAGTGATCTAAACAAACTCGACTTGTCACTCATACCTCATCAAAACATTAGTGATTAATCTAAGACTTGTGAACTCCAGATTTTATTTACTTATTTTTTAATTTAAAAAGGATTCTGAGGCAGAGTCACAGTCTGTCGCCCAGGCTTGAGTGCAGTGTCACGATCTCTGCAACCTCTGCCTCCCAGGTTCAAGCAATTCCTGTGCCTCAGCCTTCCAAGTAGGCGGGATTACAGGCGTGTGCCACCATACCCGGCTACTTTTTGTATTTTTAGTAGAAACAGGGTTTCATCATGTTGGCCAGGCTGGTCTTGAGCTCCTGACCTCAGGTGATCCACCTGCCTCGGCCCCTCAAAGTGCTGGGATTTAAGGTGTGAACCACCGCACCCAGCCTTAAAATCCAGATTTTAATGCCCTGCTTTAGACATAGTGAAAACACACTAGAGTGAGTCAAAGATGTGGATTCTGGTTCCGACTCTATCACTTTGAGTTCTTTTGGGGAAACACCTATCTCAGGGTTTCAACCTCAGTATTAACAACATTTTGGACTGGATAATTCTTTGTTGTCTGAGCTGTCTTGTGTATCACTGGATGTTTAACAGTATCCCTGACCTCTACCGACTCAATGCCAGTAGCATTGCCCCAGTTGTGACAACCAAAAATGTCTCCAGACATTTCTCAATTTGTCCTACCCCCTTGAGAAGCATTTTCATACTCTGAATTTCAATGTCTCATCTGAAACTCATGGAAACATGGAGATAACATCTATTTTGTCCTCCTTCAGGGTTACTATATGATTCAAATAAGATAATGAATGGGGAAAAAGAGGGGAGAAAAGACCATATATGTAAAAGCCTTATTATTACTCTGTGGTAATATTATCATTATGCTCTGTGAGAGCTCAGCAATGAGGTTAATGCATTCATATCTTGTTTACAGAATTCACTATAAGGCTTAGGTAAAGGCTATATGCAGTCTAATATACCCTTTAGGTGGCTATTCAATAAATACTTGTTGATTGATTGATTCTAAGTCTGGGTCCAACAGTAAGTTCATTTACTTTTGCTTTCATGCACGCTTTTTCTGAGAATTGCTGAGCCACAACATTGTAGTATGTTTCCAAACTTAACTCCACTTAAAAGAATAGGCCTAGATTAAACAAGAATAGTTATTCATTTTTCAGATGGAAAACTGAGGTATAAAGGTTAAAAGGCTAGCCAAGGTCACAGGGCAGTTAGTCTAGTGGTCATCATTAGAAGCCTGATTCTGACCTCAAGCCCAGTGTTCTTTTCATTATTCGTAGCATGGTCCTTCTATCCAACTATCTCCTGTCTTTATGTTCCTAGTCTCTCAACATCAAGTAAGCTTTTTTTGCGTTCTAAGGGCAACTCAGAAAAACGGAGGCAAGGAAACAGCTGTAGTTTTGAGAGAGGCTTGGAAAAAAAAAACGTAGACCTATTCCTGTTGAGGCACAATTGGATATTCTCTACATTCCGGGTAAACCAATGTCAAGCTATCCTAGTGCTCTGACAAGTCTATGAAATCCTTGCCCATTAAGTTGTCCAGGAGGAGCTAAATCTAATCGTTACCCCCCTCCAGAGCAGTTGTGTCCTGCAATGCTTTATGCCATGCTTCTGGCATACAGTATGCGCTACAACTGTTATCTGCAGTACTCTTGGCTGCTCTACCTCTAAGTGGCTCTAAGTGGGGTGAAAATGGACTTCCATACAGCCCCAAGCTCTAGGCTACATTTTGGCATTCTGTGAATAATGCATAAAAGCCCCAAATGCCTTTCTACTATTTGTATTTTCAGGGTCAGAAACAGAAATTTTGAGAATAATTCATAAAAATGTCACCATTTATTCTACTCCTTTAAAATATCAGATCATCTCTGATTATCATGGCTTTGTGTGAACTTTCATATGCTGAATGTTGTCACAGTGCTGTCACTCTCAAACACTGACTCAACAGTGTTCTGGATAATTCCCAGGCAAGGGGAATTGGTGGGCTGAAGCCCACCTTAATCTTTATAATGATTACAATTTGAAAAATGTAAGACTAGAAATTTTTGTTCTAGCCCTGGTTTTCTATTACATTAGGTAATTTAGCCTTTCTGGTCATAGCTTCCTGAGTCAAGGAACAGACTAATTCATCTTTAGAGCCTATTTCGGTCTGAAAAGTTTAGGTACATATAAGAATAGTTTCAGTGAGGGCCGGGTGTGGTGGCTCATGCCTGTAATCCCAGCACTTTGGGAGGCCAAGGTGGGCGGATCACGAGGTCAGGAGATTGAAACCATCCTGGCTAACACGGTGAAACCCTGTCTCTACTAAAAATACAAAAATTAGCCGGGCGTGGTGGCAGGCACCTGTAGTCCCAGCTACTCGGGAGGTTGAGGCAGGAGAATGGCGTGAACCCGGGAGGTGGAGCTTGCAGTGAGCCGAGATCGCACCACTGCACTCCAACCTGGGCGACAGAGTGAGACTCCATCTCAAAAAAACAAACAAACAAAAAACAACAAAAAAAGAATAGTTTCAGTGAGAAACAAATGCACACTTGACTTGTCGAAATGCACTCTGAATAATAGGGCTGGGCGCAGTGGCTCACACCTGTAATCCCAGCACTTTGGGAGGCCAAGACGGGCAGATCACTTGAGGCCAGGAGTCTGAGACCAGCCTGGCCAACATGGCAAAACGCTGTCTCTACTAAAAATACAAAAACTAGCCAGGTTTGGTGGCGTGCACCTGTAATTCCAGCAACTCAGGAAGCTGAGGCACGAGAATTGCTTGAACTTGGGAGGCAGAGGTTGCAGTGAGCCGAGATTGCGCCACTGCACGCTAGCCTGGGCGACACAGCAAGACTGTCTCAAAACAAAACAAAACAAAAAAATGAAACGCATTCTGAATAATGATTGATATACTTTAGCCATTCTAACATTTCAGTGGCTTTAACATTGATTAAACACATTCCAGAACATACTGTTCATATTACTTTCCAGAACCAATCTTAAACAATCATCTGCTCTGAGAGGCACCTTGCCAAAGCAGAAACAGCAAGGGCAAGAGCCCACTCTGTTCTCAGAGTCAGGCTGCTCACTGTTGCAGGGCATTGCCGTCTTTTTTCCCCCATAAAGTAAGTATATTTTATTTAATTGTTACCCAGAACAGTAACTATTGCCAGTACTCCAGGAGCTCCCCTCCTGCCTCTCCCAGTCATGCTTCCTCCTCCTCTCCGGGGGGATCTTCTCTCCTGACTTCTAAAATCATACACAGTCTTCTGTGATTTTGAAATTTATATAAATGGAAGCAGAAAGAATGTACTATTGTGTCTGGGTCCTTTGCTCAACATAATTTTTGGGAGGTTCATCCATATTGTGTGTAGCAGCAGTTTGTTATTTTTCATTGCTCTATAGTTTCCTTTGAATCAATATGCAACTTAACTTTTCATTTCTGCTCTTGGCATCTAAACTGTTTTCAGGGTTTTTAATAACACTGCTGTGAACATTTGCAAATACTTTCCCTCCCCAAGATTGGTCACATTCTTCTCAGCACTTATTAGAGTCAGTCTACTTAATTTTAGCCATTCTGGTGGGTATAAATTGAACTTTAATTTGCATCTTCCTAATGACTATTGAAGTGGAAACTTTTTCATACATGTATTGGCTTTTGGATATCCTTTCTTTTGTTAACTATTTGTTCAAGTTTGTGGCTTATTTTTCTGTGAGGTCTTTTTCTTACTGATTTGCAAAGGTTCTTTACATATTCTGGATGAGTCTTCTATCATCACACACATTGCAAATATCTTCTCCCAGTCTGTGGCTTCCCTTTTCATTTCTTTTATTGTGTCTTTAGATGAACGAACAGAAGTTTTTACTGTTAATGTAGTCTATTTATCATGCTTTATTTGTTATCCTAAGGGGCACTGCCATCCTTAAAACTCGTAACAAGTTACAAAAACTTTGTAAGGATAATAAGTACACGTAAAACTGGGATAAAAATCTCACAACAGTATGAATATCAAATGTAAAAATACATATTGAAGAGACTGCCATGTTAATAACATATATAGTAAACAATAAATGTTAATTACTTTCCTAACTCAAGTGCTTCTCAAAGTGTGGTCCAAGGACCACCTGGATCAGAATCATCAGGGAAGTTTGGGTAAAAATAAAAATTATGGACCCTATGCCACACCACTGAATCACCTCTTAGGGAGTAGGGCCTCAAAATTTAGGTGCTTATCAAGTTCCATGGACAATTCTTATGCATGCTAAAGCTTGAGAACCACAGTTCTGAATTACAGAGATGTACAACATAGATACTTAGTACACAGAATCTAAGAACTGGATGTTCAACAAGTGAGAGCTAAAAAAAAAAAAAAAAAAAAAAAAAAAATGATGGCCAGGAGCGGTGGTTCATGCCTGTAATCCCAGCACTTTGGGAGGCTGAGGTGGGTGGATCACTTGAGGTCAGGAGTTTGAGACCAGCCTGGCCAACATGGTGAAACCCCATCTCTACTAAAAATACAAAAATTAGCTGGACGTAGCGGTAGGTGCCTATAATCCCAGCTACTCAGGAACCCGGGAGGCAGAGGTTGCAGTGAGCCAAGATCACGCCACTGTACTCCAGCCTGGGTGACAGAGCAAGACTCAGTCTCAAAAAATAAAAAAAAAAAGTCAAACAAAAAGACAAATATTGCATGTTCTCAGTCATAAGTGGGAGCCAAAAAAGTTGATCCTACGGAGGTAGAGAGTAGAACAGTCACCAGAGGCTGGGAAGGGTGTATATGTGTGTACTCAAGGTGGGGTGAGGGTGGGATTGAAGACAGATGGGTTAACAGAACAAATAGATGCTTAGATAGAAGGAGTAAGTTCTAGTGTTTGACAGCACAGAAGGGTGACTATAGTCAACAACAATACACTGTATATTTCAAAATAATTAGAAGATTTGAAATGTTCCCAATACAAAGAAATGATAAATGCTGAAGGTGATGGATATCCTAAATACCCTGATTTGATCATTATACATTGTGCAATTATTAATTATTGTGCCCATAAATATGTGCAATTATTATGTATCAGTAATAAAGAAAAGAAAGCCAAGATTCAACCAGGAACTAAAATAATGCATTTGTTTATTTTGAAATTCCAAAAAGGTCACAGAGTTAGCCCAGTCTCACATAAAATTTGCACAGACCACCACCTAATAATCAAAGAACTTGGGGGTTAACACTGAATTTAATACCAAATCACTCGTCTTTGGGATTTGAGAGAGGTTTTCTAACGCACTGTGTAAGTAAAATCTCTAAATCCCAGAGGGAGGGGAAATTAAATATTTTTGTAGTTTTATTTTTGTAGACTAGTTGTGAAATACAGGGATTGAACTACCAGAAAGACAGACCTCAAACAGGAAGTACACCGTTTTGCTGAGACTTTTACATTTGTTCCCAGCTGACCTCTCCAGGGTTTGTCAACTGTCTTTCTGAGATTGGGATTCGATCTGAGATCCTGAATAGCCCACCAAAAACAAAAAAACACAAGGAGGAAGCTGTGGGTAGAAAAGATATTTCCCCTTTCTTTATTATGGCAGCTATTCAAATACACAAGGAGATCTACTCATTCTCTAACCGGTAAAACTGTACCTACTGGTTGTGGGCCCTTTGGCAAATTACTTAATATCTTCTTGCCTCAGCTCTAAAATTGGGAAAATAAAACTAACCTATTTCATAGGATTGTTTTAAAGAATTATTAGCAGGAGTTCACTGAGGCCACAGCACAGTGGTTAAGAGGGTAAGTTAGTTTCCTCTAAACTAAGGATGTTTATAGCAACTACCTCTTGACAGTATACACTTAAACACTTACTTAAGCACAGTGTCTAAACACAGGAAGTTCTTGATAAATACTCATTTTTACTTCTCAATCTACTGTTCTCTCTATATATGGTATAAGTGCAATTCCTCAAATCCTTGATTTGTCCACCAACTACCCCATAGCTAACACTTCTTCCTTATGTCTGCTGTTCTTTTTTTTTTGAGACAGAGTTTCACTCTCGTCACCCAGGCTGGAGTGCAGTGGTGCGATCTCGGCTCACTGCAACCTCCACCTCCTGGGTTCAAGTGATTGTCCTGCCTCAGCCTACCAAGTGGCTGGGATTATGGGTGCCCGCCACCACACCTGACTAGTTTTTTTTTTTTTTTTTTAATTTTTAGTAGAGATGGGGTTTCACCATGTTGGCCAGGCTGGTCTCAAACTCCTGACCTCAGGTGATCCACACGCCTTAGCCTCCCAAAGTGCTGAGATTACCAGTGTAAGCCACCGTGCCTGGCCATCTCTGCTGTTCTTGATTTGGGAGCTTGCAGGGGTGTGCAAATGAATCTAACCCATTTAAATTTACCGACAGAGATGGCCTTTATCTATGTTGAATCAGGTGGTCAGTCATTTTTTTCAATTTGATTCCCATCTGTATCACATTTTCTTTGAAATGTTTTAAAGTTTCTGGCTTCTTTCTCCCTGTTTTCTGACTATAAATAATGCTTCTTCATATTCCTATGATAATTTCACTAGGATTTTGGGAAGGAAAAGAGATGAGTTCAAAACGCCATCTTGAAATGGAAATAATGATACATTATACTAGGTTTTTGTCCATCTTTTCTATGTTCCAATTTTGTAAGAGTAGTAGCAATTCTAAGCTATAACATAGAACCATGTATTCTGTGGTATTGCTAAAAACATAACGAAGGAACTGTTTTCAGGGCTACTTTCTAGAAAGTTTGTAAGCTTTTACAAGTTGCCCAAATAATAGGAAGAAGTCCAGTGAGGCACCTAGTTTCAACTACCCAGCAGCAATTTTCCCTGGGAATATGGCATTGAAGAAAACATTTGGAAAGGTAGGACTGCCTAAGTGAGCTGCATGTTAGACCATATAATTCTGTTATCTGTAACTTTACAGGAGTTATAGTCCACATGTGGGCCTGGCTATCGCCTATCCCAGAGTTTATCAGAACTCTTCCACAGAGATACTATGAGTACTTAACGTATGGCCCATAGACAAGTTTTTAAAATCTAAAATAAAAAAAAATCAACACTAATCAAACTCTATCTTCTAAATGTCCAATAAGCTAGAGTTCATATTCATCTAATATTCACTTTGATCTTGATGATTTCATACACATAAAATGGAATTCATGTGAATAAAAAGATACATGTGTATTTTGAATTATACATTCCAATGCTGTTCCTACCAGGTGTGCCTAACTCCACAGCTACCACTAATGCATAACTAAATAAATAATTTCCCCATTTTTTTTTTTTTTGAGACAAGATCATATTCTGTTGTCCCGGCTGGAGTGCAGTAGCATGATTACAGCTCACTGCGGCCTACACCTCCTGGGCTCAAGTGATCCTCCCACCTCAGCCTCCAGAGTAGCTGGGAACATAGGTACATACCATTATGCTCAGCTAATTTTAAAACTTTTTGTAGAGAAGGGGTCTCCCTATGTTGCCCAGGCTGGTCTTGAACTCCAGCCCTTAAGTGATTCTTCTGCCTCAGTCTCCCAAAATGCTCGGATTACAGGTGTAAGCCACCGTACCCGGCCCCCAATTTTTAAGCGCAACACAAAGAATGGCAGCAGGAGCCAGAAAGATAGGTGTGTGTGCGCATTTACTTAAACATAGGCAGACACAGACTCCTCTTCAAGATAATTTACTTGGTCTCTTGTCCTTTCCTGAACCAAATTAAGCATGCAAAGGGATGGCTTGATAGGTGTGTCAAGGCTGAGCAGGGAAAAGGAAGGATATGGCACTTGAGAGGGGAGCAAAGTGAGGTCAGATCACTTTGACATCTACCTCAATTCAACTCAACAAGTATTATGAAGTACCCTCTGCCCCAGAGGCTATAGGGAATTCAGAGATGGAAAGGATGGAGGCTCTGGCTTAAACTTGCTATTGAACAGGGAAAATTTCACAAATGGCTTATTGTACCTAGAAAGAGAATGAGGGAGGTGAGATGGGGAGAAAAGAAAAGTTAGTAGGTTATAGTCAAGAAAGCATGAGGGGCTGATACAATTCTGATCTGCTTTATGGTCCCTAGCTTCCCCAAAAGACTAGTGACTATAGTAAACAATGTTATTGTGGCTATTTCAAAATATCTAGAAGAGAGAATTCTGAATGTTCTTACCATAAAGAAATGATAAATGTTTGAGGTGATGTATACGCTAAACACCATCGTTTGATCATTATGCAATTTATATACGTATTAAAATATCACACTGTACCCCATAAATATGTACAATTATTATGTATTAATTAAAAACAAAACAGGCAGGGTACAGTGGCTCATGCCTATAATCCCAGAACTTTGGGAGGCTGAGGTGGAAGGATCTCTTGAGTCCAGGAGTTCAAGACCAGCCCGGGCAACATAGTGAGGCCTTGTCTCCTCAAAAAATCAAGAAAAGTAGCCAGGCGTGGAGATGCATGCCTGTAGTCTCAGCTATAGGCTGAGGCCATAGGATCTACTTTTGTACTACTTTGGTAGGCTGAGGCAGGAGGATAGCCTGAGCCAGGGAGGTTGAGGCTGCAGTGAGCTGAGATCGCGCCACCGCACTCCAGCCTGGGCGACAGACCAAGACTCTGTCTCTCAAACAAACGAACAAACAAACAAATCCCCAAAAGATTAGTAATTGTTATGGTATCATACACTTTGTAAAGTTATCACACACCTCATAACCATCCAAAAATTTGGGAAGACAGTAAAACACAGACAGAGGCAGATATTTGTTAGGCTCTCTTTGTTTCATCTTTCCATCTTCACTCCCTACATAAATTGTAATAAAGAGCAAATCTTCTGAATCCTCTACTTGGTAAATGCTAGTAAACATAGTTGGGAGACAGTCTCCTTTTGTTCTGAGTTTATAATATTCACCTTGCAAATAGCTTGAATAGTATTATACTGAAAAGCAATAGAAAAATCTACAAGACCATGATGCAGGTGACTTTAGTGAAGTCTGCAATTCAACATAATTTTGGAGAGATTACCTATTCTTGGCTCTTACTTAAGACTTAGTTCTGAATAGTAAGAGATAAAAATTAAGATATTACCAAGAAAATGATACTTTTTCTTTTCCACTAATCATTTTCAGTTAAAGTCTCATAGAAGATCAAAACTAGAACAGTCATCAGTCTGCCCACATTCTTTAACACAGTAATCCCACTTCTAAATATTCATTCTACAGATAAACTGGCACATATGTGAAATGTGTATGTACAAAGTTACTTATAACAGGAGTGTTTGTAATAGCAAAATATTAAAAATACAACCTAAATGTTCATTGATAGGGCACTGATTAAATGAGTTATCATATTTTCATACAATGGAATACTTAGCAGAATAAGAATGAGAACGATCATATATATTGATATAGAATGATCTGTAAGACGTATTATGAAATGAAATAAAAGCAGAATATACTGTATGCTATAATTTGTAAAAAACTTAAAAAGGAAACAGAGTATGTTCATGTTATTTTTATACACCTATACTATCTGCAGGGGAGTTGGGGGGAAACAACAAAGTTGTTGGTTGAGCCTGGGAGGCAAAATAGGACCGTGGTCCCTAAGGAGAGCTGGTCAGAAGTGGGTAGGAGTAAATGAAATACTTTTCACTGAATATCCTTGTGTACTTTTTGAATTACAAACCATATGAATATATTTCCTATTTAAAAAATTAAATTATCAGTCAGGCGCAGTGGATCACGCCTATAATCCCAGCACTTTGGGAGGCCATGGCGGGCGGATCACCTGAGGTCAGGAGTTCAAGACCAGCCTGACCAACATGGAGAAACGCCATCTCTACTAAAAATATAAAATCAGCCGGTCGTGGTGGCACATGCCTGTAATCCCAGATACTAGGGAGGCTAAGGCAGGAGAATCACTTGAACCCAGGAGGCAGAGGTTGCAATGAGCCGAGATCACACTATTGCACTTCAGCCTGGGCAACAAGAGCGAAACTCCAACTCAAAAGAAAAAAAAAAGTATCATCAAATCCAACTCCTTTATTTTACAGATGTGGAAACTGAGGCTTATGTTATTAAATGATGACACTAACATTCTTTAGTTAGGTGAATCCATAACATCTGCTTCTGATAGAAGGCTCCATAACACTAGACTAACCGCTTTCTCCAGCCCCATTTCTCCGGATGGCTTGCTGGGAAGCAGCTAAGCAGGATGGGTTTCTGAGCTTTACATATCCTGTTCTGGTGGCAAATAACATAGAAGCTCCTATTTCTCTTGCCCACTCCCACCCTTCTGTACAAAGAAGATCAAGTGTACAACTACATTCTTCCAAAGGCCTTTACAAAAGCTTTTATTTGCCTGGTTCTAATAGGACAACTCAAATTTGATATGTCAAACAAACAAACTGAAAAGGTCTTTTAGTTATGTAATGATAACAGGGCCTAAGTCCAATGGGGAGTGGATCTCCCAGCTACTTTACTCCATTTCTGTGATACCTTTTGTTGTTGGGTAAGCCACATCCTGGAATAATGTAATCACATGATGCACCCTTTCATGCTCCTCTTACAGGATCCTTTTGTAGCCTTGACGCACTTCCAGTCCGCTAACTGTGCTTTAGTATGATTTATGTGACAATTTCAGTGTTTTCTAGATAGTATCTTAGAGTGGAGAAAGCATGCAGCACGAGGCATCAAAGGCTCTGAGCTCTGGACCCACATTTGCCATATACTAGCCATGTGACATTAGGCAAATCACCAAAATTTGCAAAATTTGCAAAACAGATATTAAAATACCTACGCTGCCAATCTCATAGTATTGTAAGGGTCAAATAAAATATGTTAAATACTTTCCAATTTTAAGGTACAGTAAATATGAAATATAATAGCTTGCTTGCTCATTAGATGACAAAATTAATCTCTGAAAGGAACTAAGTCACACATAAGGCTCACTTTCATGTTTCTTGAAGTATACAGCCTTTCACAGTTTGATTTAAACAAAACTAGCTAGTCAGACAAATATACATTGGCAAAGCATTGCTTTAACTGCTTTATTGTTATAATCAAATGTAGACAATGGTCCTCCTTGTCTAAACTTTGCTTTAGTTATATTACATAGCATTTAAACTGTTTGGATAATAATGTTGTTGGTTTGCCTATGAGTAATATTGGAAATTAATATGGCATAAGACAGAAACTAGAAAACATTTGAACTGTTCCCTTTTTTTTATTCAGTAGGAAAATGCAATTAAATATGTTACACAAGATAAAAGGAACTTGAATGATTTAATGAAAATGCAGTACAAGAATGCAAATGAGGCTGGACATGGTGGCTCATGCCTGTAATCCCAGCACTCTAAGAGGCCAAGGTGGGCAGACTGCTTAAGCTCAGGAGTTTGAGACCAGCCTGGGCAACATGGCAAAGCCCCGACTCTATCAAAAATACAAAAAATTAGCTGGGCGTGGTGGTGCATGCCTGTAGTCCCGGCTACTCGAAAGGCTGAGATGGGAAGATTGCTTGAGCCTGGGAGACAGAGGTTGCAGTGAGCTGAGATTGTGCTCCTGCACTCCAGCCTGGGCAACAAAGCAAGATCCTGTTTCAAGAAAAAATAAAAGAAAAAAGAAAAAAATTGTTCAATATCTCAGATAGAGGCTGTATGGTGTGGCAGTAAAAGTACTGGGCTAGGAACTGAAAGAGGTTCTACATCTGCATTCTAGATCTGGCTCTTAGGTCTCATTTGCTATGCAATTTCAAGGAACTCAGACTATTCTTTCACTATTTATTGCATACCTATCGAATGAAGGTACCATGATGAAACTCTAACCATAAGAAACCCATTCTGGTGAAAGAGGGACACATGTAAATAATTTAAAAATAATGTAAAATGTACTAAGGTATAGATTATGCATAGGGGTTGTGTGAGAACTCATAAAAAGCCATCAGAAAAGGTAGGAGAGAGGATGCGGGTGTATGAGTTACACCATTTCCCTTTCATTTCATAAATTAAATGACTACATTCTAGATGCTGTAAACTGCTTCAAAATTATATAAACACTCATCATAGTTCTACAATAACTCTTCTATCTAGGGAAATATGTCACCTGTTGCTAGAATTTTGCTCTCTTTATATGTTCCCTCCAAATCATTTCTCATATTTACTTTTGAGATTCAGGCTTCCATCTTACCATGCTGTATTTCATAATGTCCTAAGCCTACAAAAGCAGGTTGTATACAAAAGCCTAGGGCCATTGTGTAAAGGAAAAGAGGTAGGGTGGACCCTTCTCAACCCTTTCCTTCTCTGCAGGGCTTTGCATTCCTAAGGATGGGCCCCTCCTCTGCTTGGGGATGTTACCTAAATCATAAAATGATATTACTCAAAGCAATGGAACTTCAAAAGCATTTCCTTCCCAGGCCCTACTATAAGATTTCTTTTGGCATAAACTGTTCATTGTAATGTATTAAGTATCAGACTTTTGATGACTTGTTATACTTAAGTCACAAAACTACAGAAAACTTTTAAGTTTTTAAAATGGATTTAAGAGCTGCATGTGGGAGTACAGGCATCAGGAACCCCCTACCCCTTCCCTCCCTTTTCCCCAGTCAGGCCTGCCCTGTCCACTTTAAAATGCAGTTATTTGGGTGATGCCCTGTTACTAACTTAACTGACAACTGCTAGTTGAAATCAACTTGTCACTGTAAACACTTTGCTTTCTTTATTTCTTTTTTTTTTTTTTTGAGATGGAGTCTCACTCTGTCGCCCAGGTTGGCGCACAGTGGCGTGACCTCAGCTCACTGCAACCTCCGCCTCTCCGGAGCTCAAGCAATTCTCGTGCCTCCGTCTCCTGAGTAGCTGGGACTACAGGTGCCCGCCACCATGCCTGACTAATTTTTGTATTTTCAGCAGACACGGGGTTTCACCATGTTGGCCAGGCTGGTCTCGAACTCCTGACCTCAGGTGATCTGCCTGAGCTGGGATTACAGGCGGGAGCCACCACACCTGGCCGAACACTTTGCTTTTCTAGTGATTATTATATCATCTTTCTCTCTTGTAGCACTTCTGGTGGGAAAGGTGCAAAAAGGAATTAACAGTAGAGATGAGTCTCTGATTCCTAAGTCCTTCTCTACCAAGACTTCCAAGTTGGACAAAAGAGGTAGAGAAAGACTTAGGAATCAAAGACTCTTATGAGTATGGTATCTACTTTCAAAACAGTCATTTCATTTTATTCACATTTAGTATGGAAACTTTATTTTTCTCAATTCAAAATTGAGATTATAATCCAAAGGAAAGCTGAATTGAAAATTTTAACAGATTAATACCAGTGCCCCAAGTGGTGTTTACCATGCCTTCACAACAACCTCATGTTCTAGGGGCCATTAGAAAATGAAGTGGCTACTGACATGGAATGGAGCTAGGGAAATGTAACTTTTTACTTCATACACTCCTAAGCCATTTGAACTTTTTTACATCAATCATGCCATTTAGAATAAAAAATTCCACTTCCTACCAATCTAAGTACAAACTTGTCACCTTGACCTTCAAGGTATTTGACAAATATGGTCCTGGATTCCTTTTCAATTTTAATCCATTACTTTCTTCTGTGAACTGTTGCCTTATACTCTTAGCAAACTATCCCACAGAACTCTCTTATCCAATTTAACTGACATCACACCATTAGGCTATTCTCCAATGTGATGGGAACAACACTTCTGGTTCCCCCTCTGTGAAGTGTGCTTATCAATGGTGACAGTGTGTTTATTCACAAACCTATTTATGCCAGTTGTGCTTATTACTGAAAGTACGTAAATACTATGTAAAGCAATGAAGTATAAATGAGAAGAGAAAAATGACAGCAGCAATTAACACTGAGTACTTACTACCTGCCAGGCACTGTTCTAAATGCTTTACATGAATTAACTCCTATAATATTCACAAGAAACCTAGAAATGGATACTACCATTATGCCTGTTTTACAAAGGCAAAAACTGAGTAACTTGTCTATGGCCTATACAACTAATAAGTGGCAAAGCAATTTGGCTCCAGAGCTCAAGTACTTAACTACTGTACTACATAGACTCTCTAGTAGTTATTTCTAAAACACCACACTGAATGCTTTCGAAAGACCAGATAAAAGTGAGCACACAAGGCCGGGTGCGTTGGCCCACGCCTCTAATCCTAGCACTTTGGGAGGCCAAGGCGGGTGGATCACCTGAGGTCGGGAGTTCCAGACCAGCCTGACCAACATGGAGAAACCCCGTCTCTACTAAAAATACAAAATTAGCCGGGCATGGTGGCACATGCCTGTAATCCCAGCTACTCGGGAGGGTGAGGCTGGAGAATCGCTTGAACCCGGGAGGTGGAGGTTGTGGTGAGCCGAGATTGTGCCATTGCATTCAAGCCTGGGCAACAAGAGCGAAACTCTGTCTCAAAAAAAAAAAAAAAAGTGAGCATACAGATAACACATAAACTTGCTGTTAGGTGTGGGAGACAACAGAAAAGTCTGGAAGGACATTTCATAAACACCTAGAAAGATTCTGCAGTGAGACTGCTTTGCAAGTGACTTTAAGTATTCATTCCATGTTAAAAATACCATAGATAACGTAGGCCAGGGGCTAGCAAGCTCTTTCTATAAAGGGCCAAAAGTAAACATTTTAGATGTTGCAGGCCATGTGGTTTCTGTTGCAATCACAAATATTCAATTCTGCCTTGGAGGGTAAGAGGAGTCATAGACAATACATAAACAAATGAGAAAGGCTGTGTTCTAATAAAGCTTTACTTATAAAAACAGGCAACAGGGTCCTACACTCCAAGAAAAGGCTGAGGCCTTATGTTAAAAGAATGGCAAAAGAATGTTTATGTGTTCGTTAAAATGTTATGCATATAACTATTATCTGTATGATTCCCTGCTTTAACTTACTTCTTCAGTTAACCAACTAATGGCCCTAAGTCTGCTTTCAGTGACTGAGTGAACGGAATGTTATAGATCCCCTAGAACCTGCATTTAATTCATATTCCTATCATTATGCCTGATATAACTTGGTTATAACTTTAAACTACTAATTTTAAAATGCATGCATCATTACAGATTAGTATGGGTATACTCGTATATAAAGACTGTCATCTCTGTTGCAAAATTGCTGATAATTTGAAAATAATTATTAAAATTGCTGCTTCCCTGAGGGAGTAAGGGGAGTGGAGGGTGGAGAAAAAAAATTGCTGCTTCCTGGCCAATCTTCTGGGGGTTGACAATATATTTTATGAGTATTCTAAAAGTTGTATACTTAAGCAAAACAAATAAACAAAAATGCTTACTTTAAACTTGAGATCAAGGTTGTGCCTTACTTACCTTTGTATCCCCAGCAGTTACTCAGTAGAAGTCCAGGTCTAATCCACTCATTTTACAGTGCTTAGGGAGCCTGGCCCAAACTCAGAGTGAGTTATAAGGGCTGGGACAGGAATTCAGATTTCCTGATTCCTAGTCCAGTATTACCAATCTGAAGATACACGAATTTAGGAAGACAGTGGCTTTCTTTTTTTTTTTTTTTAGGTGCACCCAGTCCTGCAGTTCAAAGCCTGGCAAGACTCACCATCATCTTCCTCCTCCTCATACTGCTAATGAGAATCAGCAGCTGTGTTTCTACAGTGATAATCTGCGTATGCATGTTCGTGATGTTCCAATCACCAAAAAGGCTATTGATTTTAGGATTCCTGAGTACCTACAAAAGCTACTTAAACATCCAGGATAAAATCAGCTCCACCCAAGAATACAAGATAAGAGTTCAAATATTCCCTTGGCCATTTTTTTTTTTTAAAGAAAAGGCTGGAAGGACATGTCATAAACACCTAGAAAGATTCTGCAGTGAGACTGCTTTGCAAGTGACTTTAAGTATTCATTCCATGTTAAAAATACCATAGATAATGTAAGCCAGGGGCTAGCAAGCTCTTTCTGTTAAACATTTAGATGTTTCAGTGCTGCAATCACAGTGACCGGTGTTGGGGAGAGGGATTAGAAAGTGCCATGGTACTTAATCCAGTTACTCCCCCAACACCTCCAAGAGGTAGCCAAGTTCACACACTAAACAGAGCTACTGCAACAGTTCTAGTGCTAGTCCTTAGATTCTAGTTCCAGTTCCGGTTCTAGTGCTTAGATTCCAGTTGCATCATTCCAACTGTGAGCCTTCGCTGCTTTAACATCTTTGCCAGGAGGTGCAAAGTTCTCTGGGAGGGAGCTACCAATCATTTCATTTCAATTTCATACTGACAGATTGAAACATTCACGTAAGGGACACCTGTAGTACCAACCTGACTGTGAGGGGAAGCCCAAGAACTCCAGTGAGTCTGTGGACGCTACGCTGGGACACTATCTCCTTAGCCACACCTTGTCTAAGCCAGGACTACCCCAGGATTGTTTCGAGAATGATACCAGGTTAACCAAAGAAATACTTATGTAAGATACAGATAGGGTGGAAACTGGAGGCAGAGGAGTCCGCCACAATTGATGTTGATTTAGGGCTGTCGCAGGAAGACCCAGGGAAACCCACGCCAAAGTTGGGGTGGGGATGTGTCTGCCTCCAAAGTATCCTCCTTTCCATCACCCACCGCCAGAATATCTTAGCTCTTCTGCACCTCATCCGCGTAGAATACAGGTGGACTCTAGAAAGGGGACTTTCCTCGAGGTGTATGCTACAGTCTTTCAATAGTCACTCTGTAAGGGCACACAGTGCTTAAGGGCTGATAAGGTTCTTGTTCACCCACTAGCTCACTATGTCCTGAATCAAAGGACGAGGAATCCAGTCTCAGTCTGCCCTTTACTCTTTGTGACCTCGGACTAGTCACCCGGGTGCTTAGTTCCTTCGTCTCCCTATCTGTAAATTCTGAGATTACGAGGAGGCCGGGATTGAAATCCATGGCCTCTGAGCTCTAAAATCTTCTGGACCAGCAGGCACATGGAAGAACTGGACAAATGGCCGGTTGCATACACGGGGAAACTGAGGCACCGAGCACCCCGGCCCAAGGTCACTCTGGCTATGCCACTGCAGGGGCCGGGCCGAAGCCCCAGTCTTTAACCCTCCAGTCCCGAGCTCTTTCTCCTTCCGCGGAGCTGAGGAAAGCGGCGAGGAAGGTCCTTGTCCCGCTGGGAAAAGGACGGTACCCATGCACAGGGGTGCGAAAGAGGGGCCGAGAGAAGCCTTACCTTTCCAGGTCAAGTCCAGCCACTAGCACCTCTCTCTCCGAATCTTAACCCGTCACCCCCTCACGACTCTTCGAACGGCCCCTCCACTTCTACCCGGCTCGACGTGTCCACCACCGCCACCGAGGCCGAGGATTTCCCGCCCCCTCCCGCCCCCTAGCATTACCGACCAATCCCTGCAAGGGGCTGTGAAGCTCCGCCCCGCTGCGGGCTGGAGAGGCCTGACGTCACTCGGCGCTCGTGCCCGCGCGAGCCTCTCATTTGCCTTTGCCCCACCTTCTCCAGAGCCCAGTCTACTTTCGGTCCAGAGACCGTGCTGGAGTTCGCCCTGCCGGAAAGCAGCACGCCGCCGCGGCATTTTACGACGTCGGCGGTGACAGGCCCTGGGACTCTGGGAATACCCAGCTTCCTCCCCGCAACCCGGTGAAAGCCAACGCAATGTTCGGTGCGGGGGACGAGGACGACACCGATTTCCTCTCGCCGAGCGGCGGGTGAGTGACTGAGAAGTATGCGCTGGAGGGCGTGGCTGAGAGATACCGGCGGATTGTTGGAGGGGGGTCGATCTCTTCTCAGGCCTTTTCCCAACTTCCGGGGGGAGACCCTTGCCACATTCCGGTGCTCTACACCTCTCAGAATCTGGGCAGAACTTGCAACTGTGCTGACCCTGCCGATCTGAGGTTCGGGACCCGGCATCTCTCTTGGCGGGAAGATAGCCCTGGGTTTGCCTTTTGCATTCTGGGTCACAATTTCTCCGGTGAAATGGGAATGATTGCTGATGAGACTTCCTGCCTCAGAATTTTTATAGGAGTCAGCTGGGGCTGATGTGAGACTTCTTTTCTCCATGGAGAAGGCGAAGACACTTTAGAACCAGGCCTTGGTGGGTCAGCTCTAGCATTCTTCAAGGCCCAGCTCGGATGTCACGTTTTGGATGCTTTTCCTTCTGCAACCTCAGGCAGAATGAATTGCTTTCTCTTCCTTATTCCTGCAGCTAGGTGTGTTTGCCTCTATTCTTATACCCCGCACCTATTAGATTATGAGTCCTCACCGGACAGGGACTGCTTATGGTGTTCATTTCTGTCTAGCATGCAGCATGGTACCTAGCACATAGTGAGTGCTCAGGAAGTGGCTG